>NC_000010.11:21260000-21885000 GCF_000001405.40 Homo sapiens
AAAAGAAATCCAGTCCTTGGCAATATTATTGAACCATTGGATCCAACCAACCCAGTCCTGCCTTGCATCTGGGTTTTCCTGTTAGGCAAATCAATACGTTTCCAGATTGCTTGAAATGGTTTGCATTGGGTTATGCTGAAACTGAAGCATTCCTTAATGACTGAGTCCACGGGAAGCCCTAGAATGAAACAGCTCATCCGGGAATCCGGTCCAGACTTCTGCAGCCTCTAGCCCTTTGAAAACAGCTCCAGACAGGAGCAGGTCATCCAACCCTATCTGCTTAAGAGCCACTTTTCCAAAGGCCAGAAGGCTCTGGAGAAAGCCCAGGGCCTGTGGTGTGCCAAATTTGCTAACAGGGCCTGCGGATTCCAGACGCAGTCTGATGGGCTTCTTTATTCTATCATTATGTTCATCATTTTCTTATTTGCAATTAGAAACATTGACTTTTAATTTAGATAATTTCCTCTTTTTCTTTTTGCCTTGCCTTTAAAATAGATCTGCTCTAGGATGCTGAGTTATAAACTGCCCTTGATTGTGTGTTCATTTGTTCAAGTATTTGGTATATTGGCAGCCAAGAAGCCCCAGGCTCTGAATCACTATGTTCCCCTGTTTTCCCTTTCCAAGTATTCCGTTAAAACCCATGATGAAACCAGACAGGCAGAGCTTTCAGGCATTCTTCTGAAGGTCGAGCCCTTCTCTTCTGCACCCCGGTCAGCTCCTACTCAGGACCTGGCATCTCCTAAAAGAGAAAAAATGTTGCCCCTCATTATGCCCTTGCTGAAGTTCTAGCCACACACAAAACAGCAAATCCGTTCAGAGCAGAGGAATTTTCTTTAGAGATTCTTCCAAAAGCTCAACAGCAACGAACAACAAAATCTTGCAGTGAAAGTTAAAAACATTAGGGAGTCACAGGCGCTCTCGATACTTAAACCTCATGGTGGTGCACGGGAGCACTGGTGTAGACTCGCAAGCAGGAAGCATTTCCATTTCAGTCAGTAAGAAGGGATCGTGGATGGCAAGGCATGCTTTGATGTGCTGATCCTCTTATTGAATTTCTTTCTCTAGTTGTTCTACTTGTGAGGATAGTTGTCCGCTTGAATCACTAATGCTTCTTGCAGGTCTTGGTTTACACCTATTAGACTAAACACACCCCAGGGAAATGGTGGGTAACCCCTGTCTGAATACACATGAAACATCAAGGCAGTGGGAGCCACAAGGCTCCAGGCTGCTCTGCTAAATGTCACTGACATTAAGTGTCCCAGAAGAGTCTCTAAAAAGAAAGGAAAATTATCCTGATTCCAACCTTCAATAATGGACGCTGAACCTCATGATGGAAGTTTTTCATCCTAATCATCAGTACCTTCAAAATAAAGAGACAGGCTGGGCACAGCGGCTCACACTGTAAGCCTAGCACTTTGGGAAGCTGAGGCAGGAGGATTGCTTGAGCCCAGGAGTTCAAGACCAACCTGGGCAACAAAGTGAGGCACTATCCCTACAAACAATATAAAAATCAGCCAGGCGTGGTGGTCCCAGCTACACAGGAGGCTGGGGCAGAAGGATTGCTTAGGCCCGGGAGGCTGAGGCTGCAGTGAGCCATGACCACACCATTGCACACCATCCCAGGTAACAGAGTGAGACCCTGTCTCAAAAAAAAAAAGAAAGAAAGAAAGAAAAGAAAAAAGTGTCCCAGGAGATGCTCTAAAAAGAAAGCAAAAGCAAAATGATCTTGATTCTAGCCTTCAATAAAGGATACTGAGCCTCGTGATAGACTTGTTTTTATCCTAATCTCCCTACCTTTAAAATAAAGAGATAGGAGTGTCAGCGGCAACACACACTCACATGCACCAAAACAGCCCTGCGTGTCCTGCTGAGACGTGCACACTCCCAGCTGTTGCCATGGTTCACTCAGACCAGCAGCAGCCGCCTGGAGACCATGCAGGAATGGAGTCCACACTGTTCAGTCCAAGATATCGCCTGGGATAATGAGCAGAGGCCTAAGGATTTTGAAAGCCAAAAGGCCCCTCTCTTTTGTAAGGCTGCCCCCAACCGAAAGCCGACAAAAAAGAGAAGGGTAAAATAAAACAGACTTTGTCTTATTATCCTGGCACACACGCCTGGTGATCCCTGGCTTAGCTGGCAAATTGCGAGGGCCTCGATAGGAGATTCAAAACTCAACAAGTGGCTGTCACTATGGAAACGGCTCCAATGAACCCCAAGAATGAAGGACGCTGGCCTGAGGAAAATGTCGGAGGAGGATCGCTGTGTCTCTGAATACGCCATCACGAAATGCTTTGCTGGGGAAGAGGTTAAACTGATTGAACAAGTGCCTCTGCACAAGAAGTTTGCCCCAGATCACAGGATTTAGAAGGGAAGGTGCTCTCTGGCCCACTCGGCTAGGGGGACCCAAGCTGCGTGAATCTGGCCCCACGCCTGTTCCCTATGGGGGTCTCTGAAGAGTGTCAGTCTTGCAAAGCTCCCAGTGCCAGAGCTGGAAACCCAGGGAGAAACGAAGGAAAGCAAAATGTATCTGGGATTGGAAATTAAACTGGGGCTTTGATGAATTCAAAGCTGTGGGCAGTTAAATATAGGGCTGAATTTTCTCTCAGGAAGTGATCAAAATCAAGGTCACAATTTTTAAAAGAAATTTCCCCAGAAAAGCCTCATTTCCAAGAGAAGGCCAGGCTTGTGTCTGAGCACATTGGTTGAGCCTAGGGTCCGGCCCCAAGGCTGGGGCTGGGGATGGAAGGCTGAACTTAGCATCTGCCATCCCTCCCTGGTCTGTGACTCCATGATAATTGGCTGGTGGGTGTAGTGGTTTTCCAGTGTGCCCATGATTACAAACCTCTCTTTAAATTCCGTGTAGACATTCTAAATAGCACGTTTGTAGACGATTACCCAGTCAGGAGATTATACAAACGCAATAACTAACATCAGAGCAGGATTCTCTTTCAGCATCAGGGGACAGAAAAGGCCATCTAAAAACAGTACCCACAGCCCCTTTGGTGGGCTTCTCAAGAAGATACAGATGTATTATCTACTTTGGGTCTTTTGTGGATGCACAAGGTGCTGTTATAGTGACAGTAATAATAATAAGAGAAATAATCACAATGGCAACAGCGATTGAACACATATTATGTTCTGGGCATTGTTCTAAGTACTCTTAGCGTAGGTATTTACCCATTTAATCCTCATACCACTTGAGGTATTGTAACCAAGTCCAAAGCTTGTACTGCTCACTGCATCACAGCCAATAAGTCAAGAGATAAGGAATTGGGACAAGGAAAACACCTTTTATTAAGAAGAGCCAGCAAATTGAGAAGATGGCGGACTAGTGTCCTAAAGAAACACCCTAAGCTAATAGAATTCTAGGCTCCTGTTATGTTAGGGGAAAGGGAAAGGGGGCGGGGGGTTGAGATCAAGAGGTGACTGATGATCACAGACATCTGGGTGGCAGTAAGAGTCCAAGCGGGGGAGGTTGTGAAACTTCTTTGTCCGTGACCAGGTCACAGTGCTTCTATAAATTTTAGCATAGCATGCTTACTTGTGTGTGCTCTCCTATCTCCCCGGGGGTTAGTTTTGGGAAGGGACTATGATTATTCTTGCTTTAAAATTAAACTCTAAGCTAAATTCTTCCCATAGTTAGCTTGGCCTACGTGCAGAGATAAGCAAAAGCGGTTAAACTGGCCAGGCACAGTGGCTCACGCCTGTAATCCCAGTACTTTGAGAGGCCGAGGCAGGCGGATCACCTGAGGTCAGGAGTTCAAGACCAGCCTGGGCAACATGGCGAAACCCCGTCTCTACTAAAAATACAAAAATTAGCCGGGCGTGGTGGTGGGTGCCTATAATCCCAGATACTCGGGAGGTTGAAGCAGGAGAATCACTTGAACCTGGGAGGCAGAGGTTGCCGTGAGCCAAGATCACACCATTGCACTCCAGCCTGGGCAATAACAGTGAAACTCCGTCTCAAACAAACAAACAAAAAGCAGTTAAACCAAAAGATATCACCATGGCAGGAGTAGGAGGGAGGGTGGTGCAGTTAGGGGCAAAATGGAGCTAGTCATGCTAGGCCTCCTTTTCTCTGCTACAGTATTCCTCTTTTCCAGATCTAACAGTTGAAGAAACTGGCCCAGTGGTGCCATAAGAAGTTTATACTGTGGTTGGATTTGAGGCATATCCACTTCACACTGTGTCCCCAGTTGGGATGATCCTGTAGGGAGATAGCCTGAAGCAGAAGTGTAGGGAGCTGGAAAGGCACAGCACTGATATATAAAGAGCATCTCTCATCTGCCCCTACCACGGTGCTGGGACAGTGCAGCACCATTGTCCATGGCCTTCCAGGCAGCACATGGCCCTCTGCAAGGAGCTAGAGAAGAGGCATTTGCTGGGCCTTTGCCTCAGGAATGAACTGGGTGGGCCATCCCATCCCCACAAGAGCAAAGGGCTGACAGAGCAAGTTGCCACCCTTCTGCAGGTGTTGTCCTCAACTCTCCTTCTGACTCACTCAAAGTATTAGAGTGAGTTCTTACAAGATATGAGGGAAAGTTGTGGAAAAACAATGTAAGTTTACAGGTGGGGAAAAAAAAAGAGTGATGATTAATGCAGAGGTGTCCAGGCACGTTGTTAAGTTCATAGACCAGAGTATACTTTCTGTTGCTCTGGAAAGCATTGGTCCCTTAATTTGTTCCAGTTGCTATTTAAAAAAAAAAAAAAAAAAAAAAAAAAAAAAAAAAAAAGCCTTACACTGGGTAATTTGTTAACATGACAACAGAAATGTATTGCTCACAGTTCTGGAGGCTGGGAAATCCAAGACCAAGGTGCTAGCAGATTCAGTGTCTGGAAAGGGCTTGTTCTTTTTCAAATATGGTGCCTTCTTGCTGCATCCTCACGTGACAATAGGGGCAAGAGAGCTTGCTGAGCCTCTTTTATTTTATTTTATTTTTATTTTTATTTTTATTTTTGAGACAGAGTCTAGAGTGCAGTGGCACAATCTTAGCCCGCTGCAACCTCTACCTCCTGGGTTCAAATGATTCTCCTGCCTCAGCCTCCCGAGTAGCTGGGATTACAGGTGTGCGCCACCGTGCCCGACTAATTTTTGTGTTTTTAGTAGAGATGGGGTTTTACCATGTTGGCCAGGCTGGTCTTGAACTCCTGACCTCAGGTGATCCACCCACCTGGGCCTCCCAAAGTGCTGGGATTACAGGTGTGAGCCACCGCACCTCTTTTATAAGAACACTAATCCCATTTATAAGGATGGAGCCCTCATGATCTAATCACTTCCCAAAGGCCCCACCTCTTAAACTATCACATCAGTTATTAGGTTCTAACACAGGAATCCTGGGGCAGTGGGAGGGGGACACCAACATTCAAACCACAGCAGCCTCTTACTCTCACGCTGCAAAACCCCATCACAGGTTTTATCACTACTAATCTCACTGCGTATGGTGAGCACCATCATACCCCAAAAAATAGTCTTTGAATTTAAGAAGCCTTAAGTATTTCTGATTGCTGTGTGACTGTATTGGTTGAATTCCCTCAGAAGCAGGTTTTGATGCAATAATTCAAGGGCACATAGTTTATAATAGAAGAGAGGAGAAGTGAAACAGGAAAGGGAAGAAAGCCAATAGTGCGTTATCAAAGTGGCCACTGTGGGCACCTGAAGCTCAGTCCCACCTGGAACCTGGGAAACTGTATAAAACAGGCAACAGTACGCTTTTCTGAAAAGCCCAGACAGTAAATATTTTTGGCTTTCCAAGCCAGGCAGTCTCTGTCACAACTACTCAACTCTACCACTGGAATGTGAAGACAGTCATAGACCATATGTAAACAAATGATCATGGCTGTGTTCCAATAACACTTTTTTACAAAATGGGTGGTGGCTGGATTTGGTCCTTGGGATTTAGTTTGCTGAGCCCTTGTGTAGAACACACCTTGGAGTTATCCCAACCAAGGGTGAAGAAGTTGGAGTATTTATCAACAGACTCTAATCCGTCATTGGTTAAAAATTGCTTCTAGGAGCATTAATTCTTCAGCACCTCTGGCTGCCCCTGCAGACCAGTGGAAAAGCCCCTCGATCCTGCTGCCCCCCATATCTGATCGATCACCAGGTATGCTGATTTTTTTTTTCTTTTTTGCTAGTTTCTTTTTGTTTTTGTTTTGTTGAGATGGGGTCTCACTCTGTCATCCAGGCTGGACTGCAGTGATGTGATCTCAGGCTCACTGCAACCTCTGCCTCCCAGACTCAGGTGATTCTCCCACCTTAGCCTCCCGAGTAGCTGGGACCACAGGTGCACACCACCATGCCCGGCTAATTTTTGTATTTTTGGTAGAGACAGAGTTTCGCCATGTTGCCCAGGCTAGTCTCGAACTCCTGAGCTCAAGCAACCCACCCAACTTGGCCTCCCAAAGTGTTAGGATTACAGGCATGAGCCACCACTCATACAGCTCATTACTCACGGTAGTTAACGTTCTAAAACATTGCTGCAAGCACTGACTTAGCGAATACTCAATGGAAGATGCTGCTCAAGGCAGGCCCCAATTCCCCACACCCACACTGCATGAGGCTCTTCCCTCACCTGAGTCCCAGGGTCGAATCTTAAGAGGATGTCCTGAGAAGCCTTGGTTTGCCCGTGGATCCACACGGTGCTCCCTGGGGGGACTCTTTTCAGATGCCTGTGTCTCTTTTCAAACAGCCCAGAATCCTCAGGGGAAGCACTAAGGTGAGCATCTCTCAATTTCAGCAAGGGAGAAAATCCCAGCCTTGGTTTTCAATTGATGGAGTTTGAGGGGCTTGTTTTGGAGACAGAGTCTCACTGTGTCACTCAGGCTGGAGTGCAGTGGCATGATCTCAGCTTACTGCAACCTCTGCCTCCCGGGTTCAAGCAATTTGCTGCCTCAGCCTCCAGAGTAGCTGGGATTACAGGTGTGCACCACCATGACTGGATAATTTTTGTTTTTTTTGTTTATTTGGGGTTTTTTTTGTTTTTTGTTTTTTTCAGACGGAGTCTCACTCTGTCACTCAGACTGGAGTGCAACGGCGCGATCTCGGCTCACTGCAACCTCCACTTGCCAGGTCCCAGCAATTCTCCTGCCTCAGCCTCCCGAGTAGATGGGATTACAGGTGCTCGCCACCATGCCCAGGTAATTTTTTGTATTTTTAATAAAGATGGGGTTTCACCACATTGGCCAGGCCAGTCTCAAACTCCTGACCTCAGGTGATCCGCCCACCTCGGCCTCCCAAAGTGCTGGGATTACAGGCATGAGCCACCACACCTGGCCTCTAATTTTTGTTTTTTCAGTAAAGACAGGGTTTTGCCATGTTGGCCAGGCTGGTCTCAAACTCCTGACCTCAAGTGATCTGCCCACCTCGGCCTCCCAAAGTGCTGGGATTACAGGCATGAGCCACCATGCCCAGGCTGCTG
Organism: Homo sapiens; assembly: GCF_000001405.40. Lineage (NCBI taxonomy): Eukaryota > Metazoa > Chordata > Mammalia > Primates > Hominidae > Homo > Homo sapiens. The sequence goes on from NC_000010.11 coordinate 21,267,419, forward strand.
TTCTGATGTGTCTTATTTGGATAGTTGGGAAAAAAAACTTTTCCCAGAAGCACTTTCTTCCCACCCTCGTTGTGGAGACATGGATCACAGTCAGGGCTGCTGTGGGCCTACACTTTGCCTTTATGCAAACTGGAGATGGGATCCTCTTTCTCACGCAAGACTTCTCCTTGGAGACACCCCTCTGGTTGAATTTGGGAGTGATTGTGTGTGTACATGTTCCCGACAGTGTGGTCTCAATGGAAGATGCTGAGAGGGATTTATGATCTAAAACTGCATGGTCCAATATGGCAACCATCAGCCACATAATGCTATTTCAATTTAATATTAAATTAGTTAAAATTAAATAAAATCAAAAATTCATTTGTTCGTCAGTTGTACTGGCCACACTTCAAGTGCTCAGTAGCTACATGTGGCTAGTGTCTGTTGTATTCAAAAGAACATTTTCATCAACACAGAAAGATCTATGGGACAGAGCTGCTCTATAATTCAGCCAGAAGGTCAGAAGCTTCATGCCTGAGCACTCTTGTCAGTTAATGTATGTGTATGATGTGAATGATGCCCTCTTAGGTGTGGTACCTTCGGACTGTGTGCAACATGAACACCGATGTGTGGCGCCCCAACTGCATGCTCATTCATAAACCAAGACTCCTAGGATTGCCTTGGTCTTAGACCAACCAGGAGTCAGTCCTGGTGTTTGAAATACCTCCTCTCACTGCATGTGACCACTCAAAAGAGAGTGGAAACTACAAAATCAAGACTGCGGCAACTGAAGCTGGACGTGGGATTATGCCTGTAATCCCAGCACTTTGGGAGGCTGAGGCAGGAGGATCAGTTGAGGACAGGAGTTCAAGACCAGCCTGCACAATAAAGCAAGACCCCTGTCTCTTCGAAAAATAATTTTAAAAAGTTAGCCTAGCATAGTGGCATGGTGGTATGCACCTGTAGTCCCAGCTACTTGGGAGGCTAAGGCAGGAGGATCGCCTGAGCCCAAGAGTTTGAGGCTGCAGAGAGCTGTGTTCATGCCACTGTGCTCCAGCCTGGGCAACAGAGCAAGGCTCTATCTCTAAAGAGTAAAAAATACATTAAAAATAAAAATTTTAATTTAATTTTTTTTTTTTTTTGGGAGATGGTATCTTGCTCTGTCACCCAGGCTGGAGTGCAGTGGTGTGATCTCGGCTCACTGCAACCTCTGCCTCCCAGGTTCATGCAATTCTCCTGCCTCAGCCTCCCAAGTAGCTGAGATTACAGACACGTGCCACCATGTCTGGTTAAATTCTGTATTTTTCAATAGAGACAGAGTTTCACCATGTTGGCCAGGCTGGTCTCGAACTTCTGACCTCAAGTGATCCACCCGCCTCGGCCTCCCAAAGTGCTGGGATTACAGGCATGAGCCACTGCACCTGGCCAAAAAAATTTAAAAAAATTTAAGAGACTTTGGAAACAAGAAGATAGGGTGGATTACAATTGGCATACAACTCATAAGGTGATCGTATGAGTTAAAATAAAACATCCAGAGCAGTGTGTATAATCCCTAGAGCATAAGTACCTAAGGGATCTTAGCTTAGGTACTTTAATCATAATCATTATTGACTGATCATCGCATCTCCATTGTGGTTTGACCACCGCCAGAGCAGAGTGTCTCACAAGAATGCCAAAGAAGCACTGTGGGGATCCCCATTTCCTGCTGGGCACAACAGAGCAATGGAAGACACTTGTCCCATCTTCTCCCATTGTGGCTTTCCATGAGGGCATTCCTAAGTGTCTTGGCCCTCTGGTACCCAGGGGCCTTCTGAGTCCTCTAAGAGGGGTTGGTTGTGTACAACAACAGCAGATGCTGAACTCCAAGGGCTGGCCGAGGCAGCCTGGGCCAAAGAAATTGGGCCCTCCTCCCCCTAAATGAGAGTGCAAATGAACATGCCTGTCACAGCCACCTCCAGAGAGATGAAGGCAGATTCGTAGAGATGGGATCTCCCAGATAAAACCTTATAAGAGCTTTGGGCTTCTTGGGAAATAGTCTCGATGAGCACAACAAACAGAGTTGCTTTTATCTTCTTCGCACTCTAAAGACTGAGTGTTTAATATTCCAAAGCAGGCCAATTTGTCAAACAAAATAATGAACGTTCGTGGTTAGAACTATGCAGCAGCATCAGACACTTTGACTTCAAAGGCTACACCCTCTTTCATTATCAAAGATTACTAAATATCAACACATTAGGATGAAGCCCACAGTTCATTAATGCTGAATATAATTGCATCAGGCTGTCCATACTGGCTTTTCCACTGGGCTGAATCTGTTGTTTATGGAGATTTGCTGTAGGGAATATATTTGCATATATAGTGAGAGTAAATGCCTAATAGAGGAAGAAGTTTACCTCTAAGGTGGTGGTCTTCCCTACCAGACTGGGTCTCCAGGCACAGCTCTCTGCCACCTTCTATTAATCTCATTGTCACTTGACTTAGAGCAAATACAAAAAAGTGGTTAAGACCCAGCTAGGAAAATGGGTCAATGTACGGAATTAACCTGAAAGAAATTTGAGGAGTTCTTTGTTTGTTTTCAAATTCTCTATTGCTTCTGTGCATGAACTCCATGTAAAATTGCAGTAAGAAAATTATTTATGTCTGAAACAGGTTAAAATATCTTTCTAGACATCATCTTGAATTTAACCACAACTGTACTTGTATCCCCAAAGCAAAACTCTGGAATTCCACTGAATGGTGGCATCATCTGGTGGACATAAATGATACTGCAACTCCCCTACAGTTTCTGTCATCCCTCTGTGAGAAATATTAATTTCTTAATTGTGCTAAATTACTCAGAAATTATCGTAAACCACAGAAGTTTCTTCTATTAAGCATCTTCAATTAAGCTGCACATCTCCAAATTGGTATAGCCCTCCTAGACTGTCATAAAACTCTTATAATCTGATAGAGTCTGAGACTATTTTCCATATTTTTTTTTTTTTTTTGAGACAGAGTCTCACTCTGTCACCCAGGCTGCAGTGCAATGATGTGATCTTGGCTCACTGCAACTTCCACCTCCTGAGTTCAAGTGATTCTCCTGCCTCAGCCTCCCATGTAGCTGGGATTACAGGTGTGCGCCACCACACTCAGCTAATTTTTTGCATTTTTAGTAGAGATGGGGTTTCACCATGTTGGCCAGGCTGGTCTCGAAATCCTGACCTCAAGTGGTCTGCCCACCTTGGCCTCCCGAAGTGTTGGGATTACAGGTGTGAGCCACCGCGCCCAGCCCATAATTTTTAAATTGTTTGGTATATAGATCTTATCTCACCCCAGCAGGTCATGAACTCCTTGAGGACAAGTCGTTCAACTCTTTTTTATACCTCATACTTCCTACTATCTTAGTGGGTTCTCAATAACGACTTGTCCAGGACCGAATAATTCACACAACGTATGGATATGTACATTAAAGAGAACAGAATGTGCAACTGCAAGTGTACAGAATTTGGGGACAAAATCCCAGGGATCTCCTCATCTCTGTTGGTGAGACTGTAAATTGGTACAGCCATTATGGAAAACAGTATGTCAGTTCCTCAAAAGACTGAAAATAGAATTACCATATCATCCAGCAATCTCACTTCTAGGTATATATCCAAAGGAATTTATATCTCCACTCTTGTGTTCACTGAAGCATTATTCACAATAACCAAGATATGGAAACAACATAGAAGTCCATAGACCAATGACTAGATCAAGAAAATGTGGCATATATACAATGGAATATTATACAGCCTTAAAAAATAAGGAAATCCTGCCATTTGCAACAACATGAATGAACCTAGAGGATGTTATGCTAAGTGAAATAAGCTAGACACAGAGAGACAAATACTGCATGATCTCACGTAAACTTCTAAACAAACTCTAAAACTTCGACTCCTAAACAGGTTCTCAAGAAGTTGAACTCCTGGAAGTAGAGAGTAGAGAGGTGGTTGCTAGCGGCTGGAGGGCAGACGAAATAAAGATGTTGGTGAAAGGTTACAAAATTTTAGTTACAAGATTAACATATTCCGGGTTTCATGTACAACGTGGTAGCTATAGTCGATAATAATGTTTGTATACTTGAAACTACTAAGAGAATAGTAAACAGATCTTTTTTTTTTTTTTTTCTAGATGGAGTTCCACTTTGTCATCCAGGCTGGAATGCAATATTACGATCTCGGCTCACTGCAACCTCCACCTCCCAGGTTCAAGCGATTCTCCTGCCTCAACCTCCTGAGCAGCTGGGACAATGGGCACCCGCCACCACGCCTGGCTGATTTTTGTATTTTTAGTAGAGACGGGGTTTCACCATGATAGCCAGGCTGGTCTTGAGCTCCTCGCCTCAAGTGATCCACCCGCGTCAGCCTCCCAAAGTGCTAGGATTACAGGCGTGAGCCACTGCGCCCTGCCGAGAATAGATCTTAAATGTTCCCACCACACACAAAAGAATAGTAACTATATGAAGTGATGGATATGTTAATTGTGGTAATCACTTCATAGTGCATATACATATATCAAAACATCACATTGTACATCTTAAATAGAAACAATTTTTTTTTTGAGATGGAGTCTCACTCTGTCACCCAGGCTGGAGTGCAGTGGTGTAATCTCAGCTCACTGCAAGTTCCGCCTCCCAGGTTCACACCATTCTTCAGCCTCCTGAGTAGCTGGGTCTACAGGCACCCGCCACCACACTTGGTTAATTTTTTTTTTTTTTTTTTTTTTTTTTTTAGTAGAGACGGGGTTTCACCATGTTAGCCAGGATGGTCTCGATCTCCTGACCTCGTTATCCACCCACCTCGGCCTCCCAAAGTGCTGGAATTACAGGCGTAAGCCACCGCACCCGGCAAATATAAAAAATTTTTACGTGTCAAAAATAAACAAATACACCTGCTGTAGTGGCTCACACCTTTAATCTCAGCACTTTGGGAGGCCAAGATGGAGGATCGCTTGAGGCCAGAAGTTTAATACCAGCCTGGGCAAAATAGCAAGATCCTGTCTATACAAAACCAAAAATTTTTGAATTAGCCAGGCATGATGGTGCACATCTGTAGTCTCAGCTACTCACGAGGCTGAGGTAAGAGGATCAACTGAGGCCAGAAGTTTGAGGTTACAGTGAGCTATGATCACACCACTGCACTCCAGCCTGGGCAGCAGAGCAAGACCATGTCAAATAAATAAATACATAAATAACAAAACACCAGGGGTTCTTGCTCCAGATCCTCCGTTTGATAGCTGTGTGGCATTTGAGCAATATCTACAAGTTGCTTTTTGCATCTGTAAATTGAGTATATTAATAGCTCTCTTGCAGCATTATCTTAAAAAATCAATGAGATCATTGGAGTGAAAGAGGAGTGTCAACTGTGAATCATTATTAGTTGCTCTTACTGTCCTTTATCTTCCTCCTCCCTGGACAGTTGAGCGTGCATTTTTTGCTTTATTGATATTATGTCCATCATGGTCATTGTGCCATAAAATGGCAAGATAAATTGTCCCTTGAAGCCAGGATCATGCTGGCCATCTCTCTTCTTGGATGTACAGAATAGACAAGGCTCCTTCTTACTCTGCCACCCCGCCCCAACCAAAACAAACAAACAAAAATCTAGGTACAGGAAAGAGGAAATGTGACTTGGCAGCTGCTCACCAAAGACAACTGGAGTCATCTACTTGATTGGAGGTTCCACATGATGAAATTGGACAGCCACAGGGTTGGGAGCTTGTGGGCCCTCGGAGGAGGTTAATAGAAGGGCAGTTTGTGGGGAGGTGAGAGTTCCCTCTCGCCCCTCTCATATCTGCTCTAAACCAACCACATCTAAGACACTATTTATACCTTTGAGCACCAACCTGTAAAATTTCAACAGGAGGAAGGATCCCAAGCAGCAGATTTCTCCCTTGGAGAGCTGGTCTCCAAGAGAAAGAGGGAATTGAGCTTCAGGGAAATAGATTTCATTTCTGTATAAGAATAAATTTCCTAATAGTCCTGGAGGGAGCGGGACAGAGGGTATTCCAAGTCTAGGGGACTTCCTCCCACTGAAGCTAGACAGAGGGGCTAAGCATCACAGGGCTGGTAGAACTGACCAGCCTTTGGGCTGAGATCCAATTTGTGAGGCTGTGGTTTCCAGTTCAGTTGACACTGAGGAAGTGGACAGTCCCTCCCTATCTACACCCTACAGCCTCTGCCAAGTGTTGCTCTGTGGACCAGCCATGAGGATTCTCCAGGGAAACACAAGAAAGACCGCCTGGCAGAGAGCAGCACATCCCTTAAGATGCAGCTTCTAGTCCTGCCCTCAGGGGCTCAGACCCAGGAACCAGGGAGTTGCTAAGTGCTCTGCCCAGCTGAGGGGTGGATCTCACTGTCTGGGACCAAAGGCTCCCAGGGTTCTCAGCTTATCTCTATACACAGATAATTTACCCTTGACCTTTCCTTACCAACACCCCTTCTCCTTCACCAGAATTTGCTTACCCCTGCAGCAGATGCTGTAAGTCCTGCTCACATTCCCTCTGCCCACGCTAGCTCTGCCAGGCAGCCTCTAAGATGGCTCCAAGGAGACCCATCTTTCAATGTTCATGGCCCTTGTGATCTCCTTGAGTAACTTGCATCTGACCAATAGAATATGGCAATGCTGAGGGGATGTTACTTCCATGAGTAGGTTATAAAACATTCTAACTACCATTTTGTGAGAAGATTTTCTTGCTTTGAAAGCAAGGTGCCGGTTTAGAGAGGCCCAGTAACAAGAAAGTGAGGGCAAAATCCAGCCAACAGCCAAGAAGGAGCCCAGGTTCTCAGTCCAACATCCTTGCAGGAAATACAGTGGACCCTTAAACAATGCAGGAGTTATGGGTGATGGCCCCAGACAGAGTCAGAAAAATCCATGTATAACTTTTGACTTCCCAAAAGCTTAACTACTAATGTCCTGCTGTTGACAAGAAGCCTTACCAATCACATAGTCGATTAACACATATTTCCTATGTTCTATGCATTATACACTGCGTTTTATTTAGTTAGTTAGTATTATTTATCTATTTTTGAGACACAATTTCCCTCTGTTGCCCAGGCTGGAGTGCAATGGCATGATCTCAGCTCACTGCAACCTCCACTTCCCAGGCTCAAACAATTCTCGTGCCTCAGCCTCCCGAGTAGCTGGGATTACATGAATGCACCTCCACTCCTGGCTAATTTTTGCATTTTTAGTAGAGACAGGGTTTCATCATGTTGGCCAGCCTGGTCTCGAACCCCTGGCCTCAAGTGTTCCACCCGACTTGGCCTCCCAAAGTGCTGGGATTACAAGTTTGAGCCACCACACCCAGCCTATACACTATATTCTTACAATACAGTATGCTAGAGAAAAGAAAAATGTTATTTAAGAATCATAAGGAAAAAATATTTGCTTTTTTTAATTTAAATTATTAATATTAATTATTTTAAAATAAAATTTAAAAAGAAAATATATTGACTATTCATTGAGTGGAAGTGGATCATCATAAAGGTCTTCATCCTCATCATCTTCACATTGAGTAGGCTGAGGAGAAGGAAGAGGAGGAGGGGTTGGTTTTGCTGTCTCAGGGAAGGCAGAGGAGGAAGAAAGTCCATGTGTAAGTGGACCCATGAAGTTCACGCCTGTGTTGTTCAAGGGCTAACTGTAAATTCTGCCCACCACCATGCAAGTGAATTTAGAGGTGGATTCTTCCCCAGCTGAGCCTTCAGATGAGATGCCCACCCCACCCTGCTCAACAGCTTTATCGCGGCCTCATGAGCGACCCTGGAGCAGAGCATCTCTCAACTAAATCATGCCCAGGTCCTGACTCCCAGAAACTATAAGCTAATGAATGTGTGCTGTTTTAAGCCATTTTAAGCTTTTAATAAATACACTGGCTTTCTGCATCTCTCTTCCTATGGGCGTTTTCTGTCTCAGGCTTGACCCCAGCAGAAAACATTACCAGAGCAACCTTCAATCACTAGATTTGGACAAGTTTCCCCAGCTTCCAGACCTTAAGTGGGATGACTCCAAAATAGGGGTCTCCGAGAGTTCCTCTCACTGAGCCCGAGTGGTGCAGAGTGCCCACTCACGAAACCCACTTTGCAGGTTTTCCTCCTCTCTGTTTTTCGTGTCCTCACTCCTCCTAATATTTCCTGAGATCACCTCTGCAAAACCTACTTGCACCCATGTGTCTTGTTTGCTTTTGTAAAACCTGAACTAACATAGACTCATCACATTACCAGCTTTTTTTTTTTTTTTTTTTTGAGACAGAGTTTTGCTCTTGTTGCCAAGGCTGGAGTGCAATGACGGAATCTTGGCTCACCGCAACCTCTGCCTCCTGGGTTCAAGCAATTCTCCTGCCTCGGCCTCCCGAGTAGCTGGGATTACAGGCAAGTGCCACCACACCCAGCTAATTTTTTTTTTTTTTTTTTTTTTGTATTTTTAGTAGAGACGGGGTTTCTCCATATTGGTCAGGCTGGTCTTGAATTCCCGACCTCAGGCGATCTGCCTGCCTCAGCCTCCCAAAGTGCTGGGATTGGGATTACAGGAGTGAGCCACCACAGCCAGCCCTTTCTTTTTTTTTTTTTTTTTTTAAAGACAGAGCCTCACTCTGTTGCCCAGACTGAAGTGCAGTGGTGTGATCTCAACTCATTCTGACCTCCGCCTCCTAGGTTCAAGCGATTGTCATGCCTCAGCCTCCTGAGTAGATGAAACTACAGGTGTGCACAACCATGCCTGGCTAATTTTTTGTATTTTTAGTGGAGACAGCGTTCCACCATGTTGGGCAGGCTGGTCTCAAACTCCTGACCTCTAGTGATCTGCCCACCATAGCCTCCCAAAGAGCTGGGATTACAGGCGTGAGCCACCACGCCCAGCCCAACTTACCACCTTTCTGTGCTTATAAAAACCTAGAATTTTTCTTCTACATGTCCAGGCTCTGCTGTTGTGAGGTTAACCCACACCTTGGGCTTCATCCCACCACAACCCTCCACCCACCAACCCCTAGTGTAGCCCTGGTGTGGCTTTTCAAGTTCCTTGCCTTGAGACCCACACTTCCTATAATCTTCTACCCCTTCCTCACAGAAGCCTCTTCTCACCAAAACTGAGCCACAAGTAGAATATGGTAGTTTGTTGGTCAAAACTGATTGCCACTCGAGTATGATGGCTCATGCCTATAATCCCAGCCTTTGGGAGGCCGAGGTGGATGGATCTCTTGAGTTCAGAAGTTTGAGACCAGCCTGAGCAATATGTCAAAACCCCATCTCTACAAAAATATACAAAAATTAGCCAGAGGCCAGGAGTGATGACTCATGTCTGTAACCCTAGAGCTTTGGGAGGCCAAAGCAGGCAGATCACTTGAGGCCAAGAGTTCGAGACCAGCCCGGCCAACATGGGGAAACCCCATCTCTACTAAAAATATAAAAATTAGCCAACAGTGATGGCAGGCGCTGGTAATCCCAGCTACTTGTGAAGCTGAGGCATGAGAATCACGTGAACCTGAGAGGCGGAGGTTGCAGTGAGCCAAGATCATGCCAGTGTACTCCAGCCTGGGTGATAGAGTGAGACTGTCTCAAAAAAAAAAAAATTAGCCAGGTATAGTGGTGCACACTTGTAGTTCCAGCTACTTGGGAGGCTGAGGTAGAAGGTTCACTTGAGCCCAGGAGGTCAAGGCTGCAGTGAGTCATGATGACACTACTGTACTCCAGCCTGAGTCACAGAAGAAGACCCTGTCTCAAAAACAAAAACAAAAAAAAACACGATTGCTCATGCCTGCAGGTATATAGTCTGGAGCCAATGCACCAAATATTTCTTTCTTTTTTTTTTTTTTTTTTGAGACGGAGTCTCGCTCTGTCGCCCAGGCTGGAGTGCAGTGGCACAATCTCAGCTCACTGCAAACTCCACCTCCTAGGTTCAAGCGATTCTCCTGCCTCAGCTTTCCAAGTAGCTGGGATTACGAGTGCCCACCACCACTCCTGGCTAAATTTTGTATTTTTAGTAGAAACTGGGTTTCCCCCATGTTGGCCAGGCTGGTCTCGAACTCCTGACCTCAAGTGATCCACCCACTTTTGCCTCTCAAAGTGCTGGGATTACAGGCATAAGCCACTGTGCCTGGCCCAAAACTTAACCTTTCTAGGCTTCAGTTTCCACATTGGTCAAATGGAAATAGTGATAGGATCAATAACATGTATTGCTGTGTGGGTGCATGGGACAGAACATACAGTTAGTCATTGGTGCTACCCAGTGCTCAGAAATCATTATCTTCTGTTACTGTGACCAATTGTCATTCCCTGCCTCTTGCATTCTATTTCAGTCCCAGGTAATGATTCTTCTGACACAATGCTTTGGGCCTTTCCATGTTAACATAGTCTTCCAGGACTGTTTTTAACACCTTGTCCATTGGTTTTATGAAAGTCATTTTTTTCTTTCTTTCTTTCTTTTTTAAGAGACAAGGTGTCTTGCAGGTGTTAGGCAGGCTGGCCTCCAACTCTTGGGCTCAAGTAGTCCTCCTACCTCTTCTTGTTTGTAAACTGGGAGTAATTATAGCACCTACTTCATTGAGCTGTTGTCTATATTCAATGACAAAAGACCCCTTGAGGCTTCGCCTAGTTATCTGGAAAGCAGTAAGTGCTCAGTAAATTTTAGCTGCTACTATTACTACTAACAACATGTGAGGGATGATTGGGAAACGCCAGCACCACAGAACATTCTGGTTGACTGAACCAGAATATGTGGCCTCAAAGCATGCATGCAAAGATCTGATTTGAGCCGGGCATGGTGGTGCACACATGCAGTCCCAGCTACTCGGGAGCCTGAGGCGGGAGAATTGCTTGAGCCCAGGAGTTCAAGACCAGCCTGGCCACACAGCAAGACGCCGTCTCTACAGAATAAAAATAAAAACATGAGCTAGGTGTGGTGGCGTGCACCTATCATCCCAGCTACTCAGGAGGCTGAGGCAGGAGGATCACTTGAGCCCAGGACGTCGAGGCTTCAGTGAGCTATGATGGCACCACTGCACTCCAGGCTAGGTGACAGAGTAAAACCCTCACTCTAAAAAATGAAAAGTAAACTGGTGTGGGGCTGTTCTCAGTGATGAGGCCCTGGACCCATAACTGCTAGGGCTGGGAGGAGTTTGGAAATCTCTTCTGTGCAGTCATCATGGGTCAATGAGGGAGGCTTAGGCCAAGACCCACTTCCAACAGAGACTCTCCACCTTCAGCTGTTTACTGTATTAGGGGTCTATCGGAGCACTGATTTGAGGAAAGGATTCTGCCAAGAAGAATGCAGAAAGGAAGGGACAGAGGAAGAGAAGGAGTTTTAGAACCATTGAGAGTACAACCCCTTCCTTTTACAGATGTGGATTTGAGGCCCAGAGAAGTTCGGTGAGATCTGCCCCTGAGTTACATAGCCAGGGAGTTCTCTGCAGGGCCAAGGTTAGAATCAGGCCTCCTCACTCCCCGCAAGGCCTGTCCACCACACTGGCTGCTTCAAATCCAACGTTGCCTCCAGGGGGCGCTATACCCCTTGTATTGTATGTGCATGGCACCTCCCTGAGGCCCTGCACCTCCAGAATCTTAGCAATTAGATAGTTCATAGCCCCAGCGCCATGAAGAAAGATCACAGCTACAACAAGCATGTCTTATGTGTGTACTGTGCCTTACAGAGGCGGGCAGAATTTCTCTGTGTGGGCTGGATATTTACTATTTAGGCTCTACACATCATACCGTCTCTGTTGCATAGCCTCAACTCTGACATGGAAGAACAAAAGCAGCTATAGGCAGTAAGTAAACCAACCAGCCTGGCTGCATTCCAATAAAACTTTATTTATGGATGCCAAGATTTGAATTTCATATAATGTTCACATGTCACAAAAATAGCCATCTTTTTATTTTTTCAATTTTTTTTTTTTTTTTTTTTAGACAGTCTCCCTCTGCTCCCTCTGTTGCCTAGGGTGGAGTGCAGTGGCATGAGTAGCTCACTGTAACCTCTAACTTCTGGCCTCAAGCAATCCTCCCGCCTCAGCCTACTAAAGCACTGGGATTACAGGCCACCATGCCTGGCCTATTTTTTGTTTCAACACTTTAAAAATATAGGCCAGGCACAGTGGTTCATGCCTGTAATCTCAGCAGTTTGGGAGGCCAAGAAGGGCGGATCACTGGAGGTCATGAGTTCGAGACCAGCCTGGCCAACATGGCAAAACCTAAAAATACAAAAAATTAGCTGGGCATGGTGGCAGGCACCTGTAATCCCAGCTACTCAGGAGGCTGAGACATGAGAATCACTTGAACCTGGGAGGCAGAGGCTGCAGTGAGCCAAGATCGCATCATTGCACTCCAGTCTGGGTGACAGAGCCAGAATCCATATAAAAAAAAAAAAAAAAAGTAAAAACCATTCTTAGTTTGTGGGCTGTACAAAAACAAGCAGCAGGCTAAATGTGTCCCACGGGCCATCATTTGCTGCCACCTGGTTCATATGATTCATTGGTATTCTTGTCTCTCTTGAGCTTTGCAAGAGTTATAAAAGCTGACAAGGGAAGTATCAGATCTACTTCTTAGAAACAGAAATGGACCAAAACCCAGAGGTTAATTTTATACTTTATTGCCCAAACTCTAAAGCTTCTCTGCCGCTTAAGAGAAGCCAAAAAGTCCCCTAAAGACCCTAAAAAAAAGCCAGTTTTGAAATAATCTTCTGATTGAGGCTGCCTAGAACCCAAGTGGATCTTGCAGATTAGGGTCACCTGGGGTCTTTCCACGGTTCGTTCCAGTCCAAGCATAAATCCCCGTGATGCCCCTATAGCAAAATGGAACCAGCATGGGTTCCAGAACACATGGGCCGAAGTCACATGACCATCTCTTCCAGGGGTGCAATTCTCATTTCTACATGTGAAATGGATCACCCATATGCTCCCATACATACCCAACCAAAAAAAATCAAGCTGTTAAATGTATGAGTTTATACCACTGCCCTAGGCAGTAGAACAAAAGAATTGTAAGTCCCTTTAGGAGTTGGATTTCGGGCAAAGAGCAATGAATGGGGAGAAAGATTCTAGGCATGCCAGCCCAGAGAGATACAAAAGGCAGATAGGAAGGTGGGAGGTTGTATTGGGGGTGACTGAAAAAGACAGTGGCCTAGGAGGTGTGGATGGTGAACAGGGGTCCCCCAGAGTCAAGAAAGAGCCAAGACTTCATGTAAGGGGCATTGTAGGTATTTTTGGTTTTTCTTTTTCCTTTTTTTTTTTTTTTTTTTTGCCTATTGCCCAGGCTGGAGTGCAGTGGTGCAATCCTAGCTCACTGCTCACTGTAACCTCCACCTCCCAGGTTCAAGCGATTCTCCTGCCTCAGCCTCCCGAGTAGGTGGGATTACAGGCACACACCATCGCGCATGGCTAATTGTTGTATTTTTAGTAGAGACAGGGTCTCACCATGTTGGCCAGGCTGGTCTCAAACTCCTGACCTCAGGTGATCTGCCCACATCGTCTTCCCAAAGTGCTGTGATTACAGGCGTGAGCCACCTCACCCAGCCAAGCATTGTAGATTTTTTAAGGTGAGAAGTAACAGGAAGAAATGCATCTTAATCTGATGATATTGTATAGGATGGTAGAGAAATAGGCAGATATGTTCAAATATTTAGAAGACTGTTAGAGTATTCCAGGGATGAGCTAAAGGAGGCCCAACCCACAGAGTCATGGCAGAGGTCAAGCACAAATGCTCTTCCAAAGGAAAGACAAAATGCCTGGGATTCACCAGACCTGGAGGCCTGAGCTGTCAACAGGGATCTAGTGAATCCAGCCTGAGTGAGTGAACTACTTCCTCCTTTTATGAATAATCAGTTTGTCTGCACTGACTCTAATTAGTGTAAATATAGTGAGCTTCCAGCACAAAATACCAAGCATTCTGGCCCAGTGCAAGCCCTTGTTTTTTGGTTTTGGGGTTTTTTGTGTGTGTGTTTTTAGAGAGAAGGGATCTTGCTATATTGCCCAGGCTGGTCTCAAACTCCTTGCCTCAAGTAATCCTCCTGCCTCAGCCTCCCAACTCGCTGGGATTACAGGTACACACCACCACTCTCTGCTGCTTGTCTTTCCTTTTCTTTCTTTCTTTTTTTTTTTATAATTAATAGACATTTTTAGAGCCATTTTAGGTTGACATGAAATGGGGTAAAATGTGCAGAGTTCCCGCACAGCCCCTCCCCAAACACACATTCATCCTCCCCACCATCCACATCCTGACATCCCACACCAGTGTGGGACATTTGTTACCTACATAAACCTACGTTAACATATCACGATCACCTGGAGTCCATAGTTTACTTTGGGGGTTCTGTCTGTGTTGTGCATTCTATGGATTTGGAAAAATGCATAATGATGCACATCCCCCATTTAAAGGAACCTACAGGATAATTTCACTGCCCTAAAAGTCCTCTGTCCTCCCCCTTCTCATCCCTCCGTCCCTTCAAGCCCCTAGTCACCAACAGTCTTCTTACTGTATCCATAGTTTTGCCTTTTCCAGAATGTCATGTAACTTTTCCTTTTGAAAAATAAATTCCTTTCTTTTTAAGTAATACACGTGAAGGTACAACAAACAAAAGATGCAATTGTTTTAAAAGTTTCCCTCCTTCTGTCCCACAACCATTCCTCCAGCCTACCAATTTCTTCCCATTCCTATAGATGCAAGTGTGGGATTTGTGCGTATGTGAGACTTTTGAAGGGAGAGGTTGAAAATGAGGTGCTAGCAAGACAGTTAGCCAAAGAGATCAGTAAACATCTGCAACAATGGAAGAGGAATTCCAGTGACAGGTCAGAAGTGAATATGTAGATTTAGGAGCCTCTGCCCAGCCGGTGACTGCTGTGAATGGATGAGCTCTCTGCGGGGGTAGAGAGCAGCAATCCAGGCCTTGGGGAATTCCTTCATTACAAATATTTATTAGTACCTACAATGCAAGAGGCTCCGTAGGGAGCACAAACCTAAGGAAAGGTGCAAACAAACAAAACCAAGCTTTGGTCACAGAGGCAAAAGGGAGGGACGGCTACCATAGTGTCAGGGAATGATGCCAAGGAAAGAGCTCCCAGGAAGGACGAAGTCATACCTTTGCCACCAGATCAAGAAGTTAAGGCCAAAGGCAGGGGGGAAAAAAAAGAAGAAGAAGCAAAAAGAAGCATTGATGACAGAAAGTTCAGCTGGAGCCTGAGGAACAAAGCCATATATTGAATTAATAGGGACTGTGCAGTGAGGAACTAGAGGCTGAAGAAAGACCATTTTACAACAGGTCATATTGTCAGAGGCGTGTGAACCTCTGAGCAACTCCATGTTGAATAGGAGCTGGGTAAAATGAGGCTGAGACCTACTGGGCTGCATTCCCAGACAGTTAAGGCATTCTAAGTCACAGGATGACATAAAGGGTCACCACAAGATACAGGTCATAAAGATATTGCTGATTAAAAAAAGGTTGCAATAGGCAGGGCGCAGTGGCTCACGCCTGTAATCCCAGCACTTTGGGAGGCCGAGGCAGGCAGATCACCTGAGGTTAAGAGTTCGAGACCAGCCTGGCCAACATGGTGAAACCCCTTCTCTACTGAAAATACAAAAAATTTTAAAAAATTAGCCAGGCATGGTGGCATGCACCTGTAAGCCCAGCTACTTGGGAGGCTGAGGCAGGAGAATAGCTTGAACCCAGGAGGCAGAGGTTGCAGTGAGCAGAGATCATGCCACTGCACTCTAGCCTGGGCGACAGGGCAAGACTGTGTCTCAAAAAAAAAAAAAAAAAAAATTGCGGTAAAGAAGCCAGCTAAAACCCACCAGAACCAAAATGGCAACAAGAGTGACCTCTGGTTGTCCTCACTGCTACATTCCCATTAGCGCCATGACGGTTTACAAATAAATGCCATGGCAACAACAGGAAGTTACCCTATATGGTCTAAAAAGGGGAGGCATGAATAATCCACCGCTTGTTTAGCATATCATCAAGAAATAACCATAAAAACGGGCAACCAGCAGCCCTTGGGGCTGCCCTGTATACAAAGTAGCCATTCTTTTATTCCTTTACTTTCCTAATAAACTTGCTTTCACTTTACTCTACAGACTCCCCCTGAATTATTTGTTGCGTGAGATCCAAGAACCGCCTCTTGGGGTCTGGATCTGGACCCCTTCCCTATAACTTTGGAGCCTGTGGTATTCCAGAATTTGGATGATTTTTGGTTTTAGAAAGGTTATAGAGTACATATATTCTATTATATTCCATGTAACACACCCAGCAGAGTCTGGAATAAGACCCCTCAATCAAACCTATTAATATTTCTGCAGTGAATCATATGAATATTCATACCAAGTGGGATAGGTAAAGACTACAAAATTTCAGCTTCTCCTTAAGAAAATCTTTTGGGTTTTCAGAGCTTCTTAGACTTCAGAACAGATAAGGGACCTGAGCTGAATTTCTTTTCAGGGCTTAGGTAGAGCAGCATGGGTTTATTTTAGGTCTTAGACTGCAACAAATAGTGAAGGTCCTCCATCGGACTCTAAGTGGCTTGGCCAGTCGGGCATGGTGGCTCAAGCCTGTAATCCCAGCACTTTGGGAGGCCCAGGTGGGTGGATCACTTGAGGTCAGGAGTTCGAGACCAGCCTGGTTCAACATAGCAAAACCTAATCTGCACTAAAAAAAAAAAAAAAAAAAAAAAATGAGCCAGGTATGGTGGCTCACGCCTGTAGTCCCAGCTACTCAGGAAGCTGAGGCAGGAGAATCTGTAGAACCCAGGAGGCAGAGGTTACAGTGAGCCGAGATCGCACCACTGCACTACAGCCTGGGTGACAGAGCAAGACTCCGTCTCCAAAAAAAAAAAAAAAAAAAAAAACGAAAATGAAGTGGCTTGAAGACAGAATTCAGTCTGATGATATTTCCTTGGCACATAGTGCATGTCCACTAATTTCAGCTGCACTGAGCTTTTGTTCTTTCTAATCATTACAATGCCTAGGCCTGATCACCGTCCCAACTTGGCTCTTCCTGCAGCCCACCCTCCCAGCCCAAGTCAGCCCAAGTTCCAGAATTACTCCTCCATTGATATGCAGCAAGCACATCTTATTTCTCTTCTTAAATCCAAACTCAATAGCCATCTGTTTGTTCTGGTATTCTAGCACTAATTGCCATTCCTGATTTTGTTTGATATATTTGACCTGGTATTTTAGAACTAACTCTTAATTGTGTTTTTATTTAATATGGATAGCACACATAAAGGAAGAGCACAAGGAGTGCTATATAAATGCAAATTTTATTGTATTTCACTCTAGACCTCAGAGACTCGCCAAACTTGGTTCTACTCTGAAGAAGTTTTGCCCTAAAGGGGTTAGGGAGGCTTCCTCACTCTCCCTTGCACAGCTTCCTCAAAGCTGGACTAATAAAGACATGAAAACCCATCATATTCAAGCCAACTGGTCTACTGAGTTTTGCATCAAAATTAACAAATCTCACATTAGATCATGATTTTTTACATCCTGTTTTTGTGAACTGATTGTGCATTTTGTATGAAAAAGCACCATTCACAGGGCATGGTGGTTTGTGCCTGTAATCCCAGCTACTTGGAAGACTGAGGCAGGAGGATCTTTGAGCCCAGGAATTTGAGGCTACAGAGCTATCGTGGTACCACTGCACTCTAGCCTGAGTGACAGAGCAAAATCCCACCTCTATAAAATAAGAAAAGCACCATCCTAACTGAGTCACTATGACATTGTTTAAAGTTTAAGTTTGCATTGTGGAAAGGACTATTTTAATTTTCTGTTTTTCGAAGGACAGATTCATGGTTACAGAAGTGTGCCATTATCGAGTAGATCATTGGTGCAGCTTGTAAGGCTTGTGAAAGAAAAATAAATCTTGGGGCCCCAAATCACTAAGCTAAAGGGAAAAATCAAGCTGGGAGCTGCTTAGGGCAAACATCCCTCCTATTCTATTCGAAGTCACCCCTCTGCTGACTGAGATAGATGCATATCTGATGGCCTCCCTTGGAAAGGCTAATCAGAAACTCAAAAGAATGCAACCATTCCTTTCTCGCCTACCTGGAAGCCCTTCCCCATCTTCCTGCCTTTGCTTCAAGTTGTCCCACCTTTCCAGACCGAATCAGAGTGCTTCTTACATATACTGATTGATGTCTCACATCTCCCTAAGATATATAAAACTAAACTATGCCCCAACCACCTTGGGGACATGTCGTCAGGACCTCCTGAGGCTGTGTCATGGGCATGTCCTCAACCTTGGCAAAATGAACTTTCTAAATTAACTGACACCTGTCTTGAATTTTTGGGCTTCACAGGCTTCACTGAAATTTTTCAAGATAAGCTGTTCTACTTCCAGGAAGTGTCTAAAGTCGTTATTACAATGAGATTTCAGATCATGTAAGAATCAAGTAAGGCATCAATCACTAAAGCAAAGGAGTCACTCCTGTGACTCATGAATCATCCCATTTAGGGGCCACTGAGTCACCATGCCATGCTTGGCTGCTATGCTGTAAACAGCCACCCCGGACCCCACACCCTGTGAGAGTTAAGTGCATCCACTGTCCAGGGTCTTAATTTTGAACTTCTCGCCCTGACCCATTCCTCAGGCCACATTCCATGCGGGGCTCAGACCTTCTGGCTTTTTACATCACCGCTCATTCTTCCATCTCTGGTTCTCCCCCTCTCTTTAGACTTGGCCTTCAGATTTTCTTCCTCACTATGACCTTGGCTCTTTCTCAGCCTATCTGTGACTGGATGAATGAATGGATTTTATTTTCTATTTTCTCTTAGTCACTGATTTCATCCTATTGTGTTCTTGAAACAGTCTAATAAGTTATACATGTCTGCAATGGGAGCAGCATATTTGGTTTTCATCACTGGAGACAGAAAATACTTGCCATTTCAGGAATCTTTTTATCTTTAATGATTTATTTAATAACATTCTTTGTAGCCCAGAGCTGGTCTTGGAAAATTACTAACATTCTCCATTTGTGGGGCACGGCCAGGCCAATGAAATGCTACCAACATTGTTATGTCTCCATTGATATCCTATCTGAAGAAAATTGCCATATTAAGAAAGATGTTCTGTTACTAAACATGTTATCTTGCATGTATCACCGTGAGGTTGACATGCCTCTACCCCTGCTTTTGGCCTTTAGCAGACTGGATTCAGACTATAGCTATAGCAGGGCGCCATGGCTCACGCCTGTAATCCCAGCACTTTGGGAGGCCAAGGCGGGTGGATCACAAGGTCAGGAGATCGAGACCATCCTGGCTAACACAGTGAAACCCTGTCTCTATTAAAAAACACAAAAAAATTAGCCAGGCGTGGTGGTGGGCACCTGTAGTCCCAGTTACTCGGGAGGCTGAGGCAGGAGAATGGCGTGACGTGAACTTGGGAGGCGGAGGTTGCAGTGAGCCGAGATGGCGCCACTGCGCTCCAGCCTGGGTGAAAGAGCAAGAATCCATCTCAGAAAAAAAAAAAAAGCAGACTACAGCTATAAATACTGTAGAAATCATACAGGAACAGACAATTTGACCTTTGTTCACACCAGAGTGGAGATGGCAGTAGCGACAAGTGTGACCAACAAAGGGTGGTGGGGAGGCAGAGGGTACAGACCAGAGGATTATTCAAAAAGGTCAAGATCCAAGTAATCAGAATGAGAATCTGAGCAGAATTCCCTAATAAGAACCAAGGCTGGTTACGGGTTCCAGAAGCTGAAAATCCACAACCAGAAGCAACCGTTAACAGAGAAGCAAGTACCGGCATCCATCACAAAGACCAGGAGGTCAGCAGTGGCAGGTCAAGGGAAAGAATCCAGGAAGTCATGAGAACTCCCATAAAAGAAGTGGAAGCTAAGAGCCTTGGTCAAGAGCCAGAGGGTTAGGCTGGGCTCAGTAGTTCATGCCTGTGATCCCAGAATTTTGGGAGGCCGAGGCAGGTGGATCACTTGAGGTCAGGAGTCTGGGACCAGCCTGGGCAACATGGTAAAACCCCATCTCTCCCAAAAATACAAAAACTAGCCAGGCAGGGTGGCATGTTCCTATAGTCCTAGCTACTTGGGAGGCTGAGGCAAAAGAATAGCCTAAGCCAGGGAGGTGGAGGTTGCAGTGAACCAAGATTCGGCCACTGCTCTTCAGCTTGGGTGACAGAGTGAGACTCCGTGGAAAAGAAAAAGAGTCAAAGGGTTGAAAGTATGTTCAACTCTACATACAATAAGAGAAATGCAAGTAAAATTAAAATTATAATGGGAGACCATTGAAAGTATTCATTAAAAATCTAATCAAACCCCTATAATCCAGATATATCACTTCACAGGAAATACAGGAGATAGAAGAAATGTTAAATGTTAGTACATACTGAATTGGCAAAATCAAGACTGAAAATAAATCTAGAAGACAAATAACGACATTCTCTCAACAACAACAAAAAAATTGCAAAGAAAATAGAAGAGATGGAAAAAGGGTACAGCTGTCAACCAACTGCAATGTATAGACCTTATTTGGATCCCAGTGCAAAAAACTGTAAGAAAATAAAAATTATGAAACCATCTCTGAAAAAAAATAGGCAGAGCATATGTTCATATCCATATACTATGTGAGTTATTCCAGGCAAGCTATTAATCTGTCTCAATTTTCTCTTCTGAAAAGCAATGAATAATGCAATGTATCCCCATAGGATTGTGAGAATTAAGAGATAATGCATATAAAGTGCTTAGCCAAGTACCTGGTACCTAGAAACCATTAAACAAATGGTAATCATTATGACACCAGTAATCAAAGGAGTGAAGTAATAACAAGACATGAAAATCATTGCTGCCAGCCGGGCATGGTGGCTAACACCTGTAATCCCAGCACTTTGGGAGGCCAAGGCGGGCGGATCACTAGGTCAGGAGTTCGAGACCAGCCTGGCCAACATAATGAAACCCTGTCTCTACTAAAACTATGAAAATTAGCCAGGCATGGTGCCAGGCATCTGTAGTCCCAGCTACTTGGGAGGCTGAGGCAGGAGAATCACTTGAACCCAGGAGTCAGAGTTTGCAGTGAGCCAAGATCGTGCCACTGCACTCCAGCTTGGGTGACACAGTAAGCCTGTGTCTCAAAAAAGAGAAAAAGCCCGACGCGGTGGCTCATGCCTGTAATCCCAGCACTTTGGAAGGCTAAGGCGGGTGGATCACGAAGTCAGGAGTTCAGGACCAGCCTGGCCAAAATGGTGAAACCCCGTCTCTACTAAAAATACAAAAATTAGCCGGGCCTGCTGGCAGACACCTGTAATCCCAGCTACTTTCGAGGCTGAGGCAGAGAATTGCTCAAACCCAGGAGGCAGAGGTTGCAGTGAGCCGAACTCATTCCACTGCACTCTAGCCTGGGCGACAGAGCGAGACTCCATCGCCAAAAAAAAAAAAAAGAAAAAGAAAATTATTACCATCTGACAATATATACGTGTGTGTGTGTATATATATATATATATATATATATATATAAAAATTTTTTTTTTTTGAGACGGAGTCTTGCTCTGTTGCCCAGGCTGGAGTGCAGCGGCAGGATCTCAGCTCACTACAACCTCTGCCTCCCGGGTTCAAGCAATTCTCTGCCTCAGCCTCCCGAGTAGCTGGGATTACAGGTGCCCACAACCAAGCCTGGCTAATTTTTGTATTTTTTAGTAGAGACAGGGTTTCACCATCTTGGCCAGGCTGGTCTTGAACTCCTGATCTCGTGATCCACCCGCCTCAGCTTCCCAAAATGTTGAGATTACTGGCATGAGCCACTGAGCCCGGCCCTTTTTATATTTTATGATAGGGCAGTAATCAGGACTTAAGCCCGGTTGTTCCCAAACTGGAAAGAATGAGCAGGAACATAATTGCACCTGATCAAATGAGGGCCTTACAGCTGCAGGGGAATCCTGACACCAGCTGGGTATGAGAGGAGCAACTCAGTATTCACGGAGATCATGAAGGACTGTCCAGAAGACAAGCATGCAGCTCATTGCTCAGCTAAATGATCTCCATTTGATGTCAATTTCAACCCAAACCAGCAGCAATAGGACTGAAGTGCCTTTTGTCCTCAAATTTGTTTTTCTAAAATATGCTTTGGAATTGTGCCCTTGGCTCACTTAGTTGCTTAACAGCAAATATATGAAACTGGCTACTGAAAATGTAATGCTGTGGACGTTGTCCCTTACTGGTGTAATGCCCCCTTTCTCAGGGCCTTTAAGAGATTATCACAACCACAGTGTCAGGACTTCTCCAGAGCACCCAGCGTGTGTTAATCTCATGGAAGTAAGCCTGGTCTTACTCTTTGCTTTGAGCTTTAGGAAACTCACAACTAAATTTGGGCCCCTTTGAATGATGATACAGACCCTTCAATTATGCAGTTCACTGAAAATATATTTTCCTTAGTTTAATTTTAATATTCTGAGGCTAGATAGTGGGTCAGAAACTACAGTCAAAGGGCAAACCCAATCTGGTGCCTGCTTATTGTTCCATTGAAGATGCTTATTCACTTGCCTGTTGTCTGTGGCTGCTTCTGTAGCACAACAGCAGATAATTGCAACAGAAACTACAAGGCCCAAAAAGCTAAGACTCTTTACTCTCTGGCCCTGTACAGAAAACATTCATCAACCCCTTCTCTAGACTTACCTTTTTCTAACTTTTTCTCTTGATCTTTACCCTGTTATGGGTGTTTTATAAATCCATTTTAGAAGAAAGCAGGTTGTAAAGAATCTAATAAGGAAGCAAGGCCAAGAGGGCCATGTGATGCTGTGTGGTCCTCAGTGACACCCAAACACACCCACACTAAAATGTCTGTGGGAAATTGGAACCACTCTCCCTGCTGTCAGCATAGACAGTCTATCCACTGCATGAGTTGTAGTCAGAGTAAAGAGAACCATCCTCCATCTCAATGTTGGGGCTCAGAGCACTGCAAAATATGATGCTCCGGTATGCTGAGCATTTTTGAATTAAAGGAAATTGGAAAACCTTAGAAGCTACCTCAGAATCAATAAATTTTCTAACCTTCTCTTGTTTCTTTCTCCAACCCCTGCCCCTACAAGCCAAGCACATGCAGAGGTTCACTCTGGAAGTTTCTTTATCTGATTGAGGAAAACTTCTTCCAAAAAAAATACAATTGTCTTAATAGCCCCTTCCTAGGAATCTTATCAAATAACCAAGAAAAATTAACCACCAGAGGAGAGAAAGACTAAAATCATCACAATGTTCAGACAAACTTTTCTTCTGTTCTTTTGAGGGTAACTCCAAAAGATTATTAGGAGATTTTATCTACATAATAAGACAACCTTTGTTCACAGTGCAGTTCTTCCCCTCACCTTACCACCACCTCCCCCAGAGCTCAGAACTTTGTCCCAGGCCATTGTCTATTATTTGGGCTCATCCAATTCCCTTGAAAATTATTTACCACCCCTTAAAAGTACCTACACCCCCCATTTCCCTCTCCCCTATGAAGAGTATATTTAGGCCTCAACCATCTGATCCTTCCTTGAGTCTCATAGTTTTGCACGGCTCCCATGCTTATGCATGTTAGTAACTTTGCATGCCTTTTCTCCTTTTAATCTGTCTATTGTCAGTTCATTTCAGCAGACTGGAACCTTCAGAGGGGAAGGGAAAATTCTCCTCACCGCTACACCCACACCAGATGCCAGTAATGGTTCTTAGAGATTCCTCTCTCCTAGACCTCAGTAAAGTTATTTCTGTCTTTAAGGGCTTTCTTTGCTAATTCCTCTAAATAATCAGTTTTCAGTAGATCCCACTGGCACCTAAAAGAAGAAATACTGGGCAAAGAGAAGAAAGGAGTGCAATGGGGGTGGGGGGAAGGTAAGGGGGTCTAAGAAGGCTAAGAGAGGCCAGGCGCAGTGGCTCACACCTATAATCCCATCACTTTAGGAGGCCAAGGCAGGCAGATCACTTGAGGTCAGGAGTTCAAGACCAGCCTGGCCAACGTGGTGAAACCCTGTCTCTACCAAAAATACAAAAATTAGCCAGGCGTGGTGGTGCATGGCTGTAATCCCAGCTACTCAGGAGGCTGAGGCAGGAGAATTGCTTGAACCCAGGAGGCAGGAGTTGCAGTGAGCCCATATCACACCACTGCACTCCAGCCTGGGTGACAGAGCAAGACTCTGTCTAAAAAAAAAAAAAAAGAAGAAGAAGAAGCCTACAAGAGTCAGAAGTCACGTGTTATCCTTCCTACTCAGCACTGGGCTTGACACCAAAATTGGGTCATGATGATGGCAATTATGAAAAATAAAAACCAGACCAGGCGCAGTGGCTCACACCTGTAATCCCAGCACTTTGGGAGGCCAAGGAGGGTGGATCAAGAGGTCAGGAGTTCAAGACCAACCTGGCCAACATAGTGAAACCCTGTCTCTACTAAAAATACAAAAAAATTAGCCAGGCGTGGTGGTGGACGCCTGTAATCCCAGAGGCTGAGTCAGGAGAATCGCCTGAACCCGGGAGGCAGAGGTTGCAGTGAGCTGAGATCACGCCACTGCACTCCAGCCAGGGAACAGTGCGAGATTCCGTCTCAAAAATAAAAATAAAAAAGAAAAAGAAAAACCTTATTTGTTTTACAATTAAACCCATATGCAGATGATAATTGCTGTTATAAGTTTAATGCCCAGACTTGGTTTCTCTTCCAAAAAAGTATAAACACAGTCCAGCTATATCTTTGTAATGCTCTTAAATGTGTCTTAGTAAGGACCAAAACATCTGATTTTCAAGGTATTTGGAGTTTGGGTCTCTGTAGCTGAACGTGGTTTCTTTTTCTCTTCAAAGAGGATATTTCAAGGAAGTCTTTCATCAAAAACTGCTAATTTAAGGCTCTGCTTTGTATAAAAGTTTATTTTGTATAAAAGTTACATGCTTCCCAAGATCACGTTTTAATTAACAAAGCACTGTATGGTCTTATCTAACAAAACCCTGAAAATCAAGTTGGCCATTAAAGGGTATTAAATGATTAATTGATAATCATTAAATGATAGGCAAACCAGAATATCACTGGAATTGCACGATCATCTTATTAGTCTCTCACACTACATACTGTCAATGCAAAAGACCACTTAGGAAGAAAATGTATGGCTGGGGTTGAAATAAATGTTAGACCCCTGAGAAATTTATTGAAATTGACTGAGAAAGTAACATTCGGGACTTTTTTTCCTGAAAACTGTTCAAGCCTTAAGCAACTGCAATTATACTTTTATCTTACTCTAAATACTGTCTTTATAATTAAGAAAAACATCCCTTGTGCCTATTCTTTTAAAAAGGACTTTTTCCCTCTATTTCACTTAAAAGGAAATCAAGGTTTTACATTTTCTAGTAAAAGCATAAGAAAAACGATGAAGGTATCTATCTTGTGAAAGGAAAGCTCATCAGCATCAAATGTAAAAATCTGTATAAGGATAGATTGTTTCATTTTGTTTCTTTAGAACATAAGAGAATCCGAATGACTTACATTCTTGGCTCTTTTTCCACCCACGCAGGGAAACCAGGAGGAATTCCAGAATCAAAGAGAACCGCATTCCTCTCTACCACAAAGTACTCACACTTGGCAAATGGCAAAGATTTGGGTCATCATTTTTTAAACGACAGCCAAGCATTAAAGAGCCCAGGCAGAGAGCAAGTAAAAGAGTCTCCGTGGTTCCTCCCAGCGCTAGTCTGTGGCCTCAACAACATAGCACGTTGCAGGAAAAATTCCAAATTTCTGGGTCCCAAGGGGAGGCATTACTCAGCAGTCTCAGCGGTGACGGCGTCAGCAGGACAAGAGCCATTTGCTCCGGGAGGACTTTGATGTTTCTTTAAATGGTTTCTGCATCTAGTCCAATAGAATGGATACGGAATTATCTTTATTACAACCACAAGGATGTGCAAATTTATTTACAGTATAAATGGTTCTTTCCACAAGTCCTAGCTGTCAACAACTCTTTATTTTCCTGGAGTGACTTAGAAGCCAAGAATGTTTTGTTTCTTAAGCTTCCTACCTAGAGAGGTAAAATAACAATCTTGTTAATGAGAAGACAAAGAAGCTAACTGTTCTGTTTTGCAGCGTTCCTACAGACCGTACCTTTTAATTGCCTAGTGCTGGCAACTTAACATACTGTAATGAGTACATTGTTCCTCTTTTTTTGTTTGTTTGTTTTTTCTTTTTTCTTTTTTTTCTTTTTTTTTTTTTTGCACATAGCTCTCTTGAAGTGCGTTAGAAACTGAGTTTGTTGTACAGAGCAGAGAAGATTCTTATTAAAAACTGGCGGAAGCATTTGGAACAAGCGGTTTATTTTGACTGGTGAGGTATGTCTTACATAGCTTGCATTCAGATGCAAGAGGAAAAAGAGATAAAGTGAATTAGTCCCAATCATCTGGGAAATGACATTTCTTACCGTGTTTGAAGTACTTTATGAATTAGAGAATGGGACTGATTTTGAAGGCTAAATTAATTTAATCTGTTTGCTTTTGTTTGATGCAGCAGCTGCAGCGACACACCCTACTTCTTTGAAAATCTGCAGCTTTCAAGGGTTTGGGTTTAGAAGAGAAAGAGTGCAGCTAAGTGGTGGTGGCTTGCTTGGTGGGGGTGCTGGGGGAGGGAATCCGTTTGCAATTTCCCCTGGTGGAAGTCTGGCATTCTCAGAGAGGGTTTGTCTCAGACATCAAGGTAGCCGCTCACTCAGGCCCACCATTCTTGTTATTAAAGGAGAACTTTCCAGGTGAAGCAAACAGGAGGCAAAGAAAGGAAATTATCATCCAACTCTTTCCACCACCCCCCCTCCCCCCAGCACATTTTCATTAGGGGAAAAAAAAACCTCCAGGGTAAAGATAAAAGAGGCAGAAAGGTTCCCATTGGCCACGGTCCATTAACAATGACTGACACCCAGTTTGCCACACAAGAGCCCCATAGCCCATAGCTTCCTTATTTATGTTTGAGTTGGGGATTTCTTTGGTGCCGCAGATGGGCTGATAGGTTCAAGAACTCAATACTAACCATGGACGTATGTCCCATCATCTTCGTTTCTCTACCTTAGAAGATGAGGACTGTGCGTTTCCAAGCAGGACAGAGAGACAGCATCTTTACAACAACACTGAGTATACATAGGTCAATTTTTCAAAAACGGATTAGGTTTCTAAGAGGAGAGCAGCTTCACCTGGTACATTTTCACCATCAACCACAGAGTCAGGGAGGCTTTTTGCAGATGGGTACGCCGAGGAGCATGGACCATTTCAAAGTTCAGACAGGAGTTGGGTTCAGTGAAATTTGCCCATCATGGTACTAAAGGCAGGAGATCAGGTCACATAATTCACCCCTGACTTGGTCTGGAAGAAAAATAGGCTGGCCGATTTTAGAAAAGGAAATACTGTACTTGGAGAAATCAAGAAGAGGCTAGAAGTGACCACAGACTGTCACATCATACTGGGCAGTGTCTGGTTGCAGAGCAATATTAAAGTCCACATGGCATTTATGGATTCATTACCATCACGACCTCCAGAACCGTAAGGTGGAGGAAAAAAAGACTGATGTATTTTCTGATGAGTAACACATTTATCGGGGCATTCGTCTTGTAAAGCAAGCTGAGCTGGGCCTATGTTCTATAATCTGCTACCTAAGGTAGACACAGGGGCTACATGCCCAGCCTCTGTTCTACCAGAAGCAACTGGTATATGGAGTGTGATGGGCTTTGTTCCTTCTAAGAGGGCCCAGGGTAAGCCTATGACTTTTTTTTTTTTGACACGGAGTCTCACTCTGTCACCCAAGCTGGAGTACAGTGGTGTGATCTTGGCTCACTGCAATCTCTGCATCCCAGGTTCAAGTGATTCTCCTTCCTCAGCCTCCTGAGTAGCTGGGATTACAGGCACTTGCCACCACGCGTGGCTAATTTTTGTATTTTTAGTAGAGACAGGGTTTCACCATGTTGGCCAGGCTGTTCTCGAACTCATGATCTCAGATGATCTGCCCACCTCGGCCCCCCAAAGTGCTGGGATTACAGGCAGCCTGGACTTTAAGTAAGGTTAAAGGTGAGACCTTTTTCCCAGAGCAATTCAGCTCCTCCCTGAGACAAGATCCTTGAATGATAAAACACCCCACATCCGCACCCTCCCTCTTAAAATTTTCCCTCTACATTATGGAATATTGTTTAATATTGACTTTTTAAATTAAACAAATCACTGCTTTATATCTTTGAAATGATCATTTACTGAAATTGAAGCAAACATGTTGCATTTTTTTTCACAAATCCATCTTTTCCAAGAGCTACATCCAGTCTCTGCTCAGAGCAAATGGCACAGAACTTAGGAGGCAAAAATGCAAGCGTGTGCTCTTCTCCCTCACACAACTGGTTCAGACATCAGGACAAACACCTCCATCAACGAAGTGTTTTCAGGGCAATCTCATAATTCTGTATTTCCAAGACCAAATATTTCTATGCAGTGAGCGGGAGAGAGTAAAAACAAGAGTAGCGGAACGATAGGAAGAAGAGCTGGTAGGCCCAGGATACCAGGAGCTGAAAATAACCAGGAAGCAGGTGCAGGCAT
Organism: Homo sapiens; assembly: GCF_000001405.40. Classification (NCBI taxonomy): domain Eukaryota; kingdom Metazoa; phylum Chordata; class Mammalia; order Primates; family Hominidae; genus Homo; species Homo sapiens. The sequence continues at coordinate 21,295,895 of NC_000010.11, forward strand.
GCCCCGGCCAGGCCCTGCCCTCTGCCTTCTCCTCTGTTTCTTGCCCCGCCAACCCAGGTGAAATGCAGCTGCCTCTCCCCACCTCCCTCCAGCTCTCCCCCTCCTCCCCAATTGGGACTGAAACTCTTCCAAGGGGACCAGGTGCAGTGGCTCACACCTGTAATCCCACCACTTTGGGAGGCCGAGGCAGGTGGATCGCCTGAAGTCAGAAGTTCAAGACCTGCCTGACCAATATGGTGAAACCCTGTCTCTACTAAAAATACAAAATTAGCTGGGCACGGTGGCACATCCCTGTAATCCCAGCTCTTTGGGAGGCTGAGGCAGGAGAATCACTTGAACCAGGGAGGTGCAGGTTGCAAATTAGCTGGGCATGGTGGTACATCCCTGTAATCCCAGCTACTTGGGAGGCTGAGGCAGCAGAATCACTTGAACCAAGGAGGTGGAGGTTGCAGTGAGCCAAGATCATGCCATTGCACTCCTCAAAAAGAAAAAAGAAAAGAAACTCTTCCAAGGGGCTATGAGAGCAGATTTTCACTACTAACAGCAACTGTGACAAGTTACTGATCACAGTGAATACCCACAGTGTCCCCATGTGCCTTGGACACAGGTCTTCCTGGGCAAAGCCACAAAGCAGCCGGGCAGCCCCCGGAGACTCCACCCAACATCTCCCCAGACCATGTGGGGAGCAACCCACAGGCCCTGACTGGGGCTCGCTCATGGCTATCACATCAACCCCCACTTGGAACCCAGCTCCAGCAACTGTGGGTTTTGTTTTTGTTTTTGAAGACAGGGCCTGGCTCTGCTACCCAGGCTGGGATGCAGTGGTGCGATCGTACTCACCACAGCCTCAAATTCCCAGGCTTAAGTTATTCTCCCACTTCCACTTCTCAAGTAGCTGGGACCACAGGCACATGCCACCACGCCAGCTAATTTTTCTTTTTTTTTGAGATGGAGTCTTGCTTGGTCGCCCAGCCTGGAGTGCAGTGGGGAGATCTCCGCTCACTGCAACCTCCGCCTCCCAGCTTCAAGTGATTCTCCTGCCTCAGCCTCCAGAGTAGCTGAAATTACAGGCGCCTGCCACCACACCTGGCTAATTCTTGTATTTTTAGTAGAGACAGGGTTTCACCATGTTGGCCAGGCTGGTCTTGAACTCCTGGCCTCCAGTAAGTAAACTGCCAACCCTGGCCTCCCAAAGTGCTGGAGTTACAGTAATTTTTTAATTTTTTGCGGAGATGGGGGTCTCACTGTGTTGCCCAGGCTTGTCTCAAACCCCTAACCTCAAGTGATCCTCCAACATCAGCCTGCCAAAGTGCTGGGATTACAGGTGTGAGCCATCGTGCGTGGCTGCAGCTGGTTTTCAAAAGCGATCCCTACAACTTGCAGGTGTATTTGCCAAGCTCTGCGTCTGGAACTGCTTTTCCCTTGATGTGGAGCTGAAGCTGTCCCTGCTCCTGTGTTCCTCTCCCTCCTAGTAGCAGGGCCCAGGGCTCCGTTGACATGGGTCTTTCCTGTCTAAGAAGCAATTCCTTCATTGCCGAAAAAATAGACACCAGATTTCCACAAGGAAGACCCCTGACATGAATAGTTTCAACCTATACATAAAGTGTTTTGGATTCAGATTTGCAAAGCTGTTCTGCCATTTTGAGTTGAAAGAATTGGGCCCCCTGACTTTCTGCACAGGCACCTTAAGCCTAGGAAGCTCGAAAATAATTATAAATAATAAATCTCTTTAAGCCATGCAGTCTCACCGTAAGAGGACAGAACAATACCAAACCTACAGAGAAGTCCCCAAGAGGTTAATTATCCTGCCCCAGCAAATAGAGACAACTTAGAGGGGAGTCCAGCAGGGACTCCAGGCCCTCCTCCAGCTCCGCTTCAATTTTCATTTAAATCATGTGATCTCTCCTGTTTCTCTTTTTTAAAGTGTTGACCTCATCCTTAGAAGGCAGATTCTAGTTGTAATTTAACTTTGACACTTTCAGGTCCAATACTTGTTTTTATTTACGTCAGCTTCTGTGAATGGGAGTTAGGTCAGAAAACAAGAAAGGAAAAAAGAGAGAAGGAGGGAAGAAAGCAGGCAGGCAGGCAGGCGAAGAAAGAAAGAAAAGAAAGGGAAGAGAGGGAAAGAAAGAGGGAAGGATGGAAGAAGGAGGGAGGGAGGGTAGGAAGAAGGAAAGGAAAGAGGGAGGGAGGGAAGGAAAGGAAGGAAAGAAAGAGAGAAGGAGGGGAGGAAGGAAGGCAGAAAGGAAGATCATGTAATCTCTCTAAGCCTCTGTTTTCTCTTCTGTAACCTGGGAATGAGAATTCCTACAGCACCATTATTGTGAAGACAGAGGATTACGTAAGGCATTTAAAACCCAGCTTTACATAGTCAACACTGCACTGCAATTATTGTGTTACTGTTATTATTGTAACCGTCACATTGCATCATCTTAACTCTGTTGGGAATTCATTTATGAAGTTATATTTTCTTGCTTTTTTGTAAGAAAGTTATTTGCAAACAACCAAAGTATAGCCTTAGCCAATATAAAATGAAAAACATTTCTTTCAGGAATACATACCTGGTCATCAGTGGATTTTAATAGCAACACCACACTGTGAGGCAAAACATTCCTAATTAATATTCCTCCATGACTGTGGCTTTTGTCAAAATATATTTTTCTGCTTTCTTTCGTGTGTTTATGTGTTAAGGGTATCAAGTTATCTAATATCTAATTTTTTCAAGCATCTACTCTGTCTAAAATGTCATACTAAATGTTGAGAAAGACATAGACAAATGTTAGAAATAGCTATCTTAATTCGATCAATGTATGAATCCACTGTCAAAATAATAGTGCCCATACTAGTCTGTCATTTGCAAGTGACAGAATCCCAATTGAGACCGGCTCAAGAATAATTTATTAGCTTGTGTGCCCCACAGAGTAATGGAGAAGTTCACTGAAGGAGAAAGGATGTAACTAGGAAGAGGAGAGAGGTTTTTACAAGCAGTTACAGTCCACTACACCCTCCAAATGATAACATCATCATCTTCATTAATATAAACCACATCTGAAGTGAAACAAAAATAGAGGCCGGGTGCAGTGGCTCACACCTGCAATCCCAACACTTTGGGAGGCTGAGGAAGGAGGATTGCTTGAACTCAGGAGTTCAAGACCAGCCTGGACAACATAGTGAGACCCCCATCTCCACAAAAAAAAAAAAAAAAAGTCAGGCATGGTGGTGGGTACCTATAGTCCCATCTACTTGGGGACTGAGGATCACTTGAGCCCAGGAGTTCAAAGCTGCAGTGAGCTATGATCATACCACTGCACTCCAGTCTGGGTAACAAAGCCAGACCCTGTCTCAAAAAAAAAAAAAAGCACACGAACAAGAAGTTACTTTTAAAACTGATAAAAGAATGATACTTGAGTTTCCAGGGAATTACATCAAAGTAGATAAAACGTTCACACCAAAGGGATCTTCCAAAGGCAACCGAATTTCAGTGCCTCCGCTCAGCCTAATTCTAGAAACCTAGTACATTTGATCAGAGGAGAGGTGGAAAGAAATAGAGATGCCCTCCTTCAACCCACTCCCCAGTAGGGCTGGCACTGGGCAAGGCTGTCCACCGCGCCCTCCAGCCCTGCTCCAGGATGACAGCTGCCTCCTCTGGCACTCCCTGGGCCATCGCACAGCATCTTTCTTCCTGTTTCTCTCTCCTACTCCACAGTAGGCTCTGAGGGACAGTCACTCCAGTCTGTCCTACTCCCAACTTACTGAGTGCCTACTATGTGCCAAGTGGGGCCATAGAAGTGAGCAAAACAAATCACACATTTCTTGTGGAGCCTGCATTCCAACGCACACAAACAGGTGCATCTATGTCAGATGCGAAGGGAAGGGGAGGGGAGGGGAGGAGAGGGGAGGAGCAGAGAAGAGAAGGACTGCAGGGTGAGTGGGAGACAGGAAGGCAACCTTGAGGTGGGGTGCTGGCGAAGCCTTGCCTGCCCTGGAGGAGATCTGGGGAGGACCAGGCTCCAGAGCAGAGGATACAGCCAGCACTGATGGCAGAGGTAGGAAGGAGCCCCCGGCCCATCTGAAGAGCAGCATCAGGGGTGGGGAGTGAGGAGATGGAAAAGGGGCCATGAAAAAGGCTCAGGATTTTATGCTAAATAAAATGAGAAGCCACTGGAAAGTTTTGAACGAAGAGATTTTATTTACTTATTCATTCATTCATTTTTGAGACAGAGTTGCACTCTGTTGCCCAGGTTGGAGTGCAGTGGCACCATCTCGGCTCACTGCAACCTCTGCCTCCCAAGTTCAAGCGATTCTCCTGCCTCAGCCTCTGGAGTAGCTGGGATTACAGGCGCCCACCACCACGCCTGGCTAATTTCTGTATTTTTAGTAGTCAGGGTTTCACCGTGTTGGCCAGGCTGGTCTCGAACTCCTGACCTCAGGTGATCCACCCTCCTCAGCCTCCCAAAGTGCTGGAATTACAGGCATGAGCCACCGGGCCTGGCCAAGAGATTTTAGTATTAGCATTCAGGACCTTGCCTCTGTGTCTTTAGACAGTGTCTCTTCCCCCATTGGCTCAAGGCCCAATGTATGAGAACAGGTTTGCTCTCAAAATTTGTCACATGATATGTTAAGATACATACATTCCTACAGTAACCCTACAATAATACTTTAATTCCTCAAAAATGTCCTGAAAATAGTATGTATTTTTTAATTTCAAAAGTTATTAAGAAGGCTGAATACACACAAATCTCTCTGATCTCCTTCCTAAGTAATCTTGTACACAGTGACAGTTCTTCGATGGGTTTACTTGGGTTTTAACCTCAGAACTACTGAATGTCATCCTCTCAATCTGTTCCTCTTTCTTCAAGATAGAGGAACCAGGCCCTTGCTGGTTACAGCCATTGGGGGAGGGTAAAGGGATAGTCCAGAGATAAAGGAACCAAGGCTAGAAGGCCATTGGGGGGTCTAGGATGGATTTTTTTTTTCTCAGTTGGAATAGCTGTGGGTAGAATGTTCTCCAGTCCTGCACCTCACATAACAATCACTGTCATATTCCACCTAGAAATCATCCTTATAATAACGCGCATACATTCTTTTCTTTTTTTAGAGTTGGAGTTTCTCTATGTTGCCCAGACTGGTCTCAAACTCCTGGGCATAAGTGGTCCTCCCACCTCAGCCTCCTCAGTAGCTAGCACGACAGGCACGCACCACTGTGCTGGGCCTAAAGCACGTTCTTAAGAGAATATCAAAATACTTTTCCAGAGACACAAAGCATTGTCTCATCTGGGAAAACAGGAAGACGGAAACTCGGAGAAGTTAAATACTTAACTGAGATACCCAGAAGTTCAGCTGCCAACCAGGCAAGGCATCTGAGAAGGCTGTTCCATGAGTCTGGCTTCTGTCAGTTACAGATATTTCATCCAAGTTATGTTATATCTGTGTTACTTTGTCAAGTAAAATGGCACACTCCCTCAGTTATAGTCTTTTTAATTTATTTTTTTTGTGACAGTCTCACTCTGTTGTCCAGGCTGGAGTGCAGTGGCGAAATCACAGCTCACTGCAGCCTCAACCTCCCAGGCTCAGGTGATCCTCCCACCTCAGCCTCCCAGGTAGCTGGGACTACAGGCATGCGCCAGCACGCCCGGCTAGTTTTTGTATTTTTTGTAGAAACAGGATTTCACCATGTTGCCCAGGCTGGTCTTGAACTCCTAGCCTCAAGCAATTCGCCCACCTTGGCCCCCCAAACTGGTGGGATTACAGGAGTAAGCACTGCGCCTGGCCAGTCATAGTCTTACCCTATTTATTCATCTGCTGGGCCCTATGATGTCCTAATTCTATCTGACTTGCCTAGTTGTAAATTTCAGTGGCCAGGACCAAGGGCAGGTCTGCCTAGATTCTAAAGTACCCAGGGCTTTGTGAAAGTTCAAGAACCACACAAATACCAGAAAAGCAGTGTCCTGGGAAAAGCTTCTATAACCGACTCATAAATGGATGATTCTCCAAGGAGGGCATCAAGGGGAAAAAGAAATATGATCTTCCTCCACTCCCATCCCCCCTCCACCTCTTTGCTATAAAAGCCTTATTTCTTATTACTTTAATTAAGTTTCTGGTATGATCCCTGGTAAAAGGCTTTATGTTCATGCAGTCTTGTAGAAAACAGCCGTGAACTGGCCAGGCGCAGTGGCTCATGCCTGTAATCCCAGCACTCTGGGAGGCCGAGGCGGGTGGATCACGAGGTCAGGAGATCGAGACCATCTTGGCTAACACGGTGAAACCCCATCTCTACTAAAAATACAAAAAAATTAGCTGGGCGTGGTGGCGGGTGCCTGTAGTTCCTTCCAGCTACCCAGGAGGCTGAGGCAGAAGAATCGCTTGAACCCGGGAGGTGGAGCTTGCAGTGAGCCGAGATCGCACCACTGCACTCCAGCCTGGGCGACAGAGCAAGACTCCATCTCAGAAAAAAAAAAAAAAAAGAAAAGAAAAGAAAGGAAAAGAAAACAGCCCTGAACCCCACAATGACAGCAGCAACCCAAGAACTTGGTCACCTATACAAGCCCCTACCTTCTCTCCTGCCAGTGTTAACTTAGGCCACCAACATGTCAAGGTAGGCCAGGCATAGTGGTTCACGCCCATAATCCCAACACTTTGGGAGGCCAACATGGCATTGCTTGAGGCCAGGAGTTGGAAACCAGCATGGGCAACAAAGCAAGAACCGGTCTCTACAAAAAAATGTTTAAAAGTTAGCCAGGTGCTGTGGTGTGTGCCTGTAGTCTCATCTACTCAGGAGGCTGTGGCAGGAGGATCACTTGAGCCAGGAATTGGAGGTTGCAATGAGCTACGTTCACACCGCTGCACTCCAGCTTGGGCAACAGAGCAAGACCCTGTCTGCAAATAAATGAACAAATTAATGTCAATGCTATTATATGCAACAGAGAATCAAATCTTTACCCAAGGTGAAGGCATCTGGTTGTGTCTTGTCTTGCCTTGTGTTGTTCCTTTTTCCCTCACTCCAATTGTCCCTCCACTCCCTATAAGAATCGATCTTTAAGGCCGGGCGCGGTGGCTCACGCCTGTAATCCCAGCATTTTGGGAGGCCAAGGCAGGTGGATCACCTGAGGTCGGAAGTTCGAGACCAGCCTGACCAACGTGCAGAAACCCTGTCTCTACTAAAGATACAAAATTAGCCAGGTGTGGTGGCACGTGCCTGTAATCCCAGCTACTCAGGAAGGCTGAGGCAGGAGAATCGCTTGAACCCGGGAGGCAGAGGTTGCAGTGAGCCAACATTACGCCATTGCACTCCAGCCTGGGCAACAAGAGCAAAACTCCATCTTAAAAAAAAAAAAAAAAAGAATCGATCTTTAGTTTCTCCAAAACTGATGCTACTGTTCTCTCTTAACAGAAAAAGCCATCCAAGGTCCCTGTTGCCCCAGTGGGTCAGCCTCAGGGATTGCCACCCAGGAGGGAGGGTGCTCAGCCCCGTGGAACAGGTGCTAGAGCTATGCCATTCCACACCCCCAGACAGTACAGGGACAGGGAATATTCCCAGAAGAACTCTGACTTAAATGAAGAAAACTGCATTTCAAGACACAATTGTTCGTCCGGGTGCGGTGGCTTATGTCTGTAATCCCAGAACTTAGGGAGGCCAAGGTGGGCAGATCACTTGAGGTCAGGAGTTCAAGACCAGCCTGGCCAACATGGTGAAACCCTGTCTCTACTAAAAATACAAAAATTGGCTGGGTGTGGTGGCACACGCCTATACTCCCAGCTACTTGGGAGGCTGAGGCATGAGAATCACTTGAACCTGGGAGGCAGAGGTTGCAGTGAGCCAAGATTGCACCACTGTACTCCAGCCTAGGTGACAGAGTGAGGCTCCATCTCAAAGAAAAAAAAAGAGAAAGAACACAATTGTTATCACTGGAGAAATCATGACTTTTTTTTAGTCTCTAATATTGATAACTTGTATTGTTTGTTTATCTCTAATATTGTAATATTGGTAACTTGTTTGTTTATCTCTAATATTGGTAATTATTTCTGGCTCCCACACACACAAAAAAAGACATTAGTCAGGCCAGTTGCGGTGGTTCACGCCGGTAATCCCAGCACTTTGGGAGGCCGAGGCTGGTGGATCACCTGAGGTCAGGAATTTGAGACCAGCCTGGCCAACATGGTGAAACTCCGTCTCTACTAAAAATACAAAAATTAGCCAGGCATGGTGGTGGGTGCCTGTAATCCCAGCTACTCAGGAGGCTGAGGCAGGAGAATCACTTGAATCTGGAAGGCGGAGGTTGCGGTGAGCAGAGATCATGGCATTGCACTCTAGCCTGGGTGACAGAGCGAGACTCCCTCTCAAAAAACAAAAAAGACATTAGTCGAGAGACCTCATAATGCTTTTCTACTCACTCAAAAGACAACCTAGGCTCTAATCTTCAGTGTAGTCCACAAGAATACCTTCAAATCAGCCAGTGATTCAACTCTGACCCATAATAACGTCTTACATTTCTAAAGAACATTCCAGCTTTGAAGTGCTTCCTGTGTATTTCTTCATCAGGACTTTGGGACAGTTTGGTAGTTTCTAGAGCACCCATGGCCCTCCCATGTCTTGTTATCTCAAGGCATAACCGTATCATACCTGACTGGTTCTTTAATGCTCTGAGTGGTTACAGAATCAGCCCAAAGTGGAGATGGGCCATGATTTGCCACTGACGACAGTGGGTAGGAATTGAGAGACATCATGCCTTAGGAAATTAGGGCATTCCTACTTCCAGAATCTAAAAGTTCATATAACATCTACTTACAGAGAAGTAGAAACAACACTCAAATGAAAATTCATTAGTATGCTAATGCATCACTGTTGAAACAGAAAGATGAGGTGCATTGACCGCTTCCACCAGAAATATTTTTATGGGCCTGGCACAGTGGCTCACGGCTATAATCCCAGCAGTGTGGGAGTTTTGAGGCAGAAGGATTGCTTGAAGCCAGGACTTTGAGACCAGCCTGGGCAACACAGTGAGACCCAATCTCAAAAAAAAAAACAAGAACAAAAGAAAGAAATACTTTTATAGTTTAATGTATTTAACACCCAAATGCAGAAATCATACCAATTGCATGCTGAGGAATAAAAATACCCCCACATTCTAACCAACACCATGAAGTTTACGCTTTTTGTGTCTTTCATTAAACAAAAAATTATTAAGTGAACTACTTTGGGAAACTTATTTAACATTTTGGGTCTCAGTTTCCACATTAGTAAAAGGTGCATAATAATAATAGTACCTATTTTTAAGAACCGTTCTGAGGATAAAATGGGTTAATTTATGTAAAGTGCTATATACTGTCCCTGGCACCTGACAGCCTCTTCAACACCATCTTGGGCCACTCTACCCAAGCTAACCATAATCTGGCATCTGGCCATTTAGCTTTCTTTTCTTTCTTTCTTTTTTCTTTTTTTTTTTTTTTTTTTGAGATGGAATCTTGTTCTGTTGCCCAGGCTGGAGTGCAGTGGCACAATCTCGGCTCACTGCAAGCTCCGCCTCCCGGGTTCATGCCATTCTCCTGCCTCAGCCTCCTGAGTAGCTGAGACTACAGGTGCCTGCCACCATGCCCGGCTAATTTTTTGTATTTTTAGTAGAGACGGGATTTCACCATGTTAGCCAGGATGGTCTCGATCTCCTGACCTTGTGATCCGCCCACCTCGGCCTCCCAAAGTGCTGGCATTACAGGCATGAGCCACCGCGCCCGGCCTCTTTCTTTCCCTCTTTCTTTCTTTCCCTTTCTTTCTTTCTTTCTTTCTTTCTTTCTTTCTTTCTTTCTTTCTTTCTTTCTTTCTTTTTCTTTCTTTCTTTCTTTCTTCTTTCTTTCTTTTTTCTTTCTTCTTTCTTTCTTCCTTTCCTTCTCTTTCTTTTTTTTTTTAATAGGTCTTACTCAGTCACCCAAGCTGGAATACAGTGATGCAATTATAGTTCACTGCAGCCTCCAACTCCTGGGCCCAAGTGATCCTCCTGTCTCAGCCTCCTGAGTAGCTGAGACTAGAGGTGCATGCCATCATGTCTCCCTATGTTGCCCAGGCTGGTCTTGATCTCTTGGGATCAAGCAATCTTCTCACCTTGGCCTCTCTAAGTGCTGGGGTTACAGGTGTGAACCACTGTACTCAACCCACATTTAGCTTTCCTTTCCCTTCTTCAGAGTCTTTCCATATGCATTTTCCTTCATGAAAACTCTCTTTCTGTCTCTGGCTGCATTATATTTACCCTTCACATGTCAAGGCAAAAACAGCAGAAAAAGATCCAGGGGTCATAGCTGATCACACACATACAGTATGTAAGTATATATGTTTGTGTGTGTATATGCACACATATACACACTGACATATATGTATATAAGTCAGCAATACAGTGCTCTGGGTCTAGGTAGAGGCTGGGTCTATATGAAATCAGTATGTTCTAATACGCATATGGGGTCCTAGGGCAGGAAATAGCTATACTACTTTCCATTGTATTAAGCTGACCTTTTTAAGAGTATTTCATCCTATTGTGGTCTTTTTTTTTTTTTTTCCAGACAGGGTCTCACTCTGTCACCCAAGCTGGAGTGCAGAGGCATGACCATGGCTCACTGCAGCCTCAAACTCCAGGGCTCAAGCCATACTCCCACCTCAGCCTCCCGAGTAGCTGAGACTACAGGCATGTGCCAACTTGCCTGGCAAATTTTTTTATTTTTTGTAGAGATGGGGTCACACTATGTTGTCCAGTCTGGTCTCGAACTCCTGGCTCAAGCGATCCTGCCATGTCGGCCTCCCAGAGTGCTGGGATTACAGGCGTGAGCCACCGCATCTGGCCCCTGACATTTTTTTTTGTAATGCAATTGTGAATGCATTCAGGAGATTCCCAAAAAGCTTACCATGAATTATTAAAAGCATGAAAAATCATAATTTTAATGCTTTATTTCATAATAATAAAAATATATTTTTATTATTATTGTATATATATTTATAATTATTAAAAGCATAAAGAAAGTCATAATAACTGGAAGAAAGAAAAGACTAAGGGATGACCAAATGCCTCCCTTCAGAATTACAAGTAGATTCCATTTTCGGGAATGCTCTGTCTGCAGAAGACAGAAGAAGACAACTTCCTTGGCTGGGCGTGGTGGCTCACACCTGTAATCCCAGCACTTTGGGAGGCCAAGGTGGGTGGATCACGAGGTCAAGAGATCGAGACCATCCTGGCCAACATGGTGAAACCCTGTCTCTACTAAAAATACAAAAATTAGCTGGGTGTGGTGAAGTGCGCCTGTAATCCCAGCTATTCGGGATGCTGAGGCAGGAGAATGGTTTGAACTTGGGAGGCAGAGCTTGCAGTGAGCCGAGATCATGCCACTGTGCTCCAGCCTGGCAACAGAGTGAGACTCCGTCTCAAGAAAAAAAAAAGAAAAAAAAGGCCAGGCGCGGTGGATCACGCCTGTAATCCCAGCGCTTTGGGAGGCCGAGGCGGGCAGATCACCTGAGGTCAGGAGTTCGAAACCAGCCTGACCAACATGGTGAAACCCCATCTCTACTAAAAATACAAAAAAAATTAGCCAGGTGTTGTGGCATATACCTGTAATCCCAGCTACTCGGGAGGCTGAGGCAGGAGAATTGCTTGAACCTGGGAGGCAGAGGTTGCAGTGAGCCGGGATTACGCCACTGCACTCCAGCCTGGGCAGCAAGAGCAAAACTCCGTCTGAAAAAAAAAAAAAAAAGACAACTGCCTTAAGCAACAAGAGAGACCATTCTTACAACAATATGGTACACTGACAACTGGATTCTTGGTGTCTATAACATCTAGATTGTCTTTCCTGTGATTTAGAATCTGACAGCCCTGAGTTTGAATCTTGGCTCCAGGGGGTTGAAGAATCTGATGAGATATAGAAGGTGGAGATTCTTGCAAAATGGACATAGCAAGATTTTTGCAAAAATTGGGAGGCACCTTTGTACAGACATAGAAGTCCACAGGATAGACTTAGTTGGGAAAGCAGCTCAGAGGAGCCTGTGTAACTTTTGGCAAGTAATTAATTTAATCTCAGGGGATTTTTCTGCTAAATGGGAATAATAATACCCACCCCACCAGTTTTTATAAAGTTTAAACAAGATCATTATTTGTTCCTGGCTTTTAGTAATGGAAATGAAAGCCGATTCCCTCATCCACCTCCTATGTTACTCCCCTCAAGTTTGGCCCATCCGCTTGAAGAAACTGTCATCACAGAAAGACAAATACCTCCTCTTCTCTCTTAGAAGTGGGAGCTGAATAATGTGTACACATGGATATAGAGAGTGGTGACAACAGAGTCTCAGAAGGGTGAGACAGTGGGAGACAGGTGGGTGGTGAGAAATTACTTAATGGATACAATGTATGACACCCTGAAAGCCTGACTTCACCTCTGCGCAATCCATGCAGCTAACAAAATTACACTTGAACTTCATACATTTATACTTTTTTTTTTTTTTGAGATGGAGTCTCACTCTTGTCACCCAGGCTGGAGTGCAGTGGCATGATGTCAGCTCACCACAAACTCTGCCTCCCATATTCAAGCAATTCTCCTGCCTCAGCCTCCCGAGTAGCTGGGATTACAGGCGTGAGCCACCACGCCCGGCCTCCATAAATTTATACTAATAAAGTTCCTTTAAGTTTAACAATAAAAAAAAGATATTGTGATCAAGAAATTTTATCAAACATTGTATTTCTGTATTATATATATAAAAGAATCATTCAGTGCAAAGAATATTATATTCTAAATGAAATTAATCTGCAAATGATACATCTAGAGAGAATATGAAACTTATTCCAGAACAATCATTTTAAGCCAAAACAAAAGGTTTAAAGTTAGGTAAGGAAGGCACTTTGGTGAATATGTAGTGATCCATTCACCCACAGGTTCAATAAAACGGTTAAATGGTCAGCAGTTTGGCTAATTCACACTGGTGATTGCCTGGGAGAAGGAAGGCCGAAGAGTTCAATTTAGATTTAAAAAAAAAAAAAAAAAAAAACTTCCTTTGAGACAACTTGAACATAAAGACTGCACCACACATTTTTGAGTAATAGAAATAGCAAAGATGTATGTATCTCTTGTCCTTTTCTTTTAAGGAAAGCTGAGCAAATGGTACAATCTTGAGGAACAGAGTAAGTGTCAGCGAACCACGTGTTTCCAAAATGAGCTGGGAACAAGAGTCAGTGTCTGCAGTAGAGCTCTTCAAAGCCTGGGAGAAACTATGGAGCCGATGTATCAAAATCACACCCAAGACAGAGTTGATTTGTTTCTTTGATGTCCCTGACGTTGTTCATGCAGAATTCACTCCTTGAGGTCAAAAAGTACATCAAACTTCTGTAGAAATTCTAAATTATTTGATACATTCTCAGCATTGCAAAAAGAGAAAATTCTAGTTTAAGGCTCCAACTCAAAGTGTGCCTCTGTGAAGTACTCTTGAAAAAGAAAAAAAACAGCAACAACTGGTGCTTCTGACAAGACACTCTCCTTGACCAAACTTTGGTGAGACCCCTCTGAGCCTTTGAATTTCTGTGTCTATCTTTGCATTATCTAATTTTAGCAAAAATTCTGCTGTGTCAGTTAAGCGAGAATCTTTCCATATCTGATCAAATTTCTCATCCCCACCTCCATCACCAGGTGGTGTCTGATTACCTTAGCCTGTCTTGAAGGAAGGATTCTGTCGAATTGGTTTAGCCAGAATCCCCTGACCCCTGATGCTCCTTCCTGGGAATTTTTCATCCCCTAATCTCCACCCTACTTCCTGGCTATGAATCCCCCATGCTGTGTTCAGAATGGAAGCCCATTCTGTACTCAAGTCTTTTCCCCTATTGCAATAGTTCCTAATTAAAATCTGTTTCAGCCAGGCATAGTGGCTCACGACTGTTATCCTAGCACTTTGGGAGGCCTAGGTGGGCAGATCTTCTGAGGCCAGGAGTTCGAGACCAGCCTGGCCAACATGGTGAAACCCCATCTCTATTAAAAATACAAAAATTAGCTGGGCATGGTGGCAGATGCCTGCAATCCCAGCTACTCAGGAGGCTGAGGCAGGAGAATGACTGGAACCCAGGAGGCGGAGGTTGCAGTGAGCTGAGATTGTGCCACTGCACTCCAGCCTGGGTGACGGAGCAAGACTCTCTCAAAAATTAAAATAAATAAAATCTGTTGGCCAGGCGCAGCGGCTCACGCCTGTAATCCCAGCACTTTGGGAGGCCAAGGCGGGCAGATCACCTGAGGTTGGGAGTTCGAGACCAGCCTGGCCAGCATGGTGAAACCCAGTCTCTACTAAAGATACAAAAATTAGCCGGGCGTGGTGGCAGGTGCCTATAATCCCAGCTACTCGGGAAGCTGAGGCAGGAGAATCGCTTGAACCTGGAAGGCGGAGGTTGCAGCAAACCGAGATCGCGCCATTGCACTCCAGCCTGTGCAACAGAGCGAGACTCCGTCTCAAAATTAAGTAAATGAATAAAATAAAACAAAATCTGTTTCATCCCTTTACTGTCTGGCTCTGGTTTTTCCTTAACCCTTCCCAGCCTGATCACTCGCCTCTTCCTCAGTCTTGGCTCCCAACTACTAAGTGTTCCTCAAAATCAAATACACCCTTGGAAGGTGAAGATTCTCCACCATTAAAGATGGATGAGGCTGGGAGCAGTGGCCACTAAAAAATAAATAAATAAATACAAAAATTACCCAGGCGTGGTGGCAGGCACCTGTAATCCCAGCTACTTGGGAGGCTGAGGCAGGAAAATGGCTTGAACCCGGGAGGCAGATGGTGAGCCAAGATGGCGCCAGTGCACTCCAGCCTGGGCAACAGAATGAGACTCCCTCTGAAGAAAAAAAAAAAAAAGATGGCTGAATGTCTGTCTATGCTGTAGGCTTAGAAAATAAAACCAAAAGAGGAGTTGTAGAAATCTCTGCATTGTTTGAACAAACAGTCCAACGTGACTGCTTTAAGGGTGACAACTATTATCTGACTCTTTATGTTCCATTTTTTTTAATTACCTTAGTTTGTAGTCATATCTATCATAGTCACGAGGTAAGCTGCATGTCAATATGGCACGTCAATGCTTGAACTAAGTTGGCTGATGGTGTCAACCTGAGTTAGCTTCAGTTTGACTGACTTTTTTTTTTTTTTTTTTTTTTGAGACAGATTCTTGCTCTGTCACCCAGGCTGGACTCCGGCAGAGGCACAATCATAGCTCAGTACAACCACAAACTCCTGGGCTCAAGGGATCCTCCCACCTCAGCCTCCTGAGTAGCTGGGACTACAGGCACACACCACTGCACCTGGCTAATTTTATTTTATTTATTTATTTATTTATTTTTCGAGACAGAGTCTTGCTCCATCACCCAGGCTGGAGAGCAGTGGGACAACGTTGGCTCACTGCAATCTCTGTCTCCTGGGTTCAAGCGATTCTCCTGCCTCAGCCTCCCGAGTAGCTGGGACTACAGGCATGTGCCACCAAGCCTAGCTAATTTTTGTATTTTTAGTAGAGATGGGGTTTCTCCATGTTGGCCAGGCTGGTCTCGAACTCCTGACCTCAGGTGGTCCACCCACCTCGACCTCCCACAGTGCTGGGATTACAGGCTTGAGCCCGGCCACACCTGGCTAATTTTTTTAAAAGAAATTTTTGTAGAGACCGGTCTTGCTTTGTCACCCAGGTTGGAGTTCAGTTATGCCATCATAGCTCACTGTAAAGTCGAAATTCCTGGGCTAAAGCAATCCTCCTGCGTCACCTTCCCAAAATGCTGGGATTACAGGCATGAGCCACTGTACCTGGCCCAGTTTGACTTTCTAGCTCCACTTCTGCAGACTCCCCAGCCTACAAGTAAAGTTCTTTCTCAACTCTTTGGTCTTGGACAAAGCAAAACTCTTTCTGCATGGGTCCTTCAGTCCTTCTTACCCTCATGTTCAGGCAAACCAGATTATTAATATTACTAACATCCTCACTGGTCATATCCCAGGATCTCAGATCTTGCCTTAAACTCTCATTCTCTCTCTGTCTATATACATATATATATATACCCCCGACTCCTCCCTCTCCCTCTTTCACATTTTTTCCTATTGATACATAATATTTTACATGTTTATGGGGTACATGTATTTGCTACATGCATAGAATATGTAGAGAGGTGAACAACTCCATCACCCATTACCTTGAGTATTTATCTTTTTTTTTTTTTTTTTGAGATGGAGTCTTGCTCTGTTGCTCAGGCTGGAGTGCAATGGCACAATCTCAGTTCACTGCAACCTCTGCCTCCCAGGTTCAAGTGATTCTCCTGCCTCAGCCTCCTGAGTAGCTGGGATTACAGGCGTGTGCCACCACACCCGGCTAATTTTTGTATTTTTAGTAGAGACGGGGCTTCACTATGTTGGTCAGGCTGGTCTCAAACTTCTAACCTCAGGCGATCCACCCACCTCAGCCTCCCAAAATGCTACAATTATAGGCGTGAGCCACTGCACCTGGCCAAATATTTATCATTTCTATGTGTTGGAAATATTTCAAGTCCTCTCTTCTATCTGCTTTGAAATATACTACACATTCTTGCTGGCTATAGTCGGCTCCACTATCAAACATCATAATTTGTTTCTTCTAGGCCAGGCGTGGTGGCTCACGCCTGTAATCCCAGCACTTTGGGAGGCCAAGGCAGGCAGATCACCTGAGGTCGGGAGTTCGAGACCAGCCTGACCAACATGGAGAAACCCCGTCTCTACTAAAAATACAAAAACATTAGCCAGCATGGTAGCACATGCCTGTAATCTCAGCTACTCAGGAGGCTGAGGCAGGAGAATCGCTTGAACCCGGGAGGCAGAGGTTGCAGTGAGCCAAGATCGCGCCATTGCACTCCAGCCTGGGCAACAAGAGTGAAATTTGATCTCAAAAAAAACACACACAAAAAACAGAACTTGTTTCTTCTGCCTAACTGCATGTTCCTGCCCATTCACAACCTCTCTTCCTCCCCCTCCCACCCACACCTCCTTCCCAGCCTCTGGTATCTATGATTCTGCACCACACAGTCCTCCCTTTTTATATCTGCCTCGTTGTAAGTCTTTCCCTTCTAGCCTCCATCAACCCATTGTCCCAACATCTGGCAA
Organism: Homo sapiens; assembly: GCF_000001405.40. NCBI lineage: Eukaryota > Metazoa > Chordata > Mammalia > Primates > Hominidae > Homo > Homo sapiens. The sequence continues at coordinate 21,312,996 of NC_000010.11, forward strand.
GCAGATTCCTTCGTTTCTGTTTGAACATCTGTTCCTCTACCACCCCACAGGCCTTCACACTTACCCATCCCCAGTCTTCCACCTGGAGCCTCAAGCTTACATCCTAGAGCACCCCAATTCCTCCTCACTTCAGCCTCCACCTCCCCCTACCCACCTAACAAGACAAAGTACACAAGCCATCGCTGATTTCAACATAACCATTAGATTTTGCTGAACTTAATTTTTTCTTCTGAATGAGACAATAGGCTATTTATTTGATTTTATTTGTGAGATGGAGTCTCGCTCTGTTGCCCAGGCTGGAGTGCAGTGGCGCAATCTCGGCTCACTGCAAGCTCTGCCTTCTGGGTTCACGCCTTTCTCCTGCCTCAGCCTCCCGAGTAGCTGGGACTACAGGCGCCCGCCACCGCGCCCAGCTAATTTTTTGTATTTTTAGTAGAGATGGGGTTTCACCATGGTCTTGATCTCCTGTCCTTGTGATCCGCCCACCTCGGCCTCCCAAAGTACTGGGATTACAGGCGTGAGCCACTGCGCCCGGCGACAATAGGCTATTTATTTAGTTATTTAGAGACAGGGTCTTGCTCTGTTGCCCATGCTGGAGTACAGTTGCTCAGTCATAGCTCACTGCAGCCTTGAGCTCCTGGGCTCAAGTGATCCTCCCACCTCAGCCTCCCAAATAGCTAGGACCGCAAGTTATTATTTTTTTAGAGATAGGGTCTCACTATGTTGCCCAGGCTGATGATTCTCTATTTAGTAAGTATTTAAGAGCTGTACAAATGTCAGACATGATTTTCAGTTCAGGTGAGCCCCCAGCTGTGCTGGGGCCTCTTGCTCTTTGGGACAGCACTGGCCTGTGGTCAAGCCAATGAGCTCAACACAGGACCGGCTGCTCGGTCCTCGCGCACAGCCTGGCCCCAGGAAGGCAAGGCCCCAGAAGCCACTCAACCAGTGGAAACAGCGAGGCTTATGGTAAGGTGAGAGGGACTGCCAGTACTTAGTACGTCTAAAGACCCTTCTGTTGTTTTCCTTCAAACATCTTCCAAAGGGGAATATCTTAGAAAAACCTGAGCGCATTCAAAGAACAAAGATGTGAGAGGGGCTGGAAAATAGGACCCATGAGGAATGGGGAAAAGAAGCTATGATTCTTAGTCAGGAGAAGAGAAAGCCTAGAGGCCACTTAACAATGGCCTGCAAGGTTTAAAGCGATATTCCTCCGAGAATGGAGACCAGCTGTTCACCATCTCCAGCAAGGACAGAACAAAAGGCAATGAGCTTCGGCTTCCACACGAGTGATTTAAGCTGGAAAATAATCTCTGCCAATGAGGATATCAGACTTGGGATAAGTTATCAAGGGAGATCAGGGGCTCTCCTCTGGAGTTCTTCAAAAAGCAAAGAGGCCCGTTTTCCTGGGCGGGTCAGGTGCGATCTGGCAGCAGCCAGAGGGGAGGAGAGGAAGGTTGGGGGAGGCTCTGGGTCCTCTCCAGCCGTAGGAGTCCATGACTTTGTTTTTCAAATAGTCTCCACTTTTGTCCTTGCGGTCTCTCCAGCAGCATAATAGTTTTTTGGACTCTGGCATTTGCAGGATTGAGGCAGGGGAGAGGTGAAAGCAAAGGCATGCAAAGAATGAGAAGAGAAGAATGAAAGGAAGAGAAATTGATTAATTTTCCATGGGAGAGGCAGGGAGAAACTGCAAATAACTAAGCACAGGCCCTTAGTAACTGTCAGTTTCTAAAGTAAGAATCTCTCACTTTCTCATATGAAAATTAGCTTCCATATATATATACACACTAATTGGTTCTTCTTTTCCTTTCTTGCTGGGTTTCCTGGCCTCCTTTTGAATCCTTTGTACATTCCCTTTACACCTTCAATATTAGCCTGTTTCAGTTTCCTGTACAACAAAAGCCAAAGACAGATTCTTCTTATTGAATCCAACACTTTACAAATCCAAAGCCCAAACCTTTATCATAACATTACCCGTCTATGAAATGCAAACCCAGCCCCTGATTCGTATATATTTTTCCTGTTTTTAATCCTTTAAGGCCTTGGGTGTCTCTCCAGCCTTTGGCCTCCTTTATTAAGCCCGATGCTAACAGCTGACTCCTATGACCCCGGAGCCAGTGTCTTTGAAGTGCACGGGCACTCAGGGACAGCCACACCCACCGGGCTGAACCCCCCAGGAACGTCCCCCCACCCCACCCCTGCCTCCCCGTGGGTGGCTGCACTCGGGTATGGGAGAGTGACATTGTCCATCTCTGCATCTGCTCCCACGCGGGTTTTGGCTGCTCAGGCTCAGAGACAGCCCTGAGAATGACAAGAAGGAAAGGTTGCTTGTCTTGTATTTCATCCAGAGCCTGGTGGTCTGCTCTGGGGTGACCCAGCCTCAGGACTTCCTTCCTCAGGCAGCTTCGATGGTGAGCACTAGGATGTGAGCCCCACCAGAGCTGAGCCTCATCTGTCCTGCTCACTGTGTGCCTAGAAGAGTATCTGGCACATGTCGGAGAGCAATCAGTATTCACAAGCAAATGCCAGAGCAGGAAAGGGCTTGCCCAGGCTGGAGTGTAGTGGTATGATCATGACTCACTGCAGCCTTGACCTCCAGGCTCAAGCAATCCTCCACCTCAGCCTCCTTAGCTGGGACTACAGGCCTGTGCCACTACACCCCACTAATTTTTTTTTTTAGAGACAGGGTCTTACTATGTTACCCAGGCTGGTCTCAAACTCCTGGTCTCAAACAATCCTCCCACCTCGGCTTCCTGAAGTGCTGGAGTTACAGACGTGAGCCAATGTGCCTGGCCCATTCTCACCTCTTGTTGCAGACAGAGGAGGTTCCAGGCCTTTTTCTAGGGTTTTTGTGACTGTCAAAGACCTATCTGTACCCCTGGAAAGAAAGACCTCATCTGGTCAATTAGTCCATGCTAAAATGTTAATGGTACTAATGGGTTAATTCATTCTCTCTTGTGCACTCTCTCTCTCTCTGTCAGAGCCTGACCTCCCCCCTAGACTCCTCCCCCTTGCCTTGCTGGGCAATAGCCATTCATCCCCAGATGCAGAGCAGAAAGGAGCCTCCTCCGCCACTAACCCTTGAATTCTTGAGCTGAGGCCAAGAACCAGGCAGCCGGAACAGAACCAGTTGAGATTAGAGTTTCACACATCTTCCAAGGACAGATTCTGCTGGCTGCCCCGGGAACCCACATAGCCTTGCCCAAGCAGAGAGAACACAGAGCCAGCCCTGCAGAAGATGTAGGGAGCAAGACAGTGACTCTCTCAGGGGCCTCAGGGGGTCTTGTCATCACCCCAGCCTGGGACTGTGGCAAGTCTTCACCCTCGGAGCCAGGCTGTGCTGCCCAAGACTGCCCAGGGTGAGAGAAACAGGGCAAAACCAACCAACAGATGGTGTTTCTAGCTCCCTAACCTGCTGTGTATGCCCCAGAAGCACTGGGGAACTTTTTGGTTTTTTATTTTTGTTTGTTTCATATTTAATTGTTTATATCGAATTTGTTATTCATGGGGTACATGTAGAATTTTGCTACATTGATATACCACATTGTGGTGAAGACAGGCCTTCAATGCATCCATCACTAGAACACACTTTATATCCACCAAGCAACCTCCCATCCCTCCCACCCGCTTACACCTCCAAGTCTCCAGCGTCTATTATTTTGCATTCTATGTCCCTGGGTCCATATTATTCAACTCCCACTTATAAGTGAGAACATGCAATGTCTTTCTGTTTCTGAGTTCTTTCACTTAAGATAATGGACTCCAGTTCCATCCATGTTGCTGCAAAAGACATTGTTTCTTTTTTATGCCTGAATAGTATTCTGTTGTGTATTTTTTTTTTTTTTTTTTGAGACGGAGTCTCGCTCTGTCGCCCAGCCTGGAGTGCAGTGGCGCGATCTTGGCTCACTGCAAGCTCCGCCTCCCGGGTTCACGCCATTGTCCTGCCTCAGCCTCCCAAGTAGCTGGGACTACAGGTGCCCACCACCACGCCCGGCTAATTTTTTTTGTATTTTTAGTAGAGACGGGGTTTCACCGTGTTAACCAGGATGGTCTTGATCTCCTGACCTCGTGATCCATCCGCCTCGGCCTCCCAAAGTGCTGGGTTACAGGCGTGAGCCACTGTTGTGTATTTAGAGTGCATTTTCAGGCGCCCGGCCTCTGTTGTGTATTTAGAGTGCATTTTCTTTAGCCAGCCCTCCGTTGATGGTCACTTAGGTTGATTCCATGACTCTGCTATTGTGAATAGTGCTGCAATAAACATATGAGCACAGGTATTTTTTTATATATAAAATGATTTCTTTTTTTGCGGGGGTAGATACCCAGTAGCAAGGTTGCTGAAGTGTATGGTGGTTCTATTTTTATAATCTCCACACTGTTTTCAACGAGGGGCTTTTTCTTTTTTTTTTTTTGAGATGGAATCTCACTCTGTCGCCCAGGCTGGAGTCCAGTGGGACCATGTCGGCACACTGCAACCTCCATCTCCTGGGTTCAAGCAATTCTGCCTCAGCCTCCTGAGTAGCTGCGATTACAGGCGCCCACCACCACACCCGGCTAAATTTTTTATATTTTTATTAGAGACAGGGTTTCACCATGTTGGCCAGGCTGGTCTTGAACTCCTGACCTCAGGTGATCCACCCGCCTCAGCCTCCCAAACTGCTGGAATTACAGTCGTGAGTCACTGCGCCCGGCCTTTTTTTTTTTTTTTTTTTTCTGAGACGGAGTCTCACTCTGTCCCCCAGGCTAGAGTGCAATGGTGCGATCTTGGCTCACTGCAACCTCTGCCTCCCAGGTTCAAGCGATTCTCCTGCCTCAGCCTCCAGAGTAGCTGGGATTCCAGACACCCACCACCACGTCCAGCTAGTTTTTGTATTTATAATAGAGATGGGGTTTCACCATTTGGGCCAGGCTGGTCTCAAACTCGTGACCTCAGATGATCCACCCACCTCCACCTCCCAAAGTCCTGGGATTACAGGCATGAGCCACCACTCCCAGCCCAACCAGGAGCTTTTTAAAAGTAGATCCACTGTGTCCTGGCCCAAATCCACCAGCTGCCTCAGAGTCTCACAGGCTAGGCCTGTGTTTTTAAGAATGCTGTGAGTGATTCTGACATACAACCCAGCTTAGGAATAACAGCCCCACTAGGCTGGCTGACTCACCTTCCCTCTCATCTTTCTAGGACTCTGTTTTCCCCATTGCGGGGGATTTCGGCTCATCAAGTTACACCAATTGACTCTCAGCATCACTGAGCTTTTTCTTTCACATCCAGGGTGAGTTTAAGTCAGTGCTTCTCTGGGTCTCACAGGAGTGGACATTCTAAAGCCAGCATCTCCTCTGAGTAACTCACTCCCCGATGATGGGAGTTTGACTTTTCCTTGGTTATGAGTTACAGGATGAAAGTCAGGTGCAAACACTTATTTCTTCAAGCCAACAAATCCTAGCACCTCCTCGATCTCAGAGAAGGTCAGCAGACATGTGTGTGCCACGTTTCTTCATCTCAAGAGCTGTGTATCATAGTGGGAAACTGGACTTGCAAATGGCTATGCAGGAAGAGAAGGCTGTGTGAGTGTCGGCCCCTGGGTAGAGGCTGTCTTTGTTGAAACCGTGGTGCCCCGACAAAAGCCGGAAAGCGAATCTCCTTCTACTGCACCTGCAGGCTCTGGGCCCAAGCATGTTCCGGGCGAGAGGATATTTAGGGATTTCTGGGTTTAGCTTTCTCCGTTTTGCCGTTCAGTTCACTCTGGCCCTGGCTGTCTCCAAAGGAGAGGACTGATACCATGGGATTAAGTCCTTATGTTCAAGCTCCGGTCTGGGAAGCTGAGTCTCCATCTTTTTCTGAGGCCAAGGCATTGTTCTGACAACTGCCCTTGACTCCAGTTCCTTCAGGATGAGGGCCGTGGCTTTTCTTGCCCACTCTTCTGCTCCTGAATCCTTCCTCGCAGCCTCTAACCACACTGCTAGCCCTCATCTCTGGCTTGCTGCCAATTTCCTCTGGCACTATCCTCCCTAGCTGGCTGCAAACCCACCTGTTGTTTTTTGGGTTTTTTAGAGATGGGGTCTCGCTCTGTTGCAATCATAGCTCACTGCAGCATCGAACTCTTGGGCTCGACAATCCTCCCACCTCAACCTCCTAAATAGCTGAGACTATAGGTGCCCACCACCACATCTGGCTTATTTTTTTATTTTTTTGTAAGAGATGGAGTCTCACTAGATTACCCAGGCTGCTCTCAAACTCCTGGCCTCAAGGGATCCTCCCACTTCTGCCTCCCAAAGTGCTGGGATTACAGGCATGAGCCCCAGTGCCCGATCGCCACTTGTTTTCTCTTGCTTACTCTCCCTGACCCTGGGCATCTGCCCTTAGAAATGTCGTTGTCCCCAGCTGCGCCAGCTCCTGATCCCACGCTCTGCCTGCTTCATTTTCTGCTGTTCCCTTCATCTATCCTTCTCCCATCCCTCAATCCCCCCTCCCCCAGCCATTCTACCTCTGATGTGTTATTTGATAATATGAATCGGAATTTGAAAGGACACAGAGGATTTCATGTGTAAAGGACGCACTGTTTCCTTTATTTACTATTACTGCCGTGCAATCAGTTGCCCTTTTAAACAATGATTCCTCCTTACACAATGCTCTTTTAATGTTTTCATCCCTATAAGATGAGTGTTCCTTGATACAAATAGCAGTTGCCACTTCCTTTATGGATGTAATGATTAGAGAATGTTCCTTTATAAAAGTTCTCAGCCCTTACTGTGCCTCATAATTGCCTGGGATGCTTTATAAAACCCTATGGTCTGGGGCCAGCTGCGGTGGCTCACGCCTGTAATCCCAGCACTTTGGGAGGCGGAGGCAGGCAGATTTCGAGGTCAGGAGATCGAGACCATCCTTGCTAAAACAGTGAAACCCCGTCTCTACTAAAATACAAAAAATTAGCCGGGCGTGGTGGCGGGCGCCTGTAGGCCCAGCTACTCGGGAGGCTGAGGCAGGAGAATGGCGTGAACCTGGGAGGCGGAGCTTGCAGTGAGCCGAGATCGCGCCACTGTGCACTCCAGGCTGGGCGACAGAGCGAGACCCCGTCTCAAAAAAAAAAAAAAAAAAAAAAAAAACACATGGTCTGGGCACCACCTTCAGATATTTCAGTTCAATTGGTCTAAAGTCGGGTTCTGTATCCATATTTTAAAAATACTCTGGCTGGGCACGGTGGCTCATGCCTGTAATCCCAGCACTTTGGGAGGCTGAGGTAGGCGGATCACCTGAAGTCAGGAGTTTGAGACCAGCCTGATCAAATGGTGAAACCTCATCTCTACCAAAAATACAAAAATTAGCTGGGCATGGTGGCACACGCCTGTAGACTCAGCTACTTGGGAGGCTGAGGCAGGAAAATCGCTTGAACCTGGGAGGCAGAGGTTGCAACAAGCCAAGATTGCACCACTGCACTCCAGCCTGGGTGACAGAGCGAGACTCCGTCTCAAAAAAATAAAAATAAAGTAAAAATACTTCTGACAGGGCTTGGTGGCTCAACCCTGTAATCCCAGCACTTTGGGAGGCTGAGGCGGGCGGATCACTTGAGGTCAGGAGTTCAAGACCAGCCTGAACAACATGGTGAAACCCTGTCTCTATTAAAAATACAAAATTAGCCAGGCGTGGTGGCACACACCTGTAATCTCAACTACTTGGGAGGCTGAGGCAGGAGAATTGCTTGAACTGGGAGGCGGAGGTTGCAGTGAGCCAAGATTGCGCCATTGTTCTCCAGCCTGGGCAAAAAGAGCAAAACTCCATCTCAAAAAAAATAAAAATAAAAATACTTCCCAAGAGATGATAATGTGCAGCCAGGCCTGAGATTCACCGATTTATCAAAAAATCTTTCATGATAAAAGTGTGTTCAAAAATTCTGTAATCCCAGCACCCTGGGAGGCCGAGGAGGGCCGATCACCTGAGGTCAGGAGTTTGAGACCAGTCTGGTCAACATGGTGAAACCCCATCTTTACTAAAAATACAAAATTAGCCGGGCATGGTGGCACTCACCTGTAATCCCAGCTACCTAGGAGGCTGAGGCAGGAGAATTGCTTCAACCCAGGGGGCGGAGGTTGCAGTGAGCTGAGATCATGCCATTGCACTCCAGCCTGGGAGACAGAATGAGACTCCACCTAAAAAAAAAAAAAAAAAAAAAAAAAAATCAGTTCCTGGAAATCTTAATTTAAAGCAGTGGCTCCTAACCATGTCCTTTTCTGGCAAGGCAAAAGATCTTAAAGCCCACTCTTCCCCACTCATTCTAAATCTGGAGAGACCAAACACTTTGGGAGGCCAAGGCAGGAGAACTGCTTGAGGCCAGGAATTCAAGACCAGCCTAAGCAGCATAGTGAAACCATGTCTCTACAAAAAATAAAAAACAGGCTGGGCATGATGGCTCACACCTGTAATCCCAGTACTTTGGGAGGCTGAGGCAGGCAGATCACTTGAGGCCAGGAGTTCAAGACCAGCCTGGCCAACATGGCGAAACCCCATCTCTACTAAAAATACAAACATTAGCCAGGTGTGGTGGTGGGCACCTATAGTCCCAGCTACTCGGAAGGCTGAGACAGGAGAATTGCTTGAACTGGAAGGCGGAGGTTGCAGTGAGCTGAGATCGTGCCCCTGCACTCCAGCCTGGGCAGCAGAGCGAGACTCTGTCTAAAAAATAAATAAAAAGCAAAATTAGCCAGGTTTGGTGGTGTGTGCCTATAGTACCAGCTACTCAGGAGGCTGGAGTGGGATTGCTGAGCCTGGGAGGTTGAGGCTACAGTGAGCTATGATCGCACCACTGCACTCCAGTCTGGGTGACAGAGCAAGACCTTGTCTCAAAAAAAAAATAAAAAAGAATTGAAATGTGACACACACATGATTTTACATCCTAAAACAATGCTACATATACTTTAAACATAATCCAGAAATTTTATGACTTGCTAGTGCTTTACAAGTTATTTAAAGAACACAACAGTGCTCACTTCGGCAGCACATATACTAAAATTGGAACGATACAGAGAAGATTAGCATGGCCCCTGCGCAAGGATGACACGCAAATTCGTGAAGCATTCCATATTTTTTTTTACACCTTATACAAAAATCAATTCAAGATGGATTAAAGACTTAAACGTTAGACCTAAAACCATAAAAACCCTAGAAGAAAATCTAGGCATTACCATTCAGGACATAGGCATGGGCAAGGACTTCATGTCTAAAACACCAAAAGCAATGGCAACAAAAGCCAAAATTGATAAATGGGATCTAAGTAAACTGAAGAGCTTCTGCACAGCAAAAGAAACTACCATCAGAGTGAACAGGCGACCTACAAAATGGGAGAAAATTTTTGCAACCTACTCATCTGACAAAGGGCTAATATCCAGAATCTACAATGAACTCCAACAAATTTACAAGAAAAAAACAAACAACCCCATCAAAAAGTGGGCGAAGGACATGAACAGACACTTCTCAAAAGAAGACCTTTATGCAGCCAAAAAACACATGAAAAAATGCTCATCATCACTGGCCATCAGAGAAATGCAAATCAAAACCACAATGAGATACCATCTCACACCAGTTAGAATGGCAATCATTAAAAAGTCAGGAAACAACAGGTGCTGGAGAGGATATGGAGAAATAGGAACACTTTTACACTGTTGGTGGGACTGTAAACTAGTTCAACCATTGTGGAAGTCAGTGTGGCGATTCCTCAGGGATCTAGAACTAGAAATACCATTTGACCCAGCCATCCCACTACTGGGTATATACCCAAAGGACTATAAATCATGCTGCTATAAAGACACATGCACACGTATGTTTATTGCGGCATTATTCACAATAGCAAAGACTTGGAACCAACCCAAATGTCCAACAATGATAGACTGGATTAAGAAAATGTGGCACATATACACCATGGAATACTATGCAGCCATAAAAAATGATGAGTTCATGTCCTTTGTAGGGACATGGATGAAATTGGAAATCATCATTCTCAGTAAACTATCGCAAGAACAAAAAACCAAACACTGCATATTCTCACTCATAGGTGGGAACTGAACAATGAGATCACATGGACACAGGAAGGGGAATATCACACTCTGGGGACTGTGGTGGGGTGGGGGGAGGGGGGAGGGATAGCATTGGGAGATATACCTAATGCTAGATGACGAGTTAGTGGGTGCAGCGCACCAGCATGGCACATGTATACATATGTAAGTAACCTGCACAATGTGCACATGTACGCTAAAACTTAAAGTATAATAAAAAATAAATAAATAAATAAATAAAATAAAATATACATTGATTTAAAAAAATAAAATAAGATAAGATAATAACAGGCAGGCCATATTTGTCCCACTGGCCATAGCTTGGCAATCTCTTTTTAAGAGCAGTCTATGTAGCATTGGTATTATCTAATATTTGAAAAATTCATAAAATTCCATTATAAAGTCAAAAAAAAAAAGAACACAACGTATTTAAAGAACACAAAGTCATTGGTAGCATATCACCAATGATCTTCTCCTGCACAAGTAAATGTTTAGGAGGATTATATAATCATCAGCTTCAGCACTAGGTACAGAGATGAATAACAACATTTGAACTATTGCATGTCCATGAGTGGATTAAAGACTAGTTACTAGAAAATAATAGACCAAAAATATGACTTATGAAAATAAGTTCCATAAACACTATCATCATCACCAAATGTCACTCAAACTAACAGGAATTTATTCTCTAAAATCATGAGTAAGTAGCCATTTGAAATCACAACCATATCTAGGCAAGTGATATCAAGCTTCCTTTCCCCAGCCTGTAGGGATTCCTTGAGAGTCTAGGCAGTAATTGCTCAGTAACAACCAAGCCTAGCATAGCTGCCAATATCTTAGAATACTGAAATTGTATTATCAGTAAATGCTAAAAACAAAATAGATTTAGTTGCTTAATATTGAACATAACTACCCTTAATTACTCGCTTGGCAGAGTGGTGGGTAAGTAACCCCAGAGGTTGAACATAAAAGTGAAAATTTATAAAATTTTGCCTTGCTTACCCAAAACATATCCCCCCCAAAGGCATGCAGTGTCATCCAGACTGGATTGTAGTACACGATCATAGCCCGGCTAATTTTTAAAATTTTTTAGAGACGGGGTCTCACTATGTTGTCCTGGCTGGCCTCAAACTTCTGGATCCTCACGTCTCAGTCTCTCAAAATCCTGGGATTACAGGTGTGAACAATCCCACCACACTTTTCTTTTTTTCTTTTCTTTTTTTTTTTTTTCCAGACTGAGTCTCGCTGTTGTTGGCCAGGTTACAGTGAGCCATAATCATGCCACTGCACTCTAGCCTGGGCAACAGAGCAAGACCCTATCTCTATAAATAAATATATATATAAAAATACAAATATCCAGGTCAAACAGGGTTATTAAGATCTCAATATAAGGAAATTCAAAAAACCTTAGAAAATCCAGAGTCTTTGAGTCCATTTGTGAAGATAGTAGAAGTTTGAGGCTTAGCTGAAATGGAAAAACATAAATTTAATTTTTGTTCATTCTTTTTTTTCTTTTTCGAGACGCAGTCTCACTCTGTTCCCCAGGCTGGAGTGCAGTGGCACGATCTCTACTCACTGCAACCTCTGCCGAGGTTCAAGCGATTCTCCTGCCTCAGCCTCCTGAATAGCTGGGATTACAGGTGCCCACCACCATGCCTGGCTAATTTTTTTTATTATTTTTAGTAGAGATGGGGTTTCACCATGTTGACCAGGCTGGTCTCAAACTCCTGACCTCAGGTGATCCGCCCCCGTCGGCTTCCCAAAGAGCTGTAATTTTTGTTTATTCTTGTTCTCTGAATTTCCAGAAACAAAATAACTGCCAGGAGCGAGGTATAGTGATGTGTGCCTATAATCCCAGCTACTAAGAAGCTGAGGTGGAAGGATCATTTGAGCCTAGGAGTTCAAGACAAGCCTGGGCAACACAGTAAGATTCCCTCTTCCATCTCAAACAAACAAAACAAAAAACAAAAAACAAAATAGCTGCCAGTTCTGGGAGTACAGGAGCTTGCAACTTGTGCATAATTAGTTTAATAAGTATAAAATATACATCATAAATATACATCGACACTAATTCTGCAGGTTTAAAACTAACATGGGAATTGCTATTTTTAAGTTTCTGGATAACAGGAAGTTGATGTGTTTTTTATCTTGGGACCTTTCAATACTTAGCACAGTACGTTTTTTTGTTTTTTTGCTTGTCTGTCTGTCTGTTTGTTTGTTTGTTTGTTTGTTTGTTTTTTGAGATGGAGTCTCGCTCTGTCACCCAGGCTGGAGTGCAGTGGCGCGACCTCGGCTCACTGCAACCTCCGCCTCCCGGGTTCACGCCATTCTCCTGCCTCAGCCTCCCGAGTAGCTGGGACTACAGGCGCCCGCCACCACGCCTGGCTAATTTTTTTGTATTTTTAGGAGAGAGAGACTTTCACCACGTTAGCCAGGATGGTCTCGATCTCCTGACCTCGTGATCCATCCGCCTCGGCCTCCCAAAATGCTGGGATTACAGGCTGAAGTAATATTTTTTGATAAAATATATAATATAAAAAGTATTGTGGCCGGATGTGGTAGCTCGTGCCTGTAATCCCAACACTTTGGGAGGCCGAGGCAGGCAGATCGCTTGAGGTCAGGAGTTTGAGACCAGCCTGGGCAATGTGGTGAAACCCTGTCTCTACAAAAAATTTAAAAATTAGCCAGGTGTGGTGGTGTGCACCTGTGGTCCCAGCTCTTTGAGGTCTGAGATGGGAGAATAGTTTGAGCCCAGGAAGTTGAGGCTGTAGTGAGCTGTGCTCGTGACACTGCACTCCAGTTTGGGTGACAGAGTGAGACTGTGTCTCAAAAAACAAAACAGCCAGGTGTGGTTTTATATATATAAAAAATATATTTATATATAACTATAATATATATAAAATATTTATATATAACTATAATATATAAAATATTTATATATAACTATAATATATATAAATATAGTTATATATAAATATAATATATATAAATATATTTTATTATTATATATAACTATATTTATATATAAATATATTTTATTATTATATATAACTATATTTATATATAAATATATTTTATTATTATATAAAAATATATTTATAGATAAGTATAATATATATAAAATATATTTATATTAAATATAATATATAAAATATATTATATATATTTTATATATAATATATAAATATGTTATATATAATATATAATATATTATATAATATATTATATATAAAATATATTATATATAAATATTTATATAAAATATATTTATATAAAAATATAATATATATAAAATATATTTATATATAAATATATATAATATATAAATATAAAATATATATAATATATATAAACAAAATATTTATATATTATATATAAATAGAAAATATTTATATATAATATATATAAATAGAAAATATTTATATATAATATATATAAATAGAAAATATTTATATATAATATATAAATAGAAAATATTTATATATAATATATAAATAGAAAATATTTATATATAATATATAAATAGAAAATATTTATATATAATATATAAATAGAAAATATTTAAATATAATATATAAATAGAAAATATTTATATATAATATATAAATAGAAAATATTTAAATATAATATATAAATATAAAATATTTAAATATAATATATAATATTTAATATTTTTAATATATAAATATTAAATATTTTTATATATAATATATATAAATATTTACATATATTACTTCATCTGAGTGATGTGCCTAAGAGCTTATAGAGCAGGGAAGATCCTAAGCTTAAGCAACTCCTCCAAAGAGCCATCTTCCAGAAGTCACAACAATCACAACAGATTGGAAAGAAACTATGTCCCTTCTGCTAATTAAATGGACAACTGGAGGCTGGGTGTGGTGCCTCACGCCTGTAATCCCAGCATTTTGGGAGGCTTGGGTGGGAGGATTGCATGAGGTCAGGAGTTCGAGACCAACCTGGGCAACATAACAAGATGTCATCTCTACAAAAAATTTTTAAAATAGCCAGGCATGGCGGCATGTGCCTGTAGCCCCAGCTGCTTGGGAGACAAAGAAGGAAAGATCACTTGAGCCAAGGAGATAGAGACTGCAGTTAGCTATGATTGCACCACTGCATTCCAGCCTGGTTGTCAGAGCGAGACCCTGACTAAAATTAAAAAAAAAAAAAACAGTGGGGGCAAAGGACCGCAGGGACAACCTCAGTCAGTTACCAGTCCTCTGCTTTTCCATGTAGTTTTTCCTCTAAGCACACCAGGCAAGCAACTCCTCCCATTCTAAGGGACACATCCTGACTGCCACCTTCATTGCAATAGCAGCAGCACCACATCTGAGCACAACAGGCCCCCTCGCACTTCCCAGGTTTCACTCCTTTTATAAAGAAATCAAGCCCATGCTCTCACGCCCACCAGTATTTCCCAGACTTTCCAGATTGTGATGAATTGCCTAAAGCATTGACTTGAAACAAAGCAAACCAAAACCAGATTCTCAGCACCTGCCCTTGGATGGTCTGACGAAGCCCTGGAATCACCCAGGGGATTCTAATGACCAGATGAATTTGGGAAATTCTGAGCTGCCCTACAACGTCTAAAGTCAGGGTTTGAGTTTCTCCCCACCCTCCCTCTTTCCTCCTGTTGCTTCTGCAAATAGGCAGGCTAGACTGTTTAGAGAGTCTCACCTGGCCTCCAGCATAGTCTAGAGTCAGGCTCTGATCTTGCAGATGGATGACTCACCACATCATCCCCACGAGGGGTCCGGCATCTTCACGTGTCACCCAACCTTTAAGTTTTCTGGACAGGCTGCAGGAGGTGATGGGTCCTAAAGGAGAGGTGACTGACGCGAACTTTGTGTTGCTAAACAGCCCTGGCCGTGACAGTACAGATTAGTACAGGACAGTTCCTGGAAGGGCTGTATTTTGTAAAATAACAATGTAAGAGTCTTCCTTGTCTTTTTCTTTTTCCTTTTCTTTCCTTTTTTTTTTTTTTTTTTTTTTTTTTTTTGCAATGAAGTCTGGCTCTGTCACCCAGGCTGGAGTGCAGTGGCGCAATCTCGGCTCACTACAACCTCTGCTTTCCAGGTTCAAGCGATTCTCCCGCCTTAGCCTCCCGAGTGGCTGGGATTACAGGTGTGCACCACCATGCCCGGCTAATTTGTGTGTGTGTGTGTGTGTGTGTGTATTTTTAGTAGAGTTGGGGTTTCACCATGTTGGCCAGGCTGGTCTCGAATTCCTGACCTCATGTTATCCACCCGCCTTGGCCTCCCAAAGTGCTGGGATTACAGGCCTGAGCCACTGCACCCAGCCATTCCTTGCCTTTTTCAAGCCATTTTTAAATTTTACGTTATGTATAAGATATACGTAACATGTGGCATGAAGTACATTTCCACTGTGCAACTGTCACCACTATCCATCTCCAGAAGTTTTTCATCTTCCCCAGCTGAAGCTCTGCCCCCATTAAACGCTAACTCCCCATTGCTGCTCCCCTCCCCCAGCCCCAGGCAACCACCTTTCTATTATCTGTCTCTGTGAATTCAACTATTCTAGGTACCGCATATAAGTGGAACCATACAGCATTCGTCCTTTTGTGACTGGCTTATTTCAATTAGCATACTGTCCTCAAGGTTCATCCATGTTGTGCATGTGAATTTCCTTTTTTTTTTTTTTTTTTTTTTTGAGACGGAGTTTTGCTCTTGTTGCCCACGCTGGAGTGCAATGGCATGATCTTGACTCACAGCACCCTCTGCCTCACAGGTTCAAGCAATTCTCCTGCCTCAGCATCCCGAGTAGCTGGAATACAGGCATGCACCACTATGCCCAGCTAATTTTGTATTTTCAGTAGAGACAGTTTCTCCATGTTGGTCAGGCTGGTCTCGACCTCCCGACCTCAGGTGATCCGCCCGCCTCAGTCTCCCAAAGTGCTGGGATTACAGGCATGAGCCACCACACCCGGCCTCCTTCCTTTTTTAAGGCTGAATCATATTCCATTGTATGTATATACCACATTTTGTTTATCCATTCATCTGCAAATGGTCACTTGGGTTGTTTCCACCTTTCAGCTATTGTGAATAATGCTGCTATGAACATGAGTGTGTACACATGTCGCTAAAAGAACCTCCTTGCAGTACTTTTGGGTGTATGCCCAAAAGAATGGCTGGATCACATGGTGATAGTATATTTACTTTTTTGAGGAAGCACCTTCATGTTTTCCACAGTGGCTACACCATTTTGCATTCCCACCAGCAATATGCAAGGGTTCCAATTTGTCCCCACCCTCACCAGCATTTATTACTTTCTGGGGTTTTTCTTTTTTCTTTTTTTAAAGCCATCCTATCCTAATGGATGTGAAAGTGGTATATCATTGATTGTGTTTTGTTTTGTTTTGAAACACAGTCTTGCTCTGTTGCCCAGGCTGGAGTGCAGTGGAGCAATCCAGAAATTCACCTTTCCCATGAGCTGGACAGAGGAGCTCGGTTTTTTTTTTAGAGATGGAGTCTCACTCTGTCACCCAGGCTGGAGTGCAGTGGCGCAATCTCAGCTCACTGCAACCTCCACCTCCTGAGTTAAAGCAATTCTCCTGCCTCAGCCTCCCGAGTAGCTGGGATTACAGGTGTGCGCCATCAAGCCCAGCTAATTTTTGTATTTTAGTAGAGATGGGGTTTCACCATGTTGCCAGGCTGGTCTCAAACTCCTGACCTCAAGTGATCCACCTGCCTCGACCTCCCAAAGTGCTGGGATTACAGGCATAAGCCACCACGCCTTGCTACCACTGTGGTTTTGATTCGCGTTTTCCTAATGATTAGTAAAGTCTCTTTGTTTTAGAGAACAAAAAAAAGGAAAAATGTAGTACCAAAGATTTAGGTTGGAGGAAGGTCCCAGGAAAATGGAAGCAAATACACAGAATCATGCGAAAAGACAAGAAATAATGTGGGAGTGCAGTTCTATAAAAGTACATCTTCAAAACATTCTTTAAGGACAAACAGTATTATCTTGAACAAAACTAAATGAGGAAGGTACCACTGTCCTTAAGGTATAATAAGAAACTGAATTGCCATGAGTAAGGTCACAGCACACAGAAGCTGTGTGTGGAAAATCAAGAAATAACTATGGCAACATCTCTCCAATATTAAACAAACAAAAAGCAGCTGGGCATGGTGACTCATGCTTGTAGTCCCAGCACTTTGAGAGGCCACAGTGGAAGGATCACTTGAGCCCAGAGGTTTGAGACTAGCCTGGGCAACGTAGCAAGACCCGTCTCTACAAAAAATTTAAAAAATTAGCTGGACTTGGCGGTGCATGCTTGTAGTCCCAGCTATCCAGGAGGCTGAGATGGGAGGGTCGCTTAAACCCTTAAACCCAGGAGGTTGAGGCTACAGTGAGCTATGATCATGCCACTGCACTCCAGCCTGGGTGACAGAGCAAGACCCTGTCTCAAAAAAAAAAAAAAAAAAAAATTAAAAAGATCAATTTATTCATTAACCATTTCAAAAATTCAAAAGAAACTCAATCAGGAGATCATTTTCACAGTGATGAATCAAATTGATAAAAATCTCCTCACAGCCTGCTGGAAGACAGGAACAAAAATTCCTCGTGTCATTTTAAAAAGTATAAACCTTGTGTGTTGTCAGACCACATCCCTTGTACAGAAAGTCTACAGGTTTGGTATTAGGCAGGACTCCCCAGGAAAGGGATCAGGATGAGGGATTAGCAATAGGAAATTTGGCATCGGGTAAGGGAATATTCCGGAAAAACGTCAGTGCCTAACTTCCTTCCCCACATGCTCAAGGAGTGTACATCCACAACACAGCCCTAAGCTTTAAGGATGTGAACTCGTTTAACCTACCAGATAGGTAAACACACTTGAAGTCTGCCTTTGAAAACTCATGCTAAAGGGAATGGATTCTGCAAATTCATTACTTTTTTTTTTTTTTTTTTTTTTGAGACGGAGTCTGGTCCTGTTGCCCAGGCTGGAGTCCAGTGGTGCGATCTAGGCTCACTGCAACCTTCACCTCCCGTGTTCAAATAATTCTCCTGCCTCACCCTCCTGAGTAGCTGGGATTACAGGCATGCATCACCACGTCCAGCTAATTTTTGTATTTTTAGTAGAGAAGGGGTTTCACCATGTTGGTCAGGCTGATTTTGAACTCCTGAACTCGTGATCTGCCTGCCTTGGCATCCCAAAGTGCTGGGATTACAGGCATGAGCCACCACACCGGGCCAAATTCATTACTTTTAATGGCAAAAACTGCAATTGCTTTTTCTCCAGCCTAAATAAAAAATTCTATATAAAAATTGTGCTCTATTGGGGCCAGGCACGGTGGCTCACGCCTGTAATCCCAGCACTTTGGGAGGCCAAGGTAGGCAGATCACGAGGTCAGGAGATCAAGACCATCCTGGCTAACACGGTGAAACCCCATCTCTACTAAAAATAAAAAAAATTAAAAAAAAATTAGCCGGGCGTAGTGGCGGGCGCCTGTAGTCCCAGCTACTCCGGAGGCTGAGGCAGGAGAATGGCATGAACCCAGGAGGCGGAGCTTGCAGTGAGCCAAGATCGCACCACTGCACTCCAGCCTAGGCGACAGAGCGAGACTCCATCTTAAAAAAAAAAAAAAAAAAAAAAAAAAATGGGCTCTATTTACTCTGGTGTACACAAAATAAATATTACCTTTTTTTCTTTTCTTTTCTTTTTGAGACAGAGTCTCCCTCTGTCACCCAGGCTGAAGTGCAGTGGCACAATCTTGGCTCACTGCACTCTCCATCTCGTGGGCTCAAGTGATTTTTCCTGCCTCAGCCTCCCGAGTAGCTGGGATTACAGACATATGCCACCACGCCTGGCTAATTTTTGTATTTTTAGTAGAGACAGTGTTTCACCATGTTGGCCAGGCTGGTCTCGAACTCCTGACCTCAGGTGATCTGCTCGCCTCAGCCCCCATGTGGGGGCTGTAAGATTACAAGCATGAGACGCCGCATCCGGCAACATTATCTTTTATTTTTTGTATTTTTAAGATGTAGTCAGTTTGCAAAATACTACATCATTTGGCCAGAAAACTAATTCTCATGCTTCTCTCTTCCTTCTCAAATTACACTATTTTCATAACAGGTCAAAAATAGTTTTAAGGGCCGGGCACAGTGGCTTACGCCTTTAATCCCAGCATTTTGGGAGGCCGAGGTGGGCGGATCACCTGAGGCCGGGAGTTCAAGACCAGCCTGACCAACATGGAGAAACCCCCGTCTCTACTAAAAATACAAAAAATTAGCCAGGCGTGGTGGCTCATGCCTGTAATCCCAGCTACTCAGGAGGCTGAGGCAGGAGAATCACTTGAACCGGGAAGGCGGAGATTGTGGTGAGTCGAAATCGCGCCATTGCACTCTAGCCAGGGCAACAAGAGCAAAACACGGTCTCAAAAAATATAAAATAAAATAATAGTTTTAAGAATGGTCAGGCGTTGGCATTTCCTTTCTAATAATGGGTAGAAGTTTGTTATGAATCATAATTAGTGATGTTACTTGATCTCATTCTGATGTTAATTCAAAGTTGCCCTGTTCAAGAAGGCAGTGTGCTGGTGTGCAGGGATCACATATCTGTGATTAATCCGGCTGAGTGCTAGAGCTGCAATTGTTTCTTCGTGTAGCTGCAGATAAAATAACAGTCTTGGCCGGGCCCGGTGGCTCACGCTTGTAATCCCAGCACTTTGGGAGACCAAGGTGGGCAGATCATGAGGTCAGGAGTTCAAGACCTGCCTGGCCAACACAGTGCAACCCCATCTCTACTAAAAACACAAAAATTAGCCAGGCACAGTGGCACGTGCCTGTAATCCCAGCTACTCAGGAGGCTGAGGCAGGAGAATCACTTGAACCCAGGAGGCAGAGGTTGCAGTGAGCTGAGATCTTGCCACTGCACTCCAGCCTCGGCAACAGGAGGAGACTCTGCCTCCAAAAAAAAAAAAAAAAAAAAACAAAAGTCTTTGTCAATGAAAGAAGCATAACCCCTGAGTGCCTGGACCAGTGGATAATTACATAGGAAGTGATAATGGGAGGTAAGAACCCTTTTGCTCTGTCAGTGAGAAGATCCAGTAGAAAATCAAGGAGGACCCGAGAAACTTTGTACTGAAAGGAAAAATAAAAAGTCTCTCCTTGGCTGCGCACAGTGGCTCAGGCCCATAATCTCAACACTCTGGGAGGCTGAGGAGGGAGGATCATTTGAGCCCAAGAGTTCGAGACCGGCCTGGGCAACATAGGAAGATCCCCATTTCTACCAAAAAAAAATTAGGTGGGCATGGTGGTGCACACCTGTAGTTCCAGCTACAAATTTTTTGTACTTGGAGGCTGAGGTGGGAGGATCCTTTGAGCCCAGGAGTTGGAGACCAGCCTGGACAACATAAGGAGACCCCCAGCTTTACAAAAAAATTAGCTGGGTGTGGTGAGATGCATCTGTAGTCCTAGCTTCTTGGGAGGCTGAAGTGGGAGGATCACTTGAGCCCAGGAGGTTGAGGCTGCAGAGGCTCATACCACTGCACTCCAGCCTGGGTGACAGAGTGAGACCCTATCTCAAAAAACAAAACAAACAAATCATCAAGTTGCATTCCTTAATATATACCAGTTTTATTAGTCAATTATACCTCAATAAAGCTGGGAGGAAAAAATAACTAGTTTAAAAGCTATATCAACTAATGATGGGTAGCAGACAAAAAGCCCCATTAATACAAAATGTAAGGGGAGTTATACCATGATTTTGCCTTTTCTTTTTTTTTTCTTTTTGAGACAGAGTCTCACCCTGTCGCCCAGGCTGGAATGCAGTGGCACGATCTTGGCTCAATGCAACCTCTGCCTCCAGGGTTCAAGTGATTCTCCTCCCTCAGCCTCTTGAGTAGCTGGGACTACAGGCGCACGCCACCACACCCTGCTAATTTTTGTATTTTTAGTACAGATAGGGTTTCACCATGTTGGCCAGGCTGGGATTTTGCCTTTTCTACATACCAGAACTACATACCAGAATCATGACTATATTCATTACATAGAATTACCCCAATTCAAGAATCTGTTTTAAAAACAATATCTGGCCAGGCACGGTGGCTCACGCCTGTAATCCCAGCACTTTGGGAGGCTAAGGCGGGTGGATCACTTAAGGCCCGTAGTTTGAGACCAGCCTGGCCAACATGGTAAAACCCTGCCTCTAAATACAAAAATACAAAAAAATTAGCTGGGTGTGGTGGCACAAGCCTGTAGTCCTAGCTACTCAGGAGGCTGAGGCAGGAGAATTGCTTGAACCTGGGAGGCAGAGGTTGCAGTAAGCCAAGATGGCGCCGCTGTGCTCCAGCCTGGGTGACAGAGCAAGACTCAGACTCAAAAAATAAAAAAAAAAATAAAAACAACATCCAATTGCATTTTGTAACCAACAACATAACGAAGATAGCCAAAGTGTCACCAATATTAAATAGATTTTCATAAGCCTTGGATATAAGATGGTCCACTCCAAAATCAACTCATAATGGATTACAGAGATACACAAGGTCGCCCCAAAACAATGATTCTCAAATTTTTTGTACATTAAATTCAACTGGCATGTTGGCTTAAAATTCACATTGGGATTCCCAGCCCCCAGCCCCAGAGACACTCATTCAGATCAACAGAAATGAGATCTAGGAATCTGCCTTTTTTTTTTTTTTTTTAGACAAAGTTTTGCTCTTGTTGCCCAGGCTGGAGTGCAGTGGCGTGATCTTGGCTCACCACAACCTCCACCTCCCAGGTTGAAGCGATTCTCCTGCCTCAGGCTCCCGAGTAGCTGGGATTACAAGCATGCGCCGCCACGCCTGGCTAATTTTGTATTTTTAGTAGAGTCGGGGTTTCTCCATGTTGGTCAGGCTGGTCTCGAACTCCCAACCTCAGGTGATCCACCCGCTTCGGCTTCCCAAAATGCTGGGATTACAGGCGTGAGCCACTGCACCCGGCCTGCATTTTTAACCAACACACATACTCAAGCATGTGTGTGATTCTGCTGCATGTGTTCAAAAGCTCACCCTTTGAGAAACACTGCCCTAAAATGATGCGATGATTTCCAGAACTCCAAGCTTGAATTAACCAGACCGTCTGCATTCGTAAGCCTGTGGTGAGTCATAGAAACTTTTTTTAAAAAGTAGAATGTCAGAGGCAAATGTTGGCAGTGGCCCCTCAGCCCAGGCCAAGGGAGGGCGGGTCCTGATCTAATCTAACAACAACTCACTCTGCCTAGGCAAGATGACAGGGATCTTCCGCTGTGCAGGTGGACATAGCAGATCATCTTACTCTGGCATCATTAACATTTGTATTAGAAAACCAGCTCCCCTAGTTCTGATTTCTGAGGTCCCTAAGCAGCTTCTTCTTGTAGAATTTGACTTCCCATGTAGCCTGCCTTTGCTGTTGGTCAAAAGTTGCCAGTATTCGGTCCCCCTCAGCCCTTTTAGTCATGAGAAATTGGCAGGAACTTTGGTTTATCCATCATTCCCTGAGTTTGCTTCATATTACTCCAGCCATGAGAAACACTCCACTCTCCACAATCCATGGGTTGATAAATGAGGATTTTGTGCCTCTGAGGCTAAGGACCACACTCTCGACGCTAAAAAAAAAAAAAAAAAAAAAAAAAAAAAAATTCTCCAAGGAGACGATATTATAAATTCATAGACTGCCTGACAACACCCAGTGAAGACCCTCCTGTTGGAACCTCCTCACCAAGAAGTTGTGACTTTTCTTTTTTTTTTTTTTTGAGATGGAGTCTCGCTCTTGTTGCCCAGCCTTGATTGCAATGGTGCGATCTCATCTCACTGCAGCCTCCGACTCCAGGGTTCAAGCAATTCTCCTGCCTCAGCTTCCCAAGTAGCTGGGATTACAGCTGCCCGCCAGCATGCCCAGCAAATTTTTGTATTTTTTTTTTAGTAGAGATGAGGTTTCACCATTTTGGCCAGGCTGGTCTCAAACTCCTGACCTCAAGAGATACACCTGCCTCATCCTCCCAAAG
This sequence comes from Homo sapiens, assembly GCF_000001405.40. Classification (NCBI taxonomy): domain Eukaryota; kingdom Metazoa; phylum Chordata; class Mammalia; order Primates; family Hominidae; genus Homo; species Homo sapiens. Next base: position 21,336,031 of record NC_000010.11, read on the forward strand.
TGCTGGGATTACAGGTGTGAGCCACTGCACCTGGCTGATTTTTTCTTTTTTTTTTTTTTTAATACAAAGTCTCACTCTGTCCACCAGGCTGGAGTGCAGTGGCGTGTTCTCAGCTCACTGCAGCCTCAACTTCCCAGGCTCACGTGATTCTCCCACCTCGACCTCCCAAGTAGCTGGGACTACAGGTGCTTGCCACAGCACCTGGCTAATGATTACATTTTTGGTAGAGATGGGGTCTCAGACTCCTGGCTTCAAGCATTCCTCCTGCCTCTGTTGGGAGCAATTTATCCATTCTTTGTAAAGGGCCTCCATGTCATTTACAATAACCTATCATCAAGGACCCAAAGCTGGTGCTTATATGAGTCTCCTGTCGCCTCTTATCAGAGCCCGATTAAGGGACAGGCTAGACAGAAAGATGAGAGAAGGACAAATGTCAGGCTCTCACTTCAGCCTCTCTCCTCATTCAGGAACAGATGGAGCCCATGCCAGTGTGACCCAGGGCAGAGGTCAGGCAGCTGTTCTGTTTCGTGTGTCCCTGGTCTCCTGTGCCCCCTAGGGCTGGTGGAGCCTCAATGTCCTCCAACTCAGACATCTTCTCTGCTGTTTGTTCTGCAGCCAGCTGCATACCGCCTCCATGCGGGTGCCCCTCCCTAGCGGCTGCATTTGCCCGGGGGACCAGCAAGCTGTCACATGCCAAGGCAAAGAGGAGGAAGAAACAATCACTTATTACTAGCAAAACATTACTTCTGTCTTCACAGGACCATGACACCTTCTGTCTAGGATCTTCAAACCTCCCCCACTCATGCCCCAAGTCCAATATTGTGGGGTGACCCTGCCCCACCCCCTGTGCACCACACTCAGTGCAGCTTGATGTTCAGCTTTGTGTAGCCCTGGCATCCTATGCTCCCAGGCTGGCTGGAGACTTGATATTCTCCAACTCAGACATACTAAGGCCACGTATATGTGGAGAGATTTCAGTGCATTATCTACTGAGAACACTGATGACTTGAGGCAACGCCAGAGCCCTTCTCCAAATGAATACTTCACATTCCCACCCGGTGACTCAGGCTGACTCACCAGGAGGCCCTTCCCCTTTGTCTTTTTTTTTTTTTTTTTTTTTTTTTACTTTTATTTTAGGTTCAAGGGTACAAGTGCAGGTTTGCGACATAGGTAAAATCCTTGTCATGGGGGTTTGTTATACAGATTATTTCATCGCCCATGTGTTGAGCCTAGTACCCGTTAGTTATTTTTCCTGATCCTCTCCCTCCTCCCAGCCCCCACCCTCCGGTAGGCCCCAGTGTCTGTTGTTCCCCTCTATGTGTCCATGTGTTCCCGTCATTTAGCTCCCACTTACATATGAAAACATGGTTTTTGGGTTTCTGTTTCTGTGTTAGTTCGCTAAGGATAATGGCTTTCAGCTCCATCCATGTTCCTGCAAAGGACATGGTCACACTCTTTTTTATGGCTGCATAATATTCCATGATGTATATGGACTGCATTTTCTTTATTCAGTCTACCATTGATGATGCCCTCCTCATTTGACTGGGATCCAGCAGGAGACTAAAAAGGGGCTTCCTGTTTGATTTACACCCTTTTGCATTCTTTTCACCTCCAATCACCAAGGAGTGAACAGCAAAAAATGTCTGAGCAGCTATTAAGTCTCCAACCAGCAGGGGAGCACAGGAGGCCAGGGATACATGAAACTAAACATCAGGCTGCACCAGGTGTGGTGCCCCGGGGTGGGGTGGAGTATGTTCCTTAATTTCTGCCTACTTTCCCAACAGCCTTCTGGCTCCATGTTGGCTTAAAGGCCCTCTCAGAATCTGACCCTTCTCTTCAGTCCTCAATTTTGTTGCCTCTCCTATTCCTACTTCCCTTCCTTTTCTCAAATCCACAGACATCTCTGGTAATCATAGTAGTCAACACCTTACAACACTTACTATGTGTCTGGCATTCTTTCAAGGGTTTTGTGTGTATTAACACATTGAATGTTCATACTCACCCTTGGAGGTCACTCACTATCATACTCTCCATATTAAAATTGACAAAGATGTGTTCAGAGTCTTGCCCGAGTCCACCCAGCCTCTTACTCTCAACGAGACAACAGAAGAGCTTCCTTGTTCAAATAAACAACTAACATTGATCATAGAAGTGAAAGACCTACCTAATAACTTATCATGGTTCTTCTTCTTCTTTTTTTTTTTAAGAGAAGAGGTCTCACTCTGTTGCCTAGGCTGGAGTGGAGTGGTGCAATCACAGCTCACCACAGCCTCTAACTCCTGGCTTCAAGCAATCCTCCCGCCTCAGCCTCCCAAGTAGCTGGGATTACAGGCACGTGCCTCCACACCCAACACTTGTAATGATTCTAATCTGCTACTCAGAGGTTTGGTCTCTGTGTAAGTCATTTTGAATTTTTGTTGAGAGCCAGGTAAAGTGAAAAGTGTGCATGGGCTTTGAAGTTAAAATCCCTGTTAAACCACTTGCTAGTTATGTGTCCATGGACAAGTTATTTGGCCACTCTGAGCTTCCATGTTTTTGGTAGATTTGGTTTGGTTTGGTTGTTGTTGTTTTGTTTTGCTTTGAGACAGGGTCTCTCTGTCACCTTGTCTGGAGTGCAGTGGTGTGATTTTGGCTCACTGCGACCTCTACCTCTGGGGCTCAAGCGATCCTCCCACTACAGCCTCCTGAGTGGCTGGGACTACAGGCGTGTGTCATCACACCTGGCTAATAGAAACAGGTTCCACCATGTTGCCCAAGCTAGTCTCGAACTCCTGGGCTCAAGCAATCTATCTGCCTCAGCCTTTCAAAGTGCTGGGATTACAGGCATGAGCCATCATCCCCGCCGAACTTCCATGTTTTTATTTTATTTATTTATTTTTATTTAATTATTATGTTTTTTTTTTTTTTTGAGATGGAGTTTCACTCTTGTTGCCCAGGCTGGAGTGCAGTGGCGCCATCTCAGCTTACTGCAACCTCCGCCTTCCGGGTTCAAGCAATTCTCCTGCCTCAGCCTCCCGAGTAGCTGGGATTACAGATGCCCGCCACCACACCCGGCTAATTTTTTGTATTTTTAGTAGAGATGGGGTTTCACCATGTTGGCCAGTCATGATCTCGAACTCCTGGCCTCAAGTAATCTGCCTGCCTCGGCCTCCCAAAGTGCTGGGGTTACAGGCATGAGCCACCGCGCCTGGCTGCTTCCATGTTTTTAATCTGTACAATGGGGATAAGATGATAATACCTTCCTCACTCAGGTATTGTAACTTAAAAAGATACTGTGCATGAAGCACTTAGTGCAGTACCTGGCACATAGAAGACGCTCAGTAAATGAGAGTTTTTTCCATACATTCCCCAGAAAACCTCATATAATTGCTTTATCCTTTAAATAGACAGCACACTGTGCCTCCCAAATGCTACTAATCATATACTCTACTTTTTAGGTCATTTATACTCATGGTTTATCTGCCCCCTGACATACTCCCAAAAAGCAAGAAATATGTTATTCATCTCTGATCTTTTTTTTTTTTTTTTTTTTTTTTTTTTGAGACAGGGTCTCTCTGTTGCCCAGGCTGAAATGCAGTGGTACGACCTTGGCTCATTGCAACTTCTGCCTCCCAGGCTCAGGCGATCTTCCCACCTCATCCTCCCAAGTAGCTGGGACTACAAGCATGCACCGCCACGCCTGGCTAATTTTTGTAAATTTTATAGAGATGGAGTTTCGCCATGTCATCCAGGCTGATCTCAAACTCCTAGACTCAAGCAATCCACCTGCTTAGGCCCTCCCAGAGTCCTGGGATTATAGGCATGAGCCATTGCGCCCAGCCCCTCTGATCCTTTAGGGACTCCCAAGATATAATAGTCAATGAAAAGCTAAAACAGCAAGGTAAAAAAAAATAGATATAGAGAAATACCATTTATTTGTGTTTTAAATAAAACACACATATATGCACTTATATATGCATTCAAAATTTTTGGAAGAATAAACAAGAGATTTTTTTTTTACCATGTCAGGTCTTAATTTTACAATTAAAAAGAAGGAAAAAGAATGTTATATGCATGATAATATGTAAATGTTTAGATCAGTCACCTGAAAAGGTAGCCCAAAATATTTTACCTTTTGGAGATTCTGAGAATCTGGGAATTCTGAGATTCTGAATGGAGAATCTCTGCATCTCAATTCTGAAATTCTGAGAATCTTCACATCTAATCCAGCTGATCAGGGCACAGAAAGCATGGCTGGATGTGACTCCAACCAGGAGCTGCAGCCTAGACCACTGGAATGAGCCCTGTTTGAAGAAAGAGTGTTTTTAGCAGAAGGATACTCAGAAAAATGGGAGCTCCAAAGAGCTTGAGATGAAACCATAAGGATACTGGTTTCTGGAGAGCTGGATTCCATTTGCAGGGAAGGAGCAATTCACCAGATTTACCATCATCCCAATGGAACATTATTTATGACTATCCAAATCCCTTTGCTCTAATTCCATGCTGACCACATATGTGACTTAGGGTGAGTTATGCTAGATGTTATAATAGATAACTCTGAAATGCACTGGCTTAAAGCCATAAAAGTTTATGTCTCTGTCACATCACATGCCAATGAGAATTGGGCCAGGAGTAGTCTGTACTCCACAAAGGCATTCAGGGACCGAGGACCATTTAATACCGTGGCACCACCCTCCCCAGGCTCCTTGAAGTACCGTTCATTGAGCAGATGGACGGGGGGATGAGCAATGGTAGAGAAAGCACACCCACCCCTAAGACTCTTGGCCCAGAGGTAACACACATCACTTTGGCTCATATTCCAGTGGAGAGAACTCCTCATATGGCCCCATCTAGATGACAGTAGGGAGCAAGGGGCAGGCAATATTGTCTAGCAGTACGCCAAGGAAGAGGACGACGACATGAACATGGGTGAGTATCAACAGTTACTCTCGCACCAAGTAATATTCTAATTATTATTTATTATTTATTTAACTTTTTTAGAGGCAGAGTCTTGCTCTGTCATCCAGGCTGGAGTGCAGTGATGCAATCATAGCTCACTGCAACCTCGAACTCCTGGGCTCAAACGATCTTCCCTCCTCAGCCTCCTGAGTGGCCAGAACCGCAGGCACACACCACCACACCTGGCTAATTTTTTTAATTTTTGTGGAAATGGGGCCTTGCTATGTAGTCCAGATTGGTCTCGAATTCCTGGGCTCCAGAGATTCTTCCGCCTCAGCCTCCCAATGTGTGGGGATTACAGGTGTGAGCCACTGCACTTAGTTTTTGATTATTGATTTAGGCTGACTAGTATACTAAATCTAGAAAGAGGGAGACACGAACAAGATATGTGAGCATCCCCATCACTACAGAGCTAGGTCTCCTATCCTAAACTGACAAATCATCTTTCTAGTTCATACATCTCTTGGTTGCGACTTTACTTTTATCACAGGTTATCCCTGAAGAACATATTCAACACTGGGTATGCTAATACGGTAAAGGTTTCTTATTTTGTAAACCTGGGAACAGAACTGTGGGCCATGCTGACCTCAACACGACACTGCAAACCTATGAGGTCCTTTCTAACTGGCCAGATAGTCAACCTCTAAAATATCTCCACCTCTTCTCTCTAAAACTTCAGCCAGGCCAGTCTCAGTGGCTAACACATGTAATCCTAGCACTTTGGGAGGCCAAGGTGGGTGGATCACCTGAGGTCAGGAGTTTGAGACCAGCCCGGCCAACATGGTAAAACCCTGCCTCTACTAAAAATACAAAAATTAGTCAGGTGTGATGGCTAACGCCTGTAATCCAAGCTACTCAGGAGGCTGAGGCAGGAGAATCGCTTGAAGCCAGGAGGCGAAGGTTGCAGTGAACTGAGATTGCACCATTGCACTCCAGCCTGGACGACAAGAGTGAAACTACATATCAATAAAATAAATAAATAAAAATAAAAAATAAAACTTCAGCCATTGGAAGAACTGTCATGTTCTACTTATGGAAAAGTATAATTTGGGGTTTACCTAGACAGGGAAATAATTTTTCAAATTTAAGTTACTTGTGGCCGGGTGCGGTGGCTCACGCCTGTAATCCCAGCACTTTGGGAGGCCGAGGCAGGCAGATCACAAGGTCAGGAGATCGAGACAATCCTGGGTAACAAGGTGAAACCCCGTCTCTACTAAAAATACAGAAAATTAGCCAGGTGTGGTAGCGGGCGCCTATAGTCCCAGCTACTCGGGAGGCTGAGGCAGGAGAAAGGCGTGAACCTGGGAGATGGAGTTTGCAGTGAGCCGAGATTGCGCCACTGCACTCCAGCCTGGGTGACAGATTGAGCCTCCATCTCAAAAAAAAAAAAAAGTTACTTGTTAGTGGCCAGGCACAGTGATGCACACCTGTAACCCTAGCACTTTGGGAGGCTGAGGCATAAGAATGGCTTGAGCCCAGGAGTTCAAGACCAGTCTGAGCAACATAGCAAGACCTTGTCTCTACAAAAAATTTAAAAATTTGCCAGGCATGGTGGAACATGCCTGTAGTCCCAGCTACTAGGGAGGCTAAGGTGGGAGGATCACTTGAGCCCAGGAGGTTGAGGCTACAGTGAGCTATGATCATGCCTCTGCACTCCAGCCCTGGTAGACAGAGCAAGTCCCTGTCTCAAAATAATAAACAAATAAATAAACAGGCTGGGCGCAGTGACTCATGCCTCTAATCCCAGTACTTTGGGAGGCCAAGGCAGGTGGTTCACTTGAGGTCAGGAGTTTAAGACCAGCCTGACCAACATGATGAAACCACATCTCTAATAAAAACACAAAAATTAGCCAGGTGTGATGGTGTGTGCCTATAATCCCAGCTACTTGGGAGGCTGGGGCAGGGGAATCTCTTGAACCAGGGAGGTGGAGGTTGTAGTGAGCTGAGGCGACAGAGCAAGACTCTGTCTCAAATAATAATAATAATTAACAAACAAATAAATGACTTGTTAGTGATCAAGGATCAGACAGAGGGTGAGGTCTTTACATGGGCTGAGTACATTTCTTTCGTTTGGCTGCCATGGCAAATTACCACAAACTTGGTGCTTAAAACATCAGAAATGTGTTCCCTTACAGTTCTGGAGGCCAGAAATCTGAAAACAAGGTGCCAGCAAAGCCGTGCTCCCTCCAGAACCTCTAGAGGAGTAGCCTGGCTTGCCTCTTCCAGCTTCTAGTGGTCCCAGGCACTCCTTGGCATGAGGCTGCATCACTCCAGTCTCTGCCCCCATCTTCATGTGGCCTTCTCGCTTGTGTCTCTCTGTATTCCCCTTTGCTGCCTCATATAGAAACTCATCATTGGTTTTAGGGTCCACCGTAACCCAGGATGATCTCATCTTGAGATTCTTACCTTAATTATATCTGTGAAGACCATTATTCCAACTAAGGTCACATTCAGAGGTTCCAGGTAGACATATCTTTGGGAAGCAGGAGGGACTATACAATCTACTATACCAAGTAGAAAAGCTTCCTGCTCAAGCTCGTGTCGCATTCAGACAGGCCCTTAGCAAATGCTGACTGTGTAACCCTGGGTGCCCAGCTTCAATGGTGCCACATGGGGCCGATGTTAGGAGCAGTAGCTAAGGTTTGCAAGCAGTCCTGCCAGAACACAGGGCACACTGAGGATCAGAAGCGCTTTTCTTAGCTGGATGTAGTGACTCACACCTGTCATCCCAGTGCTTTGGGAGGCCAAGGTGGGAGGACAACTTGAGGCCAAGAATTCAAGACAAGAAGTCAAGACAAGTCAAGATAAGACTGGGCAACATAGTGAGACCCTGTCTCAAAAAAAAGAAGAAAGTGAGAAAGAAAGAAAGAAGGAAAGAAAGAAAGAAAGAAAGAAAGAAAGAAGGAGAGAGAGGGAGAAAGAAAGAGAGAGAGAAAAAGAAAGAAAGAAAGAAAGAAAGAAAGAAAGAAAGAAAGAAAGAAAGAAAGAAAGAAAGAAAGAAAGAAGTGAGGGAGGGAGGGAGGGAAGGAGGGAGGGGGAGAGAAAGAAAGAAAGAAAAAAGAGAGAGAATGAGAAAGAAAGAGAGAGAAAGAAAGGTGGGAGGGAGGGAGAGAGAGAGAGGGAGAAAGGAAGAAAGAAAAGAATGAAAGAAAGAAAGAGAAAGAAAGAGAGAGAGAAAGAAAAGAAAAGAGAAAAGAAAAGAAAAAGTTAGCCAGGCATAGTGATAAGCATAGTTCTAGCTACCCAGGAGGATTGCTTGAGCCCCAGGAGTTCAAGGCTGCAGTGAGCTGTTATCACGCCACTGCACTCCAGCCTGGGCAACATAGCAAGACCTTGTCTTTAAAAAAAGAAGGAAGAAAGAAGTGCTTTTCTTTACATTCTAAATACTAAAATTATTTTTCAATCTCTCAAACCTAAAAGGCTACCCTGAGCTTCTTATACTTTGCTATGGTGTCAAATCCCAGCAGCTTATGTGGCGACCAACCGTTTGGTAACTGAGAGCTTCCATGTTCACTTAGGGCAGGAGACTCTGACACTGAGGCTTTGAAAGGAACGAGAGAGGGAGTCCTGCATCAGATTGCACTCAGGAATCCTGGTTGGTAAGGAAAACAGTGCAATGGCCAGGCAGGTAGCTATGAGGACAAGAGGACAGCCTCAATAAATTGGATGGCAATCCATGAGCTGAGATTTCGGGGTCTCTTGATGCAAGCTGAAAGGTCCCCTGTTACCTATTCAGACATTGTACGATCAGCCTATGCAATGCAGTTTTCCACATCTGAATGTTCTTCTTGTCCTATTTTGCTGTTATCACACCACCAAGAATAAAGAAACGGCCAGAAACCTACCTGGTACTCACAATTATTCGAAGTAGGAAGGAAGAAGGCAAACAGAATAAGCTTAATGGAATGTGGCACTTCTAATTGGATCGTATTGTGTTTTTGTGCCCGCCTTTACCATGTAAGTCTAGACACTGTGATATATACGCAGAGAGGAAAAGAGCAACATCGATCTCAACAGCCAATGAATTCATGCCTTTCTCCCCACTCCCTGTCACTAAAGCTTTTGCATTCCTAAATTTATCGAACTTCCTCCAGCCTAAAGAAAAGTTTTTCTGGCCGGGCGCAGTGGCTCATGCCTGTAATCCCAGCACTTTGGGAGGCCGAGGCGGGCGGACCACCTGAGGTCGGGAGTTAGGGACCAGCCTGACCAACATGGAGAAACCCCGTCTCTACTAAAAACACAAAATTAGCCAGGCATGGTGGCGCATGCCTGTAATCCCAGCTACTCAGGAGGCTGAGGCAGGCGAATTGCTTGAGCCTGGGAAGCGGAGGTTGCAGTGAGCCAAGATCGTGCTATTGTACTCCAGCCTGGGCAAGAAGAGCGAAACTCTGTCTCAAAAAAAAGAAAAGAAGTTTTTGTAACCATTCTTAGAGAGCGCTTTCTACCTAAGAACCTTAATACTTACCACACAGAGCACATCATTTCATTCTCATGTCATTCTAAAAGCAGAGCAAGTTATGATCAACCCTATTTGTCAGATAGAAAAATGATGGCATGCATTGGGGCTGGAGGGGGAGGGGGCATGGAAATACCAGCCTATAGAGGACTTAAGTGACCTGCCCATACAACATGGTCAGAAACAGAAACAGAGCTCACAACCTGTTCTCTAGGCCAAACTAAAATGCTTGCTAAAAGATCTGACACACACACCAAAGTAAGTTAAAAGATACCACAACAAAGAAATCAGACAAATCCAGGGTGTATTCATTTGTTAGGACAAATGAACTGGTTTTACCAACAAATCAATAGAAGTAGGGAATGGGGGACCAGCACTGACATAGAAAAAAAAGACACTTAAGAGACCTAAAAATCAAACACAATCTAGGAAACTTGTTTGGATACTAATTTTTTAAAAAAGTGTAAAAATACATTTAAGCCAGGCACAGTGGCACATGCCAGTAGTCCCAGCTACTTGGGAGGCCTTGCAAGGCAGGAGGATTGCTTGGGCCCAGGTGTTCAAGGCTGCAGTGAGCTATGATTGCACCTGTGAGTAGCCACTGCACTCCAATCTGGGCAACACAGCGAGCTCCTGTCTCTAAAAAATAATAATATATTTTAGGTTTGGGAGGCCGAGGCAGGCAGATCACAGGGTCAGGAGATCGAGACCATCCTGGCCAACATGGTGAAACCCTCGTCTCTACTAAAAATACAAAAATTAGCTGGGCATGGTGGCACGTGTCTGTAATCCCAGCTACTCAGGAGGCTGAGGCAGGGAGAATTGCTAGAACCCAGGAGGCAGAGGTTGCAGTGAGCCAAGATCGTGCCACTGCACTCCAGCCTGGGCAGCAGAGTGAGACTCCATCTCAAAATAATAATAATAATATATTTTAGGAATAATCAGAAAAATGTTCCCACTGTGGAGGAGAACAAAGTTGTCTCCTGGGGGGAGTAAAATGAGGAATCACAAAGAGGAAAGAAAGAGGTAAGAGCAGTTTGCAGTCAGGAGAGTGATGTAACTGAAGTGGTAAAATGCAGTCTTGGCCAGGTGCGGTGGCTCACGTTTATAATCCCAGCACTTTGGGAGGCCGAGGTGGGTGGATCACCTGAGGTCAGGAGTTCAAGACCAGCCTGGCCAAAAAGGCAAAACCCCGTCTCTACTAAAAATACAAAAAATTATCTGGGCATGGTGGCACGTGCCTGTAATCCCAGCTACTTGGGAGGCTGAGGCAGGAGAATTGCCTGAACTGGGGAAGTGGAGGTTGCAGTGAGCAGAGATCACACCATTGCACTCCAACCTGAGTGACAGAGCAAGTCTCCGTCAAAACAAAACAAAACAAAACAAAACAAAAATATATGCATTCTTCGTCATGGTGGTGTGGCTCCCTCAGCCTAGCACGTCTACCTTGCCTCCCTTGCTCAGGCCCTTGTCCCAAGGGCAGCCTATTCAGACTTTACAGTGTGTATTAAATGTCCCTGGGTGGAGAAGGCATAGAGTCAGTAAAGAGCTGGGATTTTTTTTTTTTTAAAGGCTCAAGTGACCCTCCCACCTCAGACTCCTGAGTAGCTGGGACTAAATGTGTGCACCACCATGCCTGGCTGGTTTTTTTGTTTGTTTGATTTTGTTTTTTTTTTTAAGTTTTTGTAGAGATGGGGTCTCACTATGTTGCCCAAGCTGGTCTTGAAATCCCGGTCTCAAATGATCTTCCCACCTCAGCCTCTCAAAGTCTGGGGATTACAAGTCTGAGTCAGCACACCCAGTCAAGGTCTGGGTTTCGCGACAACCACAGAGACATCATCTCTATGGTGCTATAGGGAGGAGTCACTGGGGTGCATAGCCAGAGGCGGCTACTTTCATTCATCCTCAAAAATAATACTCTAGCTGCTAGTGAGAGGGGAATAAAGAGAGGGCAAAGCCTGGAAGTCAGAGGTTAGAGGCTGACAACGTTGCAGGCATTTTTCCTGGTCAAAAGAAAGGAGAAAAAAAGTAGGTTTACAGGTGGATACCAAAGCCAATATTGGATGAACAGTACCAAAGGAAGCAAGAGAAGGAGGGAGTGCCTACGCTACCTTAAGGTGCTGGACTTGCACGATTATGTGCTCCAGGCAATGGTATATACATGTAGTGCTTTAGCCTCTGTCTGGGTGAGGAAATGATAGCTGCTGTAACAAAGAGACCCAAAAATTCAATGGCTCAAACAAGATAAGTTTATGTCTTACTCATCTAACAGTCCAGTTTAAGAATTCCAGGTGGGTTTGTCCCCAGTCCAGGGTGGCAGATGGCAGTCCTTCCACACATGACTTCCAAGGATGTCCAAATTGTGGCCAAGCCAGACTTCGAGGATAGGGGCAAGAGGTGAGTTCAGGGCTAGAGACTTTCTCTTAATCAAGTAAATGGGAAGTTGCTCCCAACATTTCTGTTCATATTCCATCTGTGAGAGCTGGGTTGCATAGCCACAGTTTGCTGCAAAGTGGGACATGAGCCAGGGGAATGTAGCCCCTGGAAATGCAGCCAAAATCCGCAGTAGTGTTCTAATACTGAGGAAGAATGGGAGGATAGAGTGTGGTGGACAGATAACAGACTCCATCATCATTTTTCTTCACCTGGTCAATGGCTTTATGGATATGTTAGTCCATTTTGCATTGCTATAAAGGAATACCTGAGACTGGGTAATTTATAAAGAAAAGGAGGCTTATTATTTATTTATTTTTTATTTTTTTAGGACAGAGTCTCACTCTTCACCCAGGCTGGATTGCAGTAGCACGATCTCGGGTCACTGCAACCTCCACCTCCCAGGTACAAGCGATTCTCCTGCCTCGGCTTCCCAACTAGCTGAGATTACAGGTGCCCGCCACCACGCCCAGCTAATTTTTGTATTTTTAGTACAGATGGGGTTTCACCATGTTGTCCAGGCTGGTTTCAAACTCCCGACCTTCAGTGATCCGCCCACCTCGGCCTTCCAAAGTGCTGAGATTACAGGCGAGAGCCACCGCGCCCGGCCCAGAAAAGGGGTTTATTTGGCTGACAGTTCTGCAGGATGTACAAGCATGGCAGCAGCATCTGTTTGGCTTCTGGTAAGGGGTCAGGGAGCTTATAATCATGGAGGACCGTGACCTGGGAGCTGGCACGTCACATGGCAAGAGCAGAAGCAAGAGAGAGGAGGAGGAGATGCCAGACCCTAACAACCAGATCTGGCATGAAATCATTACTGTGGTGAGGGCACCAAGCCATTCATGAGGGATCCCCCCCCCAGGACCCAGACACCTCCTACGAGGTCCGACTTCCAACACTGGGGCTCACATTTCAACATGAGACGTGGAGGGGAGAAATATCCAAACTGTATCAATGGATAATATCTGACCCTTTTTTTGTTTGTTTGTTTGTTTTGGCTAAAGAAAGTGCCCAGTTTATTGCTAGACCAGACAAGTGTTTATTCCAAATTGTGATCAAGATAGAATAATTAAGTACTTTCCTTATATAATGAAAATTACCATTATCCTGTTAGTGCAATCAGTTTTCTGAGTTTATTGATACTGAATTAATATTAAAACAGGCTGGGCGTGGTAGCAGCTCATGCCTGTAATCCTAGCACTTTGGAAGCCTGAGGCAGAAGATCACTTGAGGTCAGGAGTTCGAGACTAGCCTGGGCTACATGGCGAAACTCCATCTGCACTAAAAATACAAAACTTAGCCAGGCATGGTGACACATGCATGTAGTCCCAGCTACTCGGGAGGCTTAGGAAGGAGAATCGCTTGAACCAGGGAGTCAGAGGTTGCAGTGAGTTGAGATCGTGCCACTGCATTCCAGCCTGGGTGACAGAGGGAGACTCCATCTCAAAAAAAAAAAAAAATTAAATTAGAATAAACAGATGTTAATAGGCAGCATGCATGTTTGATGTGCCTTTATTTTTCTTCTGCTTTAGGATAGTACTTCATTCTTAAGCATGTGAGTAAAGGAAGCAAAATAGTAGTAAGCTATATTGATGGTATGTAAAAGAAATATAGGAAAGGTTTACATTTCATTTGTTAGATCCCTGCCGAGTATTTTACGTGGTAGGGTATATAAAAATAATATTTTAGATTATTAAAACACCTTGATATTGGCTCATTTAATTACACTGTAAATTTTTCTCTAAAGGCAAGTATGGTATTTTATATTTTCTAACAATAATCCTATTCTTCCCTTTTCCTTATATTTTTCTTTGATATTTTCCTGATGTATTATAAAATTATTTTCAAGTATAAGACTGGTTTGTAAAAATACCTACATATTGTGTGAGATTATCACTATCATTTTTTTCTCTACTACCTTCTCATCAAATAAGGAAAGGCAAGAGTGATATAACAGTTGCCAAAGAAACAAAAGGCATCCCAGTTATTTCTGTGCTGGGATGGCTTTTGGCTTGCCGTTGCTGAAAAGCAAACAAGATATAGCCAAGAAATTGTGCCGTTGTTGCCTGGTTGGAAGGAAAGTTAGGGGCGCATATTCGGTTCAAGATGACCTTCAGGGAGGACCCAATGTCAGTGTCCTGCTAAGTCACACACAAGGAGAGAAAATCTATAATGACAGTTCAAGTCTTTCTTCCCACAGCAAATTGTGTCAGCCCTGCTATAAACAGTAAAAACAGCACAGGAAATATCTGACCCTTTTGCCATTGGTTAAGAGCTATTGCTAGCTCCTACTTGGCTAATAGCTTGAGTCTCTGAAAAACAAGGAATATTTCAGAAACCTCATTATGAGGAAGAGATACCTGCAATTTCCAGGTAAATGAAGCAAGTCTTGTACATGCCCAGATGGGACCAGGCCTCTGTTACATGAATCCTGGCAAGTTAAACAGGCTATATCTTCTTGTTTGAAGCAGCTAAGAATGTCCCGAGCTCACTGCAATGCTGGGAGGCCCCGGCACCGACTCTTGAGAAAACGTTTGAGACTAAACATGAAAGTTGCTCCCTAACCCGCAGTGTTATCATTGCAGTTGTTAACAAGATAAAGTAAATAAACCTAAACTCTCAGTGAACTTATTTCTCAGTTTATTGAATTGAATTTCCTGACATGCTGCGCTGGGTACCCAGAATACAAAGATGCACAAAGCCTGGTTCGGTGAGAGAGATGGTTATGGAGACAGACGATGACGGCAACTGAGAAACAGCATAGGCAGACCCCAATCCCAGAGGAGGAGCAAAGATATCTCCCTGGAGATCAGGGAGGGCTCACAGCCAGGGATGCTTGAGATCAGGCAGACAAGAGGCACGCCTATGTTTAACTCAGAAAACAATGAAAAGTTTGCTGGCTGGGCTTGGTGACTCACTCCTGTAATCCCAGCACTTTGGGAGACCAAGGCAGGCAGATCACAAGGTCAGGAGTTCCAGACCAGCCTGGCCAATATGGTGAAACCTCATCTCTACTAAAAATACAAAAATTAGCTGGGCATGGTGGCAGGTGCCTGCAGTCCCAGCTACTCGGGAGGCTGAGGCAGGAGAATTGCTTGAACCTGGGAGGCGGAGGTTGTAGTGGACCGAGACTGTGCCATTGCACTCCAGCCTGGGTGAAAGAGCAAGGCTCTGTCTTGAAAAAAAAAAAAAAGGACCGTTTGCATATGACTTGTGGGATAACCTTTTCTAGGGGGCAGCAGTTTCATTGGAAAGTTAAATAACAGTTATAATGACTACCATTTTGTTGCGGGAAGTCAGGGACTCCAAACGGAGGGACAGGCTGGAGCCATGGCAGAGGAACATAAACTGTGAAGATTTCATTTTAATATGGACATTTATCAGTTCCCAAATAGTACTTTTATAATTTCTTATGCCTGTCTTCTTCGATCTCTTAATCCTGTTATCTTCATAAGCTGAGGATGTACGTCACCTCAGGACCACTGTGATCATTGTGTTAACTGTACAAATTGATTGTAAAACGTGTGTGTTTGAACAATATGAAATCAGTGCACCTTGAAAAAGAACAGAATAACAGCGATTTTTAGGGAACAAGGGAAGACAATCATAAGGTCTGACTGTCTGCGGGGTCAGGCAAAAAGAGCCATATTTTTCTTCTTGCAAAGAGCCTATAAATGGACATGCAAGTAGGGAAGATATCACTAAATTCTTCTCCTAGCAAAGAATATTAATATTAATACCCTGGGGAAGGAATGCATTTCTGGGGGGGAAGTCTGTAAATGACTACGCTGGGAATGTCTGTCCTATGTGGTTGAGATAAGGACTGAGATACACAGTGGTCTCCTGCAGTACCCTCAGGCTTACTAGGGTGGGGAAAAACCCAGCCCTGGTAAATTTGTGGTCAGACTGGTTCTCTGCTCTCAAACGCTATTTTCTGTTGTTTAAGATGTTTATCAAGACAATACATGCACCACTGAACATAGACCCTTATCAGTAGTTCTGCTTTTGCCCTTTGCCTGGTGATCTTTGTTAGACCCTTATCAGTAGTTCTCCTTTCTGCCCTTTGAAGCATGTGATCTACTCCCTGTTCTTACACCTGCTCCCCTTTTGAAACCCTTAATAAAAAACTTGCTGGTTTGAGGCTCAGGTGGGCATCATGGTCCTACCGATATGTGATGTCACCCCTGGCAGCCCAGCTGTAAAATTCCTCTCTTTGTACTCTTTCTCTTTATTTCTCAGCTGGCCAACACTTATGGAAGATAGAAAGAACCTATGTTGAAATATTGGGGGTGGGTTCCTCTGATACCATTTATTGAGCTAGGCTACTGTACTAAGCTAGATATAAATACAGATATATAAAATTAGTTTACTAGAGCTACCATAACAAAATCATTAACTGGGTGACTTAAACAATAGAATTTTATTTTTCTTCCAGTTCTAGAGGCTGAAAATCCAAGATCAAGGTGGTGAGCAGGGCTGGTTTCCTCTGAGGCCTCCCTCCTTGGCTTGTAGATGGCTGCCTTCTTGCTGCTTCTTCATGCGGCTGTCCCTCTGTGCACGTATGCCCCTGCTGTCCC
Organism: Homo sapiens; assembly: GCF_000001405.40. NCBI lineage: Eukaryota > Metazoa > Chordata > Mammalia > Primates > Hominidae > Homo > Homo sapiens. Next base: position 21,352,435 of record NC_000010.11, read on the forward strand.
TCTGTGTATCCTAGTCTCCTCTTCTTATAAGGACACCAGTCCATTTGGGTCTTGTTTTTGTTTTTGTTTTGCTTTGTTTTGCTTTTTGAGATAGTCTCACTCTGTCACCCAGGCTGGAGTGCAAGGGCACCATCTCAGCTCATTGCAACCTCTGCCTCCCGGGTTCAAGTGATTCTCCTGCCTCAGCCTCCCGAGTAGCTGGGATTACAGGCATGTGCCACCACACCCAGATAATTTTGTATTTTTTAGTAGGGACGGGGTTTTGCTATGTTGGCCAGGCTGATCTTGAACTCCTGACCTCAAGTGATCTTCCTGCCTCGGCCTCCCAAAATGCTGAGATTACAGGCGTGAGCCACTGCACCTGGCTGACACCAGTCCATTTGGATTAGAGCCCCCCTTGAGCTTCATTTTAACTTAATTACCTCTTTAAAGATCCTATCTCCAAATATAATCACATTCTGAGATAGAGGGGGTTAGGGCTTCAATATAGGAATTTTGGGAGCACATATTTCAGCTTATAACACATATGTGTGCATGTATATACTTAAACATATAATTTTATCTTCAACCACCCTATAATGGTCCTGTCATTCCATTTTACAGATGAGGAACTGATGCTCAGAAAGGCTTAATAATTAGCCCAATGTCACCTAATTAATAAGTGTCAGGAAATGTAAACTTAGGACTGTCTGACTGCAAAGCCCAGGCTTTTAACCACCATGCTATACTTTGAAGGGAGAGAAAAATAAGTAGCAGTTATAAAAATTCTTCTGTGTTACCTGGTATCCGTTTGCACACTCAGCCATGCCATTAATTGGCCCAACATTTATTGTGTGCTTATGATGTATCCCAGGTAACAGGAGAAGTTGTGACTCTTTCATGAGAGAGTTGCAGAATTAAATTGGAAATAATTTTAATATCTGGAAGAACTGTGCAGTTCTCCCAGACAGGAAACCTACTTGGGGGGAGCGGTTAGAATTCTATCAGGTTCAGGGATATTCAGAGCTAGTATCCAAAATCCAATCAGTGGATGTGGGCTTATAGACACTGTAAAGAGATAGTAGAAGATTTGGTAATGTAAAACTTGAACTTAAAGGATGTGAAATTATGTGGCCACCTTTTGTAAGTTATGGAATCACTGACATAGCACCTAGGGTAGGGCTCAAGGTATTCCTACTCTATTGTAGACATGGATTCTGTCACACCTTCCCAAAAAATTATCTTGGGAAGGCAATCCCTAACTGTGATTGTTCTTTAGTGGGCAAGAATATTTAACCATGAGAGGATTCAAAATGAAATATACAAATGTTTAAGAGTACCAGGCGCAGTGGCTCACGCCTATAAACCCAACATTTTGGGAGGCCGAGGTGGGTGGATTACTTGACGTCAGGAGTTCAAGACCAGCCTGGCCAACATGGTGAAACCCCATCTCTACTAGAAATACAAAAATCAGCTGGGCATAGTGGCAGGTGCCTGTAGTCCCAGCTACTTGGGAGACTGCAGCAGGAGTATTGCTTGAACCCAGGAGGCAGAGGTTGCAGTGAGCCAAGACTGTGCCACTGTACTCTAGCCTGGGCAACAGAGCAAGACCCTATCTCAAAAAAGAAAGAAAGAAAGAAAGAAAGAAAGAAAGAAAGAAAGAAATTTTTAAGAGAGTGAAACTTGTACTACTAATATCTTGATATTAAGGAATCTGGAAGTATTAATAATATAGTACTTATAATATTTGTTATGGACTATTTGTTCCCCCCAAAAATTCATATGTTGAAATCTTTTTTATATAAATATATATATATATTTGGGTTTCTGTGGGTTTTTTTCAGTAGAGACAGGGTCTCACTCCGGTCTGAGTGCAGTGGCACGATCATAGCTCACTGCAGCCGCAAACTCCTGGGCTCAAACCATCCTCCCACCTCAGCCTCCTGGTAGCTGGGACTGCAGGCACACACTACCACTGTTGGCTACTTTATAAATTTTTTTTAGAAATGGGAGTTTTTCTATGTTACCCAGACTGGTTTCAAACTCCTGGGCTCAAGAGATCATCCCTTCTCGTCACCAAAAGTGTTAGGATTACACACGTGAGCCACCATACCCAGCCTAGACTTACAATTTTAAGTCGAAAGTTTACTACGTTTTATGTAATATTGGCACTTAGAATTAAGGCTGGCTATATAGTCATGTTTAACGATTAGATTTATAAAAATTAAACATTTTAGTCAGGCAAGTTGGCACACACCTGTAATTCCAGTTACTCAAGGAGGCTGAGGCAGGAGGATCACTTGAGGTCAGGAGTTCAAGACCAGCCTGAGCAACATAGCAAGGCCCACCATCTCAAGAAAAGAAACAGATAATTAAACCTTTTGGAAAGTTTAACAGCCAGACATCTGAGTTACTTTAAAGGGAAATAAATACATTGATGGGTTATTATTGCAGTTTCAAATAAGTGAAAGTTTAGATGTGTAAATGGGACCAAATATTAATCAAAGGTGCCCCTCCTACAGTGTTGTGATTTGCTAGATTTATAAACAGAAATTTCTAAATTGACCTGAAAAGAGCTTGATTTTTTTATATGTAACCTAAATAAATGGCAATTTTTAAAATCAAAGTAAACCCCTGAAGAAGCTTTCTGTGGACAAAGCAGAAAAAGTGTAGTTGGAACCTAAGAAAGGAGGCATCTAAACTGGGAGTCAGGGGAAAGCTTTACAGAGGAAGAACTGAAGATAGGTATGAGTTTGTCCAGCAAATTAAATAGGGGAGGTCAGTGCATCCAGGTAGAGGCAAAGAAATATAGGGCCAGGCGTGGTGGTTCACACCTGTAATCCCAGCATTTTGGAAGGCTGAGGCGGGCGGATCACTTAAGGTCAGGAGTTCAAGACCAGCCTGGCCAACATGATGAAACCCCGTCTCTACTAAAAATACAGAAATTAGCCAGGCATGGTGGCGGGCGCCTGTAATCCCAGCTACTCGGGAGCCTGAGGCAGAAGAATCGCTTGATCCTAGAGGCGGAGGTTGCAGTGAGCCGAGATCTTACCACTGCATTCCAGCCTGGACAACAGAGCAAGACTCTGTCTCAAACAAACAAACAAACAAACAAAAAGAAAGAAAGAGAAAGAAAGAAAGAAAGATACGAACAACAGCTACAAGTAGTTCAGCATTCCTGAGTCAAAAATCAAGCTGGGAAACAGGTCCCAGTGATGTCAGCTAGGTAGGTAGGGGCCAAGTCATGAAGGGACATGTGTCCCAGGTAAAGGCATTTCTGTTTTAACCTGTAGGCAATGGTAAGACATTGAAGAATTTCCCTCACATTTGATCTGATTTGCCTGGTTTGGAGCTCACAGTTGAAAAATAAAGTGAAACAACACTAAAGACAGGAAAACGACTGAAGTCTAGATAAGTGATTTTGGAGTGTGGGAGGGAAAATGAGGACAGAAAAAATAAAATCAAGCTAAGGGCAAAATGCATACCTGAAGTACATTCTCGTGAGTCATGGATACATTGCTAGCAGTAAGCTGCAAAATTTATCAAATGGCAAGGAAGGAAGAAGAGAGAGAGAGAATGAAGCTGACTCAGAAATTGAGGGGAGAGAATTGGGCTAGAAATGTGTTTTAGGCATCAAGAACAAATAGATGGTAATTTTTGAAGCCATGAGTATAAATGAGATTTTCCAAAGAGTGTGCAGAGAATAAAGAAGAGAAAAAGGCTAAGGATAAAATCAGGGGGAAAGTCAACATTGAAAGTGTAGGGAGCAGAAAAAAAATTGGGTCAAGGTAATTGTGAAAGTTCAGCCCAAGAAGTAGGAGTGACCATTCAGAAGCATGAGGTATGAGGGTATCACAGGAGCTGGGGTTTTCAGAAGGTGGAAGAAACTGGGCACAGTGAACTTGAACTTGGGCTAGGTGTTCAAGCCAGAAGTTTGAGACCAGCCTGGACAACATAACAAGACACCATCTCTAAAAAAAAAAGAAAAAGGGAGGCCGAGGCGGGCAGATCATGAGGTCAGGAGATCGAGACCATCCTGCCAAGTTGATGAAACCCCGTCTCTACTAAAATACAAAAAATTAGCCAGGCGTGATGGCGCACACCTGTAGTCCCAGCTACTCAGAAAGCTGAGGCAAGGGAATCACTTGAATTCGGGAGGCGGAGGTTGCAGTGAGCTGAGATTGCGCCATTGCATTCTAGACTGGCAACAGAGCGAGACTCCATCTCAAAAAAAAAAAAAAAAAAGGTGGAAGGAAGTGTGCGCAGATGTTACCAAGAAGACCCCTAATACAAAAACTAGTATTGTAAGGATCTATCCAGCCAGGTTTGGGAAGACTGCCCTTCCCTTACCTGTGTAACATTTCTAAAAATAATAAAGGAAGCTAGGCCTGGCGGCTCGCTCCTGTAATCTCAGCACTTTTGGGAGGCCAAGGCGGAAGCACTTCTTGAGCCCAGGAGTTCGAGGCTAGCATAGGCAACATAGTAAGACCCCATCTCTACAAAAAACTTAAAAATTGTCCAAGCGTGGTGGCACATACCTGTAGTCCTAGCTACTCTGGAGATTGAGTGGGGAGGATGGCTTGAGCCCAGGAGATGGAGGCTGCAGGGAGCTATCATGGTGCCACTGCCCTCCAGCCTGGGCAATAGAGTGAGAGTGAGACTGTCTCTAAAAAGTAAACAAATAATAATAAAGGGGAAAAGGGTTTTCTCTGCTTTCAAATTGCCTCCTTCTATTCTCCTTATAGGCATGAGATCCATTAAGCTCCTTGACCAACAAACAGTCTTTGGTCAGTGAACCCGCAGTAACATTCAATCCCTATGTCTACCTCTGCCTTTAAGAAACTCATCCCATCCTTGGCTTCAGCCCTTTGCTGGTTTAGCCCTCATCCCTCCCTTTCGCTCCCACTTCCCCACCTTTCTGCCCTCTCTTCTCCCTCATACCCACTCTCTGCAGGCATTTCTCTAGGCTCAGTGTTCAGCCCTCTGTTCATCTCGTTCTATACTCCTGGAATAATTCTGCTGGACTGATTTGATTTCCTTCTTTAGCTATAATTTTGTGGCAGATATTTCCCAGAAATCATAAAATGTTGCTATTGTTGTTCAATACATCATTGCAGGGAAAGAACCGCTGGATGTATATGTCCCACATTCAAAATCACAGATACAAAGTGCTGCACATACCTCATCCATTATTCCCCTATTCTCTTGCTCTATTATTATTTCCAAGTAGCTCTAGGCAGCTTGGTGCTTCCAAGCTTCTGGGACTGTGGGCAGGAATAATAATGACTTATCCAACTGCAGCAACAAATCCAACTGCACAACCACTATTCCTGCAAGTGAGCTGAAAATGTATGGTGGTGCCTGCTAGACCTCACCCCTGAGAATGCACTGCATTCGCCAGACTCATATTGTCAGCCCTACCCATGCAAGTGGGGACATAGTATCAGCCTCTTCTAGTTATAATTTTAGCATATTTCATTGATTCTAAGGCTTACATATTGTTCACATTATAACTTCAGAAATTGAGATGCACTCTACATTTACATTTTTATTGATATTGGAATATAAAATAATGATGTGTTTTATAATCTACGGTGTCACGTATCTGATGAAATTTGCGTATTTGAAGAACAAGATGTAAAAATAAATTAGTTTCATCTATTGTACAACATGGTGACTATAGTTAATAATATTGACTTGTTTTTGGTTTTTTGGTTTTTTGGCTTTTTTAAGAGATGGGGTCTCGCTATATGGCTCAGCCTGGAGTACAGTGGCTATTCACAGGTGTGATCATAGTACACTACAGAGCCTCAAACTCCTAGGCTCGAGCGATCCTCTCCCTCAGCTGGGACTCCCAGGTAGCTGGGACTACAGGCATAGGCAAATTGTATTTTGAAAATTGCTAAGAGAGTAGATTTTATGCTCCTACTACAAAAACTAATAAGTAAGGTAATGTACATGTTAATTAGCTCAACCAAGCCATTCCACAATGTTTACATATTACAAAGTGTCATGTGGTACACAAAAAATCTACACAATTTTATTTGTTAAATTTTTTAAGTGTTTTCTTTTTGTTTTGTTTTGTTTTGTTTTATTCTGAGATGGAGTCTCGCTCTGTCACCCAGGCTGGAGGGCAGTGGCGCAATCTCGGCTCACTGCAATCTTCACCCCCAGGTTCAAGCAATTCTCCTACCTCAGCCTCCTGAGTAGCTGGGATTACAGGTACGTGCCACCACACCCAGCTAATTTTTGTATTTTTAGTACAGATGAGGTTTCACCATGTTGGCCAGGATGGTCTTGATCTCCTGACCCCATGATCTGCCCGCCTCAACCTCCCAAAGTGCTGGGATTACAGGCGTGAGCCACCACACCCGGCTATTTGTCAAAAATTTTTTTTTTCCCAAGATGGAGTCTTGCACTGTCACTCAGGCTGGAGGGCAGTGGGGTGATCTTGTCTCACTGCAACCTCCACCTCCCGGGTTCATGCGATTCTCCTACCTCAGCCTCCCAAGTAGCTGGATTACAGGTGAGAGCCACCGCGCCCGGCCTTAATTGTATTTTTAAAATAAATTAGTTTCACTTTGGAAGACAATAAGCACAGTGTTTAAAAGGTAGGTTTAAAGTCAGACACACTGGGCTTAAATTTCAGCTCTGACACTTACTAGCTCTAATAACTAGAAAAAGTTGCTTCATCTCTCCAAGTCTCCATTTTTCTAACCTGAAAACTTGGACTAAGAGACTGGCATTATCTACCTCATAGGGTTTTCAGAGGTTCAAACCCTATTGTATGATGTGCTTAAGACAATGCCTGGCAGCTGGTAAATGCTCTGTCTGCTACATCCCAGTCTTCTTGTATTTGTCAAAAGGAAAAGCTGTAAGACGTATAGGAACAACACTGGATTTGTATTTTGACTGAACCAGGCAAACAACTCTCTCATGAATCTAATCAAAGAGAGAGAAAAAATAAACAGCCCATAATTCAGGGTTGAATAGAGTCATAAAACAGGCAAAGCAAATTCTCATGCTTGTAAATCATAGGCAAAGTTTCTACAGTAGTAGATCAATGCCATTTCTTCTTCCCTACCTCACACTACTGAAAATGGTACAGGGCATACGTCACATATTAAAACCAAATTTACTCAGTATGAAGATAGCCCCCTTCCCTCTGTGAGATTACCCAGTCAGCATTCTGCAGCTTACTAAGCTGACTACAGTCAATCAGAATCAAGATATTTACCAAAATCTCTAGGTTTTATTTTAAGGGAAAAGATATAAAGCTGCATACAATATAGTCTGATTTTCACAAATATACATATATTCATAAAGAACTGAAATGATATATACCAAGTTGCTTGCTGTATGGTAAGATTATGAAATTTTTTGTTTTATCTTTTCATTTTTAATTTGTTCATAACTGAGATAAACTACTGTGGTAAAAAAAAAACAAATCGTTTAATCTTTTTATTTATTTTATTATTTATTTATTTATTCATTTATAATTTTTGAAACAGGGTCTCACTCTGTTGCCTAAGCTGGAGTGCAGAGGCACGATCTTGGCTCACTGCAACCTCCACCACCTTGGTTCAAGCAATCCACCCACCTCAGCCTCCTAAGTAGCTGGGACCACAGGTGTGCACCACCACACCTGGCTAATTTTTTTATTTTTTGGTAGGGACAGGATTTCACCATGTTGGCCAGGCTGGTCTCAAACTCCTGGCCTCAAGTGATCTGCCTGCCTCAGCCTCCCAAAGTGCTGGGATTACAGGCATAAAGCACTGGGCTCAGCTAATCTTTTTTATATTATAAAAGAAAAAAGAATAACTTGTTTTTCACAGGATTTAGGAGAGATTCTCTTTAGCTGATGTCCCAGAGGTTATTTTTATAAACTTAAACACACACTTTGGAGACATTAATTCAGCATTTCTTATGAAGACTATTAAGTAGTCCCCTGCAAGCTATTGCAGGATAGACACATAGTGGTGATGCATTCATACTAACTAATGAAAGTTTCACTCTAGCAGCTCAGAGTAAACCAGAGTCTTCTAAGCAGGCTAAGTGAATTCAGCATAGAAGAGACAAAATAATCAGCTTACAAGGGCACTGCTTGGGGTAACTATTTTCTTTTGGAGTGTGTAGGAAAAGAATTCTTTTTAAAAAATTAACAGTGGCTGGGCATAGTGGCTCACACCTGTAATCCCAGCACTTTGGGGGGCCAAGGTGGGTGGACCACCTAAGGTCAGGAATTCAAGACCAGCCGGGCCAACATGGTGAAACCCCATCTCTACTAAAATCCAAAAATTAGTGAGGTGTGGTGTCTTACACCTGTAATCCCAGTTACTGGGGAGGCTGAGGCAGGAGAATCGCTTGAACCCAAGAAGCAGAGGCTGCAGTGAGCCGAGATCATGCCATTGCACTCTTGCCTGGGTGACTGAGCGAAACTCTGTCTAAGAAAAAACAAAAAAGGCAGAAACAGCAGCAATGCAAAGTAATATTAGTATCTGTTGTCCAACATGCCTTACTAAATAGACAAACAGTAGTAGTTAAAACCAAGAAATCTGCTTCTTTCCTGGTGTCATCTGTATATTGGTACAGGTATAAACTGAACTGCTTGTATTAGTCCACTCTCACACTGCTATAAAGTTACTATCCGAGATTGGGTAATTCGTAAACAAAGGAGGTTTAATGGACTCACAGTTCCACATGGCCGGGGAGGCCTCAGGAAACTTACAATCACGGTAGGAGGGGAAGCAGATACCTTCCTCACAAGGCGACAGGAGGAAGGAGAGCAGGGGAAACCTCCACTTACAAAACCATCAGATCTCATGAGAACTCACTCACTATCAGGAGAACAGCATGGGGAAAACCGGCCCCAAGATCCAATCACCTCCTACCAGATCCTTCCCCCGACAAATAGGGATTACAATTCAAGATGAGATTTGGGTGGGGACACATCCAAACCATATCACTGCTATAAGAAAGGGACCCCAAAATGATGACCCCTACAGAAGGGCTGCGTGCAGTGGCTGATGCCTGTAATCCTAGCACTTTAGGAGGCCAACGCGGGTGGATCACCTGAGATCAGGAGTTCGAGACCAGCCTGACCAGCGTGGTGAAACCCCATCTATACTAAAAACACAAAATTAGCCAGGTGTGGTGGTGCATGCCTGTAATCCCAGCTACTTGGAAGGCTGAGGCAGGAGAATCGCTTGAACCCAGGAGGCAGAGGTTGCAGTGAGCCGAGATCCCAACATTGCACTACAGCCTGGGCAAGAAGAGCGAAACTCTGTCTCAAAAAAAAAAAAAAAAAAAAATTAGCCTGGTGTGGTGGTGCATGCCTGTAGTCCTAGCTACTCAAGAGGCTGAAGCGGAAGGATCGCTTGAGCCCAGGAGTTTGAGGCTACAGTGAGCTATGAATGCACCACTGCACTCCAGCCTGGGTGACAGAGAGAGACCCTGTCTCAAAATAAATAAATGAGTAAATAAATAAATAAACTATACAGAAGTTCATTCTGGTGTCATTTCCAGAGGTGAGCGCAGTGGGGTACAGGGTGGTGAGGCCACTCTGCTCCAGGAGGTCCTCATTCTCATTGTTCCACCACCTGGTAGGGAGGGATCCTTGCCTGAATGGTCAGACTGGCTCACCATAGCATCTGCATTCCTTCCCAAAGGAGGGGAAAGGGGGAGGAAGTCAAAGGTGAGCAATTTCTCTTTAAGAAAATGATGTGGAAGTTGCACACCTCACTTCAACTCACAACCCAGTGGTAAGAACTTAGATAGCCTCAACTGTTTGTAAAAAAGAGGCTGAGCACTGTAGCCTCTACCTGGGAACTCTAGCCTCTACCTGCTAAACCTCAGGGAGAGGGGTGTACACACCAAAAGAAAGGAGGGGAGGCTGGCTGCTAGTCCATAGTTGCAATTTATGCTACAAAGAGCCTTTATTTATTTATTTTTTTTTTTTAGAGATAGCATCTCACTGTCACCCAGGCTGCAGTACAGTGCTGCAATTATAACTCACTGCAGCCTCAGTCTCCTGGGTTGGGATCCTCCCACCCCAGCCTCCCAGTAGCTGGGACTACAGGTGCATACCACCATGCCTGGCTAATTTTTTTTTTTTTTTTTTGTGGTAGAGATGGAGGTCTCACTATGTTGTCCAAGCTGGTCTCAAAGTCCTGGCCTCAAGCAATCCTCCCACCTCAGCTTCCCAAAATTCTGGGATTATAGGCATGAGCCACTGCACCAGGCCCAAATACACATTTTAAACGGCATGTTTCTAACTCAATTTTTATTTTTTTTCTTTTGGAGACAGACGTTTGCTTTGTTACCCAGACTGGAGTACAGTGGTGTCAAATCAGCTCACTGCAACCTCCACCACCCCAGTTCAAGCAATACACCCACCTCAGCTTCCCAAGTAGCTGGGACCACAGGCATGCACCACCATGCCCAGCTAATTTTTTATATTTTTAGTAGAGACGGGGTTTCGCCATGTTGGTCAGGCTGGTCTTGAACTCCCGGCCTCAAGTGATCTGCCCGCCTCAGCTTCCCAAAGTGTTGGGATTACAGGCATGTGCCACTGCGCCTGGCTTCTAACTTAAAATTTTATATTCTTTTCTGTCTACCCACTTTCAAAATATGATTGATGAGGCACAGCCAGAGGCCACCAGAAGCTGGAAAGGCAAGGTTCCTCCCCTAGAGCCTCTGAAGGGAGTGCAGCCCTGCCCGTACCTTGATTTCAGCCCAGTAACACTGATTTTGGACTTCCAGCCTCCAGATCTATGAGGGGATAAGTTTCTGTTGTAAACGACTCAGTTGTAGTAATTTGTTACAGAAGCCACAGGAAGTGAATACAGTGACACTGTCTGTGACTTTGGCCTTGGAAATTTTTTCATAGCCATGGCCCTGAGCCAAAATGTTCCATCCTGATTCTAACTTAACCTATAAATTGGAGTTAGTGATTTGAATCTAGCTGAGCATTTACCTAACAAAAAGAAGTCTCTAAATCTTTCTAAGCAAAAGGAGTGGGCTGTCATTGATATTTAGTTTCCTAAAACCCAGTATAAACAAGGGTGCCCTGTTTGGGGAATTCGAGGGTAGAAAGAGAGAAGAAAATTCTCAAAGTTCATTTTTACTCATTAACTCCTCCCATAATATTCACTGGACACCTGCCATGGGCCAGGCACTGAGCTTGGAACTGGGAAACAACCATGTATATAAAACAAAGTTCCCCCGAGTGGCTCTCAGTCTAGTTCAGCTTTCAGGGAGGGAGAGAGAAAAAGAAAGAAGGCCAAGATGGATACATAAATCTGAGAAACTCACTTTATAAAACGATGCGCAAAACTATGTGAAATACTCCATGACATTTCTCTAAACCTTATAATACCATCTGTGAACAAAACAAATGTTTTGGGCAAAAAAAGAAGCCTTCCTGAATGTGGAAATCAAGCCAGGAAGAAGGTCAGCATGTTACCTGACACAGAACAAGCCCCAGGGCAGACACAGAAATGAAGCAACCCAAAGCACAAGACATTAAGAGGGAATAAAAAAAAAAAAAAGCACAGCACAGTATGTGAGGCAAAGGACCTCAAAATCATATATAAAAGACACAAACATGTATGAGTTTATTAATTTCCGAAGCTGAAATCTTTTTCTCAACTGAGTCAAATGAATTAAAAACTAAATTACCATATTCATCAAGCCATCTACATAAAACAATTTCCCTACATTTAAAACCGACTGCAACCCAAATTCTGCTAGAGGTTGTCAGTCTGAAGCTCACACAATTATCTTCATATATCGGGGGTGAGGGGAGTCGTAATAATCTAGGGCACAAACCTGAATTGCCCAAGGGAACTGACTACATAATCAAATTATCCAGTTCAAAGGGCAAGTTGTATAATTCAAGACCGTAAAGTAAAAGTCCTCCTGTGTTGTTTAATAGTAAGTTTCCATTGCTGACTATTTTCGTGTGAAATTACCTTGCTTCTCCATTTTCTTTTGCATTTTTAGACACAATCAGTGGAAATTTTTTCCACTGGAAAGTAGCAAAGTGACAAGCATTCTTGCTAAAGAAATCTAGTATCACACATTCTGACAAATCTCTTTGGAATCCTCACTTCATTCAAAGATTCAAGCTCGCCTGGCAGACCGGTGGGACAGGCCAGCAGGAATCCTATTTGCCTTAGGGCCTGAATAGCTTCCTGGGAAATTCTGCCACCCAAGGGAAGCTCTCAAAGGTCAGACGTCAGCTTGGCCCAGTAACAATGACTCCCTGGTCCCAGAGGAAGGGTGATTCTGAGTGCAGCCGGATCTGTGAATTAGATTTGTTCACTAGCCCAGCCCCCATGGACTCATGTCAGAATCTTAGAGAGGGGTCTAAAAAACTACAACAGCAGTTTTTACTAAAATTCACTGATCAACTTTGACATCACTGGAAGTAGAAAGCCAGACATTATGTGTCTCTTGACGAGGTGCATGGGAAAGTCCGCTGCATCACCAAAAAAGTAATAACAATAATAACTGAATCAGAATCTCATCAAGCCTCCAGGCCTCATTATCACCAGTTTACAGGAATAGAAGGAGCCTAGGAGCATTGTTGAACAACACCATGATAACGCAATCAGCCAAATCCAGGATGTGGAAAATTCCACAGGACAAATGATCAGCTTCCTTTACCAAATACAGAGTTCTAAAATGGGATAGTAAGAATTATTGTAGGTAGCAAGAGACTCAGGAGACATAACCAACTACATGTGTGTACTGTCTTTAGATCCAGATTCAAACAAACCATCTGCGCAAAGATATTTGTGAGACAATTGGAGAAAATGGAACATACACTGAGAATTAGGTAATGTTAAGAAATTATTGGGGGATTTTTAGGGATGATAATATTATTGGGCTTATATTGGGAGAAGAGTCCTTTGCCTTTTAAAGATAGTAATTAAGTACTTCAGGCCGGGAGCAGTGGCCCACCCCTGTAATCCCAGCAATTTGGGAGGCTGAGGCAGGCAGATAATCTGAGGTTAGGGGTTCAAGACCAGCCTGGTCAACATGGCGAAACCCCGTCTCTACTAGAAGTACAAAAATTAGCAGGGTGTGGTGGTTGTAGCCTGTAATTCCAGCTACTCGGGAGGCTGAGGCAGGAGAATCACTTGAACCTGGGAGGTGGAGGTCACAGTGAGCCGAGATCACGCCATTGCACTCCAGCCTGGGCAACAAGAGCGAAACTCCATCTAAAAAAATACTACTAATAGGCCGGGCACCGTGGCTCACGCCTGTAATCCCAGCACTTTGGGAGGCCAAGGCGGGCAGATCATGAGGTCAGGAGATCGAGACCATCCTGGCTAACACAGTGAAACCTCGTCTCTGCTAAAAATACAAAAAATTAGCCGGGCGTGGTTGCAGGCATCTGTAGTACCAGGTACTTGGGAGGCTGAGGCAGGAGAATGGCCTGAACCTGGGAGGTGGAGCTTGCAGTGAGCCGAGATCGCGCCACTGCACTCCAGCCTGGGCGACAGAGCAAGACTCCGTCTAAAAAAAAATTAATTAATTTAAAAATAATAATAATAATTAAGTATGTGGCCGGGCACAGTGCCTCATGCCTGTAATCCCAGCACATTGGGAGACCGAGGCAGGCAGCTTGCTTGAACCCAGGGGTTCTAGACCAGCCGGGACAATGTAGTGATACCTTATCTCTACAAAAAAATAAAAAATTAACCAGGCATGGTGGTGCATGCCCATGGTCCCAACTATCTAGGAGACAGAGGTGGGAGGATCACTTCAGCCCAGAAGTTCAAAGCTACAGTGAGTCATGATCACGTCACTGCACTCCAGCCTGGGTGACAGAGCAAGAACCTGTATCAAACAACAATAATAATAAAACCAGACACGATGGCTCACCCCTGTAATTCCAGCACTTTGGGAGGCCGAGGCAGGCAGATCACTTGAGGTCGGAAGTTCCAGACCAGCCTGACCAACATGGAGAAACCCCATCTCCACTAAAAATACAAAATTAGCCGGGCATGGTGGTGCATGCCTGTAATCCCAGCTACTTGGGAGGCTGAGGCAGAATTGCTTGAACCCGGGAGGTGGAGGTTGCAGTGAGCCAAGATGGCACCGTTGCACTCCAGCCTGGGCAACAAGAGTAAAACTCTGTCTCAAAAAAAAATAATAAATAATAATAATAACAACAATAATAATTAAGTATTTCAGGGTAAAATGATAGGATGTCTGGGATTTGTTTCAAAATATTTCAGTGGGAGGGTGGGGAGGATGATGAGGAAGGATCAGTTGAGTAGATAAAACAAGAATGATATTGTTTTATTGATAACTATTGCAATTGGCCAATGTCTGCTGGTGATTCATTATACTATTCTCTCTATGTTTGAATATGTTTTAAGCTTCTATGACACTATTTTCTTTTTTTTTTTTTTGAGACAGAGTTTCGCTCTTGTCTCCCAGGCTGGAGTGCAGTGGCGTGATCTCAGCTCACTGCAACCTCTGCCTCCCAGGTTCAAGCAATTCTTCTGCCTCAGCCTCCCAAATAGCTGGGATTACAGGTGCCTGCCACCACACCCAGCTAATTTCTTGTATTTTTAATAGAGACGGGTTTTGCCATGTTGGCCACGCTGGTCTCAAACTCCTGACCTTCGGTGATCTGCCCACGTCAGCCTCCCAAAGTGCTGGGATTACAGGCGTGAGCCACCATACCCAGCCTATGAAACTATTTTCAAAGAGTACATAAAGCCCCATCTCACCTTCACTCTTACCTCCCATTACTGTGCCTCATCAACTCTTTGCCCTAGATATCTTTGCACCTACCACCACACTCTCTAGAAAAACACTTATCTGAACTGTCCTTCAATGCCCAATTCAAATTCCTGCTTCCTCTTCAAAGGCTTCCCTGATAGTCCCCAAAAGCATGAGCCCTCTCTCTTTTCTGAACTCTCATAGCACTTCAACTCAGTTGGTATCTGTCATCATTAGCTTTTTCTTTTTAATTAATTAATTTTTTTTAGACGGGGTCTCGCTCTATGCCCAGGCTGGAGTGCAATGGCATGCTCATGGTTCTCTGCAGCCTAGGCCGCCCAGGCTCAAGTGATTTTCCCACCTCAGCCTCCCTAGAAGCTAGGACTACAGGTGCATACCACCATGCCTGGCTAATTTTTTTTTTTTTTTTTGAGACGGAGTTTCGCTCTTGTCGCTCAGGCTGCAGTGCGGTGGCGCAATCTTGGCTCACTGCAATCTCCACCTCCCAAATTCAAGCAATTCTCCTGCCTCAGCCTCCCAAGTAGCTGGGATTACAGGCATGTACCACCATACCCAGCTAATTTTGTATTTTTAGTAGAGATGGGTTTTCATCAGGTCGGTCAGGCTGTTCTTGAACTCCTGACCTCAGTTGATCTGCCTGCCTCAGCCTCCCAAAGTGCTGGGATTACAGGCATGAGCGATTACGCCCGGCCAATGCCTGGCTAATTTGTGTGTGTTATTTTGTAGAGACAGAGTTTCACCATATTGCCCAGACTAGTCTCGAGCTCATGGGCTCAAGCAATCTGCCTGCCTCGGCCTCCCAAAGTGCTGGGATTACAGGTGTGAGCCACTGCGCCCAGCTGTTTTATTTTCTTGATTAGCTTTTTCTCATTTTGCACCCCTGACTGGATCTGAAGCCCTCATAACACTGGCCACATGCTTGTTTGTTATTCTCTTAGCATGACCGCTTCACCCCGGAATCTGTCCAAAATAATTTTGACGAATGAATAAATGATGGCAATGGCTCTTGAAAAGTGCTGACCTAAAGGACAACACACTAAGATAAGAATCTGGAAATCTGAGTGAGTCCTTGCATTAGGCAGGGTTACCAGGGATACAAAACTCATTCTGGTTGAAGCAAAAAGCTGGAATGCATTGATTCCAATAACTAGAAAGAAGAGGTGTAGATTCAGAGACCTCATGGTATTTTCGGTTGCCTCTCCACTTCCCCTTTTCTCCAGCTCTAGGTTTGGTTGTGACAAACTCTGCTCTTAGCCCAGCTTTGCAAACTGGAAGGAAAAATAAAGTAATTTTTTTCTCCCAACACGCACATATACATACCTCAATGTAAGTTTCTGATTGGTCCAGATCGCGTCTCCTGCCTGTTCTTAGGCCAATCACTGTGGTGAAGGGAACGAGACACTGTGATTGGCCAGATCTGGATCACAGGTTCTCCCTGTGGCCAGCAAACAGGCAGACCCATGAGAATGGCATAGTCAAGAGAGTGACAGTTTCCCCAAGAGAAAGAGAAGTGCAGTTGCTAAAAGGATGGAGGAAACGAATCCCGAGCAGAACCCCTCCTCCCCTCCCCTGCGAAACAAATGACTCTGGACCAACTATCTAGTAACAACATAATAATTGTCACGACTTGTTGAGCTCTTACTATTATCAGAGAACGCGCCAGTACTTTGTAATGTAAATATAATTACCTTTATAAAGCAATGTATATACATCTAGCCCTCTGAACAACTCAAAAGGTAGATGTTATTAGGCCCATTTCACGGATACTAAAACTGAGACTTAAATAGGCCAATGGACCTGTTCAAGGACCTGCTGTTTGCCACAATTGCTTCTTTGTGCTTCAATTTTCCTGTATATAGGGCTTCCTAATATTGCTGTACCTTTCAAAGATGTTTTTGACATGAAAGAGAAAGAAGTATGTCAAGGTTTTGAGACTTACTCATTCCACCCATGACGTGCCCTGGCCTGCATTTTCCTATGTGTAGCCTTCAAGGCCACGTCCTCCACAGAGTCTGCCTGACTCCTCCAGAGATCAGTGAAGCCTCCTTGCTCCAGATTCCCCAGCAACTCCCCCACAGCGCTCTCCTGGCAGCCATCACCTTCTCTCCCACATCATAGATATGTGGCTGTTAGCTCCCTCGCTACACTGTCTGGTATAGAGAAAAGGGACCATTTCTAATGCAACTTCCTATATAGCATGCATTTAACCCATACATGATAGGCTTTAACTAAACATTTGGTTAATTAAATGATGCATGTGTTTAATTAACGTATAGATGAAGAATTCCTCTATAAATTCAAGGCACAGCTGTTTGGGCTTCAAGTAAAAACACAGAAAGTTAGAACTATAAGAAGTCGCCTTCATTCAGGGCCAGTCTATAAGCTATTTGTTACTGAACCACAACAAAATAAGTCCAGAAATTGAGAATACACATTTAGAAACATTTATGACAGTCTAGTAGATTAAGTTTATGTCTGCTGAATCTAATAATAAAAAATAACTTAGACTTGTGTTCCGTATGTCTTTACTTTATAAATTAATTTTCTGATCATTCATTTTTACTCCATTTTACAATGTATCTGTTTGCAATGGACTGGGAATTTTTAAATATTTTTCTTCACCAGAGATAGTTGGAGAAGCACAAATCTTATCTAAACTGTCACTCAGAGCAGGAGGCCCTTCTCTATTTCTGGCCAACCAGCCTGTTTTTAATGCTTTCTAGCAAGGCATTCACACCATCCCAGTTCCACTCTCAGATTGTTTCATAACTTAACTATTTCCTTTCTGACCTTGAAAGGTTCTCCAGCTCCGTGAGAGAAGAACGCAGACTTCCTCAGCCTAGGATGGAGTTGGGGGGTGACAGGCTTCCATAGGAAGAAGTGAAAATTTTCCCTTTACTCACTCAGGACATCTGGATTCTCAGACCCAGTTTTCTCATCTGCAAAATAAGAAGCTTCAATTTCTGATGCTTTATGATCCCCTTGTTCATTCATGAGCTTTAAGATATGAAGGAAGTTCCTGCTTCTGAAGAATAGCCCATCACTGCCCCCTCCCCTGGAAAAAACTCCCTTTATATTTATTTATTTTGTTGTTGTTGTTTGTTTGAGATGGAGTCTCACTGTATCACTCACGCTGGAGTGCAGTGGTGTGATCTCAGCTCACTGCAACCTCCGCCTCCCAGGTTCAAGCCATGCTCCTGCCTCAGCCTCCAGAGTAGCTGGAATCACAGGCACCTGCCACCATGCCCGGCTAATTTTTGTATTTTTAGTACAGACGGGGTTTCACCATGTTGGACAGGCTGGTCTCGAACTCCTGACCTCAGGTGATCTGCCCGCCTCAGCCTCCCAAAGTACTGGGATTACAGGCGTGAGCCACCGTGCCTGGCTGAGAACTCCCTTTTTAACATGAGTGATCTGATTGTACAGCTGCAGGATATCTCATGTGTCACTTACACGGGATTAAAGAGTATTAGATCCGCCAGGCGCAGTGGCTCACGCCTGTAATCCCAGCACTTTGGGAGGCTGAGGTGGGCGGATCATGAGGTCAGGAGATCGAGACCATCCTGGCCAACACGGTGAAACCCTGTGTCTACTAAAAAAAAATACAAAAAATTAGCCGGCCGTGGTGGCGGTCGCCTGTAGTCCCAGCTACTCGGGAGGCTGAGGCAGAAGAATGGCGTGAACCCGGGAGGCGGAGCTTGCAGTGAGCCGAGATTGCGCCACTGCACTCCAGCTTGGGCGACAGAGCGAGACTCTGTCTCAAAAAAGAAAAGAAAAGAGTATTAGATCAGCTGGGTGCAGTGGCTCACAACTATAATTGCAAAACTTTGGGAGGCCAAGTGGGAGCATCGCTTGAGCCCAGGAGTTCAAAACCATCCTAGGCAACATAGCAAGACCTCATCTCTACTAAAAATTAAAAAATTAGCCAGGTGTGGTGGTGCATGCCTATGGTCCCAGCTACTTGGGAGGCTAAGGTGGGAGCATCCCTTGAGCCCAGGAGTTCAAGGTTATAGTTAGTTATGATTGCACCACTGTACTCCAGCCTGGGTGACAGAGGAAGGCTCTGTAAAGAAAGAAAGAAAGAGAGAAAGAGAGAAAGAGAGAGAGAGAGAGAGGAAGGAAGGAAGGAAGGAAGGAAGGAAGGAAGGAAGGAAGGAAGGAAGGAAGGAAGGAACGAAGGAAGGAAGGAAGGAGAGAGAAAGAGAGAAAGAAAGAAAGAGAGAGAGACAGAGAACAGAGAAAGAGAAAAAAAAAAAAGAAAGAGAAAGAGAGAAAAGAAAGAAGAGCCGGACGCGGTGGCTCACGCCTGTAATCCCAGCACTCTGGGAGGCCGAGGCGGGTGGATCACAAGGTCAGGAGTTCAGGACCAGCCTGGCCAAAATGGTGAAACCCCGTCTCTACTCAAAATACAAAAATTAGCCGGGCATGTTGGCAGGTGCCTGTAATTCCAGCTACTTGAGAGGCTGAGGCAGAGAACTGCTTGAACCCGGGAGGTGGAGGTTGCAGTGAGCCGAAATCGTGCCACTGCACTCCAGCCTGGGCAACAGAGAGCGAGACTCTGCCTCAGAAAAAAAAGGAAAGGAAGGAAGGGAGGGAAAAAGGGAAAAATAGTGATGTATGGCAATTCTTCAAATATAGGTGTGATATTTTGCATGTCAAATTTGATTCAACTGTTAATTAAAAAAACAAAGCAACATAGCATTTTCTCAGCATTTTTAAATTGAATAAAATGTAAATCTTTCATGCTTACTGTAATGAAGCCAGACAATTTAGAAAAACAAAACCATTCTTCTGATAACTCAGTAAATTTTAAATACACATACAAATATACCAGAAAATGCATTTTTGTAACTATTTTTAAAACTGTAGATGAAAACACAAAGATTAAAACTGATGAAATGAAACAGGCATACATAAAAAATTGAATGCAATACAAAAACAATATTATTTCTACTTCAAAAAAAGAATATTTTATTTATTAAGCCATAGCACTTTGGGAGAATGAGGTGGGTGGATCACCTGAGGTCAGGAGTTCAAGACCAGCCTGGCCAAAACGGCAAAACCTGGTCTCTACTAAAAATACAAAAATTAGCCAGGCACGGTGGCACATGCCTGTAACCCCAGCTACCAGGGGGACTGAGGCAGGAGGATCACTTAAACCCAGGAGGCAGAGGTTGCAGTGAGCCGAGATCGTGCCACTGCACTCCAACCTGGACAACAGAGCAAGACTGCTTCTAAAAAACAAAACAAAACACAACAAATATATATATACGTCAATGAATATATTCAGATTATTTGTAAAATAGAGTGGAAAAGAAAATTGGATGATATTTGTAAGTTAATCACATAAAACAACAAACATAACAACACCAGTATCATCACCTCAAAGGTAAATTGTAAATATGGAGACAATTGATTTTACAAGTCACATGTGAAATTATTATTTCATTCTGAATGAAATGGGGCTTTCAATACATTTTTAGCATGTCTAGAAACAAGTTTGTTCATGTGTTTCTAGTAATATATTATTTAAAATAGTAATTATACTGGTGACATAAACCTCAAACCAAAATTAAATCTGTATCAGAAGTTATCCCACCTGATGTAAGCAGGTTGTCCTTGCTTAAATAAAGCCATCCTCAAAGGTGTGAACGACCCCTGCTGAGGTCAGGGGAGTTGCCCAGGCAACTCTCAGATGCATGAACTATAAACACTTACAGTTTTATGCTGCTGAGCTTTCCTGATTGTTTCTTGCACAGCCTTGTTGGGACAATATTAAAAAGCTGCGGTGATTTTTAAATATACTCACACATTTTTGAGAATCCTCCCTTTAAGAGGTGGAGCCTCACTTCCCTCCCCTTGGGTGTGGGCTGGACTTAGCTTTTGGCTTCTAATGCACAGAATAAAGTGAAAGTGATGGGTGTGACTCTGGAAGGCAGATCATAAAATGCGCTGCAGCTCCCTCCTCCCTCTCTCTGAGATTGCTTGCTCTGGGGGAAGTTAGCCCACATGAGAGCACAAGCTGCATGGTGAGGAAGAGAGGCTTCCTGCCAACACCCAGCAAGGAATGGAGGCCCTGCCAGAAACCACCCTAGTGAGCCATCTTGGAAGCAGACCCCCAGCCCCAGCTAAGCATTCAGATGACTGCAGCCCTAACCAACATCCTGAGTACAGTCACGTGAGAGATCCTGAGCAAGAGCCACTCATCTAAGCCTCTCCTGAATCCCTGGCCCACAATTACAGTGAGATTAAAAAGTAAAATTGGCCAGGCATGGTGGCCCATGCCTGTAATCCCAGTACTTTGGGAGGCCGAGACAAGTGGATCATTTGAGGTCAGGATTTCGAGACCAGTCTGACCAACATGGTGAAACACTGTCTCTACTAAAAATACAAAATTAGCCAGGCATGATGGTGCATACCTGTAATCCCAGCTACTTGGGAGGCTGAGGCAGGAGAATGGCTTGAACCCAGGAGGTGGAGGTTGCAGTGAGCCAATATTGCACCATTGCACTCCAGCCTGGGCAACAAGAGTGAAACTCCATCTCAAAAAAAAAAAAAAAAAGAAAAGAAAACAAGGCCAAATGTGATGGCTCATGCCTGTAATCCCAGCACTTTGGGAGGCGAAGGTGGGAGGATCACTTGAGTCCAGGAGTTCGAGACCAGCCTGGGCAACATGGTGAGACTCCATCTCTAGTTGGGCATGGTGGTGCCTGCCTGCAGTCCTAGCTCCTCAGGATGCTGAAGTGGGAGGATTATTTGAGCTCAGGAGTTCGAGGTTGCAGTGAGCAGTGATTGCACTCAGGCTGGGTGACTGAGTGAGACCCTGTCTCAAAAAAAACAAAAAAAAAGATAAAATAAAAAATTGTTTTAAACTGCTAAATTTTTGAGTGATTTGTCACATAGCAGATAGGGATGCTGTTTAGAGCCTTTGGCAGGCCCCCATAGGTGAATCACAGTGAAGGCCTCTAGGATTTTGGAGCAAGGCCCTGCCATCTTCTGCAGATAACTACCTTCATTTTTAGAGACAGCTCTTGGCCTGTTACTGGGCTTTGGTGGAAACTGAACGTTTGATTATGGGTCATCAAGTCACCATGCGACCTGAACTGCCTGTCATACATAAACTGGGTGCCTTCTGACCCATCTAGCCACACAGTGGGGCGTGCACAGCAGCATTCATTATCAAATGGAAGTGGTATATACATAACCGAGCTCAAGCAGGTAGTTGCAGCCACTCAGGAGGCTGAGGCAGGAGGATAGCTTAAGCCCAGGAGACTGAGGCTGCAGTGAACCATAATGATGCCTCTGCGCTCCAGCCTGGGTGACAGAGTGAGACCCTGTCTCAAAAAAAAAAACAAAAAAAAGAAAAAAGAGAGAAACTAAAACTAAAGAATAGCTCAATAAATATACGATATTCATGGATTAGAAGACTCAATACTGAAGGTCAGTAATTTCATCAGAAACAAATGAGAAAAAAAAAGAAGATTCAATACTGTTATCATATTGCCAGTGCTTCACAAATCGATCTGTTGATTCAATGCAATCTCCATCAAAATCTCAGAAGGCATTTTTGTAGAAACTGGTAAGATGATTCTAAAATTTAGATACAAATACAAAGAATTTAGAAAATCTGAAACAATTTTGAAAAAGGAGAATACTGTTGGGAAAATTATATTACTTTACTACAGTGGTATTTAAGAGAATGTATTAAGTCCAAAAGTAGACACGCTGTATAGCTAATTTTTAGCCAAGGTGCACAAACAATTTAATAGAGATACATATATCAATAAAAGGTTCTGTAACAACTAACTACTTATATCTTTAAAAATAAACCTCTACTCAGATCACAAAACACACAAAAAAATTGATTTGAGGTGAATCATAGACCTAAACATCAAAGATCACTTGCAAAGCTTCTGGAAGAAAACATGGGAGAATGTTCTGATGACTTTGGAGAAGGCCAACATTTCTTATGTGGGTCAGAGAAAGCAGTTGCTATAAAAGGAGAAAAAAAAGTTAAAATGGCTTCATCAGCATTGAAACTTCTGCTCAGCAAAAGACACCATTAAGAAAATGAAGGCCAGATGCAGTGGCTCACATGTGTAATCCCAGCACTTTGAGAGGCCCAGGTGGGAGGATTGCTTGAGCCCTGGAGTTTGAGACCAGCCTGGGCAACATAGCAAGACCTCATCTCTACAAAAAATTTAAAAATTAACCAGGAGTGGTGGTGTGGGCCTGTGGTCCCAGCTACTTGGGAGGCTGAGGCAGGAGGATTGATTGAGCCCAGGAGGTCAAGGCTGCAGTAAGTCGTGATCACATGACTGCACTCCAGGCTGGGCAACAGAGCTGTCTCAAAAAGAAGAAAAGAAAACAAAAACGCAAGACAAACATTAGGAGAGAATGTTTACAATATACATATCTGACAAAGAACTAACAAAAAATTTAATGTAAGTTACATTTCCTTCACCATCCTTTGTGCTCTCTCAACAGTAACCATTAAGCAAACCATTTTACACTCCTAAACTCACCACCAAGCCAATTACCCCACAAGGCAGCTTAGAGCGTGGCTACCGTGGGAGCAAAAAGCCACATCTCTCTGTGTGTACACCCCCTGAATGGGAGGGTGGTGTTTAATCCAGCACTCCCAATTGTCTTCATCAACAAACAGGAGCTGCGAGCCATATGATTCCAGAAAGAGATGGCTCTCTAAAGATTTGTCATCTCAGTTCTTCCCTGGAGCAGAGTCCTAGGGCAGAGGACTCAATAATCAAATGTCCATTTAGCAGCTGTAAGAAAACAGAACGACACCAGAACATCTGAGGGCTGCAAAAACGTATATTGTCCAAAATGATTTTTTTTTTTTTTTTGAGACAGAGTTTCGCTCTTGTTGCCCAGGCTGGAGTGCAATGGCGCAATCTCGGCTCACTGCAACCTCTGCCTCCCAGGTTCAAGCGATTCTCCTGCCTCAGCGTCCTGAGTAGCTGGGATTACAGGCATGCGCCACCATGCCCAGCTAATTTTGTATTTTTAGTAGAGACAGGGTTATTCCATGTTGGTCAGGCTGGTCTCGAACTCCCGACCTCAGGTGATTTGCCCACCTTGGCCTCCCAAAGTGCTGAGATTACAGGCATCGAGCCACCATGCCCGGCCGTCCAAAATGATTTTTAATGATGATGGTAATTAAAGAACACAGAACTAAAATTATAGAAAATGTTTTATCTCCAATTAAGTGACTAATCTTGTTTTATCATTTTTATATGTAGTTTGTATGGGGAAAAAAGTTTCTGCTGCTGAAAGAGTATAAGAACCATGGATTTCATCTAGGGTTTTTTTGTTGTTGTTGTTGTTTTTGTTTGTTTTTTTAAAATGAGCCACAGAGATGTAATGTGCCTTGCTTAAAGCCATTCAGCTAAAGATATCAGACTGGGACGTTTGCTCTCAGTTCAGTGCTCTTGAGTCTGGAGTAGGTTGAGTTTGAAGCATTGAGAAGGTACCTGGATGTATAAACTTAAGGGGTTGGTTAGGCATTACCAACTAGAAATTCTATTCTGATGTGCAAGAAATTAATTAATTGTATAATTGTTGCTTTCTTCCTGATATCTTTACCCAAGCATCTATATAAATTTAACTAATATGCAAGTGAATAACAGATGTGCATGTAGAGATCAGTTTTGGGAAATTCCATTCAAAATGTAGAGAAATGTCTAGAAATCTGAGTTTAGGAAACAAAATTCAGAAATTCCAGACTCTTCCTAAGGAGGATACCCAGAACAAAACTGATGGCACACGGTAAATCGTTATCTAAGCAACAGCTTGAATCCTGTCTCTGGTTTATGACTCTGTATGAAAAAAGAAAATAAACTTGGAGAATAGGAAAGATCCCAGACTGGGTGTGGTGGCTCATGGCTGTAATCCCAGCACTTTGGTAGGCCAAGGCAGGAGGATTGCTTGAGCCCAGGGAGTCTGAGACTCCCTGGACATCATGGACAACATAGTGAGACTCCATCTCTACAAAAAATGCAAAAACTTAGCCAGTCCTGGTGGCACGCATCTGTGATCCCAGCTACGCGGGAGACTGAGGCAGGAGGATCACTCGCACCTCGTAGGCCAAGGCTGCAGTGTGCTATGATCACGCCACTGTACTCCAGCCTGAAGGACAGAGCAAGACCCTGTCTCAAAAAGGAAAAGAAAATTTTTCATAATTGGAGAACTAGTTCAACCTTTCTTAAAACATTAAGTTAAACACTTTATTAAACATTTAAGAAACATACGTAATAAATTAACTAATAATATTTCATAGGTTTTACCATAATTAAACAAAACGTTAAATGCAGAAAACTGTATTCTACAATAGGACACATACATACAAAATCAAGAACATACACTTTGACCTAATCATTCTGTTTCTGGGACTATAGCCTAAAGATATATAATATTGATAAATTGTTTAAGCACAAAAATGTTCTTTGTAACTTTTTTTTTTGAAACAGAGTCTCGCTCTGTTGCCAGGCTGGAGTGCAGCGGCACGATCTCGACTCACCGCAACCTCCACCTCCCAGGTTCAAGCGATTCTCCTGCTTCAGCCTCCTGAGTAGCTGGGATTAAAGGCGCCTGCCATCACACCCGGCTAATTTTTGTATTTTTAGTAGAGACGAGGTTTCCCCGTATTGGCCAGGATGGTCTCAATCTCTT
The DNA here is from genome assembly GCF_000001405.40 of Homo sapiens. Lineage (NCBI taxonomy): Eukaryota > Metazoa > Chordata > Mammalia > Primates > Hominidae > Homo > Homo sapiens. The sequence goes on from NC_000010.11 coordinate 21,377,866, forward strand.
GACCTCGTGATGCACCCGCCTCCGCCTCCCAAGGTGCTGAGATTACAGGCATGAGCCACAGCACCCGGCCCCCTCTTTGTAACTTTTTTTTTATAGCAGTGAAAGACTGAATTCTGCCTAGATGTCCAACAAAAGGGGAATGGTTAAGTAAACCAAAGTTGAACCATAGGACAGACTATTTTATATATATATATTTTATATATATATATATTATATATATACACACACACATATATATATACACACACATATATATAGTATAGAGAAAATGTGGTAATAAGGGAAAATAAGCATTACTAATATTTATTATTTTCTGAAAGCCAAGAATGGTATTAAGAGCTTTATACACGTTGGCTCCTTTCAACTTTACAATAATCTACTAAGGAAGTCTTTTTCTGGCTGTGTTTTTAGAAATGAGAAAGTAAGGGCTGGGCACAGTGGCTCATGCCTGTAATCTCAGCACTTTGGGAGGCCGAGGTGGAGGATCACTTGAGACCAGGAGTTCAAGACCATCCTGGGCAACATAGGGAGACACTGTCTCTATTTTACAAATCTAAAAATCAGCCGGGTATGATAGTGTGTGCCTGTAGTCCCAGCTACTCAGGAGGCTGAGACAAGAGGATCATTTGAGCTCAGGAGATTAAAGCTGCAGTGAGCTGTGATCATGCTATTGCTCTCCAGCCTGGGCAACAGGGTGAGATCCTGACTCAAAAAAAAAGAGAGAGAGAGAGAGACAGAGACGAAGCTAAGCCTTAGCAACATTGTATAATTTATCCAAGGTAATACAATGTATTAGATAAAGGGTCAACTAAGCTGCTATAACAAAAAGCCCATGTGTACAGTGGTTTAAATAAGATAGAGGTTTATTTGTCATATAGCCCAGAAGTGTGAGAGGTGGATCTGCTTTCCTCAACATGTGGCTTCCAAACAGGCTCCAATTAATCCCACTGTCCCGCCAGCAGAAAGGGCAAGAGAGAACTAGAAGCAGGAATTAGGCCAGGAGCAGTGGCTCACACCTGTAATCCCCATATTTTGGGAGGCTAAGGCAGGAGGATCACTTCAGGCCAGGAGTTTGAGACCAGCCTGGGAAACACACCAAGACCCCCATCTCTACAAAAATATTAGCCAGGCATGGTAGCACATACCTGTAGTCCTAACTACTTGGGAGGCTGAGGCAGAAGGATCGCTTGAGCCCAGGAGATTGAGGCTGCAGAGAGCTATGATCATACTGTTGTACCCCACCTTGAGTGACACAGCAGGATCCTGTCTCCAAAAACAATGGTGGGGAGAATTAACAAGATGACCCAGAAATTGCACAAGTTACCTCTGCCCACACCCCACTGGTCCAAATGTGGTCACATGTCCAGAGTTAGCTGGGCAGGGTAGTCTGTAGCTGAGGAACTACGTGGTCAGCAAAAACTCCAGGATGTGATTTTACTAAAAGGAAAAAGATGAAAATAGATACTGGGGAGAGTCAGTAGTCTCAACGGACTAATAAGTAGAAGAACTAAAATTGAAACCCCAAAACCTTGGCCCATTTGAATCCAGAGCTCTCTTTCTCAACCACATCAAAGTGCTCTAAACACTTGAAAAATTTTTTTGCCAGGTGCAGTAGCTCATGCCGGTAATTCCAGCACTTTGGGAGGCTGAAGCTAGAGGATTGTTTGAGCCCAGGAGTTCAAGATCAGCCCTGGCAACACAGCAAGATTCTGTCGGTATAAAATATTCTAAAATTAGCCAGGCATGTTGGACCATGCCTGTAGTTCTAGCTACTTGAGAGGCTGAGGTGGGAGGATTGCTTGAGCCCCAGAGGTTGAAGCTGCAGTGAGCTGTGATTGCACCACTGCACCCCAGCCTGGAAAACAGAGCAAGACCCTACCTCAAATAAAAATTAAAATTAAAATTAAAATTAAAAAAAGAAACAGAAAGAAAAGAAAGAAAAACTTTCTTTCCTTGGTTTCCATGATTTTTTCCTCTTTTTCTACTGAGGCTTCAGGTTCTCTTCAGGCCTAACAGAGGGGATCCCACTCCCTCACCCCAATTCCAACCCACCGTACCCCACTAGCCATGTCTATTATTGGCTCCCCAGGTACTATATGATCCTTGTGGTTTTCCTACGTCCTGCCCGCAGCTTTGTAAATAGTCCCTTTAATTAAAACTCTGCAAAATACCCAGTTTGGATGTGCCATGTGTTTCCTGCCAGGACCTTGACTGAGTCTCCTCATTCATGGTTGACTGTACAGGGCAGTGGTCAAAGAAGGCTTTCAGACTCATTAAAGTGAAATATTTATGCTATTGTTTGGATGATGATGTCCCCTCCAAAATTTATGCTGAAACTTAATTCCCAGTGCATCTAAGAGGTGTGGTCTTTGCAACGTGATTAAGTCTTGAGGGCTCTCCCTCATGAATGGTATTAGCATCCTTAGAAAAGGGGTTGAGGTTAAAGGGAGCAACCTCTTGCCCTTCAGTCCTTTCTGCCATGTAAGGACAGTGTTCATCCCCTCTGGAGGATGCAGAAACAAGGCACCATATTGGAAGCAAAGAGCAGCCCTCACCAGACACTAGCCTTGCTGGCGCCTTGATCCTGGACTTCCCAGCCTCCAGAACTGTGAGACACAAACTTCTGTTGTTTATAAATTACCCAGTCTGTGCTGTATTTTGTTGCAGCAGCACAAATGGACTACACAATCTATAAAACTTAGAAATATCTTCTGCTCACATTGACCTGTCTTCCCCAATAGAAAATAAGGTCCAGGAAGACTGTGGCTAGCCTTTTACTATTTATACTTAGAACCCAGCACAATAACTAGCACAGAGCAGGCTCACTAAATATTAGGTATGAATGAACACTGAGTCCTCCATGTAGTAGTTTTTCAACAAATGTGCATCCGATCAGTAAGTGAGAGGCCCAAATTTTATTTTTAAGTCTCTAAACAATTCCTTATGAAGCCATAAAAGACTTCTTTTTTGAGAAGACACTGCAATATGGACCGTATTTAGCTATGGTGTTCCTATAGTCTCAAATCTGCCTGCACCTTTATGGTTTTAATACTTCCTGTCATTGCAACATGTTCACCAGATTTTCAATTCCCCCTGTGATACTTTGAAGTAAAGTATGATTGAAGAACTGCAGTCTGAACTTGGACAAAGTGTGTAATAAACAGATTGCAGATAATTTCCTTTAAATGTGATCTTAGATGCTAGGAAGACATTAAGCACATCACAGCAAGAACTTTACCAAGGACATGAGATTCAACTTTCCAATCCAATGCAAATACTACCATATTTCATTGAATCTAAGATGCCACTGATTTTTAGATACTCCGTTATATACCACTAAAAAAACAAAAATGATGCCAGTTAAACTCTGACAACAATGCTTTCTTACTGCTTAGAATCTTTCTATACTTATGAAAAGAGGAATTTTAGATTTATTTAATCAAACATTTTCATTACATCTCACACTGGATTTTTTCCATGCATTTCTACAAATACAATAGCTTTTTGTTTCAATGCCAAATCATGCTGTGATATTGTGAAGATACTGTAAATGGCAATTAAATGCATATAACGCAATTAAAGTGACAACAATAAAAATAGCTATGACCAGATTCCTGTAACCATATCACAACTATGACCTGGCCAACAGAATTGTAAGATGCCATCAATTGTAACTATGTATCTTGATTTCAGAGAAGTTCAAATAGGGGAAGGGGTGGGAGGGAGTAAGTCTTGGAATCAATGAAGTATGGGACTTAGCTCAGAATGAAAGTTCAGGGACTAAGTCCTATATTTCGTTACATCTTTGTTTGTTTGTGTGTGTGTTTGAGACGGAGTCTCACTCTGTTGCCCAGGCTGGAGTGCAATGGCACAATCTCGGCTCACTGCAACCTCTGCCACCCAGGTTCAAGCAATTCTCCTGCCTCAGCATCCTGAATAGCTGGCCACCATATCTGGCTAATTTTTTTTTCTGCTTTTTTTTTTTGAGAAGGAGTCTTGCACTGTCACCCAGGCTGGAGGGCACTGGCACAATCTCCGCTCACTGCAACCACCACCTCCCGGGTTCAAGCGATTCTCCTGCCTCAGCCTCCTGAGTAGCTGGGATTACAGGTGCCTGCCACCACGCCCGGCTAATTTTTTGTATTGTTTTCAGTAGAGACAGGGTTTCATTATGTTGGCCAGGCTGGTATCTAACTCCTGACCTCATGATCTGCCCGCCTCGGCCTCCCAAAGTGCTGGGATTACAGGTGTAAGCCACTACACCCGGCCCCACGTCTGGCTAATTTTTGTAGTTTTAGTAAAGACAAGCTTTCACCATATTGGCTGGTCTTGAGCTCCTGACCTCGTGATCCACCCTCCTCGGCCTCCCAAAGTGCTGGGATTACAGGCGTGAGCCGCCACGCCCAGTACATCTTTTGTAACATGAGTGTTAGGAAGTGGTAAGATTCGGAAAATGAGAAAGAATGGGTAGGGGAGGCAACAATTAGAGAGTGCAAATTCTCACTAGTTTCAAATTCATCTTTTGCAGGTTACAAATGTTTATCAATGTTTATCAAGTTACAAATACTTTTTTGAAAAATCACTCACTAAATAGTTTACTTTTTTTTTTTTTTTTTTTTTGTCACCCAGGCTGGAGTGTAGTGGCATGATCTCAGCTCACTGCAACCTCCATCTCCCTGGCTCAAGCAATTATCCGGCCTCAGCCTCCTGAGTAGCTGGGATTACAGGCTCCCATCACCATGCCCAGCTTATTTTTGTATTTTTAGTAGAGATGGGGTTTCACCGCATTGGCCAGGCTGATCTCGAACTCCTGACCTCAAGTGATCCACCCACCTTGGCCTCCCAAAGTACTGGGATTACAGTTGGCACATTAAATATTTGCTGGTTAATGGTTGCTTAAGGTAAGGCTGAGAGCTAAAGAACAATCTAACGACTTGATTATTGAAGACAACAATCTAGATTACAGGGAATTCCTCAAATTACCCAGGAGGAAATGCTTGTTATGCTCAAATTCAGTGCTGGGTGTTTCCAAAATCAACCCCCAGAAAATCCTTTTTTTTTTTTTTTTTTGAGACAGAGTTTTGCTCTTGTTGCCCAGGCTGGAGTGCAATGGTGCGATCTCGGCTCACCGCAACCTCTGCCTCCCAGGTTCAAGCAATTCTCCTGCTTCAGCCTCCCGAGTAGCTGGGATTACAGGCATGCGCCACCATGGCCTGGTTAATTATTTTTTGGATTTTTAGTAGAGACGGGGTTTCTCCATGTTGGTCACGCGGGTCTCGAATTCCTGACCTCAGGTGATCCTCCCACCTCGGCCTCCCAAAGTGCTGGGATTATAGGTGTGAGCCACCGCGCCTGGCCAAAAGAGGGAAAATCTTATATTTTAGTCCTTACAAAGTCTTTCATACTGTAAAGTACTCTCTCCATTATTTTATTTTGAACTACAAAATATGGTTTGAGGAAGACATATTAGCCTAACTTAATACTAGCTTGGATGCTTATAATCTAATGAAGTTGACTATTTAAAGGGCATATTGTTATTCATTAACCATATCTGGAGGTATGAAAATTGTAAGTGCAGGGTGTCATTTTAATCAAGCCTTTCCAAAATCACCAAATGTAATTAGGCTGTGAAGAGCACAGATGAGTCAGGAAGCCAATAAGGAGAAATAAAAAACCCATTGGCCTTAACATTACATGAATGGCTACTTGTGACTTGGGGTAGAATTTCAGTGACCACATCATTCATAGATTCAGAAAGTGCTGTATCTCAAATAATTTAAACACAAATACAAAGTGTTCAGAAAAACTGTGAGTCTGGTGATGGAGTTCAGAACATGCTGCCCCAAAATATGACACGTTGGCACTGGAGAAAACAGCAGAAGCAAGAAGCCTCCTCTCACCTTCCTCTTGCCCTTCTCCCCTAGAACACGTCATAAAAACATCATTTCAGAGGAATCCTTCCTATTGCTGGAGGAAAGGAACATCCTTATCCTGGGAGACAAGGGAGGGCCAAGAAGAATCTGAACAGGCTTGCTAAGTTCCTGCCAATTTACTATCATCAGATCACAGCCCCTCTGTCCAACCATACTTCCCTATGACTGTCCACTCTTCACTGAACCTAGACATAAAAACAGTTTCCTCTGGGCCGGGCGCGGTGGCTCACGCCTGTAATCCCAGCACTTCGGGAGGCCGAGGTGGGCAGATCATGAGGTCAGGAATTTGAGACCAGCCTGGCCAACATAGTGAAACCCTGTCTCTACTAAAAATACAAAAATTAGCCGGGCGTGGTGGCACATGCCTGTAATCCCAGCTACTCAGGAGGCTGAGGCAGGAGAATTGCTTGAACCTGGGAGGCAGAGGTTGTGGTGGGTCGAGATCACACCACTGCACTCCAGCCTGGGTGACAGAGCGAGACTCCAACTCAAAAAAAAAAAAAAAAAGTTTCCTCTGTTTCTTTGGCTCTTCATTTGTGAAGGCTCCTGTGTCACATAAAACTTCTATTAATAAATTTATATGCTTTTCTCTTGTTAATCTGTCTTTTGTTATAGGGATTTCAGCAATGAACCTTACAATGCAAGAAGAAAAGATATTATTTTGTTCTCCCCTACCATGGTAATGATGAAAGAAACAGATGCCAAAGATGTATGTATGAGTATGAATTAAAATTTTTCTATCCCATATTTTTTTCTTTTTGAGATGAAGTCTCACGCTGTCACCTAGGCTGGAATGCACTGGCATGATCTCCAGTCACTGCAACTTCTACCCCCGGGTTCAAGTGATTCTCCTGCCTCAGCCTTCCAGGTACCTGGGACTACAAGCATGCACCACCACACTTGGCTAAATTTCTTTGATTTTTAGTAGACACAGGGTTTCACCATGTTGGCCAGGCTGGTCTCAAACTTCTGACCTTAGGTGATCTGCCCGCCTCAGCCTACCAAAGTGTTGTCATCTCATATTTTTAAAGTAATGCATTTTACATTTGACATCAAAAATTACAATTTAGGCCAGGTGCAGGCTCACACCTGTAATCCCAGCATTTTGGGTGGCTGAGGCTGGCAGATTGCTTAAGCCCAGGAGTTCAAGACCAGCCTGAGCAATATAGCAAGACCTCTTCTCTAAAAAGAAAAGAAAAACATTTTTTTAATTACAATGTACATATGTAATTAAATTAATAATTAAATATTGGCCAGGCACGATGGTTCACACCTGTAATCCCAGCACTTTGGGAGGCCAAGGCGAGCGGATCGCCTGAGGTCAGGAGTTCGAGACCAGCTTGGCCAACATGAAACCCTGTCTCTACTAAAAATATAAAAATTAAATGGCCATGGTGGCACGCGCCTGTAATCCCAGCTACTCAGGAGGCTGAGGCAGGAGAATCGCTTGAACCCAAGAGGCGGAGGTTGCAGTGAGCCGAGATTACACCATAGCACTCCAGCCTGGGCAACAGAGTGAGACTTCATCTGAAAAAAAAAAAAATTTAAATATTAAGAGTAGATCTTACACTATTTTCCTCTGTATCTCTAAAAGTGTATATTCAAGTTGGCAAAAAACAAATGGTGTCATTGGGGAAATATAAGTAGCATTATATTCAATGTTGCCTTATATTGCAATGCACATGATTTTTGTCCTGAATTAGCTGGATAATTCCCCCCAATTTTTTATTTCACGTGGTCTTTTTAAATGCCCCTTCCTCTTCAAAAACTATAATAAGATTATAAAAATTATGAGCATAAAATGATGAAACAGAAGAACTCTTAAGTGACTGCAGTTAAAGTTAAATCAATTTATAACAGTATCCAGGAATTTGCCTAAAGGAAAATTTCTTCAAGTCCAACTCAGACTGGAAGTTTCTCTTTCTGCCAAAATAAGCAAGTATATGGCGTTCTCCTCTGTGCCCCACTGTGAAAGAGACACTCTCTCAACAACCACTGATCAAAAGCTCTTTTTGGGGCTCAGAAAAGGATATCCACAAAGTATAGTGTTTTGGCATGCTGAGTACTTTGAACTAAAAGTTTGGAAAGCCTCAGAAGCAGCCTCAGAATCAAGGCTGTAACCATGATAGGTTTGTTGCCCAATACACAAAGCAAATCAATACACCAAGACACCAGATTGCAGCAGAGAAAGAGATTTAATAGTAGGGTCATAGAACTAGGAGACAGGAGGAAACCTCAAATCTGTCCTCCTGAGGAGTTTGGAGGTAGAGTTTTCAAGAGTTTTGGAGTGGGCTGAAGCATAGAGATCATTGACTGGTGGAAGAGTGCAGGGTGAAGTCGCGGGACAGGGAAATGAAGAAGTTGTATCGTCACACTCATCTCATTCCCCTGTAGGGGTCTCCAAACTGGTTGCTGGAATTCCAGGTCTAAAAACATCTTAAGTGATCCTAAAACAAAAAGCTTATGATTCTAATGTCAGAGATCCAGTCTATAGGAACTAGAAACAATGAAGATACAAATCAGTGCTTAGTCTTATGACCCTAATGTCAGAGATCCTGTCTATAGGGACAACAGGGATGCAAACAGTCAGTAACTAGTGCTACGTGATTTTTAGCAACAAGGAAGTGAATCAGAGCACAGCCTGGTGAGTGCTTAATTATGACTGTGTTTCTGTCCGTAATCTAGTATGCAATCCTTGTCAACCCTGTTGGGATGGTTTCAAGGTCTTTCTGACCTTCTGCCATCTTCCTGTCTCCCACCCTTCTTTCTCCTTCAAAGCAAATCATAGAAACTAGAATTCTTCTTCCCCAAGGCAAGTCGTAGAAACTAGATCTCGTTTTCCCCAAAGTGAGACATAAAACCTAGAAATATTACTCTAACTCTATCCCGCTTTTCATGTAGGAGCTGGCCACAAAGAAATTTTTTGACCTACCTTGTGTGATTGTGGGTCATAAGACCCACATTCCAGAGGGGTCCTGCCCTGTACCCGGGAGGAAGGAATGCTACAGAGAGTCCAAGAAGAATCTGAACACACAGGCCTTGCTGGGTTCCCCCGTAAACCAAAAATAAAATTCTAAACCTCCTCCAGCTATCTGAATGGACCCATTCTCTTGGCCAAGGGCATTCCAAAATTAACCTGAAAAACTAGTTCAGGCCATGATGGGAAGGGGGAGTCCAACATGCCTCATCATAGCCTCCTCCCTTTTGAAATTCAGGCCCAGCTGACTAGCATTAACATCAACACAGACCCTAAGACTGACAAACAAACTCTTTAAGTCTAACAAGAAACATTTAGAGGCCAGACACAGTGGCTCACGCCTGTAATCCCAGCACTTCGGGAGGCTGAGGCAGACAGATCACCTGAGGTCAGAAATTTGAGACCAGCCTGGCCAACATGGCGAAACCCCGTCTCTACCGAAAATACAAAAATTAGCCAGGCGTGGTGGTGCACACCTGTAGTCCCAACTATTTGGGAGGCTGAGGCAGGACAATCACTTGAACCAGAGAGGCAGAGGTTGCAGTAAGCTGAGATTGTGCCACTGCACTCCAGCCTGGGGGCGACGGGGCGAGACTCCATCTCAAAAAAAAAAAGCAGCCCCCAAATTATTTCTTTTCTGACAAAAAGCAGCCTAAAAACTCAAGCTGCAAGCATAAATAAGCAAGCTGGAGGCTTGCATAGGTAAATGCCGACAGCTGTGCCCATAGAAAAGGGATACCTGAAAGTGGGGTATACTCAACATGCAGGTTTCCTCTTCCCTTTCCTTTTTTTGCCACGTGTGCAGGTGTCATGGCACACTGGCCAGGTAAAGACCCCATCTGCATAGTATAAAATTACGGTGGGATGGCCAGCCACCTCGCGCCTATGTAAATGAAACTACTGGCCCAGCCAATCCACTGCGTTCTACGTAGATCAGACACCTCCTCCTCAAGCTCCTCTATAAAACCACCCGCATCTCACCCCCAAACCCAGAAACCCTCTCGGGCCCCCTTCTTCTGCACGAGGACGCTCTCTCTTATTTCCTTCAACTATTATACTTCTGCTCTTAAACCCACTCCTTGTGTGTGTCTGCATCTTTAATTTCCTTAGCACAAGACGACAAACCTCGGGTATTTCCCCAGACTAAGAACGCCTGCAGTATGAGATGCTCAATTCGTAGTAGAAAAAGAAAGGGTCCTGATAGGATGAAGCCACCATTCCAGTACGAACTGGTGCAGGGTAAGAGCAGCCTGGGACATTCTGAAAAGGTCAGTGGACAAAACACAGGCCCTGACTAACAAAAGAGGAGAATACACACACAGCGAAGACCCTTCCCTCGGGCACACACGGCTAAAGGTTTCGCCAAGTCCCCAGCAGAGACGGATTATAAATTAATAGCAGAACCACCCTGGAAGGTATTTGTAGCTGTTATATAGAAAATGGTGCTTACATTCAGTGCACAGTAAATTGGATCTAGGTCTCCTTGCACGTGTGGGTTTTGGCATTCTTAATTAATGCCTTTATTATCTCTGTAAAGTGGCAAGCTAATGAACCCCTCCAGGTATTGTTACAGCCATATTCAGAGGAAAACCTTAACTGACAATGAGAGTCCAGATTCTGGTGCCCCGAGGGGATGGACCAGGTAAGGATTATCCCCTGCCCTATGGCGTGCTCCCTTAATAAGCGACACGAGTGTGTTGCGTGTAACAATTACTTAGAAATACTTTTCAGCGAGTACTCTAGAAGAAAAGGGAGATGGATTAAATCAAAGGTTTTCCCGGGCAGCCAACTGTTAAGGAGGAATCTGTCATTTTTCTAGATCAGAAAAAAAAAGGATGTAGTACATGGACAATTATTTTGGTCGCCTCTTTGTTCTTCTCTCTGTTTCTGCTTAATACTTCTCACACACCCCAGTGGCCTTTAGAGGACGTATAAATTTCTCTGACATTACTCTTCTCTCCAGTTCCCTATTCTCATGCAAATTCACCCTATAAGTTCTCTTCTTTCTCATCCCATTCCTATTCTGAAACATAAAAAGCACGAAACCCCCAGAAGCCCCGTGGTTGCGCCCGAAGGGGGAGAGGCTAGATAACCTTTTGTATCTTTTCTGTCACTAATTCCTGATCTGAGCCCAACATGTCCCCACTAATGCCGCTGCCTGGAATGGTCTGCAGTTTGAGCTTTTTCCGCCATCCTATCCAATGCCCTTAGCAATTCACATTCATAAAAAGTGAGATTAAATGTATGTAACTGTTGGCCTGTGCTCCCGAATTCCATTGCTGCCTCTACTAATGATTTCCTGTTAAGGGCAGATTTTTACCTCAGTAAAGGTAGCTATGCCTCCCTTGCTGTCAGGAGCAGTTATTAAGCAGCTAAGCCAGGGCCGGGCACAGTGGCTCGTGCCTGTAATCCCAGCACTTTGGGAGGCCCAGGTGGGTGTATCGCTTGAGCCCAGGAGTTCGAGACAAGCCTGGGCAACATGGTGAAACCCCGTCTCTACTAAAAATACAAAAATTAGCCAGTCATGGTGGCGGGTGCTGTCGTACCAGCTACTCAGGAGGCTGTGGTGGGAGGATCACCTGAGCCTGGGAAGGTCGAGACTGCAGTGAGTCATGATAGCACCACTGCACTCCAGCCTGGGTGACAAAGTGAGACCCTGTCTCAAAAAAAATAAAAATAAAAATAAAAACTAAGCCAGGTTTCTCCAACACAAAATAAATTAGCTAATGAGTTTAGTACATGCAGGGCAAAATATAGCAAAAGAATCATTCATTCACTGAGCAAATATTTATTAATCAGTTACTTTATACCCTGTAGGAAATACACACATATAGAAAAGTCCCTAAATTCAAGAAACTTGGGATCTAGTAGAGGAGATAAAACCAAAACTTTTTGTTTTTGAGACAGAGTCTCGCTCTGTTGCCCAAGCTGGAGTGCAGTGGTACGATCTTGGCTCACTGCAACTTCTGTCTGCCTCCCGGGTTCAAGCGATTCTCCCACCTCAGCCTCCCAAGTAGCTGGGATTACTGGCGCCTGTCACCGTACCCAGCTAATTTTTGTATTTTTAGTAAAGACGGGGTTTCACCATGTTGGCCAGGCTAGTCTCGAACTCCTGACCTCAAGTGATCCGCTCGACTCAGCCTCCCAAAGTTCTGGGATTACAGGTGTGAGCCACCACGCCCGGCCTATATACACTATCTGATTTAACTCCCGCGACAACCCTGAGAAGTAAAGTTACTATCCCCATTTTATAGAGGAAGTGAAGGAGATTCAGACAGGCTGAGTAATTTGTCCAAGAAAACTGGCAATGCAAGAATGTATTTATTTATTTATTATTTTTTGTTTTTTTAAAGACAGGGTCTTGCTCTGCCACCCAGGCTGGAGTGCAGTAGCACAATATGGCTCATGCACCATCAAATTCCTGGGCTTGAGGGATCCTCCTGCCTCAGCCCTCCAAGTAGCTAGGACTACAGGTGTGTGCCACCATGACTGGCTATATTTTTCTTTTTTTTTCTTTTTTTTTTTTTTTTGGTAGAGACAGGTAATGCAAGAATTTTAAAACACTCAGGTCTGTCTGTCCGTCCAAACATACATACTAGATATACTACCTCCTCTTTCTCCAACAGGGAAGTTATGTCAAGGAGAAAACATTTTTTCTTCACTCTCTTAGGTTCAGTACCTAGGGGCCTGCAAATTAACCTGACAAAAGACAGATCAACAAGAGAAAAGACAGATTTTTATTCACATACATACATACCTGGGAGTTCACAGAAAAATGTGACTGAAGGAAGCAGAATTGGGGGCTTATATGCCATCTGAATGGGAAATGTGGGGGAGCAGTGAGGCACTTCTGGGAGAACAACTTACTTCTTAGAAGATGGGGAGAAAAAGCACCTAGGGAAACACAAAGGACTTTTTTTTGAAAGACTGATAGATTCATAGGGGAATAGATAGGCGATATGATAGCCTTGTGAGGATGTCTATTGGGGTGTGATGCTGACTTCTCTCTTCTCTGAGAAGGAAAAATCAGTGTTGCTCCTGGGGAGGGGATTTATGACAGTTGGGTTCTTTGGGGAGGCTCTGATTTTTGGCAAATAAAGGATTTCAGGAATTCAAATGCCTTCAGCTCAAAATAACTTTTGGGCCAGGCACGGTGGCTCACGCCTATAATCCCAGCACTTTGGGAGGCCAAGGTGGGCAGATCACTTGAAGTCAGGAATTTGAGACCAGCCTGGTGAAAACCCATCTCTCCTAAAAATACAAAAATTAACTGGGCGTGGTGGCACATGCCTGTAATCCCAGCTACTCAGGAGGCTGAGGCAGGAGAAGTGCTTGAACCCTGGAGACAGAGGTTGCAGTGAGCCAAGATCACGCCACTGCACTCCACCTTGGGCAACAGGGTGAGACTCCGTCTTAAAAGAAAAATAAAAAAGGCATATTTTGATGTGGCATATGCTGATCCTCTTCAGATATAATCTATTAGAACACAAACACAAATAGCAATAGTACAGAAGAGGACATGCTAAATGAAATGCCACAAAACTATGATTAAAATGCAACAAAGTTTCAGAGAAGAGGTCAATCCGTGGGTGAAGTGATCACAGAAGCCTGAATCAGAGCACAGGCAGGTGAGATGCATCTTAGGGTTTCAGCAGGCAGAGCAGGAAGAGCAGTCTAGTAGGCTGAAACGTTTTTTCTAATGGGCATGGTGGGAGGAGGGTATAGAATCTATCTATAGCATGTTACATATCTAGTCTGGCTAAAAAACATGGAATACTTCAAAAATTTGCATGCCATCCTTAAATAAGGTCTCAGCTCCCTTCTCTGAAATTTTGCTACAGGTGAAGGATGAACAACAGACACATTATCATTAAATCAATAACTAGTTTTTGTGGGCCAGGCACAGTGGTTCACACCTGTAATCCCAGTACTTTGGGAGGCTGAGGTGGGTGGATCACTTGAGCTCAAGAGTTCAAGACCAGCCCGGGCAATATGGCAAAACCCTGTCTGTACAAAAAAATACAAAAATTAGCCGAGCATGGTGGCAGGCACCTGTGGTCCCAGCTACTCGAGAGGCTGAGGTGGGAGAATCACTTAAGCCCGGGAGATCGAGGTTGCAGTGAGCCGAGATCACTCCACTACACTCCAGCCTGGACAATAGAGTGATACTCTGTCTAAAAAAAAAAAAAAAAAAAAAAACTAGTTTTTGCTAGGACTAGGAACTGTTTTGATCTTTGGAAACAAAGAACAGGCCAGCCCTTAATAGTATGTGAGTCCTTGTTACATGATAAAAATTCCATACCACAAAAATTGATTGCCCCAGTCATACTGGTCTAGTTGAAGCTGTAAATGGACCCCTTCTTAGTCAAGGAGACTCCATAGAAGCCTTAGAAGCTGGGTTACTGGCCATGACTGGGTGAGAGATCTAACATGCTTTATTATACTCCTTCCTTTTTGGAGCTTAGATGCAACAACTACCCAGCATTAATGTTAAAATAGAGATCTTAAGACTAACAGAATAGACTCTTTGTGGCCAATAAGATACCAAATTATAAACAGAACTTAAGGCAATGAAAGGCAAGGGTGAAGTCTCATCTGCAGTCCATCAATCTTGCTAAACAGGTCATTTTTTATTTTTTTGAGACCGAGTCTCACTCCATCATCCAGGCTGGAGTGCAGTGGCGCAATCTCAGCTCACTGCAGTCTCCACCTCCCAGGCCCAATCAATTCTTCCACCTCAGCCTCCCAAGTGCTGTGACTACAAGTGTACACCACAACACCTGGCTAGTTTTTGCATTTCTTTGCAGAGGTGGGGTTTTGTCATGTTGCCCAGGCTGGTCTCAACTCCTGAGCTCAAACAATTCACCTTCCTTGGCCACCTAAAGTGCTGGGATTACAGGCATGAGCCACCGTGCCTGGCCCTAAACAGGTCATTTTTGACCCAGGATATTGTGGCTGATTCTGACACAGCACCCTCATCTTAAGCATTTCTTTCTGCCAGCTCCAAGTTTTAGGCAGAGCCTTATTCCTTTAACTAATTGCAAATTAAATAATCTCTGGGCCAGGCACAGTGGCTCATGCCTGTAATCCTTGCACTTTGGGAGGCTGAGGGGGTTGGATCGCTTGAGGTCAGGAGTTTGAGACCAGCCTGGACAACATGGCAAAACACCATCTCTACAAAAAAATACAAAAAATCAGACAGCTATGGTGGCACGTGACTGTAATCCCAGCTTCTGAGGAGGCTCAGGCAGGAGGATTGCTTGAGCAAGGGAGGCGGAGGTTACAGTGAGCCGTGATGGCGCCACTGCACTCCAGCCTGGGTGACAGAGTGAGACCCTATCTCAAAAAAAAAAAAAAAAAGAAGAAGAAGAAGAAGAATCTCTGAATTCGCCTATAACCTCTAAGACCCCTCCTTCAAGATATCCTGTCTTTTGGGGCTCAACCAATGTATGCCTTTCATGTATTGATGTATGGCTTTGCCTGTAACTCCTACATCTCTGAAATGTGTAAACCAAACTGTAATTCAGTTGTCCCAGGACCACATACTCAAGGCTTCTTGGGTTGTGTCTTCCCCAGGCCACAGTCACTCCTATTGGTTCACAATAAACCTCTTTAAAATATTTAAGAGTCTGGTTTTTCTGTTAACAGAGCCAAGTGAAACAGAGCAAAGTAAAAATTATAACAGTGAGAAAATTATGGCCGGATGTGGTGGCTCACGCCTGTAATCCTAGCATTTTGGGAGGCTGAGACGGGCAGATCACCAGGTCAGGAGATCGAGACCATCCTGGCTAACACGGTGAAACCCCGTCTCTATTAAAAATACGAAAAATTAGCCGGGCATGGTGGCGGGTGCCTGTAGTCCCAGCTACTCGGGAGGCTGAGGCAGGAGAATGGCGTGAACCCGGGAGGCGGAGCTTGCAGTGAGCCGAGATCGCGCCACTGCACTCCAGCCTGGGTGACAGAGCGAGACTCTGTCTCAAAAAAATTAAAAAAAAGAAAAGAAAATTATGACAGTGAAAGAGACCTGACTTGACCAACCCCAAGCTATCCCTGTTCATTTCTGGTCGTAGGCCAAACTAACTTTGGGAGGAATTTAGTTTAGAGTTTAACTTTGAAACTAAGGCGATAACTGACCTTTCCTGAAACAAATCCGCTTCTTGCCTGGGGACCAGACTCCTTTTGTGAGACTAAAAAATTAGCCACAAGATTATAAATTATGGTTTAGTTTAAGAGCCAAGCAGCCGGGTCTCAGGGAAGATGGTGACGCTGGTGAAACCCGCGCAGTTTGTTGTGCCACCGTTGCTGCAGGTGGTCCAGACTTGGAACCTTGACACAAGGCCCAGGGTCTGGGCGCTGCGGCGGAGCCCAGTGAAAGTGGCGTTTCCTTCCGGAGAGGTGGGGGAACGGAAGCGCGCTCCCGGGAAGCAGCCCGGCAAGGCAGCATCTGAGGCCAGTGCCCATGAGCTACGAGAGACACAGCCGCTTGAGGTGTCCCCATCCCACACTCCCAGCACCTGGGAAGAGTCTGGACTTCGCTACAATAACGTTTTTCCCGGGGACAGGAGGCTGAGCGGTGTAATGACAATAGTAAAGTCCAGGCCATTTCAGGAAAAACAAGGGTAGATACTGCTGGAAGGTCGCAGGCTCATTGCAGAAGCTCTCAAGGCTGGAGCTGTGCCAAACATTTCTTCTTTAGCCGTCTAGAATACCTAAAGGGGCTGCCAGTCGATAAGCTGAAAAGTGTCAGCCTCATTAAGGTGAAATTTGGGGAGATCAAGGATTGGTCCGACCTAGTAACACCACAAGGAATAATGGGTCAGTGATTACATGGTGTGTCTTAAGGTGTGGAGACCTAGGATTAATTGCTCATACTTGTCTTAGGACAGCAGATTTCATTGAAATGAAATTCAAAATGTTACAATTAGAAAAATATAATTATCAAAGCTGTGTATCTTACAGCATTTTAAATGGAAATTGAAACCCGTTTTTCACTATCATTTGGATTATGGCTCCTTATAGTCTCTAGGAAGAACCACTATTCCTCGAACCTTATATTTTTTAGATTACTTCTTCAACTTTTTATGTCAGATTAAAAATTAAGAAAATGTTTACTAAAAGATTTAGCCCTTCATTTTTGCAAAACCTCTGCCCATGTGGTGATAACTGTCAATAAACTCCTTATTCTAGAAGCAGATCTAAGAAGTGAGGTACAAGCCACAATTTATTGCCCTGTTTAGCCCAATAAACAAAGAACCTTGTCTTCTAAAAAAAAAAAAAAAAAAAAAAAAAAAAAAAAAAAGAGTCGTCCAGCCACAAGATTCCGAACCTCCCCAATTGCTCCTAGGGATAACATCACTATTGCAAAACCTAAGATTGGTGCTTAAGGTGTTTTCTAGGCCCTGCATTCTCATGCACCAACTGGCACTACCCAGACCAGTAATCTGGCTCAACCAGTTCTCCAATGCCACCTAGGAACACAAGGCAGCAAGAAGAACCCACTTCAAACCCCTATGATTTTTATCTCCAAACCAACCAATTAGCACTCCCCACTCCCTGGTCCCCTCCCTGCCAAATTATCCTTAAAAACCACAGTCTCCAAATTTTCAGGGAGACTGATTTGAGTAATAAAACTCCAGTCTTCCACTTAACCAGCTCTGTGTGAATTAAACTCTTTCTCTATTGCAATTCCCCTGTCTTAATACATTGGCTCTATCTGGGAAACAGGCAAGGAACCTGTTGGGCAACTATAAAAGTTCTCAACTAGAAGGCTCTGACACTCAAGGAGTTGGTCTCTAACACTTTTTCTTTTTTTTTTTTTTTTTTTTTGAAACGGAGTCTCGTTCTGTCGCCCAGGCTGGAGTGCAGTGGCGCGACCTCGGCTCACTGCAACCTCCGCCTCCCGGGTTCACGCCATTCTCCCGCCTCAGCCTCCCCAGCAGCTGGGACTACAGGCGCCCACCACCACCCTAGGGGAATTTTTTTGTATTTTTAGTAGAGACGGAGATTCACCGTGTTAGCCAGGATGGTCTCGATCTCCTGACCTCGTGATCTGCCCGCCTCGCCCTCCCAAAGTGCTAGGATTACAGGCGTGAGCCACCATGCCCGGCCAGGTCTCTAGCACTTTTTCTAAATATTTCCCTATTTAAAAAATAAATGAGGCTGGGCGCAGTGGCTTATGCCTGTAATCCCAGCACTTTGGGAGGCCCAGACGGGCGGATCACCAGGTCAGGAGATCGAGACCATCCTGGCTAAAATGGTGAAACCCCGTCTCTACTATCTCTACTAAAAATACAAAAAATTAGCCAGGCATGGCGGCGTGCACCTGTAGTCCCAGCCACTCAGGAGGCTGAGGCAGGAGAATGGCGTGAACCCGGGAGGCGGAGGTTGCAGTGAGCCAAGATCGTGCCACTGCACTCCAGCCTGGGTGACAGAGCGAGACTCCCTCTCAAAAAAAAAAAAAAAAAAAAAAAAAAGTAAAAATAGAAAAATAAATGAGAGAAGAGCCTAACTTTACTAACTAACTGTAACTTTACTCTCATCTTGCTTATTTGCATTTCAACAAGCTGTCTTGGTGTCTGAGAAAGGCAGGAAATCTCAGCTTTGGCAAAAAATTACATATAATGGGCAGCATACTTTTTTTTTTTTTTTTTTGAGATGGAGTCTTGCTCTTGTCGCCCAGGCTGGAGTGCAATGGCACAATTTCGGCTCACTGCAACCTCTGCCTCCTGGGTTCAAGCGATTCTCCTGCCTCAGCCTCCCGAGCAGCTGGGATGACAGGCACCCACCACCATGCCGGGCTAATTTTTGTATTTTTAGTAGAGACGGGGTTTCACCATGTTGGCCAGGCTGGTCTCGGACTCCTGACCTCATGATCCGCCGGCCTTGGCCTCCCAAAGCGTTGGGATTACAGGTGTGAGCCACCGCTCCTGGCCAGGCAGCGTATCTTCTATCTATAGCAGGAAGTTATCCCAAGGGTGCACATCGTTTTTATATGTGTCACTGTCTCAAAAGCTTATATGCACGTGGCTTTCACCTCTACACAAAATAGGAGTTTTTATGTTTCCAAGCACATAGTAGATATGAAGGAAGCTTTTTGAGCTCCTATAAGAAAAAGGCACCATGCAATTTAAAAGATATTAGTACTAAGATAGAACAGAGACTCCTGTTAGTGGCCTGCAGGCCTCCACAAGCATGGAAAGAAAGAAAATCTTGAATTCCTTCAAGGGAAATTCCAGGTGCCTAGCCAGCCCTGAGAAATAAATAAACAACTTGATAAGCAAGAAGAAGGGAATAGTAACTTAAAGCAACAGCCAAGGAAGCTAGAATCATGGGATGTCTGCTTCCCTATGGAAACTAAAGATAACATCTTTTTTTGTTTGTTTTTTTTTGAGATGGAGTCTCCCTCTGTTGCCCAGGCTGGAGTGCAGTGGACCATCTCAACTCACTGCAGCCTCTGCCTCCTAGGTTCAAGCTATTCTCCTGCCTCAGCCACCCGTGTAGCTGGGATTAGAGGCATGCACCACCACACCAAGCTAATTTTTGTATTTTTAGTACAGACGGGGTTTTGCCATGTTGCCCAGGCTGGTCTCAAACTCCTGGCCTCAAGTGATCCACCTGCCTCAGCCTCCCAAAGTGTTGGGATTACAGGCGTGAGCCACTGAGCCCAGCCACCCCTGCCTTAAAAAACCCTTACCTGCAAGGTCAGGATTTAAGCATAAGCTGCCTGATCCTCCTTGCTTGGTAACCTGCAGATAAACACCTTCTTTCTTCCCACTGCAAACGTCGGTGTGGATATCTGGTCTTATCGTGTCAGGCAAGCAGACCCCATCTAGCTTCAATAACAGTACTGATGATCATCTCAGGTGGCCTTTTACAAATACATACCTGGCATCCTAATTTTTCAGAAAGATTTGAGGAGTCTTTTTGGAGAGTAGAGGGGTATAGGGTGTGTATTTGTATGTGTGCAATTTTCATTTCAACTGCATGGATTCACACAACATAAAACACGGGCATGAAAAGGACCCCAGTGAATGTTACAGACACCAGCACCTGCCACACGGTCTTGGGACACATGGAAATAATTCATGAAAATAATCAAGCAGGCCAGGCACGGTGGCTCACGCCTGTAATCCCAGCAGTTTGGGAGGCCGAAGCGGGCAGATCACCTGAGGACAGGAGTTTGAGACCAGCCTGACCAACATGATGAAACCCAATCTCTACTAAAAAATACAAAAATTAGCCAGGCATGGTGGCAGGCACCTGTAATCCCAGCTACTAGGGAGGCTGAAGCAGGAGAATTGCTTGAACCTGGGAGGCAGAGGTTGCAGTGAGCCGAGATCGCACCATTGCACTCCAGCCTGGGCAACAGAGCAAGACTCTGTCTCAAAAAAAAAAAAGAAGAAGAGAAAATAATCAAGCGGTTTCACCCCTTGTATCTGTTCAGTAGACCCTCCCTCTCTTTAAAATTATACTGGATGTGGCCAGGTGTGATGGCTAACGCCTGTAATCCCAGCACTTTGGGCAGCCGAGGCAGGTGGATTGCTTGAGGCCAGGAGTTTGAGACCAGCCTGGCCAACATGGTGAAACCCCATCTCTACCAAAAATACAAAAAATTAGTCTTGCGTGGTGGTGGGCGTCTGTAATCTCAGCTACTCAGGAGGACAAAGCAGGAGAATTGCTTGAACCTGGGACGTGGAGGTTACCATGAGCTGAGATCATGCCATTGCACTCCAGCCTGGACAACAAGAGCGAAACTTCATCTAAAAAAAAAAAAAAAAAACCCAATAACTTATGGAAAATAAAATTTAAAAAAATAGAAAAATAAAAAAATAAAGATTGTACTGGATGTAACTAGGACAAGTGATCTCTTTCATCCTACCTCACCAAAGAAGGCCCCTTAGCTGCATAAACTTGTTTAATGAATGAATCACCAAGATGATTAATCAAGGGATAGGAATGACAGTGGTTCCAAATGTGCCTCTATTTTTTGATAGCATGAGAATATCCCTGGCTAAGTAAAAGGGTAGTTGTAACTACTGTTGTAAATCACACTGACTTTTAGCAGGTTGTTTAAAGCAGGATGGAAAGTTCAGCCAGTCCAAGCACCAGGCTAGTCCTCTATTCCACACCTCATAAAATGAACCTAAGGTACCTTTGTAAGAAAGCAGCATAGACCATACAATGCCAGAGTCCCTGGGGAAGAGAGAAAATGTGAAAAGCAAACTATAGGCTTTAAAAAATGCAAATCCAGCTTATGTTTGGATTCAACTATTTTAAAATATGTCCTCTTAGCCCACTAGCCACTCCACTTGGAAGGAGACGTAATTTATGTCTAAGGAGTGGCAGAATTCATTCAGAATCATCATCTTCTAATTCAGCCTCGTGGCTCTAAAAATTGCCTCTGGGTACTTGCCTAAAATAACTTTTAGAGTCTGTACTCCAATAAAGAGTCCTTTGCTGAAACTTGGATCAAATGCTCATTTATTACCCTTACCTCTTTATCAATTAAAAAACATGTTATAAAAGCACATTCTTTATAAGAGGAAAGACATAGAAGTTATTCTCTTTGCTATGCTCACAGTACAATTTTTCCAAAATGAAAGGAAACATGTGTCCAGGGTGGGGAAAATGTGCTGGTGTCATGCGGCGGCTCTATGAAATATTACTACCTGATCAGAATCAGACAGAAACCAATGGGTAGGGGGTAACAACTTCCCTTTGCAAGCATCAGCTCTGTATGCGGTGGAGGTAAAAGTGATTAAGAGACTGAGCCAAGAACTAGAAAATCATATTTTTATTCAATGTTTAAAACTCAACTTTCTCTAGGTACAAGGAATCTCCATCTGTTTTAGAATTGGGATGATCACAAAGGTGCTGGCTGAAATGGTTTATTCCTAAAGCTCCTCTTCTTGAAAAAATATTTATTTAACAGATCAAAGCCTGTGAGCCCATCATCAGCTTTCCATTCTTCTCAGCACACAGCTATTGTGGACCCAGCCGGCTTCCAAATATAGGCATGGAGACATATGATGTCACAGTCTGGCATGCAAAGCTCCCCAACCCCACACATGCATGCACTCATAAAGAATGCAAACGTCTCTTAAAACCGTGCACTTAAACATGTTTTGTAAGGTTCTGTGGTTGCATCCCCAGAGATGGAAGTCAAGGAAAACCTGTTCTGCAGATGGAAAAAAGAGGTTATAGCAGAGAGGTCTACTCTCCTTAATCAGTAGTTTCTGGTCTCTAAAAGCAATGAGCCAGCCAAAGAACAAATGAAAAAAGAAATCTATTGACTAGAAACCCCTTTAAAAGAGGTCTTGGCTGGGTGCAGTGGCTCATGCCTGTAATCCCAGCACTTTGGGAGGCTGAGGCAGGCGGATCACGAGGTCAGGAGATCGAGACCATCCTGGCCAACATGGTGTAACCCCGTCTGTACTGAAAATACAAAAATTAGCTGGGTGTGGTGGTGCGTTCCTGTAATCCCAGCTACTCAGGAGGCTGAGACAGGAGAATAGCTTGAACCAGGGAGTCGGAGGTTGCAGTGAGCAGAGATCGTGCCACTGCACTCCAGCCTGACAACAGAGCAAGACTACATCTAAAAAAAAAAAAAAAAAAAAAAGAGAGAGAGATCTTATATTAAATCTCTGATCCATCTAAAACAGCAACATTCTGTTGTGTTAGACTCAGCATAGCTTTGTCCTTCAAGGGGAGACAGTCCATCAGTAAACACATAATTCTGAGTGACACCTATGTGCCTCTTGCTACAACTAGGGTTGAGGGCTAGATGTCAGAGAAGTTGAGGTTTCTATATGTAGAAAGTCTGCAGTCTAGCTTGGAAGGTGCCTTAGCCCATTCAGGCTGCCACAACAAAATACCATAGACAGGATAATTTATAAACAACAGACATGTATTTACTTATTTATCCACTTATTTTTATTTTTACTTTTATTTTTATTTTTGAGACAGTCTCACTCTGTCACCCAGGCTGGAGTGCAGTGGCGCAATCTCGGCTCACTACAACCTCCACCTCCCGGGTTCAAGCGATTCTCCTGCCTCAGCCTCCTGATTAGATGGGATTACAGGCATCTGCCACAATACCTGGCTAATTTTTGTATTTTTAGTAGAGACAGGGGTTTCACCATGTTGGCCAGGCTGGTCTTGAACTCCTGACCTCAAGTGATTCTTCCACCTCGGCCTCCCAAAGTGCTGGAATTACAGGAGTGAGCCACGGCACCTGGCCTAGTTATTTATTTATTTAGAGACAAAGAGTCTCACTCTGTCACCCAGGTTAGGGGGCAGTGGCATAATCACAGCTCACTGCAGCCTCAAACTCCCAGGTGCCAATGACCCTCCTCATCCTCCCAAGTAGCTGGGATCACAGTCACGTGCTACCACACTCAGCTAACTTCTTAATTTTTGTTGTGATGGGGGTCTTATCATATTGCCCAGGCTGATCTCAAACTTCTAGGCTCAAGTAATCCTTCCACTTTGGCCTCCCAAAGTGCTGGGATTGCAGGTGTGAGTCACTGAGCCTGGCCTATTTCTTCTTCTTCTTCTCCTTTTTTTATTTTGAGATGGGGTTTCACTCTGTTGCCCAGAGTGGAATAGAGTGGTTGAGTCACAGCTCACTGCAGCCTTGAACTCCTGGGCTCATGTAATCCTCCCACCTCAGCCTACTGGGTTGCTGGGACTATAGATATGCACCACTACACTTGGCTAATTTTTTACTTTTTTGTAGAGAAAGTTCTCGCTATGTGGCCCAAGTGGGCCTCAAATTCCTGGGGTCAAGTGATCCTCCTACCCCCACCTCCCGAAGTGCTGGGACTACAGGTGTGAGCCACTGCGACTGGCCCAGAGATTTATTTCTCATGGTTCTGGAGGTGGGGGAGTCCCAGACTGAGGTGCTGGCAGATTCAGTGTCTGGCGAGAGCCCTCTTCCTGGCTCATAGACAGAGCCTTCTCACTGTGTCCTCACATAGGGGAAGGGGCCAGCAAGCTCTCCAGGGTCTCTTTTATAAGGGCACTCATACCATTCATGAGGGCCCCACTCCCATGACCTAATCACCTCCCAAAGGCACCACCTCCTAATATCCTAATACTATCACCTTGGGGGTTAGTATTTCAATATATGAGTTTCGAGGAGACAGAAACATTCAGACCATAACAGGAAGCATAAGGAATATGTGAAATAATTAACAAACGATGCCATATAATATATAATAAAATGTAGAACTGCGAACCAGGCGTGGTGGCTCCTGTCTGTAATCCCAGCACTTTGGAAGGCTGAGACAAGTGGATCACTTGAGCCCAGGAGTTCGAGGCTGCATGCAGTGAGTTATGATGGCAACACTGCACTCTAGCCTGGGTGACAGAACAAGATACTGTCTCTAAAAAAAAAAAAAAAAAAAAAGAGTGTAAATGTGAGCATCACAAGTGTTGCAGATTCCACTGGGGTGTGTTGCAGGTTGGGTTCCTCAGGAAGCCGACTCTGGGGAGGAGATCGGAGCACAGGAATTTACCAGGGAGGGCTCTCAGGGCCAACGCCTGTTGGGAAAATGAAGGACTCAGGACCGGCCAGATGGAGCTGAGCGGCCTGCTGTGGCAAGCTCTGAAGCTGGGATGTCCCTTTAAAACTGTCCCACGCTGGGCCTATAGACAGCTCCACACATTCCTGCCACTCATTGAATGCCCAAGCAGGAGCGTGACATGGGACAAAAGTGACTCCTTGGGCAGAGGCCATTCCCAGGCCACCGCTGAACACTGATGGCTCCCACCCGGCCAACAGCACACCCAGCAGCTGGGGATATAAGTTCTCCATCCTTGAAGGAGAAATCTGGGCAGCACGGCACAGCATCTGCAGGAGAATGGCTCCACACCACAATCTCCCCACTCTGGGAAAGGCCCTCCATGGCCCCAGCCCCCACACCCACCTCTCCCTGCCTGCATCCAGAGAGGTGCCTCATTTCTAGAGGCAATCACCTGACTCAAGCTTAAACATTCCAGTTTTCTCCTGGGACTTGAAACTTGGCATGGATACAGAAAGTAGCAGTTATTGAAGCAGACTTGGTGCCCTGAAGAGAAAGTCTAAATGTTTCTGCAGCTGAAATCCCTGGAGGTTCTCTCTTGCCGCCAACTGGAAGCCAGGGTTCTGGTTCTCCCTTCAGTTCTGTGAGGAGCCGCGGGGCCTTCCCAGGAAATATGTGTTTTGGCCCATATCCCAGAACTGGATTTTATGGGTTGCAAAAAAGACTACCCTAATTAATAAACAAGGATTACAAGGAGGACTAAAGAATCTATTATGATGTGACTTTCATATGTGTCATGTCTAGGACTCCTTCAACACTCTCAGTCCCATGAAGGCAAGGACCAGCCTGCCTTATTTACTCTGAGGTTCTCACTAAGCATGGTGATTGACATAGCATAAGCATCTAGCAAATTTGTTCAGTGTTGGTACTCAGAAACCAAATACCCCAAAATACATCACATTGACATACTGAAAAAGAAGTCTCAAGTTCTCTCTGGCCTCCCCCAACCACCACGACCATCTCTTCCAAAGAGTTAAAAGTTCCTTTATCTGCCTAAGATCCAGGCCCATCAAGAAGAACAATTGTTTTTTCTTCCGCTCCCTGTAAGACCAAGAATGTAACCACACCTGAACCACCCTATCACTGTCAAAGAGAAGTATTTACAAGTTAATCTCTGTTCCCAGATCCATTTATTCTCCCTAGTAATCCCCTCAAAGAATTCCACTTCTACCCTCTTCCATAATCTGTTTTATCCCTGAAACAGCCTGGTTGTCTGGAGTAACACCCCAAGTTCCTTGTCCCATGGCCACAGAGAACAAGGACGCAGACACACAAAGAGTAAGGTTGAGATTGAAAGCATAGTAAGCGAAAGAAAGAGAATAGCTCTTTGCTACAGAGGGGGGTTCCCAGAAAATGCTGGATCTGCAGTGAAATGCAGGGGGGTGTATTGATGAGCTGGTGAGGAGGTGACGTCTGATTTACATAGGGTGCAAAAAACTGGTTAGACTGGGTGTGCCATTTGCATAGGGCACGAATTTCTGGTAGCCCCGCCCTAATCTTTTATTATGCAGGCAGGTCCTCTGCCTGAGCTGCACCATGTTGCCCATTCATTTACTGTACATGTGGTAACCAAAAAAAGGGAAGATGGAACCTCCGTGCTGGACATGCCTGGCCCCCAGGTAGCCCTTTTCTATTGGCACAGTTGCTGGCATTCCCCTGTGCAAGCTTGCAGCTTCCTTGTTCATGTTTGCAGCTCAATTTCTTAGGCTGCTCTTTGTTAGAAATGATTTTGGGGGCTGCTTTTTGTTGTAAGGGACACTCTGCTGAGGACTCTGTTGCCCTCACTATCTGCCTTAATAATTTATTTCTACCTCCAGGATCCAAACCCCCTTTCTTTCTGTAGCCCTAAGATGGTATATAAACTTTTGTACCTCACTATTGGGTTGAGTCTTCATTCTGAACGCTCCCGTGTATACACATTAAATAAATTTGTACGCCTTTTCTCCCATTACTCAATCTCCCCCAGGTCAGTGATTTTTTTTCAGCGAACCTTTAGGGAGTGCCACAGACCTTGGCCCTCACATCAGTGAATGAATGAATGGATGAGAGCAGAGGGCCTCAGCATAGATTGGGATTATAAAAAGGCTCCATGAAGGAGATGGAACTGGATCTGGCATTACATGTGTTGATTTTAAATAGTCAAAATCTGTAACTTAAAGAGGTTTATTCTGAGCCAGATATGAATTATTATAACCTGGGGCCCAGTCCCAAGAGGTTCTAAGAACATGTGCCCAAGGTGGTGGGGTTATAGCTTGGTTTTATATATTTTAGGGAGACAGAAGTTACAGGCAAAAACGTAAATCAATACATGGAAAGTACACATTGGTTTGGCCCAGGAAGGCAGGTCATTTGAAGGGGAAATGCTTACAGGTCATGGTTGGATTCAAAGACTTTCTGACTGGCCATTGGTTGAAAGAGTTAAGTGTTGCCTAAAGAGTTGAAGTCAGAAGGCCAGGTGCGGTGGCTCACGCCTGTAATCCCAGTACTTTGGGAGATCACAAGGTCAGGAGTTTGAGACCAGCCTGGCCAACATGGTGAAACCCCATCTCTACTAAAGATACAAAAAATTAGCCGGGCATGGTGGTGCACGCCTGCAATCCAAGCTACTCAGGAGGCTGAGGCAGGAGAATCGCTTGAACCCAGGAGGCGGAGGTTGCAGTGAGCCAAGACTGTGCCATTGCACTCCAGCCTGGGTGACAGGGTGAGACTCCATCTCAGAAAAAAAAGAGTTGAAGTCAGAAAGAAATGCTTAAGTTAAGATAAGAGAGGTTGTGGAAGCCAAGGTTCTTGTTACGTACACGAAACCTCTAAGTAGCAGGCTTCAGAGAGAATAGATGGTAAATGTCTGCTTTTGGATCTTAAAAGGTGTCAGAGTCTCAGTTAAATCTCCCTTCAATCAGGAAAAGACCTAGTAAGGAAAGGAGATTCTCTACAGAATGTGAATTTACCCCCACAAGAGATGGCTTTGCAGAGCCATTCCAAAATATGTCAAAGAAATATACTTTTGAGCCAGGCGAGGTGGCTCACGCCTGTAATCCCAGCACTTTGGGAGGCTGAGGCAGGTGGATCACTTGAGGTCAGGAGTTCAAGACCAGCCCAGCCAACATGGTGAAAGCCTGTTTCCACTAAAAACACAAAAATTACCTGGGCATGGTGGTGTGCACCTGTAATCCCAGCTACTCAGGAGGCTGAGGTAGGAAAATCGCTTAAACCCAAGGGACAAAAGTTGCAGTGAGACAAGATCATGCCACTGCACTCCAGCCTGGGTAACAAAGTGAAACTTTGTCTCAAAAAAAAAAAAAAAGAAGAAGAAGAAGAAAAGAAACATACTTGTGATACCCAATGGCTGGGCTCCGGGCTAAACCCATCCTTAATCTTGAAACCATGGCCCTAAGTGAAAACAGCTGGCCCGGTTTTTCCACCCAAATGTTGCTTTTTTTGGCCTGCCATGCCCCTATCCTGTGCCCATAAAAAGACTTCAGCTGGCAGAGCAACACATATGGCTGACCAGTGGGGACGCAAGTTGCTGAGCATTGGAGACTACGGATAGACACAGCTAACTTCAAACAGTGTGGCTTCAGGGAAAGATCACCTTCTCCCCACACCATCCCCTTTCCAACTCCCCATTCCACTGAGAGCCACATCCATTGCCCATTAAAACCCTCCACATACACCACCCTTCGATCCATTCCAGTGACCTGATTTTTCCCGGACAGCAGACAAGAACCCAGGCGCTGAGAGTGCAGGGGCTTGGATGCCGTAGGGAGTTGCACAGAGCCTGCTCCCGCCAGACAGGAGTGACCAGCCGGTTCTAGCTTCGTTCCCTCCAGTTCCCGCATTTGCTTGCTCACATGCTCCCTCTCACAAGCAGTGGCCAGGAGCAGGCTGAGTGAAAGGAGTCACTCCAGTTCCCACCCCTGAAGGGGGTCTAGGTCAAGGGAACTAGCCTGTCTCACTTTGGAATAAAATACTTTGATTTCTTCTAAGGCTTGTTGTTATCTGTCTTGTGATGCTATACCAGAGTCAAGTTGGAATTTGTTACCTTATTGCTACAAAGAGTCTGTTTTGTCAGTCTTATGATCTTTATTTTAATGTTAATGTGGTCAATTATGTTTCAACTCCAAAAGGGAGAAGGTATAATGAGGCATGTCCAACTTCCCTTCCCGTCATGGCCTGAGCTAGTTTTTTATGTTTCTTTGGAATCCCCTTGGCCAAGAGGGGAGTCCATTTAGTCACTTGGAGGACTTAGTATTTTATTTTTGGTTTACACATGAAAGAATATAGCTAAACAGAGAAAGGGAACCTGCCAGGAAGCAAGTGGCATGAAAAAAAAGAGCAAAGGAGGCCAGCCTCCTGGCAGTGGAGGGTGTGAATTTCGGGATTAGGTCAGATTGTACAGACTACTGAAACCCATAGAGAGCAAGGTAGATTTCGTGTAGAGGGAAGACATTGCTAAGTCACTGTTCAAAGGAGAACTGGATTCCTCATCAGCTTCCTTTCTCCTACTGAAAAGTCAGACTGAGAGAGAATCTCATGCCAAAACCTGTTAGAAATTTCCACCCGTTGTTATTGCCAGTGGAATTAAGTTAAGAAAAATCTAACCAGAGCCAGACCGAAAAAAGTGATAAGACACGTCACACCTCCCTCTGAGTCTACTTCCTGTCTCAGAGACGGAGGGTGTGTGGCTACCAAAATACTGAATAATAAACTGTGAAACAGCCAGAGTAAGATCCCCACGTGTAGCCCATCTCTCCACCAGAAAACTCAGGGAAAGAAAGAAGGCTGGGGAGCAGTGAGGCCCTGCCTCCTGTGAGGCTTAAACTCCACAGGAAAAATTCTATAAGTTGTAGGGGACCAAAAGTATGCACCCCACAATGACTGTAGACGACTAAAATATGCCACCCAAAAAAAATGCCTCTTTGGCATAAGGATGAGTTTGAGAAACTACAAACCCAAGAGATGTTCTGAAAACAGTAGAAGTTACCCTTTTGTAAGGGAAATTTACATCTGTAAAGGGAATCTCCATTTTTAAGGATATCTTCCTGTACAAGAAAGAGAAGGATGACTCTTAATCACAAGAGACTCTTATCACTGTGAGATGGGATTATTCCCTTGACCTTGACCCCCTTTGTGGGCAGGAACTAGAGTGGCTCGTTTCACCAAGCCTGCAGTCCATGGACAGCTAAGTGTTAACAGCTCAGTGAATGGTGAGGGTGAGAGCCTCCCGCACCTGCCCTTTTTGACACCTGAGTTCTTGTTCAGTGTCCAGGAAGAATCAGGTCACATGAACTGTTTGAAAGATGATGAACGTGGAGGACTTTACTGAATAGTGAAAGTGGCTCTCAGTGGAAGGGGAGCTGGAAAGGAGACAGTGCGGGAAGAAGGTGATCTTTCCCTGCAGTCCAGCTGTCTCTGGCCAGGCTCCCCTCTGAAACTGCACTGTCTGAAGTTAGCCGCATTTAACCATCGTCTCCAACACTCAGTTGCTTCTCTACTCACCATTCAGCAGCTTGCATCCCTGAGGCTCAGCAGCTTATATCCTTGCTGGTCAGCTGCCTGTTTTGTCTTTTCTTTTTTTTTTTTTTTTTTTTCTGCCAGCTGCTCTGGTTTTTATGGGCACAGGATAGGGGGCAGGATAGGCCAAAAAGGCAATCATTTGGGTGAAAAATGGGGCCGAGTTTCCAGGCTTGAGGGTGGAATTTAGCCAGGAGCCCAGCCCTTCTGTATCAGGGTCAGCTGTTTTCACTTAGGGTCGAATTGAGGTTCCAGGTTTGAGGATGGAGTTCAGTCAGAAGCCCAGACATTCTACATTAACTGGAGGAGGCATCAACCTAAATCTGCATAACAAGCTTTTCTCTTATTTACCATAATTTTTCTGATCACATCCCCATAAGCCTTTCCCTGCACTGTTTCTGCAGATAATGGTATTTAATCCTGAATTCAAAGCCACCTCTTTGAGATTGTACTCATTTCTCTGGATATCATCTGTGTATACATGAGGTATACATGGTAATAAGCTTCTGTTTGTTTTTCTCTTGTTAATCTGTCTTTTGTTACAGGGGTCTATCCCAACTAAGTACTATGAAAGTAATGGGGTTCAGGACATGCTATCCCAAAATATGATACTTTGGCATTTGAGAAAACAGCAGAAGCAAGAAGATCTCTCTGACCTTCTAACCTTCTCTCCTGAAGCAGGTCGTGAAAGAATTCTCTGAACTTCCCAAAATAGTCATTCCAGAAGGGTCCTTCCTATATTCACATGAAAGGAATGAAGACAGAGAAACAAAGAAGAATCTGAACAAACAAGCCTTACTAATTTTCCCCCAGTCTATTACCATTAGATCTCTTGCTCCAATCATACTTCTTTTTTTTTTTTTTTTTTTTTTTGAGACAGAGTCTAGCTCTGTCACCCAGGCTGAAGAGCAGTGGCGCGATCTTGGCTCACTGCAACCTCCGCCTCCCAGGTTCACGCAATTCTCCTGCCTCAGTCTCCCGAGTAGCTAGGATTACAGGCACCTGCCACCACACCCGGCTAATTTTTGTTTAGTAGAGACAGGGTTTCACCATGTTGGCCAGGCTGGTCTCAAACTCCTGACCTCAGGCGATCTGCGAGCCTTGGCCTCCCAGAATGCTGGGATTACAGGCGTGAGCCACTGTACCCAGCCCCAATCATCCTTCTGTAACAGTGGATGGAGTCTTAGCATGACTGACTCCATTTTGTCTCTGACCACCCCCTCCACCATGGTAATATCCTTTAGGTTCAAAAGCTTCTGCTTAACTTTGCATGCATACCATCTAATTATATGAGGAATTTAGTTTATAGTTTAGCTTTAGAAAAAAAATAATAGTCCCTTTCCCAAAACTAACCCAAGAGGAGATAAGGAGGATATATATACAAATAAAAATGTTAGGCCGGGCACGGTGGCTCACCCCTGTAATCCCAGCACTTTGGAAGGCCGAGGCAGGTGGATCACCTGAGATCAGGAGTTCAAGACCAGCCTGACCAACAGAGAGAAAACCCGTCTCTATTAAAAATACAAAAAAATTAGCCAGGCATGGTGGTGCATGCCTGCAATCCCAGCTACTCAGGAGGCTGAGGTAGGAGAATCGCTTGAACCTGGGATGCAGAGGTTGCGGTGAGGCGAGATCACGCCACTGCACTCCAGCCTAGGCAACAAGAGTGAAACGCCATCTCAAAAAAAAAAAAAATTATAGAAACATTGTGACCTGACTCAGGACAAAGAATTTTCCCAACCTCCTCGGACCCTTGCTGATGCCCAGATGTCTGTGATCATCAGTTACCTCTCTTGACCACAATCCCTCTTTTCTTCTCCCTGCCCTTAACATAAAAAGTGTCTGAAATTTGTAACTGACTTAAGATGGTTCTTTTTTTTTTTCTGAGACAGAGTCTCTGTCTGTCACCCAGGCTGGAGTGCAGTGGTGCAATCTCAGCTCACTGCAACCTCCGCCTCCTGGGCTTAAACAATTATCCTGCCTCAGCCTGCCAAGTAGCTGGGATTACAGGCATCTGCTACAATACCCAGCTAATTTTTGTATTTTTAGTAGAGACGGCATTTCACCATGTTGGCCAGGCTGGCTCGAACTCCTGGCCTCAAGTGATCCACCTGCCTCAGCCTCCCAAAGTGCTGGGATTACAGATGTGAGCCACCACACCCTGCCAAGATGGTTCTTTTGAACACTAGTCTGCCATCTTCTCAGTTTGCTGGCTCTCAGAATGAAGTTGTTTTCCTTGCCCCGATACTTTGTCTCTTGACTTACTGGCTGCTGTGCAGCAAGTGGTACGAGCTTGGATTCAGTTATATTTCTACACAGCTATCTGAAATGGGAGAGTTTCCTGATCCCCATCGTAGGATGTGCGACAGGGGCGTGGCTCACCTGTTCAGCCGCTGCTCCTGGTCAAACCTCTCAGGTGAGGGGGAGTACACAGACGGACAGATGCAGGAGCCCAAGTGGGCGTGTGTTATAGTGTGCCCTTTTTGCCCTGCCATCCACAGATGACTTAAATGTTAACCAGTTTAATGGACCCTCTGCCTTCTCACAGGGGCAGAAGGTCAATGTGACAGCTTTTTGTATCTCAAACTCTTGCCCAGCATCCTGGAAGAATCGGGGCACACATGGGCTTGAAGGGTAATGCAGGTTTTTGTTGAGTGGTGGAGGTGGCTCTCAGCAGGATGGATGGGGAGCCAGAAGTGGGGGATGGAGTGGGAAGATGATCTTCCCCTGGAGCTTGGCTGTCCAGCGGCCCAATTCCTCTCTGGCCACCCCCAGCAAAACTCCTCTCGGCATTCACATATTCCTCTTCTTCCCTCTTCCTCTGCCGCATCATTTTGCCATTCATCTGCTTGTCCCATCCCTTCATCTGCTCGTCTCCTTCTGGAGCCTGGGGTTTAGGGTTTATGTGGATACAGGATAAAGGGCATGGTGGACCAAAAGGCAATGTTTTGGGTGCAAAAACAGGAATGCCGGTCCCCATTTAGGGCTGTGGGCCTCCAGGCTTAAAGGTGGGGCCTTTGCCAGGAACTGCCCTCTTCTACCCAGTATTTCCCTGTCCTCTGTCCGTATCATATCCACTCTTCATCAAACCTAAGCATAAAAATACAGTTTTGCCAGGTGCGGTGGTGTGTGTCTGTGGTCCCACCTACTGAGAGGCTGAGGCGGGAGAATCACTTGAGCCCAGGAGTTCAAGGCTGTAGTGTGCCATGATCGTGCCTGTGAATAGCTACTGCATTCCAGTCTGGGCAACATAGCAAAACCTCACCTCTAAAAACAAAAAAAAAACCAGTTTTCCCATTTTTTTGGGTCTTCATTTCAAGACTCCTGTGTCACATAAAACTTATATTAAGTTTAGCTGGGTGTGATGGCTTACACCTGTAATCCCAGCCCTTTGGGAGGGTGAGGCAAGTGGATCACCTGAGGTCAAGAGTTGGAGACCAGCCTGGCTAACATGGTGAAACCCCACCTCTACTAAAAATACAAAAAATTAGCCAGGCATGGTGGTAGACACCTGTAATCCCAGCTAGTTGGGAGGCTGAGGCAGGAGAATTGCTTGAACCTGGGAAGCAGAGGTTGCATTCCAGCCGGGGCAACAAGAGCGAAACTCCATCTCAAAAAAAAAAATTATATTAAGTTTATATGCTTTTCTCTTGTTAATGCCTTTTGTTATAGGAGTTTCAGCCATGAACCTTGTGATGGGTGAGGGAAAGACGTTACTTTTTCTTCCCTGCAAAGGATTTGGAGAAAATTATTTTTCCTCCTCTGTAAGATTGAATTAGAGCAGCAGCCCCCAACGTTTTTGGCACCAGGGACCAGTTTCATGGAAGACAATTTTTCCACAGATGCGGGGTGGGGATGGCTTCAGGATCAAACTGTTCCACCTCAGATCATCAGGAATTAAATTCTCATAAGGAGCATGCAACCTAGATCCCTCACATGCACAATTCACAGTAGAGTTCATGCTTCTATGAGAATCTAATGCAGCCTCTGATCTGATAGGCAGAGCTCAGATGGTGTACTAGTCTGTTTTCACACTGCTGATACAGACATAGCCTAGACTGGGTCATTTTTAAAGAAAAAGAGGTTTAATGGACTCACAGTTCCATGTGGCTGGGGAGGCCTCACAATCATGGCAGAGGGCGAAAGGCACGTCTTACGTGGTGGCAGACAAGAGCAAAAAAAAAGAGATAAGCAAAGAGAGCCAAGCGAAAGAGGTTTCCTCTTATAAAACCATCAGATCTCATGAGACTTATTCACTACCATGAGAACAGTATAGGGGAAACCACTCCCATGATTCAATTACCACCATCAGGTCCCTCCCACAACATGTGGGGATTATGGGAGCTAGAATTCAAGATGAGATTTGGGTGGGGACACAGCCAAGCCATATCAGGTGGTAATGGTCGCTCACCCACAGCCCACCTTCTGCTATCCACCCTGGTACCCAAGAGACCATGGACCAGTACCCATCCATAGCCAAGGGGTTGGAGACCCCGAGTTAGAGAACAGAAGGATCCTGCTGCAGTCTGTCATGGAGATTGCAATCTACCCTGGAGATTGTGGTCCTCCCTGGGGATTACAGTTCACCCTGAGGGTTACAGCTGATGGTTCAAAGAATCAAAGGGTGTGTCAGGGGGCTGGTTAAGAAGTCCTACCTGAATACTGCAAGAGCCCTCAGATGAATCTGTTTTAGGACATGAGTAGGGGGCTGAGCACATCAATCTGCCCCCAGCTATGGCTGTAAGAAGTATATAATGAATAGAGCCAAGGGCAGTGAATACTTTAGTCTGTCAGCAATCATCAAGCGTGAACAGATTTACCTTTTGTTTGAAGCTCAGAAAAGGGAGGAGGAAAAAATGTGAGCACTGCAAAATCACACTTAGACAAAGGAAAAGGGAAAAATACACAGAAGTTCACAGAAAAGGCCTACAACTGAAAATGATCCAATGCAGGATCCAGGGGAGAAAAATTAGGAAGCCATTAGATATCCTTAATACGGTCAAGGCAAAAAACTCCAAGTGATCAATTTGTAGAAGTAACAAATACTATAAAGAGAAAACATGGCTGGGCACGGTGTCTCATGCCATGCCTATAATCCCAGCATTTTGGGAGGCTGAGCAGAGCAGATCGCTTGAGATCAGGAGTTTGAGACCAGCCTGGCCAACATAATGAAACCCTGTCTCTACAAAAAAATACAAAAATTAACCGGGCATCGTGGCAGGCACCTGTAATCCCAGCTACTCAGGAAGCTGAGACAGGAGAGTCATTTGAACCTGTGAGGCGGAGGTTGCAGTGAGCTGAGATCACGTTATTGCACTCCAGCCTGGGCAACAGAGCTAGACTCTGTCTCAAAAAAAAAAAAAAAAAAGAAAAGAAAGAAAGAAAGAAAGAAAAGAGAGAAAACAGGTTGAAATGAAAGCCAAAAAAAATCATTAGATTAGTTAACGCTCTTTACTTGCAAATAAGTAAAGAAAAATGGAAGCAAGAGAGGAGAAGGGATTTATTGTAAGAATATGAGGTGATTTTCAGGCTTGAGGGGCAGCCACAGAGCAGGGCCAGAGCTGGAACGCTGTGGGGAATGGGGGTGGCGCTCTCTCTGATCTTTCTTCGTCCGGCTTTCTCACCAGCAAAGGATATGATGAATACTTTCCATTTCAGTCCCAGTGATAGAAGAAACAGTGGCATCTCATTTTAATATGTATTTCTTTGATTATTAGAGAAGTTGAGCATGTTTTCGTGTTTATCAGTATTCCCATTCAGTCTGAGCAGGGGTGCTATGAAAAATGAGATGAGAGAATAGAAAATAATTTTGAAAAAAATATATGGAGGCTGCTGTGTTACTCTACTTTTGCAAGAAATGAAGAGTGGTTTATATTGAATACATATTTCAAATAAATTTCGAAGTTCATCAGGTTTCTATTAAAGAAGAGCAATGTTTATATACACAGAGTCAGTTTAGGTGATGAAATTGCAACCAAGAAAAGAAGCACTTGATGTCTAGATAGATAAAGATCAGTTATTCCGCCCTAAACCAAACCTCCCCCACTCACCAAAAAAAAAATTAGTTAAGAAAAGAAAAAAATGGTAAACCTGAAAGGTATTTGATGTCCTAGGTTATCCTTTCTAAACTGTCTTTGATTTTGGGGGACTTTATCTCCTTCAGGGAAAGAATGTATGGTTCACTTAGCTCTACTTATGGTACAACAGCCCCCTGCTTATCTTTGTGGGATGCATTCCAAGACCCCCCAGTGGAAGTCTGAAACCATGGATTGTACTGAATCCTACGTATATATGTTTTTTTCCTATACATACAAATCTATGATGTTTAATTTATAAATTAGGCACAGTAAGAGATTAATAATAGGTAATAGGTCAAGACCTGGTGGCTCACACCTGTAGTCCTAGCACTTTGGGAGGCCAAGGCAGACGGATCACTTGAGGTCAGGAGCTCAAGACCAGCCTGGCCAACATAGTGAAACCCCATCTCTACTAAAAATACAAAAAAAAAAAAAAAATAGCCGGGCGTAGTGGCAGGCACCTGTAATCCTAGCTACCTGGGGAGGCTGAGGCAGGAGAATTGCTTGAACCCAGAAGGAGGAGGTTGCAGTGAGCAGAGATTGCACCACTGCACTCCATCTGCATCTCCAGCCTGAGCCACAGAGCAAGACTCCATCTTAAAAAAAAAAAAAAAAAAAGCTACAATAATAGCTAATAATAAAATAGAATAATTCTAACAATATACTGCAATAAAAGTTACACAAATGTGTTCTCTCTCTCAAAATATCTTACTGTTCTATACTCACCGTTCTTCTCGTGATGACGTGAGATGATACGATGCCTACCTGGTGAGATGCAGTGAGGTGAATGACGGGCATTGTGATGTCATGTTAGGCAACTACTGACCTTCTGATAATATGTCAGAGAAAGGATGATCTGCTTCAGGTGATCCTGGATCACAGAGCCATGACCATCTTGATGGTTGGATGTCAGGAGCAGAATATGTCAATGACTAGCAGACAGGTAGCATCCACAATGTGAATACGCTGGACAAAGGGATGATTTGTACAGGGTGGGGCAGAGAAGAGACCCCCCCCCGCCCCACCGCCATTATTTCATCATGCTACTCAGAGCGGCAAGCAGTTTAAAAGTTATGAATGGTTTATTTCTGGAATTTGCCGTTTAGTATTTTCAGACCACAGTTGACCTTGGGTAACTGAAACCTTGGAAAGCGAAACTGCAGAGGAGGGACTACTATATTTTCCTCAAGTTTTTTTGTTTTGATTTTGGTTTTTTTGTGTTTTTTGTGGGAGGGGGGGTTGTTTTGTTTTGTTTTGAGATGTCTTCATTGTGTTGCCCAGGCTGGAGTGCAGTGGTACAATCTCAGCTCACTGCAACCTCCGCCTCCTGGGTTCAAGCGATTCTCCTGCCTCAGCCTCCCGAGTAGCTGGGGCTACAGGCACGCACCACCATGTCCAGCTAATTTTTGTAGTTTTAGTAAAGACGGGGTTTCACTACGAAGGTCAGGCTGGTCTCGAACTCCTGACCTTGTGATCCGCCTGCCTCAGCCTTCCAAATTGCTGGGATTACAGGCTGAGCCACTGCACACGGCCTTTTGTGTGTGTGTGTGTGTGTGTGTGTGTGTGTGTGTGTGTGTGTTCTAAATATGTTTAGAGACAGGGTTTTGCT
Source organism: Homo sapiens (assembly GCF_000001405.40). NCBI lineage: Eukaryota > Metazoa > Chordata > Mammalia > Primates > Hominidae > Homo > Homo sapiens. The sequence continues at coordinate 21,415,560 of NC_000010.11, forward strand.
ATGGTGCCCAGGCTGGGGTGCAGTGGTTATTCACAGATGCAATCATCATGCACCGAAGCCTCAAACTTCCGGGCTCAAGCAATTCTCCTGCCTCAGCCTCCTGAGTAGTTGGGACTACCACTCAGGTGTGCACCATAGCGCCCAGCATTTTCCTCAAATTTTAACCCAATAAAATCAAAACAACTAATAGGAGTTACTTGAGTCTGTTTTGGGAGTTAGTTTTCTCATTTAGAAGTTTGGTCAATACAAAAAGAGACATGCCAAGCCAGGCACGGTGGCTTATGCCTGTAATCCCAGCACTTTGAGAGGCTGAGGCAGGCAGATCACTTGAGGCCAGGAGTTCGAGACCAGCCTGGCCAACATGGCGAAACCCTGTCTCTACTAAAAATACAAAAATTAGCTGGGCGTGGCGGTGCACGCCTGTGGTCTCAGCTACTCCAGAGGCTGAGGTAGGAGAATCACTTGAACCCAAAAGGCAGAGGTGGCAGTGAGCCGAGATTGTGCCACTGCACTCCAGTCTGGGCGACAGAGCAAGACCCTGTCTCAAAAAAAAAAAAAGAGGCATGCCTTCTCAGGGTTAGTTTATCAATGGCATAATGAGGAAAAAAACTGAATTATATTGACTGCTCTTCCTCTTAGTATAAAGATGATGTAGGCCAGGCATGGTGGCCCAAGCCTGTAATCTCAGCACTTTGGGAAGCTTAAGACAGGAGGATTACTTGAGCCCAGGAATTCAAGACCAGCCTGGACAAGGTAGCAAGAGCCTTTCTCTACAAAAAAATTAAAAAATTAGCCAGGCATGGCCGGGCACGGTGGCACACGCCTATAATCCCAGCACTTTGGGAGGCTGAGGTGGGCAATTCACCTGAGGTCGGGAGTTTGAGACCAGCCTGACCAACATGAAGAAACCCCGTCACTACTAAAAATGCAAAAATTAGCCAGGCGTGGTGGTGCATGCCTGTAATCCCAGGTACTGGGAAGGCTGAAGCAGGAGAATCACTTGAACCTGGGAGGTGGAGGCTGCGGTGAGCCGAGATCGTGCCACTGCATTCCAGCCTGGGCAACAAGAGTGAAACTCCACCTCAAAAAAAAAAAAAAAATTAGCCAGGCATGGTGGCCTGCACCTATAGTGCTAGCTACTCAGGAGGCTGAGGTGGAAGGAGGCCAAGGCTGCAGTGAGCTCTGATTGTGCCACTTGCATTTCAGCCTGGATGACAGTGCAAAACTCTGTCTCCACAAAAAAAAAAAAAGACAATGTGATTTACATGTATCTTCTTCAATATTCTTCCACCAATTGGGCATCGCTTTTAGAGTATTCTTTTTTTTTTTTTTTTTTTTTTTTTTTAGACAGAGTCTTGCTCTGTCACCCAGGCTGGAGTGCAGTGGCACCATCTCGGCTCACTGCAACCTCCACCTCCCAGGTTCAAGCGATTCTCCTGTCTCAGCCTCCCGAGTAGATGGGATTACAGGCACCCGCCACCACACCCGGCTAATTTTTGTATTTTTAGTAGAGACGAGGTTTCACCATGTTAGTCAGGCTGGTCTGGAACTCCTGACCTCAGGTGATCCACTCGCCTCGGCCTCCCAAAATGCTGGGATTACAGGCGTGAGCCACCGTGCCCAGTCGTTTAGAGTATTCTTTTACAAACTTTTTTCCCAATTGAGACTATATCTTCACTATAAAAACACCATCATGTATTATTGAATCTGTCATGAGAGAGAGGAAAGAGAAAGAGAGAAGAGACTCTCCCCCAGTAAGGACTCCCTGAGCTGGCAGAGCCTGTCCCTGGGCCCCTGGGCCCTAGTGGGAAAGGCCTAATCCCAACTGGGCAAAAAGATCTATCTTGAGGGTGTAAATCGAAGACCATTAGCATTTCCAAATACTCTGCCAAATGGTTAATTATAATCAGAAAGAAGAGTTCTTCACCACTTAACACAAAATTAAGCACATTGCCTCCCAGAGAGGGGTCTGTAGTATGAAAACAACATCCTTTTGGTCAGGTGCAGGGGCTCACGTCTACAACCCCAGCACTTTAGGAGGCTGAGGTAGGCGAATCGCTTGAGACCAGCATGGGCAACATAGTGAAACCCCATCTCTACATAAAAATACAAAAATTAGCTGAGTGTGGTGGTATGTGCCTGTATTCCAGCTATTGAGAGGCTGAGGTGGGAGGATCGCTTGACCCAGGGAGGTCGAGGATGCAGTGAGCCAAGATCACATCAGTGCACTCCAGCCTGGATTGTAGAACCAGAACTTACCTCTAAAAACAAACAAACAAACAAACAGAAAACAAAAATACCCAACTGAACTTCTGTAAGCCCTAAAATCTGCCTTTATTTTCTTTTTCTGGCTCCAGTTTTCTAACACTCCACCCTAGAGGTATAAACAAAGCAAATCTCATGAGAGACTATTTCCATCTAGTTCCTCACGAACCATTTATTTGGTCTTCATAAGACACTCCAACACATGCGATGCAAATCTAATGTTGAAAAAGATTTTTTTTTAATGCTATTTGCCTGACCAGAGATAACAAACAGGATACCTTATTCTGGTTTCTGATTTCTCTTTTATAGGAAATATTTTCATGCCATCCATAGAACAATAAAGGAAGCCAAATGAAACCTCTGCGCCTCGCTCCCTGAATCCAAGCAGCGATGCCGCTACCCCGTGTTAAGGATCCGTTTCTGATTTAGAAGGGCCTAGACATAAGCTCATGAAGCCGAGCATCCAAAAGCAAAACTCAACATCAAACATGTCTCGAACTATGACGTGTACTTTCCAATTTACCCTCGGAGTGGGAATACTTCTGTCATCTGTATAGCATTTAAAGGAAAAATGCCCATTAAGGAGGAGAAGGTAAGAGTAAGCAAATCGTTTTTGCACATCTGAAAACCCTCCTGTTTCAAAAACTTGAAACAGTTGGAAATTCAGCTGGCCAGAAAGATCTGAACTTAGACTCACTTCAAAGCAACCCAGCGAACACTGGCATTGTTTGTTTCCTAGGGGCTCCCCTTGCTCCTTCTGTCCGTCCTCTGTCAGAATAAGAACTTCAGGCCATGCGCGGTGGCTCATGCCTACAATCCCAGCACTTCAGGAGGCCGAGGTGGGCAGATTGCTCGAGCTCAGGAGTTCGAGACCAGCCTGGGCAACATGACGAAATCCCATCTCTACAAAAAACAGAAAAATTAGCCAGACATGGTGGCACACACCTGTAGTTCCAGCTACTCGGGAGGCTGAGGTGAGGGGGATCACTTGAATCCAGGAGGACAAGGCTGCAGTGAGCTATGATCATACTACTGCACTCCATCAGACCAACACCCTGTCTCAAAATATAAAAAATAAAAATTGGCCGGGCACCGTGGCTCACGACTGTAATCCCAGCACTTTGGGAGGCCCAGGCAGGTGGATCACGAGGTCAGGAGATCAAGACCGTCCTGTCTAACACGGTGAAAACCCATCTCTACTCAAAATACAAAAAATTAGCCGGGCGTGGTGGCAGGTGCCTGTAATCCCAGCTACTCAGGAGGCTGAGGCAGGAGAATCGCTTGAATCCAGGAGGCAGAGAATGCAGTGAGCTGAGATCACACCACTGCATTCCAGTCTGGTGACAGAGCAAGACTCTATCTTAAAAAAAAAAAAAAAGGCAGTGGGGCTAAAGAGAAAAAGAGGCAGGGCATGGTGGCTTACTCCTGTAATCCCAGCAATTTGGGAGGCCAAGGCAGGAGGATTGCTTGAGTCCAGGAGTTCAAGACCAGCCTGGACAACATAGCAAGACCCTACCTCTACAAAAAATGTAAAAATTAGCCAGGTGTGGTGGTGCATGCCTATAGTCCTAGCTACCCAGGAGGCTAAGGCAGAAGGATTGCCTAAATCCAGCAGTTGGAGGCTGCAGTGAGCCATGATCATGCCACAGCACTCTAGCCTGGGCAACAGAGAGAGACTCTGTCTCAAAAGAGAGGGAGAAAAAAAGGGAATCTCAAAATTGGGGTTCATTGTGAAAATTAAGGTATTCTTATTTTATTTTTTAGGGGAGGAAAACTGTCTTTTCCTCACACATGGCTAAGACACCCATAACAAAAGACAGATTAACAAGAGAAAAGCATACATACAGATTGATTTAATGTAAGTTTTGTTTGTTTGTTTGTTTGTTTTGGAGACGGAGTCTCGCTCTGTTTTCTAGCCTAGAGTGCAGTGGTGCGATCTCAGCTCACTGCAACCTCTGCCTCCCAGGTTCAAGCAATTCTCCTGCCTCAAGCTCCCAAGTAGCTGCAACTACAGGCGCATGCCACCACGCCTGGCTAATTTTTTGTGTTTTTTAGTAGAGACAGGGTTTCACTGTGTTAGCCAGGATGGTCTCAATCTCCTGACCTTATGATCCACCTGCCTCAGCCTCCCAAAGTGCTGGGATGACAGGCATGAGCCACCACGCTGGGCAGATTTAATGTAAGTTTTACATGGCAAAGGAGCCTTTAGAAATGAAGACCCGGCCGGGTGTGGTGGAGCGCACCTGTAACCCCAGCTACTCAGGAGGCTGAGACAGGAGAATCACTTCAACCCAGAAGGCAGAGATTGCAGTGAGCCCAGATGAAGCCACTGCACTCCAGCTTGGGCAACAGAGGGAGACTCTGTCTCAAAACAAACAAACAAATAAACAAACAAACAAATGAAGACACAAAGAAACAGTCAACCTGAGTGTTTGTTATAGTAGGTTTGAAGAAGAGTGGACAGTTGTGGAGAAATATGAGCAGGCAAAAAGAGAATGATCTAATAGTAATAAACTGGGGGAAACTAAGCCAGGCCTGTTTGTTCCAATTCTTCCCTGTGACCCTGTGTCTTCAGAGATAAGGATGTCCCTTTCCTCCTGGTATAGGCAGGGCATCTCTCACGTGAAAGTCTTACACCCTGCTTCAGCTGAGAACAGCAGGGAAAGGTCGGGGAGAGCTTCCTGCTTCTGATGTTTTCTCAAGTTCCTTCAGCTTAAAATATTCAGTATGCCAAAGTGCCATATTTTAGGGTAATGTATCCTAAACCCTATCAATTGCCTTATTTTTATTTATTTATTTATTTGAAAGAGTCTTGCTCTGTTGCCCAGGCTGGAGCGCAGTGGTGCAATCACAGCTCACTGTAGCCTTGACCTCCCTGGCTCAAGTGATCCTCCCACCTCGGCCTCCTGAGTAGATGGGACCACAAGTGCAAGCCACCACATCTGGCTAATTTTTTAAATTTTGTTGTAGAGAGAGGGTCTCACCTTGTTGCCCAGGCTGGTCTCGAACTCCTGGGCTCAACTGATCCTCCTGCCTTGGCCTCCCAAAGTGTTAGCATTACAGATTTGAGCCATCGTGCCCTGCCATTCCATCAATTGCTTTATGTTGTTTTTATACATGTGGGAAGTCACCCTCTGGGCAGAGTTAGGGCCTGTAAAGGACTCATTTCATTCTACAGTTACATGTTTTGGCAGAAACAGTTTTTGCACCCCTGGAAAGCTAAATAGAGGAGCACATGAGATGTCACTGCAAAGAAGCAGATTTTGTGATTAGTTTATGAAAACTCTCTCATTATCTCCTAATAGCACTTTTGCTACTTGTGGGTTACATGTGATTAAAGGTTTGCTCTGAGTCTTTGTGTAATTAGCTCTGTGTGCATGTGTGCGCATGTAAGTGTTTGGAAAAGCATGTGTGTGCAAGATATGGGTGAGTAAAGGATCCCAAATGGGATCCTAATCTCAAAAACGTTGGCTCAGAAGTGAGACAGATTGACACAATCTATAAAATGAATAAGAAACAGAAAGGAAATTGAGTCAGAAGAGGAAAAGGGCCAACATTATTGAAAAGGCACAAATGCCACAAATTGAAAATAGATGTGCACCACCAGTTGTAACTGTTTGCCATGCTGCTGCAACGTTTAAAAATTACCAGCTCTATAACACAATTCAATACTGTGTTTAATAACCTGAGTGGGTTTAGACATTCGCCATTCACATGTGAAAGAAGTTTAGGTCAGGCTGAAGAAAAAACTTACTGAAGAATATAAAGGGTTTTTAGTTTATAGGCATAATTTATAATATTTTAATTAACCTAAATTTTTATAAAATAGTGCCTACATTTCAGAGAGAAGCAAAATATCAGGGAAATGATCCCCAATTTATCATTTCTCATTAATAGGAAGAAGTTAATTCTACTTTCTGAAAACCTTTCATTTTGATCGACTTTGCCCATGTAAAAATGGAGAAATGTAATGTGATATTTTAAATCTCATAGACAGGTTTAGCATGAAATGTTACAAGAAAATGGAAGAGGCATGTAGATCGTAGCTGATTTCCCCCTGGAATGTGTTTTCTTGAAGGTTTAGGTACTTTTGCAAATCTCCTGAGCTTGTATAATGGTTTACTCTTTTTCAAAGGGCTTTTACATTCCTGATCCTTGTTGATCCCCATTAACAGCTTTGCCCGATGCATGAGTATTAAGCATAAGGAGAGTGAGCCACAGAGATGTTGTGTAGTTTATTCAAGATGTCACAGCCAGTGACAGCCCCACAACAAGTAATTTCTATTCTCCTTCCAGTAGTCACTAATGCCTCCCTAGAATAAGACAAAGGTTATCCGCACATCCCCGTCCAAGAACTGTGGAGCTATAGAGCCTCCCATCATATTGTATTGTAGTGAGATTACTCAAGGGGCATTTCTTGTCAGAGGGTACCACGCGGCCACCCAGGTTGTGCGTGTTCATTCTGATCAGTTGGTGCCTGGGCCATGATAAATATTTGAATATCACCTGTGATTACATGTAAAGAAGAAAAGGCCCTGGATGGTCCTTGTTTTTTGTTTTTTGTTTCTTTTGAGACGGAGTTTAGCTCTTGTTGCCCAGGTTGGAGTGCAGTGGTGCGATCTCGGCTCACTGCAACCTCCACCTCCCAGCTTCAAGCGATTCTCCTGCCTCAGCCTCCCGAGTAGCTGGGATGACAGGCATGGGCCACCATGCCCAGCTAATTTTGTATTTTTTAGTAGAGACGGGGTTTCTCCATGTTGGTCAGGCTGGTCTCGAACTCCTGACCTCAGGGGATCCACCCACCTTGGCCTACCAAAGTGCTGGGATTACAGGCGTGAGCCACCGCGCCCGGCCTAGTCCTTGTTTTTATTATTACGAATAATGCCGTCATCTGGCTGGGCGTGGTGGCTCACGCCTGTAATCTCAGCACTGGGAGGCCGAAGCGGGTGGATCATTTGAGGTCAGGAGTTCAAGACCAGCCTGGCCAACGTGGTGAAACCCAGTCTCTACCAAAAAAAAAAAAAAAAAAATTAGCCAGGCATGGTGGCAGGTGCCTGTAATCCCAGCTACTCAAGAGGTTGAGGCCGGAGAATTGCTTGAACCCAGGGGGCGGAAGTTACAGTGAGCTGAGATTGCGCCACTGCACTCCACCCTGGGCGACAGAATGAGACTTGGTCTCAAAAAAAAAAAAAAAAAAAAAAGAAGAAGAAGAATGCAGTCATCACTGCTACCGTTGAGCACTTATTATGCATAAGGTGGCTCACTGATCATGCTATGTGGATAATCTTATTTAATTCTCACAGCTACTCTAGACAGTCAATACTCCTAGCTTCAACTTTACTGATAAGAAAACCTAGACCCAGAGAGGCTGGGTACAGTGGCTCGTGCCTGTAATCCCAGCACTTTGGGAAGCCAAAGTGCCTGAACAACATTGCAAGACCCTATCTCTACAAAACATAAAAAATTAGCCAGGCATGGTGGTGTGTACCTGCAGTCTCAGCTACTGGAGGCCTGAGGTGGGAGGACCACTTGAGCCCAGGAGGTTGAGGCTGCAGTGAGCCATCATCTCACCACTGCACTCTGGCCTGGGCAACAGAATGAGACTCTGTCTCAGGAAAGAAAGAACAAAAGAAAGAATGAAAGAAAGAAGGAAGGAAGGAGGGAGGGAAGGAAGGAAGGAAGGAAGGAAGGAGAGAGAAAGGGAGAAAGAAAGGAGAGAAAGGAAAGGAGGGAAGGAAGGAAGGAAGGAAGGAAGGAAGGAAGGAAGGAAGGAAGGAAGTAAAGAAGGAAGGAAGGAAAGAAACTAGGCCCAGAGAAACGAAATAACTTGTCCGAGGATATGCAGATAATAGAGTGAGAAGCCAGGGATTGAGCTTGGCAGTCAGACTCCAGGACTTGTGCTTCTGATCATTGTGATCACCTGCCATTCGTCAGCAGGGTTTTACTAAGCCTGTTCTGGTCCCATCTATGTATGAAATGTGAAATTAAAGAGGAAATATAGCTGAAGCCCAGCCTTTCCTTTGTTAATCAGCATACAAAAAGTACTCTGAACCCAACGGATGAAACTCAGGGGCTTCAGATGCCCACCAATCCAACCTGTTCCTGCCATTTAAACCTTTTTTGTGTTTTGTTTTGTTGCTTTGTGTTGTTTTGTTTCTGTAGAGATGGGGTCTTGCTATGTTGCCCGGGATGGTCTTGAACTCCTAGGCTCAAGGGATCCTCCCACCTTGGCCTCCAAAGTGCTGGGATTCGCCAATGTGAACCATCACGCCCAGCCCAGTTGAAACTTTCGCTATCACAGCAGTTCATTTTACTTAAGACATGTGCACATTATGTTACAGACAGAATTTAAAAATCTAAATGCTATGTTAAATTTACTAGATAATTATACTCTTCCTATGTACCACAAAAATTACAAATAAAAAAAGTTTTCAATAAAAGAATAAAAATAATAAAAAATAAATTTACTAGATGATTAATCCTTTAAAAATTCTATTGTGAATCATTTGTCAAATGAAGAATTATTCCTTTAAAATTGCTTTTCTAAAACTCAGATTTTCATCATAAAGTGCTTAATTAGAAAGACTCCCGTAATTCTTCAGGTCATTTACAAGCTTTGTGCTTTTGCTTTGTGGTCCTAAAAACTGCTCCAGAGGGGTTACAACAATCCCTTCTTCCTTCTTAAATAAGTTCTTCATTTGCCTAATTCCACAGAGGGGAGGGTTCTGGTCTATCTGATGGTTTTCATGAACACATCAACACTTATTTTACTTTGGTGACATATTTTGTGGTGATAGTTCATTAATAGATTAAGGAAACATTGCAACCTACCACATTCCGGTAAATGATCAGGACAAGATTAATGGTTACATTTAATGAAAGCCATCTGTTTATTAAAGCAGCTTACTCACTTTCTTTATTTCATTTTGGATTCCAATACATTGTGACTGCCTTGAAGCATACGTGCCTCAGGCTGAGAAAGTGTAATTCTTTATGCATAGTATTCACCACTTTCAGAACACTAACCAATACCCACGTGGTCTATAGTTGGAAAAGGAAAAACATAGCCAACTGACAAGCTGTTTTGTTGACTTGATGTCTACCAATAAGTCTGGGTTTTGGGGTTTTTTTTTTTTTTTTTTTTTGAGACAGAGTCTTGCTCTGTCGCCTCAGTGGCACAATCTTGGCTCACCGCAACCTCCGCCTCCTGGGTTCAAGTGATTTTCCTGCCTCAGCCTCCCCAGTAGCTGGGGTTACAGGCACGTGCCACCACGCCTGGCTAATTTTTGTATTTTTAGTAGGGAAAGGGTTTCACCATGTTGGCCAGGCTGGTCTCGAACTCCTGGCCTCAACCCATCCTCAAGCCTCGGCCTCCCAAAGTGCTGGGATTACAGGCATGAGCCACCGCGCCTAGCCGGTTTTTCTTTTTTTTTTTTTTTAATGTCCTCCTGGCTTAAATGAATTAACAAGTGTTTGCTTGGTGTGTAGGTTCCACTGCAGAATGATAGAACCCAGACAACTATTTTACCCTCTTCCCCAAGGCAGGACCAGTCTACTACTGCAAGACTTATGTAATTGTCTGAAATGAAGTAGACACAGTTACTTTCTTCGTGACTTTTAACCTAATAAGTGGAGTAAAATATGTGCTGGAAGAGGGGAAACAGCATGCATTCCATCTTTTGAAGGCACTCCTCAAAGTGGGTATATGTATGTTAAAAATCTAGAAGGACAGACTGGGCATGGTGGCTCACACCTGTAATCCTAGCACTTTGGGAGGTGAGGCAAGAGGATCACTTGAATCCAGGAGTTTGAAACCAGCCCGGGCAACAAAATGAGATCCTGCCTCCACTTAAAAAAAAATAGCTGAGTGTGGTGGTGCACATCTGTAATCCCAGCTACTCAGGAGGCTGAGGTGAGAGGATCACTTGAACCCTGAATTTGAGGCTGCAGTGAGCCATGATCACGCCACTGCACTCCAACCTGGGCAACAGAGCAAGACCCTGACTCAAAAAAAAAAAATCTAGAAGGACATATTTTAATATATTAACAATAACCATCTCTGGAGGTGAGATTGAGTGATTTTTATTTTCTTTTTAAAATGTTTTATTATCTATATTTTCAAAATGTTCTTTCTAATCTATTATTACCATCTCAATAATAAAAGAATAAAACAACCTTTTTGTTTTACTACTAGCTGCATTTATGTCACTCCCTGATTAATATTTTAGTGGCAAATTTACAAGTATAATAGTAAATAAGATTAAAATTCATATAATTTGTATGTGATGATTTATACCTTTATTTCTATTCCAAAACAAGGGTATGTCAAGGTTTATCTAATAAAGCCATTTTCTACTCAGTTATACTAGTAATGAAATCTCATTCATCTCCATCATCGAGTGACAAGACCACAAAAAATTCTGGTTTTAAAATAGAGCCTTCTTACACAGCAAACGATTTATCTGGAGGTCATCTCTTATCTAGCAATCTTAGCTAGTCAGAATATAGCCAAGTAACCTGACTTAATCCACAAAGGCCTCTGAATAGTGCAAAAAGAAAAAAGAAGATAAAATATCTTGCACAGAAGAGAATCACTTGAGCCTTACCGTCAGTCCATTTTTCTTCACTTTACATAGAAGGAAAGAAATTTCAGTGTACAGAGCAAAACTAAGAATATTTGAGGAATTCATTATTATCTGGGAAGGTATGTTTGGGTAATGTCTCAGTTCCTCCAGTTCCTAAGGGCCGTTTGAGATCTATCAGCCATCTTCAGAGTAAGAATCCCTCACCTCCAAGGGACAAGAGCCATCATTGTCATTGCGGGCATGTTCTGGTGGGGAAGTCAACCGTAGTGTCTGAAAAACAGAAAGGTTGGACGGCAGCACATGGCAGTCAGACCACCCTCCGATACAAAGAGCCCAGGCTCTAGGGACCACCAAGCATAACAGAAGAACAAGGAAAACAAAACCTTTATCATGTATTCTGCATGAAACTGAAATGGAGAGTTCCCTGACCCTCCTCGCAGGACGTGCAACAGGGATGTGGCTCGTCTGTTCAGTTGCCGTCACTGGTCAAACTCCTTACGGGAGAAGGAGCATGCAGATGGACAGGTGCAGGAGCTGGGGCACTGGGCTTCAGCCCCACAGCAGCATCCAGACGTGGGAACCTGCAACTCCTGGAGCCCAAGTGGGTGTGTGTCACATTATGCTCTTTTAGCCTTGCCATTGCAAACGGCTTAAGTGTTAACCAGCTCAGTGGACCCTCTGCCTTCTTGCAAGGGCAGGGGACCAGTGTGACAGCTTTCTGTATCCCAAACTCTTGTCCAGCATTGCAGAAGAATCAGGTCACACATGGACTTGAAGCACAGTGAATCTGGGGGTTTTACTGGGTGGTGGAGGTGGCTCTCAGCAAGATGGATGGGGAGCTGGAAAGGGGATAGAGTTGGAAGATGATCTTCCTGTGTAGTTTGGCCATCCAGCAGCCAATTCTCTGACCCTCCACAGCTGAACTTCTCCCAACGTTCCTTCTCTTCTCTCCCTCTCTGCTGCTCTTCTTCTCTTCTGTTTGTCTGCTCATCTCCTCCTGGAACCAGGGGTTTGGGGTTTATATGGGTAAAGGATAGTGGGGCGTTGGGCCAAAAGGCAACTTTTTGGGCACAAAAACAGGAATGCCTGTTCTCATTTATGGTGGCGAGTATCCAGGCTTAAGGGTGGGTCCTTTACTGGGGAACCGCCCTCTTCTACCCAGTATTTCTGTCTCCTGTCCATGTCAAAATGAAGATAACTCTAGGAAGCATTTTGGGTTGTAACACAATCACCATGAAGGCTGACAGGAAAGAAGTATCTTTCTAACTTCCTGTTCCAGTTATCCTTTGCTCCATAACAAATCATCCCAAAACTTAGTGACTTCGAACAACAAACCATTTATTTGTTCACAATTCCGCAATTTGGGCTGGGATCTCCTGGGCAGTTTCTCTCCATGTAGCTGCAGTCAGTGGATGGGAGAGCTGGAGGGTGGCTGGGCCAGAGCATCCTCACTCCCATGTCCAGGACTTCAGCTGAGGTAGCTGAAATGAGGTAGCTGTGCCTCTTTCCACGTGGCCTTTCATCCTCAAAGAGGCAAGCCCAGGCTTGTTCACGAGGCAGTAGTGTCTCAAGAGAGTAGAAGCAAAGCTACAAGACCTTATAAGGTATAACCTCAGAGGTCACACACTGTCACTTCCACTGTATTACATTAGTCACAGCAAATCACAAAGCAGCCTCAATACAAGAGGTGTCGTAGTAGCCTCTGCTTTTGATGGGAGGAGCAGGGAAGTTACATGGGAAGGGAGCATGGACACAGACAGATGACTCCTTGGGGTCATCACTGTAACAATTGCAAAAAGAAAAAGCTAGGCTAGGTGCAGTGGCTCACGCCTGTAATCCTAGCACTTTGGGAGGACAAGGCAGAATAATTGCTTGAGCCCAGGACTTTGAGACCAGCCTGGGCAATGTAGTGAGATCCCATCTCTACAAAAAATCAAAAAAATTAGCCAGGCATGGTGGTGCACACCTTGGTCCTAAGAGGCTGAGGCAGGAGGACGACTTGAGCTGGGAGGTCAAGGCTACAATGAGTTGTCATCTTGCCACTGCACTCCATCCTGCGTGACAGAGCAAGACCCCGCCTAAAAAACGAAAAAAAGGAAAAAGAAAACAAAAACCTTAGACAAATTAAATTAAATAGAATTCAATTGAGCAAAGAATAATTCAAGAATTGAGCAGCCCCTGAACCTGAATAGGTTCAGAAAGTCTCCAGCACTTGTGGTGGAAGAAGATTCATAGATAGGAAAAGGAAAGTGGGCTGGGCATGGTGGCTCACACGCGTAATTCCAACACTTTGGGAGGACAAGGCAGGAGGATCACTTGAGGCCAGGAGTTCAAGACCAGCCTGGGCAACAGAGTGAGACCCTGTATCTACAACAACAACAACAATAGGCCAGGCATGGTGGTGCGTATTTGTTATCCCGGCCACTAGGGAGGCTGAGATAGGAGGATCCCTTGAGCCCAGAAAGTCGAGGCTGTAGTGAGCTATGATGGCACCACTGCACTCCCGCCTGGGTGACAGAGCAGCAAGACTCTGTCTTAAAAAAATAATAATAGTCTGGGTCATGTGTTGTAGAGACAGAACATCCTATACCATATCCCAACTGTATTTTTTTTTTTTCTTTTTGAGATAGAGTTTTGCTCTTGTTGCCCAGCCTGGAGTGCAATGGTGTGACCTCGGCTCACCACAATCTCCACCTCCCAGGTTTAAGCGATTCTCCTGCCTCAGCCTCCCAAGTGGCTGGGATTACAGGCATGTGCCACCATGCCCATCTAACTTTGTATTTTTAGTAGAGATGGGGTTTCTCCGTGTTGGTCAGGTTCGTCTTGAACTCCTGACCTCAGGTGATCCTCCCGCCTCAGCCTCCCAAAGTGCTGGGATCACAGATGTGAGCCACCGCCCCTGGCTGCAATTGTATTTATAATAATAACCGAGACCCCTAGACATTTTAAATTATTTTCAACTATTTAAGGAATAAACACAGAAGTCCATACACAATAAAACCTCACAATAATGAAAAATTCTGAATTTGAATATAACTTAATTGGTAATTGGCTCCAAGGAATGAAGGAGGGGGATGAAGTGCCTGCCTTGGGATCATTTGGGACATTCTCATGTAGTGTACGGTCAGTTGTGTATAGTATAATTTTCTTATACTGGCATTTCAAGAGGTTAGCTGACCATAAAATTCACTTTCGTTAATCCCCAAATGATGCCAAACACACCAAGTGTTACTTTATTATTTTCTGCCAAACTGGCACTCATTTCAAAAGAACTGAAATTGACTTTTCTTTCCATTGTACATCTCTGCAAAGTACTTTTTACTTACATATATGTTCTTATTTGATCAATAGAACAGTCTTAAAGGGATAGACATGTTTATCGCGCTTTTAAAGATGAGAATATAAATATTCAAGAAAGGCAAAGTATCTTGGCCATGGACACACAGCTGGTTGAAACTCACATATGTAGTCGAGCTATTATCTCTGTCAGGGGCATGTCACCAAAGGCCAGATAATGAGGGCCCACATATGCAGTTTGGGACTTTCAAAAGAGGTCCTGTCTGCAAGAGGAATTGACAGAAATCCACAGTGCCCAGCCCACTCTGTCTTTGATTTTCTACTTCCATGGCTTTGATTGAATTAACCCATGAAATCTGGTTATAATCCTTTCCCTCCATAGAATGATATCAGGCTCTAGGATCCCAACACAACTCTCTCTCTCTTTTTTTTTTTTTTTTTTTTTTTGAGACGTGGTCTCTCTCTGTTGCCCAGGCTGGACCCAAACTCCTGTGCAATCCTCCCTCGAAACTAGGACTACAGAGGCATAGAATTCAGCCTCTTAGGAGCCCCTCTGCCCGGCCAGCCGCCCCGTCCGGGAGGGAGGTGGGGGGGTCAGCCCTCCGCCCGGCCAGCCGCCCCGTCTGGGAGGTGAGGGGCGCCTCTGCCCGGCTGCCCCTACTGGGAAGTGAGGAGCCCCTCTGCCCGGCCAGCCGCCCCGTCCGGGAGGGAGGTGGGGGTGTCAGCCCCCCGCCCGGCCAGCCGCCCCGTCCGGGAGGGAGGTGGGGGGGGTCAGCCCCCCTGCCCGGCCAGCCGCCCCGTCCGGGAGGGAGGTGGGGGGGGTCAGCCCCCCGCCCGGCCAGCCGCCCCGTCCGGGAGGGAGGTGGGGGGGGGGGTCAGCCCCCCCGCCCGGCCAGCCGCCCCGTCCGGGAGGTGAGGGGCGCCTCTGCCCGGCCGCCCCTACTGGGAAGTGAGGAGCCCCTCTGCCCGGCCACCACCCCGTCTGGGAGGTGTGCCCAACAGCTCATTGAGAACGGGCCAGGATGACAATGGCGGCTTTGTGGAATAGAAAGGCGGGAAAGGTGGGGAAAAGATTGAGAAATCGGATGGTTGCCGTGTCTGTGTAGAAAGAAGTAGACATGGGAGACTTTTCATTTTGTTCTGCACTAAGAAAAATTCCTCTGCCTTGGGATCCTGTTGATCTGTGACCTTACCCCCAACCCTGTGCTCTCTGAAACATGTGCTGTGTCCACTCAGGGTTAAATGGATTAAGGGCGGTGCAAGATGTGCTTTGTTAAACAGATGCTTGAAGGCAGCATGCTCGTTAAGAGTCATCACCACTCCCTAATCTCAAGTAATCAGGGACACAAACACTGCGGAAGGCCGCAGGGTCCTCTGCCTAGGAAAACCAGAGACCTTTGTTCACTTGTTTATCTGCTGACCTTCCCTCCACTATTGTCCCATGACCCTGCCAAATCCCCCTCTGTGAGAAACACCCAAGAATTATCAATAAAAAAATAAATTTAAAAAAAAAAAAAAAAAAAAAAGAATTCAGCCTCTTAGGCTTCTGGGTATCCAACCTCACATTACGCCTGTTCTGGAACTTAAAGTTATGTCCAATCTCAGTAAGGGCAACTTATAGAAACTTTACCCTGTTGTGAAGCCTGAGATATTATATTTGTATTATTGTATACACATATCCATAATCTATTAAAAGTATTTTTACTACTTCTTTTTTTGTTTTTTAAGAGACAGAGTCTTACCACACCAGGTTAGTTTCCTGGACTCAAGGGATCCTCCCATCTTGCCCTTCCCAAAGTGCTGAAATACAAGCATGAGACACCAAGCCCTTTCCTTCTCTTTCTTTCTTTCTTTCTTTCTTTCTTTCTTTCTTTCTTTCTTTCTTTCTTTCCTTCCTTTTTCTTTTTTTTGAGATAGGATCTTGCCCTGTCACCCAGCAGGCTGGCATGATCATGGCTCACTGCAGCCTCAACCTCATGAGCTCAAGCAATCCTCCCACCTCAGCCTCCCAAGTAGCTGGGACTGCAGGTGTGCGCCACCACGCTCAGCCAACTTTTCTATTTTTTGTAGATAAGTTCTCACTATGTTGCCCAGGATAGTCTCGAGCTCCTGGCCCCAAGTGATCCTCCTGCCTCGGCCTCTCAAAGTGCTGAGATTAAAGGCAGCACTGTGGATTACATGATCCACAGGTCATAGGTGGATTCAAAGATTTCCTGATTGGCAATTAGTTGAAAGGGTTAAGGTCTGCCTCAAGAGTTAAAGTCAGCAGAAAGAAATTCTGGTAGTCAAGATAAGGGGACATTATGTACATGAAGCCTCCAGGTAGCAGGCTTCAGAGAATAGATGGTAAATGTCTCTTATCCAACCCTAACAGGAGCCAGACTCTTAGTTAAATATCTCCTGGATCAGCAAAGGACTTGGAAAGGGAAAGGGATTCTCTACAGAATGTTTGTTTTCCCACAAGAGACAGCTTTGCAGGGCCATTTCAAAATATGTCAAATAAATACATTTTGGGCTAAAATACTTTGCTTTCTTTCAGGTCCTGGTACCTGTTATGTGATGCTACACTAAAGTCAGGTTGGAATTTGGTATCTTGTTGCTACAAAGTGTCTGTTTTGTCAGTCTCAGGGTCTGCATTTTATTGTTAATGCTGGTCAGTTGTGCCTGAATTCCAAAAGGGAGGAGGGTATAATGAGTCATGTCCAACTCCACCTTTCTATCATGGCCTGAACTAGTTTTTCGGGTTAACTTTGGAATGCCCCTGGCTAAGAGAAGGGGTTCATTCAGATGGTTGGGAGGCTTAGAATTTTATTTTTGGTTTACAGAGGCCACCCAGCAAGGCCTGCCTGTTTAGATTCTTCTTGGCCTCTCTGTGTAGCATTTCTTCCTCCCAGGTATAGGGCAAGACCTTTCTGGAATGCAGATTTTATGACCTACTATTGGACAAGATAGGTAGAATTTTCCTTTTGGTTTACAGTTTAATCCACCAATGAGGACCCCATGGATAAGGAGGGCCAACTGTATATTGTAATTTCACATTGCAGAAACCCAATGGACAGACCAAATGTGGGGATCAGGAATCTAGAACCAGGCACCATCAGAGGCCCTAGAAGGCAGAGGGCATAGGCCAGGCAGCAGGAATCCCAAGCCTGACCACAGTTTAGGGGCTCAGTGTGGAATTCCAGGCTCTGGGAAGGGACTAGAGAGGGCAAGTGAGAGTCCTAGTCCCTAAAGACCTAGAATCTAAGCAGGTCATGAAGGTAGAAACTTGGACATGAGATGCACAGAATCCATGTCCCAGAGTTAGAAGAAAAAACAAGACCAAGTCACCAAAACACCACTGGATTTCGTTGCCAGAACAGAGACACAGGGACTGAGGTGACTGGTACTTAGTGTTACGTTGCAGAAACAATACCCCCAAAGATGATGCTTTGACATGCCGAGTGCTTTGTTTGAAGGAAAATTCAAAGATCTCAAAAATAAACCTCAGAACCAAGGTTTCTGTCTGACCTTTTCTTATCCCTCTTCTCTTTGATCTTCACTCTTTCCCAAATCGCCAGGAGGAAATCTCTTTGAAATTTCCTTATCTGAAAAGAAAACGACCCTAACAGGAGCCATTTACCTTCTTTCCCCTGCCCCCCTCAAAAAAAAAATGCAACTGGGCCTGGCATGGTGGCTCACACCTATAATCCCAGCACTTTGGGAGGCCAAGGTGGGAGGATCGCTTGAGCCCAGGATTTCAAGACCAGCCTGGGCAGCATAGTGAGACTCCCATCTCTACAAAACATAAAAGAAAAATAAATTCAATTATTTTAAGACTCCTCTCCCTAGGAATCTTATCAAATACCAGAAAAGATTAAAGAGAGAAGAAAAGAGACTAGTAGTCACCATGCCCAGACAGACTTTTCATCTGTTCTTCTGCAGGTGGCTCTGAGAGATTACCTGGGAAGCTTTGTCTGCATAGGACAACCTTGGTTCACAGTGAGGTTCTACCCCCCTCACGTTTATGCCACCTCCCCCAGAGCTCAGAAGAACTTTGTTCAGGGCCACTGTTCTTTGGACTCATTCTTTTCCCCTGAAAATCATTCATTCCTATAAACTTCATCTCCTTTTCCCCTATGAAGAAGGGTATACAAACATCTGGAGCTCATTGGGCTATTGGGTAATCATTCTCCTACCATTTCTCCATGCTTATGCACATTAAATATATTTCGTATGCCTTTTTCTCCTATTAATCTGCCTTTTGTTGGTTCATTTTCAGCAAACCTTCAGAGGATGAAGGAGACGCTTTCCCTCTTCTACCCTACATTAGTCCCAGTTTGTTTTGCCAGAATTCCCTAAATTCACTGGCTAAGATCAGAGTTAAAGGGTCTTCCTACAATCTGCAGGGGAAGAGGACTTAATTGCCCCATTTTCAGGAATAGGAAGGATTTGGTACGTGGGAAACCAGGAACACTGGTAGACCAGTGTGAACAAAGGTTCAGTGCTTTTTCATGTTTATATTTAAGTGTATTAAAATTATGATATCCTGCATAAGTGCATTCAAAAGACACAATCCCCAGGATATTCCTCCTGGAAATGTCTACTCCTAGTTCATAGTATTAGGTGTCAAGACCCTGAGATTAGGCTGGGAGTGGTGGCTCACGCCTGTAATCCCAGCACTTCAGAAGGCCAAGACAGGTGGATCACTTGAGGTCAGAAGTTCGAGACCAGCCTGACCAACATGGTGAAACCCCGTCTCTACTAAAAATACAAAAATTACGGGGGCCTGGTGGCACACACGCCTGTAATCCCAGCTACATGGGTGGCTGAGGCATGAGAATCCTTGAACCCAGGGGACAGAGGTTGCAGTGAGCCGACATTGTGCCACTGCACTCCAGCCTGAGCAACAGAGCAAGACTCCATCTCAAAAAAAAAAAACCAAAAACAAAAAAACCTTGGGATTAGAAGTCAGACAGACCAGGGCTTCTTCACATTCCAGCTTTGTGACCTTGAGCAAGTTACTTGACCCCATTGAGCCTCAGATTTTTCTTTCTATGAAATAGGGATGATAATATAATGAGTATCTGTCATTTTGGTCTGTACAGTATCTGTTTCTTTGGTGATTAACACTTTCCTTAAATTACGTGTCAGCTGATAGTAATAACTCAGTAAATGATCATTTTTATTAATTTTTATTACATTAGTAGCTGTACAGGGCACACCTTTGTATCTGAAAAGAAAGAAATCTACATTATCATGGTGGAATATAGTCACTGACACATATTTTCATGAAAAATTCTCTATTCTGTATCAAGTAGATCCCGACCTAGAGAAGCTATGAGGGAAAATGTTCCCAAGCAAGCCTCAGGAAACACCCCGTACTTTGCCACGCATTGCATCCAGAGGTCCTGCAGCAAACCAATTCTAATTTTCCTTTCTCTGCATCAAAGTGTTCTTTTTGTCCTTTGTTTTCACCAGGCATTTCTGTAACCATCTTAGACCTCTCTCTAACTAGTAGACCCTGTGGTGAGAGTGATCATATCACATATAATGGCATGTCTGGCTTGGGAAATGATGGGGATAATGTGGGTGGTGGTCACCGTTTAGACAAAGTCTACATAAATTTCAATTACTACCTGCAGCTATCCCCTGCACATACCTCTGTCCGGAGCTAGAGTCCACTGCTTTCTTTTACCAGAAACCGTACAGACAGAACCTATAATCTTCCTCCATCTTCTTCTTTCCTTGTTTTTATTTTCATTCTTCTCTTTTTACAATGCAATATTCACAATTCAAATGCTGGCTAGTGAAACCTATGACATTAACCATCTGAGAGGACATCTTTTATCTCATAACAGCAAGATTGGCTCTCATCTCCCTGCTCAGGCAAAAGTTGCATAGTTGAAAACACAAGCATAGAGCACATACCTGAGTCATCTGTAAGCCATCTCTGCCTCTGGTTCACTTATAGTTAAAAATCACTGATGTTACTGCTTTTTCTCAAAAGAACATTTGCTGTTTTTCCATGTAGGAAAAGCTTTGTTAACTACGGACCCACACAAGTGCAGTGGAAAGAAAATTTCAGGATGGCAGAAAAGCTCATCTTGGCCGAGCCAGGTGACACATGCCTGTAATCCCAGCACTTTCAGAATCTGAGGCAGGCAGATCGCCTGAGCTCAGGAGTTGGAGACCAGCCTGGGCAACATAGCAAGACCCCGTCTCTATAAAAAAAATACAAAAATTAGCCAGGCATGGTGGCAGGCGCCTGGAGTCTCATCTACTCAGGAGGCTGAGGTGGGAGGATCACTTGAGCCCAGGAGGCAGAGGTTGCAGTGAGCCAAGATGGCACCACTGCACTCCAGCCTGGGCAATAGAGCAAGACCCTGTCTCAAAAAAACTTTACTAAAAAAGAAAAGCTCATCCATAGGTGGCTTCTACAGAAAGTCTTCACTTAATATCATCAATAGGTTCTTGGAAACTGTACCTTTAAGCAAAATGCCATATAACCAAACCAACTTGACCACAGTTTAACTAATATAGACTAAAGTTCCTATGGAATATTCCTGGTCACAAAAACATCACCAAACTTCTAAATAAAGAAAAAAACTCTTCTAATATTAAACATTGAAACAAATGTGAACTACACATACCTTTAAGAAAGATTGATAAAAACAAGTAAGATAATGATTTATTCCCTTATTCCAGTTCAGGGCCGGGGGTGACTGGGGCCAGTCCCTGTGGCTCAGGGGGGCCAGGCTGGAACGATCTCTGGACAGGATGCCCTCGCTTCACAGGGCACTCACTCACAGATACACATTCACTCAGCCTGGGACCATGTAGACAGCCAGTTAGCCTAATGTGCACATCTTTGGAATGGAGAGGAAAACCAGAGGGTGTTTCTGGGAGTTTGGGAAAGCCCAGAACCATGCAGAGAAAACCCATGCAAACACGGGGAGAACTTGCAAACTCAGGGAAACTCCACCCAGCCAGTGGCCCTGACCAGCAATCCATTTTTCTTTCTTCTCATCAACTTTATAATGACATTAGAATGACATTGAATGAGGCTCGGCATGGTGGCTCACGCCTTGTTATACCAGCACTTTGGGAGGCCGAGGCAGGTAGATCACCTGAGGTCAGGAGTTTGAAACGAGCCTGGCCAACATGGGAAAACTCCATCTCTACTAAAAATACAAAAAATTAACCAGGCATGGTAGCAGGCACCTGTAATCCCAGCTACTTTGGAGGCTGAGGCAGGAGAATCACTTGAACCCAGGAGGCAGAGGTTGCGGTGAGCCAAGATTGCACTGTTGCACTACAGCCTGGGCAACAAGAGCGAAACTCCATCTCGAAAAAAAAAAAGAATGATATTGAAACATTATTTGACGACCTACTCTATTTCTCAAATAGATTTCGCTTTCCAATTGTCTCATCCATTGTTGTCTCACTTTATAGCAGCTAATTTCTATAACCATTCTGTTGCCATATGTTAAAAAAAAAAGTGTTAAAATGTTTGTAGTAGAAACCTTATGCTTAGGGGAGCCCACTGCTGAGACTTGAAGATTTAGGTAAAGTCACATGCGTTCCAGTTCTATTCCAAACCCTCTCATCCTCCCAGGATGCCCCACTGGACTGCACCAGGCACCACAATGCTGAGTCTACCTGACATTCACCACTGAGTAAGAAAGGACATATTTTCCACCTGGGAGAAATAAAGTCACAACTGCTGGAAATGAAATTGAACAGTTATCCTACAAATGCCCAGAAACTACACATGCAGGAGTTGAGCTGTAGGTACACTTTTACTTTTTAACTTATTTTTATGTTATTTTTTTTTTAGGGACAAGGTCTCCCTGAGTCACCCAGGCTGGAGTGCAGTGGTGCAATCACAGCTTGCTGCAGCCTCAAACTCCTGGGCTAAACTGAACCTCCCACCTCAGCTTCCCAAGTAGCTGGGGCAACAGGCAAGCACCACCACATCTGGCCAATTTTTTTATCTTTTTGTAGAGATAGGGTCTTACTATGTTGCCCAGGCTGGTCTCGAACCCCTGACCTCAAGCAATCCTCCTGCCTTGCCCTCCAAAACTCCTGGGATTACAGGCGTGAGCCACCACCCGGCCTACTTTTACTTTCTAAATGCAACATAAATTATACCTCTAAAACACTGAACAAAAAGCTCCTTGGTCAAAATAGTCAGTTTTGGGCATTCAAAAAATCATTTCTGGCTGGGTGCCAGAAATGGGAGGCCCAGGCAAGAGGATCGCTTGAGGTCAGGAGTTTGAGACCAGCCTGGGCAAGATAGTGAGACCCTGTCTCTACAAAAAAGTAAAACATTAGCCAGGCGTGGTGACTCACATCTGTAGTCCGAGCTACTCAGGAGGCTGAGGTGGGAGGATTACTTGAGCCCAGGAGGTCGATGCTGCAGTGAACCATGATTGTGCCACTGCACTTCAGTTTGAGTAACAGAGTGAGACTCTATTTAAATAAATAAATAAATAAATAAATAAATAAATAAATCATTTCTTTTTCTATTGGTGAGGTATTTAGAGGTAAAGAGTAGGACCTCTGGGCAGGATGAGAATCCTAGCTTGCCATTTTCCAGCTACAGGATCTTGAGCCAGTTACTTAATAGTACTGTGCCTCAGTTTCTCCATAAGTAAAAAGGCGATAACACCATCTACCTCAAAAGCTCGCTGGGATCATAAAATGAGATAAATATCATGCCAGATATACAGCAACATTATCACTAAGGCTTATTCGTTAGTTTAACTATTATTTTTATCACTAACATTATTATTCTCATTTTGTTTCTACAAATTATTAGTGTGCTCACCAGAACTCCTTTTCCCAAATGGAGGCAGCACCTGTTACTTCACTTGCTGTTTTGCCTAAAAATTTACATTTCCCGCTTTGTCATGTTTTCGAGGTTTCGTTTATTGCATGCACAGTCAAATCTTCTCAGTAGTAGCAGACACAGTTCAATTTCAGAGCTCTAAATATAAATCTATATACATATTGAGACAGGGTCTCGCTGTCTCCCAGGCTGGAGTATAGTGGTACAGTTACTGCAGCCTTGACCTCCTAGGTTCAAGCCATCCTCCCACCTTAGCCTCTCAGGTAGCTGGGACTACAGACACGTACCACCACGTCAGGCTAATTTTATTTTACTTATTTTTATTTTCATTTTGTTATTATTATTAATATTATTATTATTATTTTGTAGAGACAGGGCCTCCTCGTGTTGCATAGGCTGGTCTCAAGCAATCCTCCCACCTCCACCTCCCAAAGTGCTGGAATTACAGGCATGAGCCGCTGTACTCAGGCTAAATATCAGTTTGGTTTTGTTGTTGTTGTTGCTTTGTTTTGTTTTTTGAGATGGAGTCACTCTGTCGCCCGGACTGGAGTGCAGTGGCGTGATCTTGGCTCCACCTCCCAGGTTCAAGCCATTCTCCTGCCTCAGCCTCCCGGTAGCTGGGATTACAGCATGCACCGCCACGCCCAGCTAATTTTTGTGTTTTTAGTACAGACAGGGTTTCACCATGTTGGCCAGGTTGGTCTTGAGCTCCTGATCTCAGGTGATCTGTCTGCCTCGGCCTCCCAAGGTGATGGGATTACAGGCATGAGCCGCCACACTGGGCAAATCGTTTTAAAGTTTTTATTATGAAGATTGCAAATAGAGAATAATACAAACTCCCCAGATTCAAGCATGGCCATTTCACCGTGCTTGCTTTGTCTACTCTTTTTTACGTTCATTTTCTTTACTTTTGTTGCAGTAGTATCTTAATATTTTTAAGCAAATTCCATGCATCATGTCTCTATGCACATATAAAAAATGAGTACATTTCAATATATAAGCACAATATTATTAGCTCTACTAACAAAATTAATGTGATCTAATACCCAGTCCAAAATCAAAATCAAATGTTCTGATTTCACTCAAAAATAACATATTATGGTTTGCTCAAACCAGTACCCAAATGAGCTCCACATATTGTATAATTGTTATGTTTCTTTCTTTTTTTTTTTTTTTTTTTTGAAATGGCATTTCGCTCTTTTCGCCCAGGCCGGAGTGCAATGGTGCGATCTCGGCTCACTGCAACCTGTGCCTCCTGGGTACAAGCAATTCTCCTGCCTCAGCCTCCCGAGTAGCTGGGATTATTATCGGCTCCGCCACCACAGCTGACTAATATTTGTATTTTTAGCAGAGATGGGGTTTCGCCATGTTGGCCAGGCTGGTCTCGAACTCCTGACCTTAGGTGATCCACCTGCCTCGGCCTCCCAAAGTGCTAGGATTACACGCATGAGCCACCACACCTGGCCCATCTACTCAATTTTTTAAGACTGAAATAATGTATAAGAAATAACTAACAACAGTGTGTACCTTCAGGTGGTAGGAATGTACGTGATTTTTATTTTTCTGTTTTTCTGTATTTTCCAATTTTTCTACAATAAACTCTACTTTTGTAAATAGGAAAATAACTGAGTAAGTTAAGGGTGGATGCAGTGGCTCGCACCTGTAATCTCAGCACTGCAGGAGCTGAGTTGAGGCAGGAGGATCACATGAGCCCAGGAGTTCAAGACCAGCCTGGGCAGCATAGTGAGACCCCTATTTCTACAAATTAAAAAAAAATTTGCCAGGCTTGGTTGTGCACATATAGTCCCAGTTACTTTGTTGGCTGAGGCAGGAGGATCACTTGAGCCTGGAAAGTCAAGACTGCAGTGAGCCATGATTGCACCACTGCACTCCAGCCTGGGTGGCAGAGTGAGACCCTGCCTCAAAAAAAAAAAAAGAAAAAGAAAAAGAAAAATTATTCACTTAAAAGGTATATTAAGCCAGGCACAGTGGCATGAACCTGTAGTCCTAGCTGTCTAGGAGGCTGAGGTAGGAGGATCACTTGAGTCCAGGAGTTTGAGGCCAGCCTAGGCAACATAGTGAGACCTCATCCCTAAAAAAAATGAATAAATAAACAAAGGTATGATATGCAGAAGAGCTTGTTCCTGTCCTTTCTTCTTGGAGTCACCTCCTGGAGCAAATTATCTACATTCTGGTTCTCAACCCAACACATTCCAGCTCTACTGTCCACCCTTCCTGCACCTCGTTTTTTTTTGTTTTTTTTTTTTTGAGACAGAGTTTCGCTTTTGTTGCCCAGGCTGGAGTGCAGTGACGTGATCTCGGCTCACTGCAACCTCTGCCTTCCGGTTTCAAGCTATTCTCCTGCCTCAGCCTCCCAAGTAGCTGGGATTACAGATGCCCACCACCACACCCGGCTAGTTTTTGTATTTTTAGTAGAGACGAGGTTTCGCCATGTTGGCCAGGCTGATCTTGAACTCGTGACCTTGTGATCTGCCCGCCTCGGTCTCCCAGAGTGCTGGGGTTCCAGGTGTGAGCCAACGCACCTGGTGAAACTCTGAACTTCACATTCTATCAGCCCGCATGGCAACCCCCTCAACATCCGCTTCTCCTTCGTTAGTCCCACATAGAAACAAGTACATCCCCTATGAAGGGACCATCACATAATTCTTTTGTATTCCACTTAATGCTTCACAAATAATAGGTGTGAAATAAATACTTATTGAAGAAATGAATGAATGGTAGAGAAGAGGGAACTGTGGCAGTGTGAGGGCAGAGAAATACAGAAGGGCTTCACGCAGGTGGTGAGACCTGGGCTGGGCCTTGAACGATGACTAAAGTGTCTGTGGCTCCAAGAGAGGGTGACTAGTCAGGCCAGGAAGACGCAAAAGCCATGTAGGCTCAGTAGACGTACAATAAACTCGCCTGGTTAGAGAGTAAAGTGAGGGCTGGAAAATGGCAGGAGAGGTTTGGGAGCTTGAGGCAAGATTAAGTGTGTATTTCAGGCTGGGCCTGTACTCTACGGCAGAGGTTCTCAAACTTTAGCAGAAGACTTTTATTTTGTTTTTTGTTTTGATTTTTCTGAGACAATGTCTTGCTCTCTTGACCAGGCTGGAGTGCAGTTGTGTGATCATCACTCACTGCAGCCTCGACCTCCTGGGCTCAAGAGACCCTCCCACCTTAGCCTCCTAAGTAGCTGGGACTACAGAGGTGGGCCACCATACCAGCTAATTTTTGTTTGTTTGTTTGTTTTGGTAGAGATAGGGGTCTCACTATGTTGCCCAGTCTGGTCTTGAACTCCTGAACTCAAGTGATCCGACCACCTTGGCCTCCTAAAGTGCTGGGATGACAGGCCTGAGCCACCATCCCCAGCCAGGAAAAGTCTTGTTAAAACAGTTTGCTGAGCCCCAGTCCTAGAGTTTCTGTTGCAGTATATCTGAAGGGAATGTGAGATTTTGCAGTTGTAATATATTTCCAGGAAATACTGGATACACATTAAAATGATCTGAAAGGGAGGCTGGGTGCAGTGGCTCACGTCTGTAATCCCAACACTTTGGGAGGCTGAAGCTGGCAGATAGCTTGAACCCAGGAGTTTGAGGCCAGCCAGGGCAACACGACAAAACTCCGTCTCTACAAAATTTCAAAAATAAAATTTAGGCCAGGGATGGTGGCTCACGCCTATAATCCCAGCCCTTTGGAAGCCCCGAGGTAGGCAGATGCTTGAGTTCAGGAGTTCGAGACCAGCCTGGGCAACATGACAAAACCCCATCTCTAGATAAATAAATAAATCATAGATAAATAAATAAAATTTAAAAATTAGCCAGGCAAGGTGGCATGCGCCTGTAGTACCAGTTACTCAGGAGGCTAAGGCAGGAGGATTGACTGAGCCCAGGAGATTGAGGTTTCAGTGAACCGAGATCACACCACTGTGCTCCAGCCTGGGCAACAGATTGAGACACTGTCTCAAAATAAAATAACTACCTGAAAGCTTTTCAAAAAAGCCGAAACCAGGTCCCTAGCCCTCAGAGATTCTCATTTAATTGAGCTGAAGAAGGACCTGAGCACATAATGGTATGTTTTGTTTGGTCTTTTTTTAGTAATCCAGGCGATTAAAATATGCAACCAGGGTTTCTCATGTTTTTTGGTTTTTTATTTTAAGTTCCAGGATACATGTGCAGGATGTGCAGGTTTGTTACATAGGTAAACCTATGCCATGGTGGTTTGCTGCACCTATCAACCCATCACCTAGGTATTAAGCCCGGCATGCATTAGTTATTTCTCCTGATGCTCTCCCTCCCCCACCCCCCACCCCACAAGCCCCAGTGTGTGTTGCTCCCTTCCCTGTGTCCACGTGTTCTCATTGCAACCAGGGTTTTTAATCTTTCTAATTACTGGTGTAAGCAATAAGGTGCCCTTGCTGATTTTTGAAACAAAAGGATATTTAACATATTTTTTGTTAATTACACAGATAAATGATCAATGTCACAAAATGAGAAATTACAAAGAAAAATCTAAATTATCTAAAATTCTACTCAGAATAATTACTGTTAATCTTTTTTTAAAATAACATTTCCAGATGAGGCACGGTGGCTCATGCCTGTAATCCCAACACTTTGGGAGGCTGAGGTGGGGGAATCACTTGAGGCCAAGAGTTCGAGGCCAGCCTGGGCAACATAGTGGGACCTTGTCTCTACAAAAAATTTAAAAATTAGCTGGGCATGATGGCATACATCTGTAGTTCCAGCTACTTGGGGCACTGAGGCTAGAAGAGAATCCCTTGAGCCCAGAAGTTCAAGGTTGCAGTGTGCTATGATACTGCGACTACTCTCCAGCCTGAGTGAAAGCAAGACCCCATATCAAAAAAAAAAAAAAAAAGCTGGGTATGGTGGCTCATGCCTATAATCTCAGCATTTTTGGAGGCTAAGACATGCAGGTCACATGAGGCCAGGAGTTCAAGACCAGCCTGGACAACTTTGCGAAACCCCATGTCTACTTAAACTATAAAAATTAGCCAAGCCGGGCACAGTGGCTCACGCCTCTAATCCCAGAACTTTGGGAGGCCAAGGCGGATGGATCGCCCAAGGTCGTGAGCTCGAGACCAGCCTGACCAACATGGAGAAACCCTGTCTCTACTCAAAATACAAAATTAGCCAGGTGTGGTGGCACATGCCTGTAATCCCAGCTACTCGGGAAACTGAGGCAGGAGAATCATTTGAACCTGGGAGGCGGAGGTTGCATTGAGCCGAGATCATGCCATTGCACTCCAGCCTGGGCGACAAGGGCAAAACTCCATCTCAAAAAAAAAATGAGCTGGACATGATGGTGCGCATCTGTAATTCCAGCTACTTGGGAGGCTGAGGTGAGAGAATCACTTGAACCCAGAAGGCAGAGGTTACAGTGAACCGAGATCACGCCACTGCACTCCAGCCTGAGTGACAGAGTGAGACTCTATTTCCAAAATGTATATATGTATTTATATATTTTTTTTTTACCTTTTTTTAACATATATATTTGGTCCCTTCGCAGTAAATCCTCTATATATATAGACCAGATGTGGGTGGCTTACACCTGTAATCCCAGTACTTTGGGAAGCTGAGGTGGGAGGATTGCTTGAGGCCAAGAGTTCAAGACCACCCTGGGCAACATAGCAAGACTACATCTCTACGAAAATATATCTGTATTTTTCTCTATGTCATATGGTTTAAATCTGTGTCCTTGCCCAAATCTCATGTGGAATTGTAATCCCCAGTATTGGAGGTGGGGCCTGGTGGGAGATGACTGGATCATGGAAGCAGAGTTCTCATGAATGGGTTAGCTCCATCACCTGGGTGTTATTCCTGTGATCCTCACTGAGTTCTCATGAGATGTGATTGTTTAAAAGTGTGTAGCACCTCCCCGCTCTCTTCCTCCTGTTCCGGCCATGTAAGATGTGCCTGCTTCCTTTTCAACTTCCACCATGACGGTAAGTTTCCTGAGCCCACCCCCAAAGCCAAGCAGGTGCTGCTCTGCTTCCTCTACAGCCTGCAGATTTGTGAGCCAATTAAACCTCTTTTCTTTATAAATTACCCAGTCTCAGGTGCTTCTTTATAGCGACGCAAGAACTGACTAATACAATATGTAAATTGATGGTAGAAAAAGAAACAACTTTTCCTTTTTCCTATTTTTTAAAAAAGCCCAAGAAAGGAATCAACATACTTTCAAAAGCAGAGGGGACCAAGATAGCAATGTGTATTCTTTCCCTCTCTAAATCTTAACAATACTTACTAGAAGCTCTGAGTTCTTAACTGATCTATGAAGCCTGCTGTGATTTTTACCCTCTGATTTCCTGTATACTTATAGTCTCTAACACATGGCTTAGCTCTTAATCATAGAGTCTTTTACTCTTTTCCGATTATTAGTATTGGCTCCCAAACCAGACTGTAAATTCCTGGAGTACAGAGATTTCCCCCTCCACCATTACTTTCAATACTTACTTTTTGGGGCCAAAGTATCAAATGTAGTACAGGATGAATACTAAGTGTCTATTAGGAACATTTGTTGATCTTCAATTTTGCAATTCAGTAATCTTACCGGCAGGCCACTTTAGTTACTGATGCACACTTTGTGTCCCTAAAGGCCAATCTCTAGGAATCCTTAAACTTACAAATATGTCAAAGATAGTCACTTCAATTTAGACAGTCTCTAAATAATCTAGCATTTGAGGTTTTCTCCCTTCCATCGGCTCTAGAAACCTAAGCTCCCCAAAGCCTCTTTTTCCCTATTTTTCACCAAATGACAGCTGCAATGACTTTCAGAGTTCAAGCCAGTACACAAATCATACTACCATGGAAATTTGCAATTCAATGTATTTAGCAAGCTCATTACACAATAAAACTTGAGGTCAGAGACTAAATTCTACTTTGCAGCAAACTAAAAGTGGTTTGACAATATGCAACCAACAGTCTGTTCAATACAATACTTGCAAATGGGAAATTTTGCTTCTGTGGTAAACATTATCATTCTTTCAGTCTTTGGTTATAAAAGCAACAAAAATAATAAGCCTATTTTTTCCCTAAAAATGATACAGAGAAGCAATGAATGGTTTTTCTTTCTTGGTTTATATTAACTTGGAACTTCTCAGTGTCACCCTGGGCAACACAGTGAGACCCCGTCTCTACAAAAACTAAAAAAAATAGCCGGGTATGGTGGCGCGTGCCTATAGTCCCAGCTTCTCAGGAGTTTGAGGTAGAATAATCGCCTGAGCCCAGGAGGATGAGGCTTCGGTGAGCCGTGATTGTGTCACTGCACTCCAGCCTGGGTGACAGAACAAGGTTCTGCTTCAATCAAACTACCTAGACTATTTTATTTATTTATTTATTTATTTATTTTTATTTATTTTTTTTTTTTTTGAGACAGAGTCTTACTCTGTTGCCCAGGCTGGAGTACAGTGGCGCAATCTCGGCTCACTGCAACCTCTGCCTCCCAGGTTCAAGTGGTTCTCATACCTCAGCCTCCTGAGTAGCTGGGATTACAAGCATGAACCACCACCTCCTGGCTAATTTTTTGTATTTTTAGTAGAGACAGGGTTTCACCATGTTGGCCAGGTTGGTCTCCAACTCCTGACCTCAAGTGATCTGCTTACCTTGGCCTCTCAAAGTGCTGGGATTACAGGAATGAGCCACCGCACCCAGCCTAGACAATTTTTAATATCAGCAATTTTTCAACACAGTTCTTTTTCCTTTCCTTTTCTTTTTTTTTTTCCTGGTCCTTGACCCAGGATTCAATATAACCCTTTAAGAAAAAAACTTTTTTTCAGTGTTTTATTTTTTCTTCTTCCTTCTTTCTTTCAATACATATTTGGTGCCTACTATGTGCCCCCACTGTGCCAGGCATTGAACAAACAATAGTGATCCCAACACTACTTAGTCATGAAGACAGATATAAGCCAGAGGCTGTAGACTGGCAGCTTTCAGGTCTACTGCAGCCCACACCTGACCTTGGTTTGGCCCACACAATATCATTTGAATTACTTCCCAACACTTTAAAACCGGAACATTTCACATAAAAAGTCAGAGTTCTGCCAGGCACAGTGGCTCACACCTGTAATCCCAGCACTCTGGGAGGCTGAGGTGGGTGGATCACGAGGTCAGGAGTTCAAGAGTAGCCTGATCAACATGGTGAAACCCCATCTCTACTAACAATACAAAAATTAGGCCAGTGTGGTGGCACGCGCCTGTAATCCCAGCTACTCAGGAGGCTGAGGCAGGAGAATCGCTAGAACCCGGGAGGCGAGGTTGCAGTGAGCAGAGATCGTGCCACTGCACTCCAGCCTGGGCAACAGAGCGAGACTCTGTCTCAAAAAAATAAATAAATAAAAAGTCAGCGTTCTGGATTATATGAAAAAATGGGAAAATCTGGTAGCACCAAGACCCTTACTCCCTCAAAAGAACAACTGGCAAACCCGAGTGGGGACTTCCCTGGTCAGAGACATGGAGTTCTCACCAGGCCTCATGAAACCTTCCTCTCTCAGCACTGAGTTTATAACTGCTGTATGAACCAGTCATGGAAATAAAAACTGCACAGGTGTCAATAATGGTGGATGTTATAAAAGAAAAGAGCTTTATTAGAGAATAGGAGAGGAGAAACTAACTTAAATTGAGGGTCAAGGATGATCTCTTGAGGCCGTGGCATTTTTAACTATGTTCAGTACTGGCACTCACCTCTTATGAGGCACTTTTCCAAATAATAAATGCCATTTATTGAGAGTCTATTGATGCCAGGTAACTTAATTTAATTCTCACAGAAACAATTCTGCATGATCTCCATCTTGCTGATGAAACACCTGAATTGAAATACTTGCTGTTCAAGAAGGTGAAAACATTAGCCCAAATATACAGAACCACAGGTGGAAAACCTGGGGTCAGAACAAAGCCCTGATTGATTCCAAATTGTATGCTTGTTCCAGTAAAAAGAGATGCTTCAAATGAGGCCCAGTCCAATTCTAAGAGTCGGTTCTTCTCCATTCTTCCCAAAGCACATGACAAGAATATTCAATAGGGAGCTCCCTTGTTTTTGCAATGAGATTGACCTTGTTCTCAGATTATACCTCCGCTTACTCATAGACCAGAGCAAGTTCTCACCATTAGAGAGCTTCACTGCCAGCTCTGCAGTGAAGCCCAGGATCTCTAGCCAGGTCTTGGGACCTGATCGTGTTTTCAATGATTCTAACCTGAGCCAGATTTATCAGGGCAGGTGCCTTTATATTGTCAGTCCTTTCCAGCCATATTGGTGTGAATTTCCTGCCTCCACCAATCAGCTGGGATTTCCCATCTCCATATTAACAGAACTTAAATTTTGTTTTGTCTGTATCACTTAACCAGGAGTGTGGTCATCTACAGAACCTGGATCTGATCTTTTAGGCTTTCCTCTCAGATCTCTGGATCAGAATGGATCGATGTGGCTGCATGTATTCTTTCTTTTTATTAGGTTGGTCCTAATATTATAAGGCTTTTTTGACCACTCAAATTCCTTATCATGGTGCCTGTTCCAAATTCTCCTCTAACTCATCCAGGATCCCAATTAAACAGTAACAGAAAATATCTTCCCAAGACATCACTGTGTTGCTACCACCCCCACAATTCAATTCAAATCAAATATTAAAGTATGACATATGACATTCTGAAAATGAAACCAATAAAAGGAAAATATATATATACATACACACACATATATATATCTCCATCCAAGGACAAGGCAAAAATGTAGGTATTCCAATTTTGGAAGGAAGCAGAATCTGAGAATTCACGGCATGATTTCTTAGCTTCCTAACGCTGTAGTCCTCACCACCAAGGCACTTCTACCTTTTTAGATCTTAGTTTCCTCATTAATAAATTTGCTTTTTGGCTGAGCACGGTAGCTCACGCCTGTAATCTCAGCACTTTGGGAGGCTGAGGCAGGCAGATTGCTTCAGCCCAGGAGTTCGAGACCAGCCTAGACAACATGGCTAAATCCTGTCTGTACAAAAAATACGAAAATTAGCTAGGCATGGTGACACACGCCTGTAGTCTCAGCTACTCGAGAGGCTGAGGTGGGAGTATCACTTGAGCCCAGGAGGTCGAGGTTGCAGTGATCCATGACCACATCACTGCACTCCAACCTGGGCAACAGAATGAGATCCTGTCTCAAAAGAAAAAAAAGTAAAAAGTAAAATAAAGGCCAGGCGCAGTGGCTCACACCTGTAATTCCAGCACTTTGGTAGGCCAAGGTGGGTGCATCACCAGGTCAGGAGATGAGACCATCCTGGCCAACATGATGAAACCCCGTCTCTACCAAAAATACAAAAATTAGCTGGGCGTGGTGGCACGCACCTGTGTCCCAGCTACTGCGGAAGCTGAGGCAGGAGAATTGCTTGAACCCAGGAGGCGGAGGTTGCAGTAAGCCGAGATCACGCCACTGCGCTCCAGCCTGGGCAACAGAGCAAGACTCTGTCTCAAAAATAATAATAATAAAAAATAAAAATAAATAAAAATGAATTTGCTTTCCTGGTAAACTTGGCGAATACGCCAATATAATAAATCCTTCCACTTCAAGCTCACAGGAATAAATATCATTTAGCAGTATAAAATGTCATTTTTTTAAATGTTCAGACAGAAATAAGCTGGAAGTCAAGAAGTGAAACTTTTAGGAATGTTGCAGAATTTAGAAGCATAATTGGGAACTCAAGTCAGAGGGCTGACAGGGGAATCAGAGATTAATATATGCCTTAACAGTTAGGGCTTGTGACATTAACACCTAAGTGAAGAAGAGGGTATAGGACTCTATATTAAGCCAGGACTCAAAAAGGGCTAGCCCTTGTGAAACAGAACCTAGAAACACTTGGCCACCAGTTTGAGGAAGCAGCAAGGAAACTTGTTACCATGAATAGAAAAACAGTCACTGAAGAGAAATCTGAAACCCAGGCCTTTGCCCTGTGTGGAAGTGAGTTTGAACTTCACACTGTTTGCATGATACAGACTTCAAGGCTGAAAAATTAACATATAATCTGGTCTGAGACCACAGAACCCACAGGTCCCCAGTCAAAGGGAAAAGGAGAACCATTTCATAAGAACACTCCAACAAGCTAGTGTACAAAAGACTTTCATAGAAAACAACCCCTGCTGAAGATAAATTTACAGTAAAAAATTAGAAACCACACAGGGAAATAAACGACCATGAGGAAAAGTCAGCAAATAGGACAAAGGTGATAATTTATACCCAGGGACGCCGGGCACAGTGGCTCATGCCTGTAATCCCAGAACTTTGGGAAGCCGAGACGGGCGGATCACCTGAGGTCGGGAGTTCGAGACCAGCCTGACCAACATGGAGAAACCCCATCTCTACTAAAAGTACAAAATTAACCAGGTATGGTGGTGCATGCCTGTAATCCCAGCTACTCAGGAGGCTGAGGCAGGAGAATCGCTTGAACCCGGGAGGCAGAGGTTGCGGTGAGCCGAGATCATGCCATTGCACTCCAAACTGGGCAACAAGAGCAAGACTCCATCTCAAAAAAAAAAAAAAAAATTTATACCCAGGGACTGGTTTTAGTGAAATGATCAAAAGAGAGTTTAAAAATACCTATGTTTAAGATATTTGAAGATACAACATAAATAATTTAAAATGTTAGACAAAAATAGACTCAATTTGATGGAACTGATATGATTTACTGAGCACCTACTATATGCCCAGCATTTCTCTAAATACTTGGGATATGCCAGTGAACAAAATAAAGGTTCCTGCCCTTGTAGTGCTTACATTTTAATGGGAATCAATACAAAATGATAGATAGGATGAGGCAGTCTGAGCTTTATCTAGCCCTAACATTATTGGATGCTATATATAGTGAGCATAAATCTTGATCTACAGTCTTGGGCAATTAAGAAATATAACTTTATTTTCTATACTTTAATTTAATTTTTATTTTAAGTCCTCATATTCCATTAATCTGACAGAGAGTATAAAGCTTGGACTTTTCACTTCTTCCCGTCACCTTCCCTGTTATGTCAATGTGCCAGGGAGCTTTCTACCAAAGCATTAGGGAAGTAAGTCATTCTTCCTATTATCTTTTGTAATTTTTTCACATAGCATTTGCTCAATAAATGCTTGTAGATCTAATTTAGAAAAAAATGCATAATTATTTAATGAAAAGATTTTTATCTGGAACCCACCACATTCTTAAAATATTTGACTATCAGATGTATCTATAGTAAAGTTTCAAAACATAAAAGTAATTAGGATCAAGGGAAAAGAAAATATGTTTCTACAAACTGACAATAGCATTTTGTTCTAAGCACCCAAGTAGCCAAGGCAAAGGGGGAAAAATTGGGAATCAATAGTTCACAAGTTCTGAAAGAAAAGAAATAAACTTTTTTTTTTTTTTTTTGAGACGGATTTCTTGCTCTGTCGCCAGGCTGGAGTGCGGTGGTACAATCTCAGCTCACTGCAACCTCCACCTCCCAGGTTCAAGCAATTCCCCTGCCTCAGCCTCCCGAGTAGCTGGAACTACAGGTGTGCACCATCACGCCCAGCTGATTTTTTGTATTTTAATAGAGAAGAGGTTTCAACATGTTAGCCAGGCTGGTCTCGATCTCCTGACCTCGTGATCTGCCTGCCTTAGGCCTCCCAAAGTGCTGGGATTACAGGCTTGAGCCACCGCACCTGGCCTTTTTTTTTTTTTTTTTTGAGATGGATTCTCACTCTGTTGCCCAGGCTGGAGTGCAGTGGCGAGATCTTGGCTCACTGCAACCTCAGCCTATTTGGGTTCAAGCCATTCTCCCACCTCAGCCTCCTGAGCAGCTGGGATTACAGGCATCTGCCACCAAATTATCCACCTGGATAATTTTTGTATTTTTAGTAGTGACAGGGTTTCACCATGTTGGCCAGGCTGTTATCAAACTCCTGACCTCAAGTGATCCACCCACCTCGGCCCCACAAAGTGCTGGGATTACAGGCGTGAGCCACTGCGCCTGGCCAGCAAAGTCTTTATGACTTGTATTACGGTGCCGACTTCCTATCTCATCCTGTGACTTAGAGTGCCTTAACCCTCTGGGAATGCAGCCCAGTGGGTTTCAGCCTCATTTTACCCAAAAGAGTAGATATATATTTAAGGATAAATAACATTGCCATTTAATAAATTATTACTGCTCTTAATCCAAGTCCATTGAAATTGTTCCTTAAAAGTCTGAGCTAAGTCAAATCGGAAATAATATTGAAGCATTAGCAAAATTAAAAGGAAATTTTATCCATAGGTAAAATGAAATTAAATAAGCCATTGTCAAGGATCAGGAGTGAGTTACTGACTAGCATAAACCTAGTTCAAGAAGCAAATGACTGGGCCAAAAGCGGTGGCTCACGCATGTAATCCCAGCACTTTGGGAGGCAGAGGCAGGTGGCTCACCTGAGATCAGGAGTTCCAGACCAGCCTGACTAACATGGTGAAACACCGTCTCTACTAAAAATACAAAAATTAGCCAGTTGTGGTGGCGGGTGCCTGTAATCCTATCTACTTTGGAGGCTGAGGCAGGAGAATGGCGTGAACATGGGAGGCGGAGCTTTCAGTGAGCCAAGATCGTGCCACTGCACTCCAGTCGGGGAGACAGAGCGAGACTCCGTCTCAAAAAAAAAAAAAAGAAGAAGAAAATGACCGGCAAGTCAGCTTTGTAAGGCTGCAATGTCGAGTCGATTTACCCTGCTTGCCAAAAAAGCTAAAAAAGAATTATTTGAAGCTAGCACATATCATGCAGCTAAGTGTATGTCTGCCTCCTATCAAGAAGCTAAATCTAAGTAGAAATCCTACTTAGAACAACATGGCTATGGATCCTGGATTGTGAAATCTCCCTGCATAGAACAATTTAACATGTGAATTAGGCAATCCATTGTCACATTAAATATCTTGTATTGTTTGGTGTGTTTTGACTGGTAAAAATGTTTTTTAAATATTGGTAGTTTTCAACTTTCAGAATCAGAGTCTTAACAACAGCAATATGCAGTGATTGCTGAAAATTTCTAAATATTCCTGCCAAATTACACTGAAACATTCGGGCTTTTTACTTTCTCGTTTTCTTGGAAAAGGACTTACATGTTTGAATATGTAGCCATTTTGTATTTATTTTTACAGATATTATAAAGCCATTATCCTTTTTGTAGTTTAGTAGAAATTTAATTTTCTTTAAGTTTTTGCTTGAAAGCTGTCCATATGGCTACCATATTCAACCTTGTGTCCTGGCATCTCACTAAATTTTTTTTTTTTTTTTTTTTTTGAGACAAAGTCTCGCTCTGTTGCCCAGGTTGGAGTGCCGTGGCACGATCTTGGCTCACTGCAACCTCCACCTCCCAGGTTCAAGCAGTTCTCTGCCTCAGTCTCCCAAGTAGCTGGGATTACAGGCGCCCGCCACCACACCTGGCAAATTTTTTTTTTTTTTTTTTTTTTTTTAGTAGGGATGGGGTTTCACCATCTTGGCCAGGCTGGTCTTGAATCCCTGACCTCGTGATCCACCTGCCTTGGCCTCCCAAAGTGTTGGGATTACAGACGTGAGCCACCGAGCCCGGTGGCTCAATTTTTTAAAAATTAAATATTGGAAGTCAGGAATAAAAATAATAATTTGCACTAATTGATTAATTCTACAGACATTTGACTGCCTGATATTTGCCAGTCACCATGCTAGGTGTTAGTAAAGAAACAAAACCTACAACATCAGCTCTCATGTTAAAGGAGTTCATGAAAGCAAACTGCACATATAAAAGTAGAAAAACGTTAACCATGTTAAGGAATAATTTGATAGTAATTCTATCAACAGAGGATTCTCATATGTGTATTAAATAAGATTGTCCATTTTCAACTGCCCTACAAGATCTATCTTTACCAAATGTGATTTAATCCTTTATAACTTAGATTAACAGGGATTTCTAATTTAGAGGTCAGTAAAAGGCTGCTTAGCTTTATATCTGTATGTGTTTATAGAGTGGTTAGATGAAAAGGGAAAGTTTAGTTACTTTTGAGTTGGGAGAAGTATCTTTAGTGAAATTGTTTGTCCCATACTTTAGCTTCTTTATCCTGTTCCTTGGTTTTCAATCACAGATATTTTAAACACTGTTGGTTAATAAATTAAAAAAAAAAAAGCAAATGACTTAGAGAATGAATGGTTGAACCATGGCCAGATGTGATGGCTCATGCCTGTAATCCTAGCACTTTGGGAGGCCAACCCAAGCAGATTGCCTGAGCTCAGGAGTTTGAGACTAGCCCGCAAAACATGGCAAAACCCTGTTTCTACTAAAAATACAAAAAATTAGCCAGTCATGGTGGCACGCACCTGTCCTAGCTACTGAGGAGGCTGAGGCATGAGAATCTCTTGAACCCAGGAGGCAGAGGTTGCAGTGAGCCGAGATCACGCCACTTCACTCCAGCCTGGGCAACAGAGCGAGACTCTGTCTCCAAAAAATCAGTAAATAAATAAATGGTTGAACCAGAACTAGTACCATCAAGCCCTACTCTGCTAACTCCTAAAGATGATGTAGTTGTGCCTTTGGAAAAAAAAAAAGAAAAAGAAAGAATTGTGTTAAAAACTGTTCTCCCATGATCACCTTATAAGAAAAAAAAAATGCCCTTTTACTGATTGAAATGCATCCAAGAACATCTTTTACTTCAATGACAAGGAAAACAATAATAAAAACTGTATAGACATGAATTTCAGAGAAAGCCCATATAAAAGAGTGCAGCTAATCAATCGTTTCCCTAAGTGTGCTCCAAAATTACTCCTACAGTAGGTTTAAACACTAAAGTTCTTTCGGAGACACATAATCTCTCAGGACCACAGGAACTATCCTGTGCATCCAAGTGCATTGTTAGTGTAAAGAATGAATGGTGCCCTTATGACCTGAAAGAGTTAATATTACTCCCTTCCCCCAAAATTTATTACTAGCCAGGTCTCTGAGATATGATATGGCCCTGGAAAAAGCCCATTTGTTCCCAAGCTTTTATACTCAAAAAGTCCAGCAAAGACCTCCCTGTTTTCTATCTCCAAACCTCCATTGCTACCTAAAGACCATATTTTGTAAACCCGAATTTTAACTATAAGACTGGTTTTTCTCATGAGGCAAAGAAAAAAACCCTCTATGATTAGTGCATTAGCTAAAAGCATAGAATGTAGAATGGGAAGATTATTTATGGTTCTTCTCTTCAGAAGCTAATAGAGTCAGATGTTAGCCTAAAAGGTTGAAAATCCTACAGTGGGATTTTTTTTCCAACAGATAAAAGTGGCTTCTGGAAAGCAGCATAAATACTGTCTACAGTAAGCCATAAGCACTAATAATTTGGCTATAAGTGCTCAATCAAAGGGAGATGAACATGTTAAATGTTATTAAAAAAATGGACAGCATATTATCTTGAAAGCCACAGTGAAATAGTAGCGTAAGTGACAAGCATTGCTTTCAGTGCTGTTTTAAGTTGGACGGTGGTTGAGGGGGTTTGCCAGGCCACCCTTCCATATAGTCAAATCACATTCAGTGGCTCAAATATAAAATGGATTGGATTTCCCATTGTAGTTTTATTTTCCCCAAGACTGTTAAATTCCTTTTTTCCCTAAATTGTTCATTCTTCACAGGCCAATTCTGTTTGAAAGACCAGCTTTGCTAATTGTACAAGATAGGCAAGTAAGCAAGAGACTCAATTTCACTCTTTTCTGTTTTTTGAGACAGGTTCTTGCTCTCTTACCCAGGCTGGAGTGCAGTGGCACAATCACAGCTCACTGTGGTCTGGACCTCCTGAGCTCAAGCGATCCTCCCACCTCAGCCTCCCCAGTGGCTGGGATTACAGGTACACACCACCATGCCCGGCGGATGTTTGTGTTTTTTGTAGAGACAGGGATTCACTGTTGCCCAGGCTGGTCTCAAACTCCTGGGCTCAAGCAATCCACCTGCCTCAGCCTCCTAAAGTGCTGGGATTACAGGCATGGGCCACTATGCCCAGCTGATTTTACCACTTTTGACATTGTTAAAATTTAATTTGGCAGAGAAGGGTGTGTTTGGGTTTTTTTCAATAGGGTATTTCCAGTGAAAAGCTTTTTGCATTTTTGTTCCCTTTTTAAAAACCAGGAACATTAGAAGTTTCCTCTTCTTTAGGGATATTCCTTAAAATAATTGGATTTAATAAATTACTGGGAACAAAAAGAGAGAAACAGCAATTTTTCACCTTCTTTGAGAATGAAAGAAACAAAGAAAAGAAAAAAAAAGAAATAGCAATTTGAAAATAAAATGCCTGAGGTATAACACTCAGACAAACATATTGCTCCTTTATAATAAAAGAGATTTCCACAGAACAGGTGTGTTGGTTGTCAGAAAGGCAACAATCAGTTACTGGTTTAATTCGGGAGATGATTAAAACATTCATATGCACAGGAATGGCACCGTTACCAAGTTCTTCCATGGATGACTTTGGGCAAAGCGACCAATGAATCACAGCCTCCCGGAAGGACAGACAGCTCCAGAGGAGTCCTGTCTCTATATGGGTGGAAGTGTTCCAGGTATCGGCTGGTGTTAGAGGAGGAATCCAAATCAGACTTCCTAAATATGTTCAGAATGTTGTGCAAGCATATTTATTGATGTGAAAGAAATTTGCGAATTGGCAGTGTTCAATTTCTTTTTTCTTTTTTTTTCTTTTCTTCAAATAGGGTCTTACTCTGTTGCCCAGGCTGGAGTGCACTTCACCATCACAGCTCAGCCTTGAACTCCTGGGCACGCGGGATCCTCTCGCCTCAGCCTGTCATGCAGCTGGGACCACAGGCATGCACCACCCTACCCAGCTTATTTTTTTTATTTTTGTAGAGATGAGTTCTCACTATTTTGCCCAGGCTGGTCTTGAACTTTTAGGCTCAAGCAATCCTCCCACCGCAGCCTTCCAAAGTGTTGGGATTATAGGCATTAGCCACTGCACCTGGCCCAATTTCTTAACAGAAAACAAATCTGAAGCAAATAAGGTATAGATAGATTGATAGATTATAAATCTACATTAGTCCAGTACCAACAGGAAACAGATGCCATGCTCAAACTGGATAATTAAATATTGTTAAATGAAGAGATAATTTATAAAGGTGTTATATTAGTTTACTAGGATTGTCATAACAAAATACTACAGAGTGGATGGCTTAAACAATAGAAATTTCTTTTCTCAGAGTTCTGGAGGCTAGCAAGCCAAAATCAAAGTGTCAGCATGGTTCATCTCTTCTGGGGGTGTAAGGGAAAGACCAGGTCCACGCCTCTGTCCTTGACTCATAGATGGCCATCTCCTCCTGGTGTCTTCACACTGTCTTCTTTTACGTGTGTCTATTTCTGAATCCAAATTTATGCTTTTTATACAAATAACACTCTCATTGGATTAGAGTCCACTTTCTTTTATTGTTTGAGGCGGGGTTTCACTCTGTGGCCCATGCTGGAGCTCAGTGGTGAAATTGTAGCTTACTGCAGCTTCAGACTCCTGGGCTCAAGTGATCCTCCCACTTCAGCCTCCTAAGTAGCTGGGACTACAGGTGCACACCACCACATCTGGCCAGAGCCCACCTTTATGGCCTAATTTTAACCTCATTACCTCTGTAAAGGCCTTTTCTCCAAATAAGGTCACATTTTGAGGTATTGGGGGTTAGGATTTCAACATATTAATTAGGAGAGGGGAACATAATTCAACCCATAACAGGCCAGGAGCAGTGGCTCATGCCTGTAATCCCAGCACTTTGGGAGGCCAACGCAGGAGGATCACTTGAGGCCAGGAGTTCAAGACCAGCCTGGGCAACATGGTGAAAACCTGTCTCTACTAAAAATACAAAAATTAGCCTGGCATGGTGGCGCACGCCTGTAATCCCAGCTACTTGGGAGACTAAGGCAGGAGAATAGCGTCAACGTAAGAAGTGGAGGCTGCAGTGAGCCGAGATTGCACCACTGCACTCCAGCCTGGGCGACAGAACGAGACTCTGTCAAAAACAAACAAACAAACAAAAACAGGTGTAGACACTGCTTGAGAAAATCAACAAGGGATAGTACAGTACCCTGGGGCTAATCACAGCAGAAATCTCTTTCCACCCTAGGATGGAAGATGAATGGAGAGCAATATGGAACTTAAACCATCAGAAGATTGCTTGAGCCAAGAAGGTTGAGACTGCAGTGAGCTATGCCACTGCACTCCAGCTTGAGTGGAAGAGCAAGACTGTTTCTTTAAAAAAAAAAACAAAAAAACAAAAAAAAAAACGGCAGGGTGCGGTGGCTCACACCTGTAATCCCAGCACTTTGGGAGGCTGAGGTGGGCAGATCATGAGGTCCAGAGTTCGAGACCAGCCTGGCAAAGATGATGAAATCCCCTCTCTACTAAAAATACAAAAATTAGCCAGGCATGGTGGCGGGTGCCTACTCGGGAGGCTGAGGCAGGAGAATTGCTTGAACCTGGGACACAGAGCTTGCGGTGAGCCGAGATCACGCCATGGCACTCCAGCCTGGGCAACAGAGCGAGACTCCGTCTCAAAAAAAAAAAAAAAAAGGAAAAGATACAAAGGTCTTGTGTTTTGGCTGGTACCCAAATATTCAGGGAAGGGTATCTATGAAGCATTGAGGAATTAACTACCTTCAGAGTTCTCCGTGAAACTCTGATAAAAGTTATTTTTATACCCCAAGTGTCCTGACTACACTAGCAATCAACAATCTTTGCTGAGGCATCTATGCAGAATGTGTGTAAAAATCTTTTATGGAACCTCCCAAAATACCCTTTCCCATAGAGTGCCAGAACACTCAGTGTCCTTTGATGAGATCTAAACACAGCAGAGTTCATTTCTTTGGAATCACCATTATAAGATTTTCTGCGTGACTTCTGCAATGTCATAGCAGGATCTCTCTGTTTTTATATTGGCGAACAGATGTAAAGTTTTAGCTTCAATATAAAGGTTACTGCATAAATTCTGTATGCCTTCGTAAGTCCTGTGACATGGTAAATAAAGTAAAAAACCAGCATCTACACATACGCTATAAAAGTCTCATATCAGTTTTCATCAGCAGATGAAGAGTTACATACCAAACATGTGCAAACATGTAATATTAGAGCTTTCCAAC
Organism: Homo sapiens; assembly: GCF_000001405.40. Taxonomy (NCBI): domain Eukaryota; kingdom Metazoa; phylum Chordata; class Mammalia; order Primates; family Hominidae; genus Homo; species Homo sapiens. Next base: position 21,458,634 of record NC_000010.11, read on the forward strand.
TCAAAAAAATACTAAGCTTTTTCTCAAACTAACAATGATTATATTCCTCTGAGGGCTATGAATATGTAGAGTTTGAAGGTTTTATGTCCAACTATTCTTAAAGTTATTTGAGGGCAGAAAAAGGTCACTGGGATTTTTTTTAAAAATCATTTTATAGAAAAACAGCTGGACTGATTTACTCTAACATCTTCCAGCTATGAAATGGGAAGAAATCTGCCCTGCATAAACCTGAACAGCACGACATTTCAGAAAGAAAGCAAGAAGATTTCTTGGCTGGGCATGGTGGCTCACGCCTGTAATCCCAGCATTTTGGGAGGACGAGGCGGGTGGATCACCTGAGGTCAGGAGTTCTAGACCAGCCTGGCCAACATGGTAAGACCCCGTCTTTACTAAAAATACAAAAATAACCAGGCCTGGTGGCGCATGCCTGTAATCTCAGCTACTTGGGAGGCTGAGGCAGGAGAATCGCTTGAATCTGGGAAGTAGAAGTTGTGGTGAGCTGAGATCACACCACTTTACTCCAGCCTGGGCAATAGAGTGAGACTCCATCTCAAAAAAATAAAAAAAAAAAAAGAAGACAAAAGAAAAAAGAAAGAGAAAGCTGAAAGATTTCTGTGTGGAAATTTGAAATTTTTGGATTTGATCAACTGTTATTTATTAAAGTTGCTATCACTCAAGAATATGATTTATCAGCCGGTGGCTCACGCCTGTAATCCCAGCACTTCGGAAGTCCAAGGTGGGCAGATCACGAGGTCAAGAGATGGAGACCATCCTGGCCAACATGGTGAAATCCTGTCTCTACTAAAAAATACAAAAATTAGCTGGGCGTGGTGGTGCATGCCTGTAATCCCAGCTACTTGGGAGGCTGAGGCAGGAGAATCGCTTCAACCCGGGAGGCGGAGGTTGCAGTGAGCCAAGATCATGCCACTGCACTCCAGCCTGGCAACAGAGCGAGAGTCCGTCTCAAAAAAAAAAAGAATATGACTTCTCATAACAAATAAATCTGAATAAGAAATTTTTTTTTCTGGAAGTTGACTTATACCAGGTAGGAGAGAAAACAGAAACTCAAAACATCATGACTTAATTGTTACATTTACTACATTTACTATTTCTACTTGTCTACATGTATATACATAAACAAGGAGTAACATTTAAACAAAGAAGCTGGGCCGGGCAAGGTAGTACATACCTGTCATCCCAGCACTTTGGGAGGCTGAGGCAGGAGGACCCCTTGAGCCTAGGAGTTCAAGACCAGCCTGGACAATATAGTGAAACCCTCGTCTCTAAAAATAAATAAATAACTGAAAGACTATAGACTATTTCTAAAACCCCATTAAAGTTCAACTTATTCTCACGTCACAGATTTCTTTTTTTTTTTTTCTTGAGACATATTCTTGCTCTGTTGCCCAGGCTGGAGTGCAGTGGCCAGATCTCGGCTCCCTGCAAGCTCCGCCTCCCGGGTTCACGCCGTTCTCCTGCCTCAGCCTCCCGAGTAGCTGGGACTACAAGCGCTCATCACCACGCCCAGCTAATTTTTGTGTGTTTTTAGTAGAGATGGGGTTTCACCTTGTTAGCCAGGATGGTCTCCATCTCCTGACCTCGTGATCCACCTGTCTCGGCCTCCCAAAGTACTGGGATTACAGGCGTGAGCCACCGCGCCTACCCCCCGTTTTTGTTTTTTTTGTTTGTTTGTTTGTTTGTTTGTTTGTTTCCAACGGAGTTTTGCTCTTGTCGCCCAAGCTGGAGTGCAATGGCGCCATCTCGGCTCACTGCAACCTCCGCCTCCCGGGTTCAAGCGATTCTCCTGCCTCAGCCTCCCGAGTAGATGGGATTACAGGCACGCACCACCATGTCCGGCTAATTTTTTGTATTTTTAGTAGAAACAGAGTTTCACCATGTTAGCCAGGCTGGTCTCAAACTCCTGACCTCAGGTGATCCACCCGCCTCGGCCTCCCAAAGTGTTGGGATTACAGGCGTGAGCCACTGCGCCCAGCCATTTTTGGTTTTTGTTTGTTTGTTTGTTTGTTTGTTTGTTTGTTTTTTGAGACAGAGTCTCGCTCTGTCACCTAAAACTGGAGTGCAGTGTCGCAATCTCAGCTCACTGCAACCTCTGCCTCCCAGGTTCAAGTGATTCTCCTTCCTCAGCCTCCTGAGTAGCTGGGATTACAGGCATGCACCACCATGCCTGGCTAATTTTTGTATTTTTAGTAGCGAAGGGGTTTCACCATATTGATCAGGCTGGTCTGAAACTCCTAAGCTCAAGTGATCTGCCCACCTCAGCCTCCCAAAATGCTGGGATTGCAAACATGAGCCACCGCGCCCAGCCTCTCACACATTTTTTAGTTAGTCTTTCACTCTTCACCAAAATATTCATCTTGGCTTTGAGTAGTCTCTGCCTTCTAACGCACTCAATCCTTTATAAAAGTTTGGCTGTGTGTTGTCATATCATCCTCACAAATGAGATGGTTATGAAACATGGTATATTTGTTCATGGTAACTGATGAGTTCTTAGATCATATGCAGATTTTCACTGGCTGTAAGAGAAATCTATATATTGATATGCATAGATACTCAATATATTATTGAATGTTTTATGGTATTTGGAAGGGGAGAGGAATTGGAATGATGCCCTTGAATTATTTGCCAATAAAATTCAAGAGGGAACACTTTAAAGTGGTTAAGATAAAGAATGTTATGCTATGTATATTTTACTATGATAAAAAAAATTCAGGGGGGAAAATACCAGAAAAACATGAGAAAAATAAGTTTACATATATTGAAGGAGTTACGGGACTACTTTGAATAAACAATGCAATGGCATCAAGTTCTTTGATTATGGTATGGCAGATTTATATATCTCATGCTTAGCAGTAGAGCAAAACTGAAATGGCCAGCCAGTATAAGAAACAACATCCAGCCAGCCATCAGATTTCATGTTAGTCAAGTATGATTATAGTCACTTAAACAGTAAAAGTAACACTTCTCAATTTTTAATTTAAAGAATTAAGACATACCTATCATCTAGAATTACAAAATTTTAAGACAGGAAGAGACCATTTTTTACTAATAAAGAATACTGGCCGGGGGCCGGGCGTGGTGGCTCACGCCTGTAATCCCAGCACTTTGGGAGGCCGAGGCGGGCGGATCACGAGATCAAGACATCAAGACCATCCTGGCTAACACGGAGAAACCCCGTCTCTACTAAAAATACAAAAAATTGGCCAGTTGTGGTGGCGGGTGCCTGTAATCCCATCTACTCGGGAGGCTGAGGCAGGAGAATGGCGTGAATCCAGGAGGCGTAGCTTGCGATGAGCCAAGATCGTGCCACTGTACTCCATCCTGGGCAACAGTGCGAGACTCCATCTAAAAAATAAAAAAAATAAAAAATAAAAAAAAAATAAGGAATACTGTCTGGGCCGGGCACAGTGGCTCATGCCTGTAATCCCAGCACTTTGGGAGGCTGAGGCAGGCGGATCATGAGGTCAAGAGTTCGAGACCAGCCTGGCCAACATGGTGAAACCCCGTCTTTACTAAAAATACAAAAATTAGCCAGGCATGGTGGCGTATGCCTGTAGTCCCAGCTACTTGGGAGGCTGAGACAGGAGGATCACTTGAACCTGGGAGGTGGAGGTTGCAGTGAGCCAAGATTGTGCCACTGCACTCCAGGCTGGGTGACAGAGTGAGACTCTGTCTCAAAAAAAAAAAAAAAAAAATACTGGCCGGGCGTGGTGGCTCATGCCTGTAATCCCAGCACTTTGAGAGGCCAAGGCAGATGGATGGATCATTTGCAGTCAGGAGTTCAACACCAGCCTGCCAAACACAGTGAAACCACATCTCTACCAAAAATACAAAAATTAGCCAGGTGGTAGTGGTGCACGCTGTAATCCCAGCTACTCAAGGGGCTGAGGCAGGAGAATCACTTGAGCCTGGGAGGCAGATGTTGTGGTGAGCTGAGATCTTGCCACTGCACTTCAGTCTGGGCAACACAGCAAGACTCTGTCTCAAAAAAAAAAGAATACTGATATCAGAGGAGAATAAAATATTTGCCCGAAATCACACTGTAACTCTAGACTGTGGGTCTTCAATCATTGATTCAACAAATTTGTATTTGGTGCCTAAAACATGCCAGGCATTGTGAATTGTTGGGACTATAGACATGAGTAGGACACTCAGACCCTGCCCACATGGAAGTGCCTGTCAAACAGGATAGCAGACCTAGGTAGATGGCTGCAATGTAGTGTGATGAGTGCAATGGTGCAACTACGTACATACTTCCCCAGCAGTACAGAGAGTGATTCTGTCTCAAGAGCTCTTTATGAGAAAATGAGAAAAAGTAAAAAGGACTTCATAAAGAGAAGGCATTCTTTTTTTTTTTTTTTTTTTTGAGACGTTTTCTCGCTCCGTCGCCAGGCTGGAGTGCAGTGGCAAGATCTCGGCTCACTGCAACCTCTGACTCCCTGGTTCAAGGGATTCTCCTGCCTCAGCCCTCAGCCTCCCGACTAGCTGGGATTACAGGCAAGCACCACCACGCCCAGCTAATTTTTGTATTTTTAGCAGAGATGGAGTCTCACCATGTTGGCCACGATGGTCTCGATCTCCTGACCTCGTGATCCGCCCGCCTCGGCCTCCCAAAGTGCTGGGATTACAGGTGTGAGCTACCGCGCCTGGCCAAGAGAAGGCATTCTTTAACCAGATCTCCATTCAATAAGTAAAGTAGGAAGAAAAAGGAGACATCACATAGTCTGAAGTTCAGCATGGCTACAAGGATGGGGGACAGGTGAAAAATGGGGTGGGAGGAAAGAATGGAAAAATCATGCAGCTTGAAGGGGAGATAGAATTGCAGATGTCTAATGACCTTGTGCTAAATCACTTAGATTTTATTCTGGAGGCCACGAAGGCAAGACATTCAAGCTGGAAGTGGAAACTGTATTTTTGAAAGAGAACTCTCACTCACAGTGGGCTGGAGAATGGATTATAAAGAAACTGGAGCCTGCAAGGTCCATTGCCAAGCTGCAGCAATGGTACACTCACTACTTTATTTTCGTTTTCCAGTAAAAACCTTTGGGACTATGATGTTTTCACCCTCCAATATAAGCCAAGATGTCAAACTGTGAACTGCAGTTCAACCCTGACCAGTCACTGGCTTCTTCTAAAGCTTCTGCTACCACCCCGTCTTCATATGGATGGAGCATTCCTTTTCCCTCAAATACACCAAAATGTACTCCTAGGGGCCAGGCACAGTGACTCACACCTGTAAGCCCAAGATTTTGGGAGGCTGAGGCAGGCAGATCATTTGAGTTCAGGAGTTCAAGACCAGCCTGGCCAGCATGGTGAAAGCCTGTCTTGTACTAAAAATACAAAAATTAGCCGGGCATGATGGCATGTGCCTGTAATCCCAGCTACGTGGGAGGTTGAGGCAGGAGAATTGCTTGAACCTGGGAGGCAGAAGTTACAGTGAGCCAAGATTATGCCACTGCACTCCAGCCTGGGCGACAGAGCAATACTCCATCTCAAAAAATAAAAATAAATTTTAAAAAATCGCTTACTGTCTCTAAGACTTTCCTAGAGTGGAGAAATGGGATTTGTCTCTCTACACAATAGTATACAGATAGGCACAAAGAGGATATGGGTTTGCATCTGAAGATACAGATCTGGAAGGCATCTGTGAAGCATGACGCCACAGAAAAGAATCCAGTCACCCAGGGAAACACACAAAACAGGAAAGAAAAAGGCTTAAAGAGTGGACAGAAGGCCGGGCACAGTGGCTCACACCTGTAATCCCAGCACTTTGGAAGGCTGAGGCAGGACAATCGCTTGAACCTGGGTGGTGGAGGTTGCGGTGAGCGGAGATCACCCCATTGCACCCCAGCCTGGGTGACAGATTGAGACTCCGACTTAAAAAAAAAAAAAAAAAAAGAGAGTGGACAGAAGAGGGAATCAGGCAAAGAAACTAGTGAAGAGTACCCACCTGGAATAACCAACAAGGGCATCCACAGATATGAAATATCTCAAAGCCATACCAAACAGGCAGGTTACTTGTATGTAAGCCAAAAATCAGCTGCCTGCCTGACCCCCACGTTCTTAGGTCATCTTGGGTCAATCTATCCTTTAAGATTAAAATATCAGGCCGGGCACAGTGGCTCCCACGTGTAATCCTAGCACACAGTGGCTCACACCTGTAATCCCAGCACTTTGGGAGGCTGAGGCGGGTGGATCACAAGGTCAGGCGGGTGGATCACGAGTTTGAGACCAGCCTTACCAACACAGTGAAAAGCTGTCTCTACTAAAAATACAAAAATTAGTCAGGCATGGTGCATGGTGGCGTGTGCCTGTAATCCCAGGTGCACAGGAGGCTGAGGCAGGAGAATCGCTTGAACCCAGGAGGCAGAGGTTGCAGTGAGCCGAGATCTCACCACTGTGCTCCAGCCTGGGTGACAGAGTGAGACTCTGTCTCAAAAAGAAAAAAAAAAAAGATTAAAATATCCTGTGGAAGCCAGGTGTTGTGGCACATCCCTGTAGTCCCAGCTACTCAGGAGGCTAAGGCAGGAGGCCAAGGCAGGAGGATTGCTTGAGCCCAGGAGGTCAAGACTCAAGACTGCAGTGAGCCATGATTGCATCACTGTACTCCAGCCTGGGCAACAGAGCAAGACCTTGTCTCAAAAAAAAAAAAAAAAAATTATCCTGTGGAACTGCAAATTAATACAATCCGTAAAGCGGGTCATGTGAGAATGTCTACTAAAATTTTAAGCACACGTGTATTTTATCTAGCAATTCTACTCTTAGGGATTTATCCTATAAACATATTGGCACATTTGCAAAGTTATTTTTGAAGGATAAGTTAAGTAAATCATGGTACTTCTAAACATGAAATACTATGCAGCCAAAAATCTATTAAAAGTGGGGGAGGAGGCTCTATCTGTAGTAATATGGAAAGATAAAACCAACATATACCATTACATGAAAAAAAAATACAGAAGGTTATGCAAAGTATGCTACCATTTGTGTGAGGAAAAAATAATGTGTAAACTTCTATGTTAAACAAATGTTTAATATCTCTTGAAGAATACTCAAGAAATTGATAACAATGGTGGCTGGGAGCCACTAGGATTAGTGGCTCACACCTGTCATCTCAGCACTTTGGTAAGCGGAGGCAGGTGGATCACCTGAGGTCAGGAGTTCAAGATCAGCCTGGCCAACGTGGTGAAACCCCGTCTCTACTAAAACTACAAAAATTAGCTGGGCCTGGTGGTGTGTGCCTGTAATCCCAGCTATTCCGGAGGCTGAGGCAGGAGAATTGCTTGAACCCGGGAGGCAGAGATTGCAGTATGCTGGGATCGAACCACTGCACTCCAGCCTGGGTGACACAGCAGGACTCTGTCTCAAAAACAAACAAACAAACAAAAAAAGATAACAATGATACCTTCATAGCTAGGAAACTGAAGAGGAAAGGATGCTTATTTTTCATTATATGCCCTTTTGAACATTTTGAATTTTATGCCGTGTGTGTAATACCTGTTTAAAAATTAAGGTTGGTTTAAAAAATGAGCTGGGCATGATGGCATGTGCTTGTAATCCCAGCAGTTCGGAAGGGTGAGGTGGGAGGATCCCTTAAGCCTAAGAAATTGAGACCAGCCTGGACAACCTACCAAGACCCCATCTCAAGATAAAATAAAATATCAAAATAAAATAAACATTAAAAATAACCAATTACACCATCCTGGCCAACATGGTGAAACCCTGTCTCTACTAAAAATACAAAAATTAGACAGGCATGGTGGCGCACACCTGTAGTCCCAGTTACGCGGGAGCCTGAGGCAGGATAATTGCTTGAATCCAGGAGGTGAAGGTTGCAGTGAGCCGAGATCGAGCCACTGCACTCCAGCCTGCCAATAGAACGAGACTCCGTCTCAAAAAAAAAGCAATTACATAAGAATTGTTGGCCAGGCGCGGTGGCTCACGCCTGTAATCCCAGCACTTTGGGAGACCGAGGTGGGCGGATCACGAGGTCAGGAGATCGTGACCATCCCGGCTAACACGGTGAAATCCCGTCACTACTAAAAATACAAAAAATTAGCCGGGCATGGTGGCAGGCGCCTGTAGTCCCAGCTACTCGGGAGGCTGAGGCAGGAGAACGGCATGAACCCAGGAGGCGGAGCATGCAGTGAGCCAAGATCACGCCACTGCACTCCAGCCTGGGCGGCAGAGTGAGACCCTGTCTCAAAAAAAAAAAAAAAAATTGTTTAAGCAAGAAAATATTTACAATGAAATAAAGAAAAAAAAATTTTTTTTTGAGATGGAGTCTTGCTGTGTGGCCCAGGCTGGAATGCAGTGGCACAATCTCGACTAACTGAAACCTCTGCCTCCCAGGTTCAAGCAATTCTCCTGACTCAGCCTCCCGAGTAGCTGGGACTACAGGTGCCGGCCACCATACCCAGGTAATTTTTGTATTTTTAGTAGAGACGGGGTTTCACCTTATTGGTCAGGCTGATCTTGAACTCCTGACCTCAGGTGATCCACCTGCCTCGGCCTCCCAAAATGCTGGGATTACAGGTGTGAGCCACTAATCCTAGTGGCTCCCAACCACCACTGTTATCAATTTCTTGAGTATTCTTCAAGAGATATTAAACATTAGTTTAACATAGAAGTTTACACATTATTTTTTCCTCACACAAATGGTAGCACCTGGCCAGAAAAAAAAATCTGTATTAAAATAACTCACTTTCCCACCCTATATACAAGGGAAAACTAGTGTCCCTCCCAATATCTTCGAGGATTCTTGGGGAGAAGAGGGGACTTGCATTTCTCCTAGTGACCTCCAATTCTGATATCTTGATTTCACTGGATTCTTAGGCTCAACTCTCATTCCTGCCTCCTACATATGCTACTTGTCACTGTGAACAGTAGCAGCAGTTGCTAGCTCTAATTAAGCCTGTTTTTCCCTACAAAGCCCTCCTTAGAGCTCTTTTCAAAACTCTATCTACTAGTAACAGGAATGGGGATGTCTTTTCTCCTTCTAGTTAGTACTCAATCAAAAAATTTGAGCCAGGCACAATGGCTCACACCTGTAATCCCAACATTTTGAGAGGCCACGGCAGGAGGATTCCTTGACCCAGGAGTTCAAGACCAGCCTGGACAACACAGTCAGACCCCATCTCTACAAAAAAATTTAAAAATTAGCTGGGTACAGTGTCATATTCCTGTGGTCCTAGCTATTCAGGGGGGCTGAAGTGGGAGGATCACTTGACCCCAGGAGTTGGAGGTTGCTGTGAACCATGATCACACTACTACATTCCAACCTGGGCAATAGAGCAAGACCCTGTCTCAAAAAAAAAAAATTTTTTTTTTTTTGATGTATGAGTTCCAGCTACCTCCACAATAGAGAACAGCTTACCCAAGTGGTGCCAGCAACCAGCCAACGCCACCAGGCATCTAAAGCTTTGAAGCCTATACATGACTTCAGTCCCTGTCCTTCACTTCTGTCTCCCAGAGATCTGCCACTACTGGGGCATCTCTGTGGTGTGGCCAAGTCACAAAATCAAAGTCCTCAACATTTGTCCTACTTCCATATTCACTGTTTCTAGCAGTATCCCTCCTGCCTCCTCCAGGGGCTCCACTGTAGACTAGGTGCTCGCCCCGTAGTCTAGACCCAGTCTCTAGGAAGTCCTCTCCTAACAAGTGGAGCAGGGTAAGAACACTGGACCAATCAGGCCGGGCACAGTGGCTCACACCTGTAATCCCAGTACTTTGGGAGGCTGAGGTGAGTGGATGACTTGAGGCCAGGAGTTTGAGACCAGCCTGGCCAATATGGTGAAACCTCACCTCTACTAAAAACACAAAAATTATCCAGATATGGTGGCGCACAACTACAATCCCAGCAACTCAGGAGGCTGAGGCAGGAGAGTCACTTGAGCCTGGGAGGTGAAGGATGCAGTGAGCCAAGATCGCACCACTGCACCACTGCACTCCAACCTGGGCAACAGAGCAAGACTCTGTCTCTCAAAAAAAAAAAAAAAAAAGACCAATCAAAGCCTGCCTGCCCAGGAACCTGTGATCCTCTCTCACTTGCTATTTCTGCAATGAATTTTTTGGTCTTGACCACTCCAGGAAGTTCACACAATACTGCATACCTTCTGCCTAAAACCTTTCTTTTTTCTTTTCTTTTTTTTTTGAGAGAAAGTCTCACTCTGTCGCCCAGGCTACAGTGCAGTGGCTCGATCTTGGCTCACTACAATCTCCACCTCCCGAGTTTAAGCAATTCTCTGCCTCAGCCTCCTGAGTAGCTGGGATTACAGCTGCGTGCCACCACGCCCAGCTAATTTTTGTATTTTTAGTAGAGACAGAGTTTTACCATCTTGGCCAGGCTGGTCTGGTCTTGAACAGGCAAGAGCCACTGTGCCCAGCCTAAAACCTCCTTTCTTAAACTATTGCTTCAAGGATCATCTCAAGCAGTTTAAAAGAATTCTCTGTAACCCCAGCTCTTTGGGAGGTCTCAGGCAGATCGCCTGAGGTCAGAAGTTCGAGACCAGCCTGAACAACATGGTGAAACCCCGTCTCTACTAAAAATACAAAAATTAGCTTGGTGTAGTGGTACACACTTGTAATCCCAGCTATCTGGGAGGCTGAGGTAGGAGAATTGCTTGAATCCAGGAGGCAGAGGTTGCAGTGAGCCGAGATCATGCCACTGCACTCCAATCTGGGAGACAGCAAGACTCCATCTCAAAAAAAAAAAAAATTTATCTGACTTTGAAGTCTCCTTCAAGAACCAAAATATCCTGTACAGGTGAATTTGTTAACAACGGTTGGTTAAGTGTAGTATTCCTAGCAAAGATGCACTCTTGGCTCAGCTCTAGAGGGATGACTGAAGCCAACGTACAGCTGGGTATGGCACCAGAGTTCAAAACTGCTTTAGACAGGATCCCAAAATGGAACCCAGAGGTCAGCCACCTGGATGCCAATCCTCCATCCTGCAGGGTTCATTCTGATATAGTTTCTATATTAGTCCCCACCTAAACCTCATGTCAAACTGTAATCGCCAGTATTGGAGGTGGGGCCTGGTGGGAGGTGATTGGACCATGGGGGTGGATTTCTCATGAATGGTTAGCACCATCTCCTTGGTGCTCCCCTCACAATAGTAAGTGAGTTCACACAAGTTCTGGTCATTTAAAAGTGTGTGACACCTCTCCTCAACTCTCCGTCTCACTCCTGCTTTCACCATGTGAGACACGTGCTCCCCCTTCACCTTCCACCATGATTCGAAACTTCCCAAGGCCTCCCCAGACACAGGTGCCACTATGCTTCCTGTACAACCTGTAGCGTCATGAACCAATGAAACCTCTTTTTTATATGTATTACCCAGTCTCAGGTATTTCTTATTTCTTTCTTTCTTTTTTTTTTTTTTTAGACAGTATCTCACTCTGTCACGCAGGCTGGAGTGCAGTGGCTCGATCTCGGCTCACTGCAACCTCTGCCGCCTGGGTTCAAGCAATTCTCCTGCCTCAGCCTCCCTAGTAGGTGGGATTACAAGCACCCACCACCACACCTGGCTAATTTTTGTATTTTTAGTACAGACGAGGTTTCACCATGTTGGCCAGGCTCATGTGGACTTCAAGTGATCCACCCGCCTCAGCCTCCCAAAGTGCTGGGATTACAGGCGTAAGCCACTGTGCCCGGCAGGTATTTCTTTACAGCAATGCAAGAATGGCCTAATACAATTCTATACCATGATATTTGAATTCAGATGATCCAAATACCATCTCATATATGACAGGACACCTAGGATCCCCTCCAATTTTATGTATCTGGGGATTCTACAGAAAACAACTTTCTTCTCATCTCTTGTTCCAATGTCCTGTACCTGCTGAATTCTCAATCCCTCTCACATATCATCTTGTGAAGCTTTTTTCTTTCTTTTCTTTCTTTCCCTTTTATTTTTTTTAAGATGGAGTCTTGCTCTGTTGCCCAGGCTGGAGTACAGTGGCGCAATCTCGGCTCACTGTAACCTCCATCTCCTGGATTCAAGATATTTTCCTGCCTCCACCTCCTGAGTAGCTGGGATTTCAAGTGCGTGCCACCACACCTGGCTAATTTTTTTTTTTTTTTGTATTTTTAGTAGAGATGGGGTTTCACCATGTTGGTCTGGCTGGTCTCGAACTCCTGGTCTAGGTCTGCTCGACTAGGCCTCCCAAAGTGCTGGAATTACAGGCATGAGCCACTGTGCCCAGCCTTCTTTCTTTATATATACATATATATACACATATATTTTGAGATGGCGTCTCACTCTGTCACCCAGGCTGGAGTACAGTTAGCACGATCTCAGCTCACTGCAACATCTGAACCCTAAATTCAAGCAATTGTCCTGCCTCAGCCTCCCGAGTAGCTGGGATTACAGGTGCCCACAACAAGCCTGGCTAATTTTTGTATTTTTAATAGAGACTGGGTTTCACCATGTTGGCCGGGCTGGTCTCAAACTCCTGACCTCCAGTGATCCACCCGCGTCAGCCTCCCAGAGTGCTGGGATCACAGGCATGAGCCACCTCACCTGGCCCTGGGAAGCTTTTTTCTTTTTTTCTTTCTTTTTTGTTTTTTTAAGACAGAGTCTCACACTGTTGCCCGGGCTGGAGTGTAGTGGTGCCATCTCGGCTCACCGCAACCTCTGCCTCCTGGGTTCAAACAATTCTCCTACCCCAGCCTCCTGAGTAGCTGGGATTACAGGTGCCCACCACCACGCCCAGCTCATTTTTTGTATTTTTAGTAGAGACAAGGTTTCACTATGTTGGCCAGGCTGGTCTTGAACTCCTAACATCATGATCTGCCTGCCTCAGCCTCCCGAAGTGCTGGGATTACAGGCTTGAGCCACTGTGCCCAGCCTGAGAAGCTTTTTTCTACCTACAAAAGCTCATTTTCAAAGCATCCCACCCTCTGACCCTTCCCTCTTTTTTTTTTTTTTTTCTTAAGAGAGGGTCTCACTCTGGCCCCCAGGCTGGAGTGCAGTGACACTATCAGAGCTCACTGCAGCCTTGACCTCCCAGGCTCAAGCAATCCTCCCATCTCATCCTCCCAAATAGCTGAGACTATAGGCACATGCCACCACACCCAGATAATTTTTACTTTTTTTGTAGAGACAGCGTTTCACCAAGTTGCCCAGGCTGGCCTCGAACTCCTGAGCTCAAGTGATTTGCCCACCTCAGCCTCCCAAATTGCTCGGATTACAGGTGTGCACCACGACACTCAGCTGGAACACCATTTTTACTTGCAAGAACAACTGACAGATGTATGATTATTTAGGCTTCAGTGTTTGGCACATTGTCTCAACATTAAATGAAGTGAACCTATCACTTTAAGGAATACAGCTGACAGTGTTGGTTTCCAGTAATAAAATTTGAGCTTTCAAGCAAAAGCTAGAATTTTCAAAAACTTGAATCTGCCACTGTGAGCTTAAAACCTTCCCAATACTTAAAACTTTTCTGCTGAGATCAATGGCGATAATAACAAATGTGATTCTTTTAATATTGTGTAATGAAAAGCGCCAATATTTGGAAGATCTGCATGATTCAGGGAACCAATATTTTCCACATGACCAGTGCATGACGTTACAAAATTATGTATGGGCAAAAGGTCCATTTATAAGGCAAAATAAATCAATGAATTTTAATATAACAGAATACAAAAAGTTCATTGATATGAATGCAGATTCTACATTGCAACTACATTTTTAAGAAATTACCACTTGTCAAGTTTTGGTAGGGTACCAAAGAATAATACCTATGATTATCTAAAAATGCTACTAAAATACTCCTCTATTTTCCAGCTTTATGTCTATGTAAGGTGGAATTTTCTTCAACTACTTCAACCAAAATAACATTGCAACAGATTGATTGCAAAAGCAACTATGAGAACCAAGTGTCTTTTTTTTCTTTTTTTTTTTTTTTTTTTTGAGACGGAGTTTTGCTCTTGTTGCCCAGGCTGGAGCGCAATAGTGCGATCTTGGCTCACCGCAACCTCTGCCTCCCAGGTTCAAGTGATTCTCCTGCCTCAGCCTCCCTAGTAGCTGGGATTACAGGCATGTACCACTGCACCTGGCTAATTTTGTATTTTTAGTAGAGACGGGGTTTCTCCACGTTGGTCGGGCTGGTCTCGAACTCCCAACCTCAGGTAATCCGCCCGCCTTGGCCTCCCAAAGTGCTGGGATTACAGGCATGAGCCACCGCGCCCGGCCCCAGGTGTCTTTTATTAGACCAAATATTAAAAGAAATTTGCAAAAATGTGAAACATCTTTCTTCTCACTAAATCCTTTTTGTTTTGGAATAAATAGTTATTTTTATAAAATACATGTCATTTGTGCTAACATGTATAGGGTTTTTGTTATTTTAAAATTAATTAATGATTATATATTTTTAAAGTTTCTCTAATTTCTAATATAGTAAACATCGATAAATAGAACTCACAAAATCAAAGCTCGTTTTTTTTAAGAGTAGAAATGGGATGCTGAAACCAAAAAGTTTAAGAACTATTGGTTTCACCGAACAGAAAAAATCATTTTAGAATATATCTGCTTTTTGTTCAGGGAAAATCGATGACTGGCCTTCCTTAGTTATGTAAATATATGATGAACAGGCACCTACTGCTCTGGGAGAAGGGATAAGAGGACCTTTTGTGACCTGACAAAGTCTGTCCCTCGAAGCTTGGTATACAGAGGTAGTCACTAAGAGTAAATCTGCATGGGGACCAAGAAGCATCCTGGGAAGAAAGCAAACAAACCCTGGCCCCTTCTCTTTGAGATTGAATGTCCTTGCAACCACTCAGAAGGCTTGAGAACCGGTGGAAACAAAGGACATCAAAGTCTTCAAAGGAGTAAACTCACCATGAGACAGAGAAGAATTCTGCACAGGTGACCAGGGCCTAGAAGGCCATACGGGAGGAATCGCTCCTGCAGAGTGTGAAATTGAGGATGGCAAACCTCTCTGGATCTCTGGATCCAGCTACTTTGTCCCAGCAGTTCTATCTTGGGAATAATGATTGAACATGAATGTGAAGTAGAAGAGAGATTCTCTGGGAGCCCGTATGTGGGTATCTGCAGAGATCTGAAATAGCAGTACCATCATTGTAGCAGTGGGGCCGGGCCTGGGCTGAATCACCCTTCAGCAGTGATAACCACCAGGTGATGATATAAGAAGCAGCAACCCAGCCGGGCGCGGTGCCTCACACCTGTAATCCCAGCACTTTGGGAGGCTGAGGTGGGCGGATTACGAGGTCAGGAGTTTGAGACCAGCCTGACCAACGTGGGAAACCCCATCTTTACTAAAAATACAAAAATTAGCCAGGCATGGTGGTGCATGCCTATAATCCCAGCTACTCAGGAGGCTGAGGCAGGAGAATCACTTGAACCCAGGAGCCGGAGTTTGCAGTGAGCTGAGATCATGCCACTGCACTCCAGCCCAGGCGACAGAGTGAGACTCCATCTCAAAAAAAAAAAAAAAAAAAGCAGCAACCCTAAACCAGAGCACACTGAGGAACTATTTAATTCTGCAGCTTTTTTGCTACTTCATGTTTGAGAGCAGACCTGATCACTTTGAACTGAATAAGCCCCTATTATTCTGGAATAATTGGAGGGTGATGGACAGTTTTAAAAGAGAGATTCTGTGGTCAGGCACAGTAGCTCATGCCTGTATTCACAGCACTTTAAGAGGCTGAGGCAAGAGGATCGCTTGAACCCAGGAGTTCAAGACGAACCTGAGCAACATAGCGAGACCCCATCACTACAAAAAAAAAAAAAGGATAAGTACAGAGTGCTTCGGAAACAGATAGAGAGGTATCCAACCAAGTCTAAAGGAAATATAGAAAAAACTTCCCAAAGTACATTAATCAGGACATTTATTGCCAGTTGGTAAAGCAAAGAATCCTAAATATCAATGATTTAACACAATTAATTAATATTAAATATTTATATTTTTGTTCTGCACCAGCAGATTTCCTTTTCTTTTTCTTTCTTTTTTTTTTTTTTGTTATTGTTGTTGTTGAGATGGAGTCTCGCTCTGTTGCCGAGGCTGGAGTGCAGTGGCGCGATCGTGGCTCAACCTCTGCCTCCCGGGTTCAAGTGATTCTCCTGCCTCAGCCTCACGAGTAGCTGGGATTACAGGCATGTGCCACCACACCCAGCTAACTTTTGTATTTTTAGTAGAGGCGGGGTTTTGCCATGTTGCTGGTCTCAAACTCCTGACCTCAAGTGATCCTCCCATCTTGGCCTCCCAAAGTTTTGGGATTACAGGCGTGAGCCACTGTGCCTGGCCAAACCCACAACTTTTACTTACATTCCATTCTCCAGAACCAGCCACATGGCCCCACCAAGATGCAAGAGAAATGGGTAATGTAGGTTTTCTGGGTCCCAGGAAGGAAATGAAATGGTTTGGTGAACACATAGCATTTTCTCTGCCACACAGAAGTGATTTCTGAGTTAAAGGATGAGGGAGTGAGGCCCAGCACGGTGGCTCACACCTGTAATCCCAGCACTTTCGGAGGCCAAGGTGGGTGGATCACCTGAGGTCAGGAGTTCGAGACCAACCTGACCAATATGGAGAAATCCCATCTCTACCAAAACTACAAAAATTAGCCGGGCGTGGTGGCACATGCCTGTAATCCCAGCTACTCGGGAGGCTGAGGCAGGAGAATCGATTGAACCTGGGAAGCGGAGGTTGCAGTGAGCCAAGATCACACCACTGCACTCCAGCCTGGGTGACGGGGGAAGGATCTTGGTGGGAAGTGACTGGAGTAAAAAATGTCAGGGGAAGGTATGATAAGCTGTGAGACTAAAAAGTAAACAAGGCCCTATCATAAAGAGTCTGTGTGCCATGTAAACTAAACTGGGCTTTTATCCAGTTTAGTTTACACGGCACACATGGAGAGCCATTCACGGGTTTTAAACAAGGGAGTGATGTGATCATATCTTAGCTTCTGAAAGATCATTTGGACTGAGGCATAGAGACCAGATTGGAGGTCAGACACGTAGCTCAAGCCTGTCATTCCAGCACTTTGGGAGACCAGAGTAGGAGGATCATTTGAGATCCGGAGTTCGAGACCAGCCTGGGCAACATAGCAAGACCCCACCTCTAAAAATAAACTTGTTAAAAAAAATTGTGTGAATGAAGAGTGTGGCAATGAGGGGTGAACAAGCAGGGGAAAATGGTGTTGTATACTGAGACAAATAATTTTTTTTTGTTTGAGACGCAGTCTCGCCCTGTCACTCAGGCTGGAATGCAGTGGTGCGATCTCGGCTCACTGCAACCTCCGCCTCCAGGGTTCAAATGATTCTCCTGCCTCGGCCTCCTCAGTAGCTGGGATTACAGGCGCACACCACCACACCCAGCTAATTTTTGTATCTTCAGTAGAGACGGGGTTTCACCATGTTGGTCAGGCTGGTCTTGAACTCCTGACCTTGTGATCTGCCCACCTCAGCCTCCCAAAGTGCTGGGATTATAGGCGTGAGCCACCGTGCCCGGCCAAAGAATTTTTTGTTTTAAAGAGCAGTTTTAAGGAGAAATATAATATGCTTGGGGAACAGCCAAGTGAAGTCAGAGTTATTTGGAAAACTAGGCCTAAAGACAGATCTTAACAGGAGATGAAAGATGTGATGGGCATCAGTATAGGGATGGTGCTTGAGACTGTAACTGGGGATTACCCAGGCAGGCTGTGAAGAGCAGGAATGGAAGAAGTGATGGACAGTTAAGTGTTTTAACAATCATCTCTCCAGCTAAAGGAGGCCTGATATGTAGCATTTGCTGATGTCTGTGGTCAACTCCAAGCTACCAACTTGTCATCACTGAGCCTAGAGTTGTGAAGAGATGCACCCAATTAGTTTTTATGAGCTGCTGGGAGCCAACTCCACACAACAGTGGATACAAGAGAGCCCTGCATACACATATTTAAGAGACAGAATAAAAGAAATCTTGACTAGGCTCAGGGGCTCACGCCTGTAATCTCAGCACTTTGGGAGGCCAAGGTGGGCGGATAACTAGAGGTCAGGAGTTCGAGACCAGCCTGGCCAACATAGTGAAACCCTATCTCTACTAAAAATACAAAAAATTAGCCGGGCGAGGTGGCGGGCGCCTGTAGTCCCAGCTACTCGGGAGGCTGAGGCAGGAGAATGGCGTGAACCCCAGGGGGCGGAGCCTGCAGTGAGCCGAGATTGCGCCACTGCACTCCAGCCTGGGCGACAGCGAGACTCCGTCTCAAAAAAAAAAAAAAAAAAAAAAATTAGCCAGGCATGGTGGCACATGCATGTAATCCCAGCTACACAGGAGGCTGAGGCAGGAGAATCGCTTGAACCCGGGAGATGGAGGTTGCAGTGAGCCAAGATCGAGCCATTGCACTCCAGCTTGGGCGACAGAGTGAGGCTCCGTCTCAAAAAAACAAAAAGAAATCCTGAAAGAAGAAACCTCAGAAAGAATATAAAGGAGGAAACGGTTACAGTTGACACTTTCCTCACTCTATTCCTGCAAAAAAAATCACATAAGTTAAAAACCAAAAATTACTAACTGGATTTAGCATCCAAGAGTCATTAGTATTTTTTTTTTATTATTGAAACAGAGTGTTCCTCTGTCACCCAGGGTGGAATGCATTGGCACAATCTCAGCTCACTGCAGGCAGCCTCGACCTCCCAGAGTCAAGGGATCCTCCCACCTCAGCCTCCCACGTAGCTGGGACTACCTACAGGTGCGTGCTACCACCCCCAGCTAATTTTCTTTTTTATTTTTTGGAGAGATGGGATCTCACTATGTTGCCCAGGCTGGTCTCAACCTGGGCTCAAGCAATCCTCCCACCTCGGCCTCCCAGAATGCTGGGATTACAAGCATGAGCCACTGTTTCTGGTTGGTATTCTTAATAAGATCACTTTTAATGGAGTAGCAGGAATACAGACAGATGATGGGGGGCCTAAAAGTAAATGTGAAATCAGATGTTGAAAACTACAAGTGTAGCCGGGTTCAGTGGCTCATGCCTGTAATCCTACCACTTTGGGAGGCCAAGGCAGGTGGATCACCTGAGGTCAGGAGTTCAAGACCAGCCTGGCCAACATGGTGAAACTCCCGTCTCTACTAAAAATATAAAAATTAGCTGGGCATGGTGGCACATGCCTGCATTCCCAGCTATTCAGGAGGCTGAGGCAGGAGAATCCCTGGAACTTGGGAGGCGGCGGTTTCAGTGAGCTGAGATCTCGCCATTGCACTCTAGCCTGGGCGACAGAGTGAGACTCCATCTCAAAAAAAAAAAAGAAAACCACAAGCGTAGATAATTCTCGGACACCAAAGACAGTCAGGCTGAACTCGATTTTCCAGCAGAAAATAGAGTTGGACAAATCATTCAAAACCATAACAGCACTATCCTTCACTCCTCTCTATTCCACTCCCCCGCGACACCTGCCTGGATTTCTATAACTTATTTTATTATTTTATTTTTTATTTTAAGATGGAGTCTCGCTCTGTCACCCAGGCTGGAGTGCAGTGGTGCGATCTCAGCTCACTGCAACCTCCGTCTCCTGGGTTCAAGCGATTCTCCTGCCTCGGCCTCCTGAGTAGCTGGGATTACAGGCACCTGCCACCACGCCTGGCTAATTTTTTTGTATTTTTAGTAGAGACAGGGTTGCACCATGTTGGCTAGGCTGGTCTCAAACTCCTAACCTCAAGTGATCCACCTGCCTCGGCCTCCCAAAGTGCTGAGATTACAGGTGTGAGCCATTGTACCTGGCCTGGATTTCTAAAACTTTTATGCCTCTCACAATGGACCTTAGAGTGGTACCATTTTCCCAGGAGACATGGGAAAATGTACGCAGTCTGCACTGATTGTGCTATTGTCAACGTAATTAATGACAATTCCCAAAATCCCTTTCCTGGTCTGTTCCAAGTTAGAATTGACCAAAAAAGGAACTTGAGTGAAATTTGGAAAGCAGAAGTGAAGCAGCAGTTGTTGCCCTCAGCGGGTCTATGGTCTCGTGTGTGGACAGACTCCCAGGTGCCTGACAAGGCCCCAGCTGATCGTCACTCTCTTTCACACTGCATTCAGCTCAACCTCCCAGGTAAACCACCTGGGTGTAGTGTACGTGTGCAGACCTGTGGAGGTGAAAGCTTCCCAGAGACCCTTCTGTGAGCTCTCCCGGTAAGGTCCCACTGCAGGGCCTGAACGGTACTTGGCCTCTCAGATTTCTCTGCAGCCCCAACTTGTCTACCCATTTTGTTGCTTCCAGCCAATTGAATGATGACTTTTTTTTTTTTTTTTAGAGTCGGTTTTGTTCTGTCTCCCAGCCTGGAGTGCAACAGTGCAATCACAGCCCACTGCAACCTCAAACTCCTGGGTTCAAGGGATTCTCCCACCTTAACCTCCCAAGTAACTAGGACTACAGGCATGTGCCACCCACAACTGGCTAGTTTGTTGTTGTTGTTGTTTTAGAGGCGGGTTCTCACTATGTTGCCCAGGCTGGTCTCCAACTCCTGGCCTCAAGTGATCCTCCTGCCTCTGCCTCCCAAAGTGCTGGGAGTACAGGCATGAGCCACTGCACCCAGGTGTTGATGACTCTTTTTGACCCTTCAACTCCCTCCCAAAACTTCACTTCCCTCATTAATCTTACATTTGTGTAATGTGTCTAATTTTTTTTTCCTCTCTCTGTCAATCAGACCTCACTGCAGCCTCCAACTCCTGGGTTCAAGTGATCCTCCCACATCAGCCTCCTGAGTAGTTTAGGACTACAGGTGCATCCCACGACACCCAGCTAATTTTGTTTTCTTTAGTAGAGAAGAAGTCTTGCAATATTGCCCAGACTTATGTCTCAAATTTCTAAAATAAATCCCTTATCTCTGCAATGCTCTTTTTTCCCCCCATTCCCAATTTATACAATACTCTTGACCTCTCTGATTCCTTGACAGAACCCTGAGTGGTATCATTATTGGTACTGGGCATGAAGTGAAGCCTGAACAAATCTAAAATATGTGGCTTTGGTTTCAGGAGGGGGCAATGAGTAGAGGTGGAAAAAAGCAGCATGAAAACTGTTAGCAAAGACTGGGAAAATCATTAACGAAGCATTAGCAGAGGTTGGGAAAGAGGTAAAAACTGCCACTGCAGACTGGAAATGGTGGTTTGTGTTATACAGCAGTGAAACAAATTGGCAAAACTGTCAACCGTGGCAACTTGGAAGACAGAAAATGTGCCTAATGAACTTTTGGATCTTTTCAAGCAGAATGATGAAAGCACCAGTCAGTTAGTCCCAGCTGCATGTGATAAAGTGCTATGAGAGAGGTGAGGGTGAAGAAGGAAATGTGGCTAGCAAGCACAATTTAGAGGAAACAGAACATGCAGGACTCGCTTTTGTTAGAAAGCAAAACTTGTTCGCATCTCCAGCTGATCCAGCCTGCAAAAGATTATCAGAGTAAGGAATGGCCTCGGGGCTCTACGAGACCCTTTGCTGGTGGGGTGCAATGACTCATGTGTGTAATCTCAGCACCTTGGGAGGCTGAACCCAGGAGTTTGAGATCAGCCTGGGCAACAGCAAAAACCCATCTCTACAAAAAACACAAAAATTAGCCAGGTGTGGTGGCATGCACCTGTGGTCCCAACTACTGGAGAGGCTGAGGTGGGAGGATCACTTGAGCCCAGGAGGCCAAGGCTGCTGTAAGTTGTGATCCCACAACTGCCCTCCAGCCTGGGTGGAAGAGTGAGACTTTGTCTCAAAACATTAAAACAAAACAAAACAAAAAAAACCTTTGCTGGGCAGGCGTGATGGCTCGCACCTGTAATCCCAGAACTTTGGGAGGCTGAGGTGCGTGGATCATGAGATCAGGGTTCCAGACCAGCCTGGCCAAGATGGTGAAACCCAGTCTCTACTAAAAATACAAAAAAATTAGTTGGGCATGGTGGTGGGTGCCTGTAATCCCAGGTACTCGGGAAGCTGAGGCAGAGAATTGATTGAACCCAGGAGGTGGAGGTTGCAGTGAGCTGAGATTGCGCCACTGCATTCCAGCCTGGGCAGCAGAGCAAGACTCCATCTCAAAAAAAAAAAAAAAAAAAACAAACCCTTTGCTAAGATTTCAAAAACAGTTAAAGTTTGTGCCTAGTGGGCTCTCAGACAAGAGGACTTCTAGGAATCTGAAAAATATGGTCCCAAAGAGAACTAATTCCCAAACAGCTATGAATAAGTATAAACAGTGGGCCTGTCTCATAAAGAATTGTGAATGTGACTTACATCTAATGGAGAGGACCATAAACCAGATACATAGAAAGCCCACAAAATTTTTTAAGGAATTTGTATCTGCTTGGTTTAAAAAATACTAAGACTTGGCCAGATGTAGTGGCTAATGCTTGTAATCCCAGCACTTTAGGAGGCCAAGGCAGGAGGATCACTTGAGGCCAAGAGTTGGTGACCAACCCTGGTACCATAGTAAGACACTCTCTCTACAGAAAGAAAAGACTTGCTGAGTGCAGTGGCTCACGCCTGTAATCCCAGCACTTTGGGAAGCCGAGGTGGGCAGATTACCTGAGGTCAGGAATTTGAGACTAGCTTGGCCAATATGGCAAAACCTCGTCTCTACTAAAAATACAAAAATTAGCCAGTCATAATGCCGTGCACCTGTAATCCCAGCTACTCCAAAGGCTGAGGCAGAAGAATCACTTGAATCTGGGAGGCGGAGGTTGCACTGAGCCGAGATCACGCCACTGCACTCCAGCCTGGGCAATGAGAGTGAAACTCTGTCTCAAGGAAAGAAAAAAAAAAAGAGAGAGAGAAAAGAAAAGACTGAGGCTGGGCAACACTGTGGCTCATGCCTATAATCCTAGCACTTTGGAAGGCTGAAGTGGGAGGATCACTTGAGCCCAGCAGTTCAAGACCAGCCTGAGCAACATAGTGAGACCTCATTCTCTACAAAACATCAAAAAATTAGCCAGGCATAGTGGCACACATCTGTAGTCCCAGCTACTCGGGAGGCTGAGATGGGAGGATCCCTTGAATCCAGGAGGTTGAGGCTGCAGTGAGCTGACATCCCCACTGCACTCCAGCCTAGGTGACACAGCAAGACTTTGTCCCCTGTTATTAAAATAAATAAAGATTGAGGTTGGTCCGAGTACAGAGGTATTTGCAACTGATTGATTACAACTAGTTACAGATTTGTTTGTTCCTTCTCCACTCCCACTGCTTCACTTGACTAGCCTAAAAAATAATAATAATAACTCTCTCTATATATATATTTTAGACAGAGTCTCCCTCTGTCACCCAGGCTGGAGTTCAGTGGCATGATCACGACTTACTGCAGCCTCAACCTTCCAGGCTCAGGTTATCCTCCCACCTCAACTTCCTGAGTAGCTGGCACCACAGGTGCACACTATCACACCCAGCTAGTTTTTTGTATTTTCTGTAGAGACAGGGTTTTGCTGTGTTGCCCAGGCTAGTCTCAAACTCCTGGGCTGAAGCAATCTGCCCGCCTTAGTCTCCCAAAATGCTGGAATTAAGGCATGAGCCACTTCATCCAGCCATGATAATGAATTTAAATAGAGTAAGACTGACCAGATTATAAGGAGACCTCCAGGCCCCCAAGTTTCTATGGGTAGGAAGCAGGCTGAAGAATCTACTCAGCTACAAATATAGGCCATTTTCTTTTCTTTTTTTAATTAAAAAAAATTTCTTTGGGCAGGCATGGGGGCTCACATCTCTAATCCCAGCACTCTGGGAGGCCAAGGCAGGTGGATCATTTGAGCTCAAGACCAGTCTGGACAACATAGTGAGACCCCATCTCTATTTTTTAAATATTCAGCCAGGCGTGGTGGCTCACACCTGTAATCCCAGCACTTTGGGAGGCCCAGGCAGGCAGATCATGAGGTCAGGAGATCGAGACCATCCTGGCCAACATGGTGAAACCCCATCTCTACTACAAACATAAAAAATCAGCTGGGCATGGTGCCGGGGACCTGTAGTCCCAGCTACTCAGGAGGCTGAGGCAGGAGAATGGCTTGAACCTGGGAGGCGGAGATTGCAGTGAGCCGAGATTGCACCACTGCACTCCAGCCTGGGCAACAGAGTGAGAGTCCGTCTCAAAAAAAAAAAAAAAATTCATAATAAAAAAATTTTTTTAACTAGAAATGAGGTCTCACTATATTGCCCAGGCTGGTCTTGAACTCCTGGATTCAAGTGATCCTCCTGCTTCAGCTTTCCAAAGTGCTAGGATTATAGGCTTGAGCCACAATGCCCAGCCTGGCCCTTTTCACTGGAAAAGAGGATATCTCACTAAGTACAGTCAAAATCTCTGAGGGTGGAGCCAAGAGCCTCAAAGAACAGCAGAATAAGGGCCATCCCCACAGTGCAGAACCAGCCCTAATCAAGAAACATTTTGGGCCCCTACAGAGGGAAATCTGGCAACATGCACCGATTGGATTTCAGAATTGCTATGAACCAATGATTGCTATGGACCTCCTGTTCCTCCCCTTTTGAATAGGGGTGTCCATTGTATATTGGGTGGGTGGCGAGCAGTTAATATGCCTCTTTAGCTCACAGATCTTTGTGTTAAGAATGGCCATATTCCGGCTGAGTGTGGTGGCTCAAGCCTGTAATCCTAGTACTTTGGGAGGCTGAGGTGGGTGGATTATTTGAGGTAAGGAGTTCGAGACCAGCCTGGCCAACGTGGTGAAACCCTGCCTCTACTAAAAATACAAAAATTAGCTGGGCGTGGTGGCAGATGCCTGTAGTCCCAGCTATGCAGGAGGCTGAGGCAGGAGAATCAATTGAACCCGGGAGGTAGAGGTTGCAGTGAGCCAAGATCGTGCCTATGCACTCCAGCCTGAGTGAGTCTCAAAAACAAAACAAAACAAAACAACAATAAAAAAAGAATAGCCATATTCAGTGGTTCCTAAAATCATTAAAAATAGAGCCAAGGGCCAGGCACAGTGGCTGATGCCTGTAATCCCAGCACTTTGAGAAGCCAACGAGAGTGGATCACCTGAGGTGAGGAGTTCAAGACCAGCCTGGCCAACATTGTGAAACTCAGTCTCTACTAAAAATACAAAAATTAGCCAAGTGTGGTGGTGTACACCTGTAATGCCAGCTACTTGGAAGGCCGAGGCAGGAGAATCATTTGAACCCGGGAGGCGGAGGTTGCAGTGAACCAAGAGCCACTGTACTCCAGCCTGGATGACAGAGCGAGACTCCACCTCAAAAAAAAAAAAAAAATAATAGAATTACCATACGATGCAGCAATTCCACCTCTGGGTATATACATTAAAAATATAAAAGCAGGAGCATTAACAGATATTTGTATACCCATGTTCCTAGCAGCATTGGTCACAGTAGTCAAAAGGTGGATGCAACTCGAGTGTCTATCAACAGAAGAATGGATACGTAAAAGGTGATATATACATACAATGGAAAACTAATCAGCCTTAAAAGGGAAGACATTTTTTACATGGATTAAGCCTTGAAGGCATTATGCTAAGTGCAATAAGCCAGTCACCAAAGGACACCTGCTGTATAATTCCACTCATATGAGGTATTTAGAGCAATCAAATACATAGAAACAGAAAGTTGAATGGTGGTTGCCAGAAATGGGTGGGAAGGAGGGGATTAAAGAATAGAGAGTTATTGATTAATGGACACAGAGTTTCAGTTTTGCAATATGGAAAGTGTTTTGGAGATGGATGGTGGTAATGGTTGAACAATGATGTGAATGTATTTAATGCCATTGAACTATACACTTAAAAATTCTTAAAATGGTAAATGTAATGTATATTTTACAACAGTTTTTTTCGAGACAGGGTCTCACTCTGTTGCCCAGGCTGGAGTGCAGTGGCGCGATCTCAGTTCCCCAACTGCAACCTCCGCCTCCCAGGTTCAAGCAATTCTTGTGCCTCAGCCTCCTGAGTAGCTGGGACTGCAACCACACGCCACCAGTCTGGGCTAATTTTTGCATTTTTAGTAGAGAAGGGGTCTCACCATGTTGGCCAGGCTGGTCTGGAACTCCTGGCCTCAAGTGATCCACCCAACTCAGCCTCCCAAAGTGCTGGGATTGCAAGCATAAGCCACGGCGCCCAGCCTACAACAAATTTTTTATGACAGGGCCTCACTCTGTCACCTGCTACAGATAAAGCACTCAATAAATATTAATTTCTTTTTTAATTTTTAACATTAAATTTTTATTCTTTCTGTCCTCACAATCTGTTTCCAATATTAGTTTCTTTTAGGTCTTCGCTCTTCCCGATGGTGTGGCAAGCTCAGGCATGGTTCCAGTGTTCTTCAGTGGAGACACTATTGCAATTGGGTTGGATAGTTCTTTTTTTCTTTTTTTGAGTCGGAATTTCACTCTTGTTGCCCAGGCTGGAGTGCAATGGCGTGATCTCGGCAACCTCTGCCTCCCAGGTTCAAGTGATTCTCCTGCCTCAGCCTCCTGAGTAGCTGGGATTACAGGCATGCGCCACCACGCCCGACAAATTTTGTATTTTTAGTGGAGATGGAGTTTCTCCATGTTGGTTAGGCTGGTCTTGAACTCCCGACCTCAGGTGATCCACCCACCTCGGCTTCCCAAAGTGCTGGGATTACAGGTGTGAGCCACCACGCCCAGCTGGATAGTCCTTGATTATGCAGGATTGCCTGTGTGCATTGCTGGACACTTAACAAACTTCACCTTCACCAACTAAATGCCAGTAACATTTCCCAGTCATTTTGACAACTCTAAAACCACCCTATAAGACTGTATTTTCCGCCTGGCGCAGTGGCTCACGCCTGTGATCCCAGCACTTTGGGAGACCAAGGCGGGTGGATCATTTGAGGTCAGGAGTTTGAGACCAGCCTGGCCAACATGGTGAAACCCTGTCTCTACTAAAAATACAAAAATTAGCTGGGTGGTAGTCGTACGCGCCTGTAATCCCAGCTACTCGGAAGGCTGAGGCAGAAGAATCGCTTGAGCCTGAGTGGAGGAAGTTGCAGTGATCCGAGATTGCGCTACTGCACTCCAGTCTGGGAGAGAGTGTGAAATCCTGCCTCAAAAAAAATAAGACTGTATTTTCAGAGCTCATTTCTGTAGTTCATTACTATGGAAGTTTCTGTAAATATATAGAGGTCTACAAAACAAAAAAGTAAAACCACCAGGTGTGGAGATATATATATATACTTTTTGTAAATAATAATTTTTGTAGAGATGGGGCCTTGCTATGTTGCCCAGGCTGGTCTCAAACTCCTGAGCTCAAGTGAGCCTCCCACCTCAGTCTCCCAAGTAGCTGGGACTACAGGTGCATGCCACCATTCCTAGCTAAATTCACTATCTTTTGATATGCATCAACCATGAATGTGGCTAAGACTCTTTGTGTATAGCTTTTTTTTTTAATTGTTGTACGCTGGGCACAGCGGCTCATGACTATAATACCAACTATATACCATGCCTATATACCAAATTTGGGAAGCTGAGGCAGGCAGATCACTTGAGCTCAGGGGTTCAAGACTAACCTGAGCAACATGGCAAAACCCCATCCCTACAAAAAAATACAAAAATTATCTGGGCATGGTGGTGCATGCCTGTAGTCCCAGCTACCAGGAGGCTGAGGCAGTAGGATTGCTTGAGCCTGGAGGTTGAGGCTGCAGTGAGCTGTGATTTGTGTCACTGCACTCCACTCTGGGTACAAAGTGGATCCTGTCTCCAGGGAGAAAAAAAAAAAAAAAGGTGGCAGCACTAGGACTTAAACCCATATCTGCCAAACATCATCTCAAGGGGCCTTCCCTGATCTACTCTAAGGCACCCTCCATGTCTTTCAGCATTCGTATTACATTACTGTTCTTTTTTCACAGCACTTATATCTATTTGATTTGGTGTATTTGTTTATTTGCACTCAGAAGCCCTCTACCAGCATGTATATCACACAGAAGCAGAGATTCAAGGGTTTATTCACAACTGCATGTCCAATGCCCAGAACAATGCCAGGCACATAAAATGAAATTTAAAAAACATTCAGTAAATTATTCTTGAATGAAGGCCAGGCGCAGTGGCTCACGCCTGTAATTCCAGCATTTTGGGAGGCTGAGGTGGGTGGATAACCTGAGGTCAGGAGTTCAAGACCAGCCTGACCAACATGGAGAAACCCCATCTCTACTAAAAATACAAAATTAGCCAGGCATGGCAGTGCATGCCTATAATCCCAGCTACTCAGGAGGCTGAGGCAGGAGAATCGCTTGGACCCGGGAGGCAGAGTTTGTGGTGAGCCAAGACTGAGCCACTGCACTCCAGCCTGGCAACAGAGCGAGGCTCCGTCTCAAAAAGAAAGAAAGAAAGAAAGAAAGAAATTTAAAAAAAAAGAAAATCTCACGTCACAATAACAATCACAGATAACAAACTTGGGCCTGTGGTAGCTTCACATATGCTAACAGGATCTTAACTGAAGCTGTTTAGTTTGGTCCCAATTTATACTTTTTTTTTTTTTTTAAGACAGAGTTTTGCTCTTGTTGCCCAGGCTGGAGTGCAATGGTGTGATCTTGGCTCACCACAACCTCCACCTCTCGGGTTCAAGCGATTCTCCTACCTCAGCCTCCCGAGTAGCTGGGCATGTGCCACTATGCCCAGCTAATTTTTGTATTTTTAGTAGAGATAGGGTTTCACCATGTTGGCCAGGCTGGTCTCAAACTCCTGACCTCAAGTGATCCTCCTGCTTCAGTCTCCCAAAGTGCTGGGATTATAGGCATGAGCCACCGTCCCGGCACAATTTATACTCTTGCTATATCAACAAAATCTCTCTCAACATTTTTTGAGGCTGGAGTGCAGTGGCACAATCTCGGCACTCTGCAACCTTCACCTCCTAGGTTCAAGCGATTCTCCCACCTCAGCCTCCTGAGTAGCTGGGATTACAGGTACAAGCCACCACGCTTGGCTTGTTTTTGTATTTTTAGTAAAGACAGGGTTTCATCATGTTGGCTGGTCTCGAACTCCTGACCTCAAGTGATCTGCCCGCCTAAGCCTCTCAAAGTGCTGGGATTACAGGAGTGAGCCATCGGGCCCGGCCTCTCTCAACTTTAGATGATTGTAGTAGTTGCAAGCATGGATACCTATTGATGTGTAACAAGCCACTCCAAAGCTTAGTGGCTTAGAACAACAACAACTTCTTATTTCTCATGATTCTGTTGGCTGTATGGTTCTGCTGATTGGGTGGGGTCTCATGCATGTAGCTCCCAGTGGGTGTGCTGGGTGCTGGACTCCTCTCGCCTCGTGATCCTTCATCCCAAGCTTCTTTGTGGCATGGTGTTTCTAGAAGACAAAGATGGAAGCTGCAAAAGCTCCTTGGGGTCTAGATTCCAGAACCTGTGCAACATACTTACTTCCGCAATATCCCATAAGCCAAAGCAACTGGCAAGACCAGGCCACATTCCAAGGGATGGAGAAGATTCCACTTCTGGGTGGGAAAAGTAGCAAAGTCACATTGCAAAGGGCTATGCATTCTGGAAGTGGAGGAACTTGTGGCGGCTAAAACAACTGTTGGGCATTATATTATTTTTAGAGTCCAGACAAATGTAAGTATAATTAATGATACAATTTTGATTTCTAAAGCATTAAGGAAAGCAGTATTCAAATAAACAGGGCCAGGCATTGTGGTTTATGCTTGTAATCCCAGCACTTTGGGAGGCTGAGTATCACTTGGGATACTCATCATTTGGGAGGTGGGAGTATCACTTGAAGACAGGAATTCAAGATCAGCATGGGCAAAATAGTGAGACCCCATCGCTGTAAATTTTTAAAAATTAACTAGGTGTGGTGGCTCATGCCTGTAGTTCTAACCACTCCAGAAGCTGAGACAAGAGGATCATTTGAGCCCAGGAGTTCAGGGTTACAATGAGCTATGACCACATCATCATACTGCAGCCTGGGTGACCATGAGACCTTGTTGCAAAAACAAAACAAAACAAAAAAACAAAGCTTCTCTCAAATTATAAGGTTGTTATAAACATCTCCAAAAGTTTATCCTTTTCTTTACACATACACACACCACGCATAATTCTCACTCATCATCAGCCATGTAATTTTTCGTTCTTTTTAATATAGAAACTTTATTTCCCTCTTTCTAGTTTGCTATGGCAGTACTTTCTTCAGTCTTGTACCTAAGTTTCCTACTTATTTTGGCCACTTGCCACCTAGAATATTAAGTTCCCTGAGACATGCTGTCAAAGGCAACACTCCTGGAACTGCCTATTGCATTTTTTTTCCACGTTTGTTGGGAAGAGCAAGACTCCCACGGGGCAAAGCAATCTCCTTTGAATCGAGCAGGGAAAAAAAAAAAACTGGTAAGCACTGGACTCTGACAAGCAGCTGCTGGTAAAGTCTACAGAACTACTTTTAAGTGGCTGGGTGGGCATTAACTTTTCACGGGGCTTTTTTTGTTGTTGTTACTCAATGATTTTGGGAGTCAGCAGATATTTTGTAACAACTAAAAACTACCTAAATTCATTCTGAAAAATAGTCTTCCATTTTTGGTTTAATCAGCAAAAAAAATTCAAACTGCTTCCTTTTTTTTTTTCCTTTGGAGACAGACAGGGTCTCAGTCTGTCATCCAGGCTGGCTTGAGTGCAGTGGTGTGATCACGGCTCACTACAGCACAGCCTCAGCCACCTGGGCTCAAGGTATCCTCCCACCTCAGCCTTGTGA
Organism: Homo sapiens; assembly: GCF_000001405.40. Taxonomy (NCBI): domain Eukaryota; kingdom Metazoa; phylum Chordata; class Mammalia; order Primates; family Hominidae; genus Homo; species Homo sapiens. The sequence goes on from NC_000010.11 coordinate 21,489,266, forward strand.
ATAGCTGGGACCACAAGCGTGCACCACCACGCCTGGCTAATATATATATATTTTTTATTTTTTGTAGAGATGGGGGTTTCCCTGTGTTACGTAGGCTGGTTTCAAACTCCTGGGCTCAAGCAATCCTCCTGACTCTGCCTCCTAAGTGCTGGGTTTACAGGCATGCCCCACCTAAACTGTTTCCTTCATCTACTTTTAGCTATTTATTAAATAACTAGAATAGGCTACGTTTAAGTTCCAAGTTACAAAAATTGTTAAAGAGAGCATTTATTTTACATCCTAAAAATACTGAGATCTTATGTTGTAGACAAAAGAAGCTAAAAATCTGGTGCAACAAGATGAATACAGAATAAGAAAAGAATTAACTAAAGTAAGTAAGCTTTCTGAATTGTCCATAAATAGTTCTAATTTGAATTACTGCCTATGCCAGAACATTACCTCTGAGATTTTATGATTGCTGTATCTGCTACTATTAACTAATAACATTTGCTCGCAAGGAAATAAAACACATACAAGGAAAATTGACACCAAAATAGTAAGTTGACAAATCTTCCATTAAAAAGGAAAATAGAAAACATAATTCTATGAAAAATTATGGAGAATTTAAATTTATTTTAATTTTTCAATTAAGTCAAATATTCTGTGTCTCACAGAAATTTTTTCTATTTCTCACTAGAAATTTTACCTTTTTGTTTTTTAAGATACTATGTTTTGCTCTGTAGCCCAGGCTGGAGTATAGTGGCACAATCATAGCTCACTGCAGCCTCAAACTCCTGGGCTTAAGCAATTCTCTTGCCTTAGCCTCCCAAAGTGCTGGGATTACAGGCATAAGCCAGTGTGCCCCACCCAGAAATTTTAAAATTCTTAAAATGTGTAATCAATTATTTCATGAAGCTATTGAATATTTTCATATAAAGAACATACCACGATCAATACATTGATTGATTTCCAATCAATTTACTTAATTTATGGAAGGTCATTATGTTGATGTACATAAATGTATATGTGTATTATGAATCAAATTTATTTGAAATCCTCCTGTATAGAATAAATTACGAACTTTTAGATGACATGCGTATTTTTCCCATTCTCCTTAATATATTGGGCCGAATTGTTCATCTAAGTAAAGTTGATTTTGCTTTTTTGTGGTCATTGTTTTTTCTATTTTTACTTACATAGTCAGATGCTAAGTTTTAAGCTTTTGAATAGTATGTCTGTCTGATATATCACTTCTTCCAGGAGCCTCCCCAAGAGCACTATAAATCTGCAAAGAGAGGGAAGTATGGGCAAATGAATAAGAAAAATGTTAAGGAAAGAATCCTTGCTAAACATTGCCACAATTTAATATTTCACATTTAAATTATTCTCATCATGTTATTTCCAAAGTTTGCTCATTAGATTTTCACTTGCCTTGATGACCTTAATTAGACTTGTTCCAGATTTATGACAACTGTAAAATTAGGAAATTTTCATTCAAAAAAAAAAAATTAAAACCCTCTGGATGGTTTTCCAAAGCACATGCAGCATTACTTAAGACTATGATTTTCAGCTAGTTGGATATATCATATCTACAGCTCTAGCCAGGTCTGTAAGAATTCTGTGACTGAGGCCTAATGGAACCAATTTTCACTCTGGCAGAACAAATTCAAGTTCTAATACGAACTTGAATTCCAGTTTCCTTTGGATGCCAGGAATCAGATCCTTTAAGAGGAAATTGTATCAGCGCTTCTGCCTATTAAGTGATATTCCATATATTTCATCTAAATAGCTAGCAGGAACAACTGACTCAAGTCAAATCTAAAACAGAAAACAAATGATTTTTTAATTACTGAAATTGTTTTATTATTATTTTAAAATACTAGTCATGGGCAGTTATTCTGTTGGTGGTGGTGGTGGGTTTTTTTGTTTTTGTTTGTTTGTTTTAGCCTTTTCCTTTCAGGGCCTCAATTTTCTGCAAACTTCACTTACCTTGACTGTGGACCACTGACCTTCTTTAAACAGGAACCAATGTATTCACTCACCTACACTAACAATCATATTACAGTCACAGGCCATTAACTGTCACTCACATTTTTATTACCCTGCATCTGATGAACATTGATACACTTGGGTGTCTTCCTCTGCACTGGAAAAAAAATAATTTAGATAGAATTCTAAAAGTTAGCATGTTTCGTCAATAGCTTCACTGTTCCTCATGCCCATTCATCACATCTTGCTTGCTATTGAAATCCTCCCTTGCTTTGTAACATTATTAAAGTCAGTCATTATTAAAGTCGTCTCAAAAAGAGACACCTCTGCAACTTCTAAGATGTTGTCAACCAGGAATCATATTTTCAATACTTCAAATTCTATTGCATTTTCAAGCTTTGGAAACAAATATAATATTCTTGCATATTTTCTAAGATGAAATTTCATGTAGACAATGATGTGATAGAAAGGATGATGCTTATCTAATGATTTTGGCATTGCCCCTTGATAACTATGACACTGAGAAAACCAGCATTGGTTTTCCTATTATCAGAACAAATTACAGTGCATGTTCTGGAGTCCTACATATCTTACATTTGAGAGAGAAAAATCACTGGGAAAAAAAAAGGTAATAGTTATATTTGTATCCATCTAGTTTCACTAACATATCTTTAAGGTACAGATTTTTTATAATAATCACATATGGCTGGGCGCGGTGGCGCATGCCTGTAATCCTAGCACTTTGGGAAGCCGAGGCGGGTGGATCACGAGATCAGGAATTCAAGACCAGCCTGGCCAATATGGTGAAAACCCGTCTCTACTAAAAACACAAAAAAATTAGCCGGGTGTGGTGGCGAGTGCCTGTAGTCCCAGCTACTCAGGAAGCTGAGGCAGAAGAATCCCTTGAACCCAGGAGGCAGAGGTTGCAGTGAGCCAAGATTGTGCCACTGCACTCCAGCCTGGGTGACAGAGTGAAATTCCATCTCAAAAAAAAAAAAAAAACCATATGATTTTATAAGACCAACTTAAGGGATTCTTATATTGCTTTAGTTTTATTTTTCACAAAAACTAGATTTAATTCAAGCTTCATGAAAAGGCCAAAAAAACACACAAATAATTTCATAGTTCCTAATTTTCCAACCCTTCCTTCAGTAGGCATTGCAGGTCATTCGAACCAGATAGTTTAAATTTTTCATGGTGCAGCTAAGTGAATAAGCATCCCTCCACAGAATGCATGCACTGTTGTATCATTTTCAATTAATATGAAATAGTTTTGCCAAAATATGACTGTAAATGCAAAGCTGCTATTCTGAACATTTGGAACAACTATAGCTCATTTTTCATTATGCGTTGATGTTTTGGTATAAAAATACTGTTTAAGCAGTTCATGAATACTCTTTTCCATTTAATCACAAAGAAATACATTCAGAGTGAACATGATCGTTTTATTGGTTACCAAAGATCCTTGGCAAAGTGCACGCATGGTGAAGAACAAAAGTAAGTCCTCAACAGTTTCCCAACTTCAATGAAAACTTAATGGGCCTAGATTTACAGATTACACATTAAAAAAAGTTTGTGCATGATGTATCTGCTGTGTGTGTATTCATATGTGGGAAATAAAGCAAGCCACAGAGAAAATGGGTGGGGGGCACAACTGCAAAAAGTTATCTCTCCTAGGAGATTTATTATTGGGAAATGCAGAAACAGAGAATTCAGCACTCTTCTTTCTGGTGACAATACAATGCTAGAAAAAAAACTAATTTTTTTAAATAATTTACCATAGAATCTCTTGTCTTAGACTAGAAGGAATACAATCCCTGTTACATGTGTATATATGTCCAGGTGTAACACACATTTTTCTCTTCTGAAATTCTTGTCTCAAATCTCTTTCAATCAAAATGAGTTGAGCTTCAAACAGGATCTGGGTGAGTCAGAACCTTTTTAAAATTGTGCTCAACCCAGTGAATGCTTTAAAACTGAATTAATGAGTAGTATCCTAAAATGCAAAAGCATGCTCCAAGACTGACTGCCTCTCTACATTTTGATTCTGAAAGAAAGTGCTTGGACTTTTAAAGAACAAAGAAGAAAAGCCTTCATTTTCCTTCCCTCCCTTCCTCTCTACAATTTAACCAAGCAATTTTTTCTAGGTTCTTTTGTTTTAATATAAGAACAATAAGGCCGGGTGGTTGCTCACGCCTGTAATCCCAGCACCTAGGGAGGCTGAGGTGGGCGGATCACAAGGTCAGGAGTTCGAGACCATCCTGGCTAACATGGTGAAACCCCATCTCTACTAAAAGTAAAAAAAAAAATTAGCTGGTCATGGTGGCGGCTGCCTGTAGTCCCAGCTACTCAGGAGGCTGAGGTAGGAGAATTGCTTGAACCGGGGAGGTGGAGGTTGCAGTTAGCCAAGATGGCGCCACTGTACTCCAGCCTGGACAACAGGGCGAGACTCCATCTCAAAAAAAAAAAAAAAAAAAAAAGAACAATAAAGCTCTTCTGTCTTTCTTCTCTCTTCTTCTCCTCTTTCTATCTCCAGGACCACAAATTTGACTAAAAATAATTGTCCATATGGAATCCTTAATGTATCAACATAGGAAGGAGACACCCACTATCCCAAGACTCAGCCCACCTGGCCTAGATGGGCCTAGATTTAGAGTAAGCATTACAGGCTGATTAAGTTTGGTGCATGGTTTATCGGGTGAGCGTTCCCCACCCCACTTCTTGCAACTTTGCTTGCTCATCTAGGGGTTCCCGGAGGGCCCCCAACACCCCCTAGCAGGGCGCGAGGTAAGTGGAGAGTTTGCCCGGGTGCTGGGTGATGTGCCCAGCAACTTCTGCTTTTTCCCCTGGGGAAAACTGTGACATTCGAAAGGTGTCTGCAAGTGTTTCTTCTGGTTGGCCTGGAAGTTTCCCGAGTCCCTGGACTGGCGACCCAAACTCCTACACTTCCTGCCCGGTGCTGGGAAGAAACCCAGATCAGCAGACAAATCAACCACACCCTGAGCCCCAACATCGAGCTCCAACATGTGCCTTTCCCGCCGAACGAGAAAGCGCGGACCCCTTGCAAGCAGCATATAGCCTCGGCGTGACCCGTGGAGAGGCGGGACCCCAGTGGAGAGAGAAGCACGGAGAAGCCTGGGAAGGAGCTTGGTAAGAGGGGCACAGTCCAGGCTGCCCCATGCGCGCTGGGGTTGTCGCCGCGCCTCCTGCGCGCCCCAGTGCCCCCAGAATCTCCAAGAAAGCAATCGTGAGCGCGGATCAGTTTCTGTCTTTCCCAGAAAGCGGGCTTTTTATTGAGGGGAAACTTAGCTGGGAAAAGTCAGCTCGTACGTTTGTTTTGGTTTTTCGTCTATTTGCTTCCCAATTTAAAAGTGGCCGCCTAGGCGACAGGCCTGCGGTTTTCACAGTGTAAAACGGATCAGAGGGAAAGCTCCAGCCCCTCTCGACTTTCGCTTGCGGTTTGCAACCCCTGGGGTGGGTCTGACCCCGCGCGGCACTTGCCCAGGCGAGCTTCCCTCGTCGCGGCCCGACCCGCGCGCGGACTCGGCTTCCCCAGGTCAGGACCCACTAGGTGGGCCGCTCGGCCCCAAGCCTGGCAGGGCGGAGCCTAGGCCGCGCGCCCCGGGGTTGGAGGTTCCCACGGAGCCGGGAAACTGCGCGCCCCAGGTCCGCAGGCCGCCTCCCTTCCCTCGCGCCCTCGCACCCGCCCTCTGCTCTGCCGCTCCCGGTCCTGGGTGTGCGGGAGTCCCGGGGGTCCCTCTCCTGGACGCAGAGGAGGAATTTGGAGCAAAAGGAAGGGAATTTACTGCGGATGGCACCGGAACCTGAATTGACTTGTGCGTTTCCTGCTCTGGGCACGTAGGTTTCCCCTAGGAATCTGGAGTTCGCTGAGGACACTTAATTCCAAGAGATGATGGGTTCACATAAACATACCATTTAGTTAAGAAAAATATTTAAAATAAAGAAAAAAGAAAAACTGAACTTCGATCTTCTTCTCCACGTTCCCTGGTGTCACCAAATAAACAAAGCATTCGGACGAGAGTGGGCTGCTGGGGGCTCGGGAGGTGCGCGAGACAAGGTTACCCTGCGGGTCCGCCACTGCCCCCGGCCTCCAGCACTGCACTGCCCACGAGTTTGCGGGGTGTGAGCGCCGAAGGAGAACCCCGGACCGCCCAGTCTCAGCCTAAAAACTTGGATCCAAGAGTCCTACGGTTGTGGATGTGCCAGTCCTCCGCGACCCTTTCCTGCTGGCCTTCTGCTTTTTATAAACGAAAATAAAAGTTTGATTTAGGCTTAAAGAAATGTCATTCTGGTCGTTCCTCCCTGAAGCGGGACTTACTCAACCTCATATACTCGCCCGGAATTTTCAATCTCGCCTGTCGAAATCGCTAGCTGCGCATCCGCGGAAGAAGTCCTGGATGAGAGGTAGGGTGAAGGGATCAAGCAGATAGCAGCAGGCATCAGCACACTCCGGCCGTTCCGGACGGTCAGGCCCGCCGCTACAGGGAGAAGTGCGGCGGATGGAGCCAGGGCTGCGGGTTGCGCGCGGGCTGGGAACCCGGTGGTGCCACCTTAAGAGTCGGGTCCGCGCAGCGGCTGCGGAGGCGCCCGGCACCTGCAGGGGGCGCTGCTGCCCCGTGGTTTCTCCCGCGCCGCCGCGTGCAGCGGGCCTGGCAGCTCCGGGGCCCCGGTCCCCGGAGGGGGTGGGGACGCTGGGGGAGGAAGGGAGCGAAGTGCAGCCGTTAGGTAACGAACCCGAACCCTCCCGGATTCAGAAGCGGCCTCAGTGAGGCGTTTGCTGGAGGGAGCTTTCCATCATTCGGCCGCGAGAGGAAACGTGGGGAGGCGCCCTCCCCTGCCCCCACCGCCTGCCTTCCTGCCTCCCTCCACCTCCGCTCCCCGACCCCGACCGTGCTTCCCAGACCCTTTGTTCTCGAGGTTGGGAACGGCTGGGTGGGGGTTCCCCGGGGAAGAGGTCCCCCGCGCCGCTCGGAGGGGAAGGGACTGTCGCCTGCCCCGCACCCCAGCCCTCCCCAGTGCCGTCCCCCTTTCCCCCGGCCCCTTCCATCGCGTCCACGCGCTTCCGTTCTCACTCGGACTCCCCCAACTCCCGAGCTCCGGCTCCCCAGCCTGCACGGTCTGCAAGCCCGCCTCCCTTCCCACTTCCCCGCCACCTCTGAGGTCCCCGGGAAGAGGGGAGGAGAGGGAGACGTGTGGGGGAGGAGAAACCACAGAGCCTTCTCGGCGCGGAGCATTCCCAGGGACCCTTCCAGGCCCCGACCCCTGGGACCCGCTGCAGAGGCAGGGCTTTCCCGGCGCCGCCGCAGGTCGCTAGGGCCGCCCCCGCCGCGTCGCCCTGGGGCCCACGGGTGCACGGCCCGGGCAGCAAGGCAAGGTGCGGCCTCTCAGCGCCAGGACCCGAGACCCCCAGCTGGAGAGAAGGGGACACCGTGGTCCGCGCCCTGGGGAGGCTAATTGCACACGAACGCCCCCCTCTTCCCCGCCCCCCACCGTACCCTCTGCAGCGCCACCCGCGTCGCCTCTCCGCCGTGCGCCACCCTGAGGGCTCCCGCGATTGCATCTTCTTGAGCACAGTTACCAATGCGTTCAGCTTCGTTTCTTACTCGGATGGAGACATCGCGGAGGGAAGCGAGGGGACAGGGATGCGGTAGTAGGGGAAAGGTGGGGCGGGAAACCGAGCAGAGAGGTGGGAGACTTGGCTGAGGCAATGGCACCAGGCAGGGCCGCCCGGAGTCCCGAGTCCAGGTCCGCGAGGCAGGCCCCGGTGCAGCCGCGCCCCGGCCGAACCCTACATGTCCTCTGTACTGTGGACACGAGTCCGCGGAGCGCCAGTCACACCCCCGCACCCCTGCAAGCTCCCGCCGTAGAGGGGGCTCGGCACCATCCTGGTCACAAAGTACGTGCCCCCACCCCCCACCCCCAGGTGAAGAGGACGCAGCCCGGCGCCGTCAGCTCCAGGCTGCCTGGAGCCCCCTCCGGCCTCTCGGCGCGACCCTGGTCCTCAATGGCTCGTCGCGAGCTGCGCTAGCTGCTCTCTCGGCAGCGGGTTCCCCAGGACACACCCAGTCCCCACCCCCCGAGAGCTGGCGGCCAGCTCAGGATGCCAGGCGGCCAGGCGGGCGCCCTGCCAAATTCCGCGTTCCTCTCCAGGAGACGGGGAGTTGCGTCCCAGGCTCGGGAAAGCCCGCAGTTCGGGCTTGGGACTCGCTTACAAAGCCCCCCAAGGCGCCAGGGACGCCTCTGCAGGTTGAATTCCTGCTCCGTATCACTTCAATTTTAATTAATCTTTTAAAACACCGCTGTCACGTCGCTTGCAGAAAATTAATCAAACTTGAATCCTTGTTGCATAGCAAGAATTTCGATCCGAGTCTTTTAAAAAGGACTTGACTTTGCAAAGTCACGTCTTTTACAGTTCCCTCATTCCCCCTTTAGCAAGGGAAATACTGCAAAAGTCAAGACATGTTTGTTTGGTTCTTTCTATCTTCAAAATGAAACTTTGCTTATTTCTGATCTTTATTTTCCTGTCTTTGAACAAAAAAAAATAACGAGATAAATTGCCTACCTCGATTAATTCAAAGTATAATTACTTTGAATGATCTTTGTTTAAGAGCCCAGATAAACTAAGATAATCTTAATTTTAATGTGACACGACCCCTATTTTTCCTTGTGAATAATGAGAATAAAGCAGTCATTAATTAATACCAAGATATCTCCATAGAAGATGGTATCTGTTCTCGCTGAGACACTGAAACATCAGTTGTATTAGTAATTGATACTGTATAATTGAACATGAAGATAGCCGTCTATTTTTAACCTCCAAGCTCAGAGTTTATTTGGTGATTATTGAGCTCCTAATAATTAATTTTTTTCCTTCTTACTGCATAAATAATTCTTACGACTCCCAGTTCCCATGCAATGCAGAGGCTTCTCATTAAAACCTACCCCTCAAAATATAAGATTGTGAAGCTATATTGTGCAGCAACTCCTTCTATTTCATTATTTGTAACATATTTCCTCTATTTCATATCTTCCTGGTGCATTTCCTTTGCTGTGATTTTCCTACTAAATCTATGAGAATATAACTATAACATCTTTTACCATAGCTTTGTCTTTCTGTGATCTCTTGGTTCAGTTTAATACACAATACTTAAGACTTCAATTTTTCAAGTTACTAAAATTTGAGGATGAGTTCCACTGAAGAATCAAAAATACTTGTATAGTGAAGTTGCCATGGATTATATTCCCAACCTAACACACAGTCCACTTTAACTCACACTTTTCTGTTGTTAAAAATAGACTTTGCTCAAACACATTCCCTTTTTCCAACTTGAGTTGAAGAGAGTTCTCACAATTTCCTGGGTTAAATGTACATGCTAACACAACCTTTGACATTAAAAAACAAATTCCCCTCCCGCGTTGGAGAGAAGTCTTCCAAACAGTCATGGAAATTTAGACTGTAGCTTTAAGGTATCTAATTATTTCTTAGCCTCAGTTATTTTGGGGCATCAGAATGATCTTCACTTTTTAAGTGGAAATGGTTATGATATTTTTCTCATACATACAAAAAACTCTCTACTTATTTTTCCAATAAAGTGTCTCCCAAGTATGACATGTTGTATACCACACAAATATTCTTAGTACCTCCGCTACCAAATCCATGCATTTTCCCTGTCAGTGCTCTATCTAAAATTCTGGAAAGTATAGAGGGTTTCCACTTTTATTTCCCCCTTAGTACAATTAAAACTTTAGGTCAATATATAACGGAGTGATTCTCTGCACTTGGATTTTATATTTTCCCACTATAATTTGGACTGGAATGGGATTAAAACAGCATCTAGAGTTCTAATCTTGGTTGATGTTTTGGTGTATTCACCGTAATGAGTCCTATTCTCTGGGGTCATGAAGCTCCCAAATGTCAATCAAGCAAACAGATTCAGAAATGCCATTGTTCGACTCCCACGTCACTCGCCTTCCTCTCATTTTATTTAACAATACCGGAGTTCTCTGATCAGTCATTCGGAATATGAGGCATTATCTGGGGAAAATTCACAAAGTGTCTTGATCTTTCTTTGGGAGATACTGTTAAGGGGTTTCCGCAAAGCATAAAGTGCTTGTTTATATTTCTGTCTTTGGACCGCACTGTGGATGGAAAGAACCAATGAATACTGCTTGAAAGGAAATCATACCGTAAATCCGTCAAAAATTAATTCGTCCAGTTGAATGTTACATTTCTATTTTCTGTTTTCGTGTTGGAAGCACCCTGATTTGTCACCAGAGGAGAAGTATGACCAGGTCTGGGTCCAGTTGACATGCCCCCACGTTCAACCCTGTCTATTTTCACCACTTAATACTATTAATGTGTTTAGTCTAAACTAGTTAACTAAGAATTTATTTGGGGGCGAGGAAGAGCCAACCTTTGCCCTGGGAGTTCTACCCAGCCCACTCAGCTACGTCCGGGAGCCTCCGCAACTCGCATTTCCCAGTCGCAACCCTGGGTCATTCCTGCCTCCGTCCCAGCTCCCGGACAATTCCCAAAGCCAAAGGCGTCGAGCGTGTTACTGGCTCCCACCAGCCCAAATTAATAATCAGCTTAACTCGTGGAGGCTTTGAGCCCCAGTGCTCCGTTCCCTGAAGCCTCCCAGTGCGGAGCCCGGCTCCTGCGAGGACATCCTTGGAGGGGGGCCGGGGCGCAGGGACGGATTTCCTGGGAAAAATTGTCGCTGGCGTGTTGCACCTAGAGGGCTGTGGGCAAGGAGGCACGCACCAATGTCCCAGTTCTGGGCTCTCAGATCGGGATTCCTCCAAAATCGCGACAGCCGCTCAGGTGCTGGGTGCTCACGTTGGCAGCACAGAGCGCCAAATGCACGACCCCGCGCGCCGCGCGCGACCTCCACGCACACTTAGAGCCGAGGTGACAAGGGAAGGCGGCGGGGGTGGAGCCGCTCTCTGGTGGAGCATGATCAATCACTTTAAAGGGTTCAAAAGTTCCAAGTTCCCCTTTGGAGGGGAGAGGTAATGCTTCCCGCGGCCTGCTTCTCTCTGAGACCCGCGGGTTCCCGGCAGCCGCGCAACCACTGGGGATCTCGGCTGCCGCTTGCGGGAGCCCCTTCCGGGGAACACGCTCTCCGGGCCGCGCAGCCGGGCGAGGTTGACGCAGCTGCTAGGGGGCAGTTTGGCTTCCCCGGGAGTACCGGAGTCGCTCGGCAAAAACGTGATCTCAGCCTGCAGGGCCCGGGGCGCGCGCTTTTCCCTTTCTCAGCAAGCGGGAAAGGCCTGTTGGCAGAGGCCGGCGGAGTGCTGGCGGCCTGGCGGCTGGAGGCTTCGGCGGAAACCTGAGCTCCCTGCGACCTGTTCTGCTAGCAGGGGCGGGGGAGAGCCCCAATAAGCCGCCCCAGAGGCGGACCGTGCAAATTCCTAAGAAAAAGCCCTCTAGAAAACACCAAGCCCTTCCAAAAGCCGTGGCTCTGCCCCTCCCCCGTCCTGCGGCCTTCCATCCTGGCCCCTCGCATCACCCAGCCGGCCCTCACCTGCTACCTGGCCAAGGGCCTAGCCACCCCTCTGCGTCCCCGCCCCTGCTTTTAAGCTCCTTCTCCCCCTGACCTTTCTGAGGCCTGGGCGAGGGTAGCCAGGGTGCTGCAGAGGAAATGAAATTGTTCTGGAGATTACAGTGGGGCTTTGGGCCAGAAGGGTTTTTCCCCTTCTTTTTCTCAAGCTTCCATGTTAAGTGCAAACTTGTATCTCCCGTCACAAGAATAGCCAAATTTTCTCGCTTATTTGCAGTTTTGCAAAGTTCTACACACAGATCAGTGAACCTTAAGCGCCCTTGTTCAGCCCCACATTGTGGAGGTTTGTCAGGGTCCCTGGGCAGTGAGCGTAATGACAGGTGAATCCAGCAGCCCCAGGGGGAGCCCGACCTAACCCCAGGACTTACAATAGGCCAGGGGGCCAGAGGCTCCCCACACAGCTTCCAGCAACAGGTACTCTACACCAGGGCAGGCCTACAGGGTCCTTCGGCTTAGGCACTGCCCCTAGAAACTGCTTCAGTGACCTGGGACAGAGAGGCCCCACCCACATGTCTTCCCCCAAGGAGATTCCTTCTCTCCAAATTACCCCTCGGTCACACAAGAACAAGAATCTCTGCGCTCTGTGCCACCTGTCCAGACACAGCCAGGCCTTGTTTCAGCTGCAGCAGAGGCCCTCACAATGTAAGCCCATTGGTGCTTTCAACCTGCTTGTTCTTCTGACATGATTTAAAATAAAGAAGAGGAGGAGGAGGGAAGGCAGAAGAAGAAGCAGGGAAGAGGAGGATGGGGGGTGGGGAGGAAGAGGAGCAGGGGAGATGCAGAATAAAAGATGGCCAAAGGGGATCAGCACAAAATGGAACAACTCCTTTCTTATCCAAATTGCCCCATAACTCAGTCTTTCCCACACTCTAAAAGAGGGATAACTGGTTTCAATAACTATTAATACTTTCTCGAAGTAACTTTTTTGAGTGAATTTTACTCTTGCACCTGACTGGAACCGACCTACCCCTCTCCCCAACCTGAAGAGAGGAATGGGCCATGTACCTTTGGGGAGATAAATAGCTTTATAAGGCATAATAGCCTCCCTGTAGCCAGTCATCACTCCACAGAAAGCCAGGGAGATTCAAGCTGTGAGAACCCAGGTGCTTTGTTGCATAACCAATCTCAGCCTTAATCCAGCCAAGGTCAGCCCACATTAGATTCCCAAGAAATGGGCTTAAGGTTCCTCCTCCTGTCTGGACCATTCACAGGTAAGGAGATCCTCACAGAGAAATACATCTAGTACTTACAACCAAACTCCAAGTGGGAGCAAGTCATCATTGTGATGAGAGTAGAAGACCATGGCAGAGAAGGGAGGAGGTGTAGATATGTGTAAAGAGAGAGAGAGACATGTTTGCTTTTGCCCAACTCTACAGTTCTAGCCTGACTCAGTCCATCCTCACTCAACCACCAGGGTAAAATAGAAATCAGCCTCTGGGTTATCAGAGAGAGAGTAGTGGTTGTGTGTGTATGTGTTGGGGGATGGGGGTTGTTGCTTTCTCCAACCCCAGGCTAGTGTATAGGGAACGATATCACAGATAGGAAAAGATGGAGTAGAGGGAAAGAGAGGCTGGAGGAGAACTACAGCCTACAGTCACTCTGAGGAACTCATCCTCATTAAAGAAATCCTTTCTATGATGCTGCATGTCTTCCTCAGATTTGTGGCAGCCACACTGAAGGAGGAGGCAGCTGCAGGAGCTGCCGCTGCTGCATGCAGGCATCCAACAGTGTGTCCCTAGCAGCCGACTTGGTGTCCCCAGTGTGAAGAGCCCAGGCTTTGCCCATTAGGCTGTGACTGAAAACAATCCCCCTGCTCCAAGCAGCTTCCACAGTGACTACCCCAAATCCCTAAACAGATTCCTGGACTGAGAGAATACAGTTCATAGCATGAATGTCTAAGAGCGGGATTCAGTTAAAACAAAAAAAAAGATAACAGAAAATCCCACCCAATTCTGAAATCACTAATGAAATCATGTGTGGTAGTGGGTATTTGTCCCTGCATGGATTACAGTTTCATACTTTTGTCCCTAGAATGACATTTCAAAAATATTCTCCCCTATGTAGCACCAAAGGCTGTTTTTATGGCCTGCTATTGTGAATCAACCTTCTGTAAACCATATTGTGCATTTTCCCCTGGATTTTAGTGAAAGAAGAATTGTGCCAATGCAACTGCTTTGTCCCAGCGCTGAAACAAAGACTAATACACGGGAAAGAGGCAGCCTCTGCAAAATGTACTCGTCTCTGATTTGGGAGGAAAGCTCCTAGAGTGACCAGCCCATAATTGTGGTTGATATTTAATCCCCCTTGGTACAAAGGCTCATCTTTTCACTAAGCAGAAGCACCATTGAGATACGCCTAACCTTTAGGGTTATATCCCAAATGGGGAGTCCAGGGCCTACGCTTGGATTATCTAGGTCTCTTCTATTTTGTAAAAATATACACAAAAAAGCATTCCTCACAACAAAGCATTCCTAATCACTTCAGCTTCTTGGTGGATTTTTATTCCTGTGTCCACTTGGGGTATTGAAATCGATCGCTGCAATATTTAATATATTACACTCCTAGGGTCATCCCTCTCCTAAGACCGAATTCTCTCCCTCATGCCCTCAACTCAGCCCAGTTTCTATCCTCCCACTACCATCTGTCCAGGTCCTCTGTTTATCTGTCCACATAACGCCTTTAATTCTCAGCCCAGCCAGACAACTTCACGTTTATTCTGTTTTCTTCTGTTATGGAAAATGCTGAAAGCTGTAGGCAACAGTGCACTTAAAAGGGAAAATGAGGAGCTCAGTAGATTGGATAAAATTAACCTGCCACAAACAACCTCATTAAAGAACTGCCTACCAAGAGTTAAGAATTAATAGCAAAATGGATGGGAAAAAACCCTTCAGTGAAGAGACCTTAAACCTCTTTCCCTGAAAGGTGCATAATTTACAAGCCCAACCTAACATTCAGTTTTATTTCCCTTTCCTAGTGACCTGTCCCATAACCTTGTAATCCACTGCGGGGGTGTTTTCTCTTTTGTCCCTTTCTTCTGGTTACACACCCATAAGTTTGCAAGCCCAAATATTTTCTGATATTTTTGGTTCAAAAATGCACTTAAATTATTTGGAGCCTTTTAATTTAGAAAGACACTTTAAGAGACTCCTGGAATACCCTTTGGGAATTGTTAGATGATTTGAAGAGTGCCCTTAAAAGAACTGTGTTTGGATAGGAGGGGGCTGAGGGAATCATGCATAAAGAAGCATGAAAAACCAGAGTGAGGACATTTTGTAGATTTAGTGTTCTGATGGCACTGTGGTTTATTTTGCACATGAAGTTCAAATTTAAGTAAAGCCCATGTATATGGGCTGTAAGTTGCTTTTCTAATGTTTTATTGGGCAGTGTATTCTATATTGGCATTTTATATGCATAATCTCATTTCAATGCAGAGCCGCATACTAAATCCTGGAGCAAGCAGATGAGAATGCTATATGGATATTACACTCAATTTCATTGGCTTCAATGAGACTTTGCACATCGCGATTTCCATTGTAATGGCTTATCTTTGGCTAGAATTTTACACATTGACATGCTATTCCTTTGGCCAGGATCCTGAATGAAGAAACCATGTCAATGGAACAGCCATAATGATTCCATTCACATTATAGCAGGTAACTGGGATCAATGGTTCTAACAGAATTTATAAAAGACTTCCTGCTTCTCTTTTTCTTTTCTTTTCTTTCTTTTTTTTTTTTTTTTTTTTTTTTTTGAGACAGAGTCTCACTCTGTCGCCCAGGCTGGAGTGCAGTGGCACGATCTCGGCTCACTGCAACCTCCGCCTCCCAGGTTCAAGCGTTTCTCCTGCCTCAGCCTCCCGGGGAGCTGGGACTTCAGGCGCCCGCCACCATGCTGGGCTAATTTTTGTATTTTTAGTAGAGATGGAGTTTCAACATGTTGGCCACGGTGATCTCGAACCCCTGACCTCAAGTGATCTTCCCGCCTCCTCGGCCTCCCAAAGTGCTGGGATTACAGCATGAGCCACCGTGCCCGGCCTTCTCTGTTTCTTAATATTATTTTTTTGCACTTTTTTTTTTCCTGAAGGAGATCACAGTTAAAATCAATCTTGGAGTATACACTAAAGTAGTGGTTCAAAACAGGAAAAGATAGGAAATTCACAATCAGGATGCTTCCAATTCATCTAGAGATCCTTCTGTTGTGTCAGGATATTATATGTAGTGCCTTCATGTGTGGTAGGATCAGATCCTATTCAGATAAACCAGTTAGAGACTCACAGAAAGGACAAAATTTTAGAAATACTTGTAACCTTCTTAAGTCTACAAAATAAGTTATATTTCTTTCCCACTTAAGTTCTACAAAATAAGTTGTTTTTCTCCTGTTTAACAGTAATCTTAAATTACAAACACAGACTGAAATATATAAGATAATAAGAAATGTTGGCCATATTAGAGAAAGTAGATGTTTCAGAGGTAATTTCTTTAAAGGAGATGATAGAAGTGTGTAACTAATTTCCTAATTTACTTTTAAATTTATGGTGCATAAAGATGTAAAAGGATAAAAAACACAAGAATTAAAATATTTTCATTATTTTCTTAAAGTCATGAGCAGCAAAACAATTGAACAATTTGAATGTTAACCAAGATCTTCCGCTTAAAAATCTTCCTTATTTAGGAAAGGGGGGAAAAATCCCACCTCTCTTTTTAAAATCAGATAAGAAACATTCCGGTAGTAGTGATGTACACCCTTTTAATTCTTAATCATAAATGTTTAAGTTTGTTTTAAAAGTCTTTATTATTAACAGAAAAAATAAAAATTGGCTTCCTAAAGGCCAATTTGCCACATGATGTATAACACTGGGAACAAAATTAAAAGCATCTCTTTACATTTGCATCTGGCAATGTGCTCCATGTTAGAACCATAGCCATGTGTTTATGGAGTGCAGCTCTCCTGGTCTTGAGATACATGCTGTTTTTTATAGCCTAACCAGAATAGCTCAGCACATGCAGGGCAAGAGGCTGCAAAGCCCTGGCCCCTCACCCCAGCAAGGAAGCTCAGGATCACTGCAGGCTCCCACACTGCTTCTCTCAGCACTGGTGTAAGTCCAGATCTTACCCTCTTTCCACTTCTGGAGCAAATATTATGAAATATGGGTATTTCCCAACATAGCCTTCACCTGGGTGCAAGGGTTAGGTAGGGGGAAGGGAAGAAGGGGAAAAGCTGAGAGACTGGGAGGAGAGAGAAAACAGAAGATACAGGGAAAAGGGGAGAAAGGTAAATAAACCTGTTCAAGGCAATTCCCACCGTATCATGCAGGTTTGACTTTGAATGGATAGGATAACTAGACATCTGAAAGCTTAACCAGCTACTGGTCTGCATATTTGGACCCAACGTAGAGGAAGAAAACGAATCTCAGACATTTGCACCACTGACAGTCAGGGTATTCATTTGAAGGGAGGCGGGGGGAGGAAAGAAAGAGATGAGAGAATGAATGTAAAATGTGTCTTTATTCCTGAATATCCAAGAATCTAGGCCCTTGCAGAGACTGAAACCCCTGCCTACTGACCAAGTGGTAGCCTTCAGATCTCTCATATATCTAACTTTCACAGAAAAGGGGGAGGAGGTCAGCTGCCTCCACTCAGAGCAGCCTCTCTTCCACACGGTGTTTCCTTTCTACTGCTCATCACTTACCACAAGTATTGCGTTTTTCCTGGAGCCAACTTAAACTGATCTTAAAGAGGGCAAGCACTAACAACAGAAATTCCATTTTAACCTCTTGTGCCCTACATGTGCTTCTCCCAGCCTCCAGAATTCTGAGTTTATTTGTTTGTTTGTTTGTTTTGGTGGCTTGAGGAAAAGGAGAGTAAGCTGCCACTCAGATGGTTTCTCTTTTTTTTCTTTTCCCTCCCTTCCTTCCGTGCACTGGGGCTGGAGAAGGCCTTTGCAGAGCTGCCCTCTGCTAGCCTGGTGATATTTTAGGGTCTAAGTCAACTGACTGCTGAGCGTTTTCCATGCAAAAAGGGTCCAACACAAACGTGTTGATGGTAGTGATTAGATGAATAACTGCATCTTACTGGAAGGCCTCTAGACTGCCTGCTACTATCTCTCCACCTTTTTCTTTCTTGTTTCAGTTATCTACCCTGAAGGAAGATCCAGACAGCAGGAATTAAGGAATCAGGGACACTCTGGCATCCTAGGTACTTGGGTTGTTTCCCATATATTCTTTTTAGACTATATACATACACATCTGTGGGCAGCAATCTCTTCTGATTCTCTTTTGGAATCCCTCCCACCCCCCACATACACACCTCTCTGGCCTTAAACATTTCTTGCAACAAGGGGACAACCACTGCCCTTTCCTGCCCCGCCCCCGCCCCCCACACACACCCGGTTAGGCACCAGTCGCCCCGCAGCCATGGCCGCAGCCGGAAAAGAATAGAGAGCTCGCTGTGCTGCAATCCAAGCCGCTCAGCTCTGGGCGAAGAAGACATCGTGGGAGCTAAGCAGTGGCACAGGATAGGGCTGTTCCCTGACCAATAAAGCATTTATTCAGCTGAGCAAACGTTTTCGGAGCACCCAGCATGGCACTGCTAGGTGCTGCTGTTCGGTCCCAGGAAAATAAAGGGAGATGGCAGTCCGCAAGGCGAATGTGAGAGGAGACCTGTACGGAAGCCATCGACAAGAGTTTCACACTACACGTTTTGGGGTCGTGTTTTTCCAAGCAAACCCGAGTGATCTTTAGGGAAAGCCAAATACACTAGACGAAAACATCCTGTTATGAGAGGCAGGGACGGTGGAAGCACAGCTATCTGAGAGTGCGTTAATCAGTCAGGATAGGGGCTTGGAAGCCCAGGGCTTGAATTTGGTGAATTCGTGCAATTTGGAGCATTTCGACTTAGTATTGATCCCTAAACTCAATTTTGAAAACAGCCTCCATTGCAGAAGTGTGGGTTGTGTTATCCCAGTATTTGCATGCATCGATTGGACTAAAATAAAATGCATCATACTCTCTGCAAAGAAGGAAGAGGCAGGGACAATCACAAGAGGAATAGCAGAAAGTGCATAGTTAATATGGGTTGTACGCGAATCCGTGAAACAAGTGCCTTAAACCCAGGGGGATTTCACGTAATAGCTAATTTGGTGAGAGCTAGCGCGCAAGCAAGCAGAGGGCCATCTTAGAAGGGAAGGAAGATAGCTGAATATAGGCTTTTCCTACTGGAATTAACATTTCCTTGTGATTTGCATTAGCTAATGTCTAAACCCTCACATGCAGCCCACCTAACCCAGGTTTTCTTCTACGCTTGTAGGCTCAGTAAGGAATTGTCTTCCTTCTAACTGCACTGCCAGAGCTCAGGGGCTGCGGAGAGGCGGCTGCTGCTTTTCCCCCGACCCACTGGGTCCTAAGTGCCGGGAAAGGCCGCAGGGCAGATGCTGGGGAGGCGCTCTCCGCTTGTCCTCTCCCGGCCTGCAGGACCCCAACGGGTTCTCTCCTCAAAGTTAATCCGAGGAATCCAGCGCCTGCCTGGTTTTGCCCATACCCTTCTCAGGTCCCAACTGGGAGGAAAGGGAACTGGAGGAGATGGGAAAAGGAGATAGGAATATTTTATCTTAAAGAAGACATTCTTTTTCCTTGTTCAACACACAAAACCAAAACCCCTTCCTCTTATTTCTCCCGTCTTCCGATTCCATTTTAGTTTCTAATGGAGACTGTGTGTGTGTGTGTGTGTGTGTGTGTGTGTGTGTGTGTGTGTGTGTGTAAGAGGGAGAGAGAGGGAGAAAAAGAGAGGGCGAGAGGGGGAAAAGAAACAGGGGGTTAGAGAAAGAAGAGAGAGATGGAGATCCCTTTAAACAAAAGACAAGAGGCCTGAGCTGGGGCCTGGAGCTGTCCCCGGAGCCTGCTCTGCCCCGCAGACCCTGCGGTCTCCAGGCCCGGTAGGCTTTTTCAGGTTCCGCAGGCCTGGCCGAACCGGCCAGATCCCGCGTTCCAAGCGTCTGGAGAACTGGAGACAAAGCCCAAGATCCAATCCCACCGCAGAGCGGCTCAAGCCGGCGCCCGGGACCCGCGGGCCTAGGCGCGACCCCCAGCAGCCTGTGACCGAAGAGGGGAGCCCGGGACCCCTCCGCCTCTCCGCAGCCCTCTCGGGCGGGGTCCCCCAGGCCCGCCCGGTTCCCCCTGCCGCACTCAGCCAGCTGCTTTTGGAGGCCTGCGAGTTCCAAACACGCCTTCCCATTAATTAAAACCTGGAAAGCCTGGCCACTTTCTTCTCAGGCCGAGGCAGCATCTCCAGAGGTCCCCGCGGCACTCTCGGCCGGCAACGGCTCCCGCGCGGGGCCTTGGAGGCCGAGCGGCCATTTACTGCCCTGTGATTGCGCCGAGGACCAGGTTAGCTCATAAAGCCTTTCACACTCAACAATGGGGATTTTCTCAACAATTAACAAGAAACAACATAATAAAGCCATTTACAAAGACCTTGCTATTTACTATAAATTAGGCACTCTTTAAGAGACCAGTGCGTAATTTCACACACTTTACAACTGGGGCTGCATTTTAAACACCCGGGAAAACAAGCTTGTTGCACTTTCCTGTGACCTAGCTGCGGTGCACCTCTGTTTCCCCTCTTCCCCGGTAGCAGCTTTGTTTGCATTGCTGCACTCCAACCTCCCCAACCGAGGGTGGCTTTCCAGGTCACTCTCTCACGTTTCCCGTTTCCAGGCCATCATTCCCCTTGCAGATGCACGGAGAGGTTCCCAGGGATGGGGACCACGCGCCAAACCCAGCCAGCCGGGCCTCATCCCATTCCTCCCACTGTGGGAGTTGCGCCCGGCCCTGCCTGCGCCCCCCGCGCCCTCCCCAACACCCAGGGCCTCTGGTCTTGAACCACTTCCCAGAAGGCGTTCGCGGCCACACTGGCCCAGGGGAAAGCCCCAACCCTTTGCCACTGGCGATCCACACGCGCCTTTTGGAGGCCTTGGCCAGCCCTCCGCCCAATGCGAAGAGCTGGGCCCCATTTGCCTGGGGAGCGGAGATGAGGCCTGGGCGAGAAGGTGAGAAACGGCGAGGCTGCGTGTGCGTGTGCCAGGGTGGGCGATGACTTCGGGACACACAAAAGGAGCGCCAAGTTGAGGGGAGGCGTTCCAGGCCCCGAGGGCCGGCCCCCGCGCGCCCTGCGCCCCCCGCTCGCCCCTGGCCTGGCCCCAAGGCCGACTGGCCGAGAGGCTGCTCGGGAGGTGCCGCGGCGCTGGCCCTGCCGCTCGCCCCGGGGGTCGACATCGTCACCCATTCAGAGGACAGCAAGATCTGGGCGGGAAAACAAAAGTCACAAAGAAATTTGTTTGCCACCATGCAAAATGGCGGCACTTAAACATCTTTCTTGTGGTGGTGGCCCGGCCCAGAGAGCCCGGAGCTGCCCTAGGTTTAGCGCGGTGCGCCCTAGAGCTCGGCGGCCTGGGGCAAGCGAGGGGGAAAGGGACCCTGAAACCCCTGCGGCCCCCAAGCCGGCCCTTAGCCCGCAGCCCATCGCGCGATCAGCCGGCCCCTGCCTTCCTTCCCAGCCCGCCAAGCCCCTAGCCCGCGCCAGCAGCCCCCGGCCACTGACCGCTGTTTACAAACACAGCCTGGGGGTGGGGTGGGCCGGCCGGAGCGCGGGCTGGCGGGGTGGGGGCGGCCGCGCGCCCCGGAGGACGCCACCAGCAGAGAGGAACGAGGAGTTGGTGCGAGAGAGCGGGCTCGGCAGCTGGAAAGGACTGAACGCCTTGTTTTTGAAACTGTCAATTCCCTCAACCCCTATTGTGAGGGCTTCATGCAAAACATCTCAGGCCTTTTAAAGTAGGAGCTTGTGAGGCCGCCACAGTTTGAAAAGAAGCGAGAGAGGAGCGGGGGCCCAGGGCATGGGCGAAGAATGATAGCTGGGCCCCCCTAAGCCCTCCCCACGTACTCTGTTTTTTTTTTTTTTTTTTTTTTTTTTTTTTTGCAAAGGAGGGCATGCCAAACAGGTAAAATGCAGCCCTCCCCCACCTCCTAGATCTGCCCTATGTCCCCATCCCCCAGGCTAGTTTGCAAAATGCCCTTTGGCCTAGGGAGCAAACCAAAACCAAAGCTAGCATCAAAAATAGTTTTTCCTTACAGGGAAGGGGAGAATCCTGGTATGATTGGGGTGACCGGGTGGACTCGCTAAGGTGGATGCCCTGTTCCTCCTTGCCAATTTCCTGAGGTTAGTTGATGGGAAGCATTTTTTTCCCCCTTTCCTAGTTTGGCTCTGGGAACTCCTTTTTACAACCTTCCCAGCAGGAAGTTATTTTTAAGGTGAAGCAAAACTCACCACATTTTCTTTATTTTTTAGATGCTAATGCTTATTAAAAAAAAAAAAAAAAAAACAACTTTACCATGAAGGATTTTTGTTTTTGCTCTTTGAAAGAAAAAAAATGCTTTTGAGGAATTAGTTTCTACATCTCTTCCTGCATGCAAACAAAACTGTCATTTTCATATCAGCAGAAACTCCCAATTCTTGTTGATTAGAACTTTGAGGAATTTCTAGACCATTGAAAGTCGCCCAGACACAGAAAAGATAAAAATCCAACACCAGCCCCATGTAGTTTGTGTTATTGTTGTTTAGTGGTGGCTCCTTGTTGATTTTCAAATAAACAACCATTATTGAGATTACTCCACTGTAATCAAGTAAGCCAGTAGAAAAGAACACCCACTTTAAAAAGTAAATAGTGGAAAAAGAGCAAGCTGCATTTTCTATAAAGGCGGATAACCTGACTGTGGAAGACAGAGTACACACACCTCTTAAAAAAATATTTAAATTTTCATTTCACAGTCTTATCAGGAAATTACTTTTATAGGAGACCAAAAATAAGTTTGTTAACCCAAAAAGTTAGAAAAAGAGCCTTTTCCTGCTTTTTTTCCTCATGTCTGTAAATGTTGGACTTTAGACACAGGAATCAGTCACCCTGGAGTCATATAGTGCTTGTTTTTTTGTTTGTTTTTAATTCTATGCCCTGAAAACATCTAAATGTAAAAATGTAATCTATCAATGGAGGTAACTTGTTTTTTTCTCAATAAGGCTTAACTTTCTGAACAAATGGGACATTTATAGCAGCTTAGAAAAGTCTAGATATTGTCATTAATCATAAAACAACCAAAATAATATAAACAGTACTGAGAATAATTCCCATATCAGAATGGGGAAACAACTAAGGGGCTAGCAGGAATTGAAAGAATACCTTGTATTTGCAAGTTACTGCATACTATTTGGTACACTTTCCTTACAGAAGCCCTAACTCAGGTTTTGCTGTGGTTGGCTGGCTTATGGTAGTACTGTGGGGTGAAATTTGTGTTGACTATTTAATTTCTTTCCTTTTGATGGTATCACTCTGGAAAGCCTCGGCCTCCATGCTGTTCATTCTCCAGCTCCTATAAACTGAAACTATTGATTCTCTGAGGGTTAGAGACTAAGTGTCAAAGCTGGAGGCCAATATTTTATGTCAGAAATTCCACAGGGTATATTTGTTTTAAATTGTGCTTATTCCATCTTACAGTCCTTCCACATCCAAGATCTGTAGACTTCAAATTTATTCTCACTTTATAATTTAGGAACAATGAGTCCTTAGCCAACAAGAGAAGTACTAGTCTGCGTGTAGTAGTCACCGTACTTTGAACTTTCTTAACTTAGAAGTAATTAAAGAGTAGAAATTACACTCTTCCAATGTGTGTGTCACACTTTTTACAGATTGATTTTTCAGGACAACTTACTGCACCTAAATTCTGTATTGCTTTCCAAAGAGGAAAGAACTGAGATTATGAAGCCAATTGTTTAGCTTTCTGGGGCTTTAACTATAACATGGACTGGTCTTTGGAATTATATACAAACAAGAATTCAAGGATACCATCCCCAAATTTTCACTTTGACCATATCTACCATTCCAATAAAAAAGAATCCAGTGAACCTACACCTGGCATGGCAACATTCAAGAAGGAAAGGAAGGAAGGTAGTTGAAAGCATCTGTTTACTCCATCCAAATGTATTTGGATGCAGGTATTCTCAGCCTCGGTCCTTTACAATAAGAGGAAAACCACAGAGCATATTCAGCAATTAGGGGCTGAGGCCATCCAGATCTAACTGAAACATTTATAGACAAAAGGAAAATTTCAAAGGGAATAGGAACTAAAAGGTTAAGGAAAAACAAAAACAATAGACTGAATTTCCATGAGAAATAGTGACTTAAATTCACACAGTAAACATTTCATTGGTGTTTTGTTTTGTTTTGTGATTTATGATCTATAGATGCAACTTCTTAGATTCAAGATAGCAAGGATCTGAGATACATAATTTGTCAGACTAAAGGAGGTGGGCCAGAAATTATTAGATTCAACTTTCATTAAAAAAATCACTGATCTCTGCTTCACTTTCTTAAGCCTGAAACTTTTCCTACTTGATGTGTAACAAGTTTGTAAAGTTTTGTTCTTGCTTGGAAAGAAATCCACCAGTGTTCTGCACAGAACCTGACTGGCCTCGTCACATAGTATTACAACAAAACACTACACCCAATAAATGCATTTCTTTCAGGCAAAAACATTACAAGTGAAAATGTCAACAAAACCATTCAATCCTGTTAACCGTTCTTCAATCTGGAATAAGTAGAAATGTATGGAACCAGGAATTTTAAACAGTGTTTTTAATTGAAAATAAAGCTAAAGCATGCTTTTCAACAGTGCAAATTTCCATAATTTTGATTTACTGCTTCCATCATCACAACACAGTACACCAGCATGGCCCTTACCCAGGGCTAGACCCTAGCATTTGCATGTTGAACTACTTTGATTTTAAGTGCAAATATAGATAGTCACCTCTGATTGTCACTTGCAGTAGAAACTCTCCTGCTCTATACACAGGATGGTCTGAAAACACAAGTTTTAGAGAGATGCAGAAAAAGTATAAGGTCATAAAATCCAAGTGCCTGAGTTCTGGTACCAAAAAGCCCTGAAAAAACTGTTATTTTTCATTTGGGGTATTGCAACTCTGACCCCTCATTTTCTTTTTCTTGGTTGTATTTACTGATTTGTCACTATCAAGAGTTCGGCCATGAAATATTCTGCTATTACGAGAAATATTTCAGCCCGGGCATGGTGGATCACACCTTTAATCCCAGCACTTTGGGAGGCCGAGACAGGCGGATCACCTGAGGTCAGGAGTTCGGGACCAGCCTGGTCAACATGGTGAAACCCCGTCTCTACTAAAAATACAAAAATTAGCCGGACATGGTGGCACGCGCCCGTAATCCCAGCTACTCAGGAGGCTGAGGCAGCAGAATCGTTTGAACCCAGGAGGTGGAGGTTGCAGTGAGCCAAGATTGTGCCACTGCACTCCAGCCTGGGCGACACAGCGAGACTCTCTCCAAAAAAAAAAAAAAAAAAAAAAAGAAATATTTCAATTGTTTTGGGAGTTTGAAGAGTCATGTTCAGACCACAAGATAAGCAGGACAATAGTAAGAGTCACCTTATTTAAAACCTTTGGGTGAGAACACAAAACAGACTTTTCCTGTTGCAAAGGAGTGGCTTTAAAAGTAAAATCACACCCTTTACAAAAAAAATACAATTCCGTATTTATTTTACTCAGTATGTATGAGGCAGCTTTTACTAGCATTTAATCAGGACTCACACCCCAATCTTTCCACTAAAAAAAAAAAAAAAAAGTTAAGTGCAACTACTCTTGGAGAGGGAATAAGGGGAGTCAAAAGAAAAAGATACCCCACAAACAAGAGCTCCAGAAAATAACATTTTGGGCTCACAGAAACTTCTTGCTACCTCACCTCACCTCACTGTGTAACCATGTAACCTAACAAACTTTCACTGAATTAACAGTTACACTTTCAGCTCTGAAATCTAGTGCATAAACTTAATGGCTCATTGTAATATTTATTATTCAACCTTTTGACATTTATTTGTAGCAGTTGAATTGAGGTACCGGGTGCATTATTAGCATCGAAACAGTAAAGTGTTCCAGCTCTACCGTAATAACTGAGTTTTACTTGAGTCTTTAGCCTGAAGTAGTCTGTGGAATGTAAACCAACCCTTCTCCCACCCCGCCCCCACCCTACTCCAGAAAAAAAAAAAAAAACCCGCAACGGAAAAAAAGTAATCCGATTTCTGTCTTCAAAATGCGATAAACCAGGACTCCAAAGGGGGTGTAACACATTAATGGACTTGTACAAACCATCCTGTGCAGTTTACAACAAAAGGAAGGTAATATGGTTCAAGAAAATATCTTCCAAAACATTTTTATGAATTAAATTTCCTGAATTTGTGACTAGGTGGAAGAGGTATTGCAGAACCGCCCAGCTGCCATTTCCATATAGGATGGGCCTTGTGAGGAGTTTGAGAATCCTTAGTGGTGTTTAAGGAATACGCCGGCCACAAATCCCCATCTCTCCCAATAATGAGTGATGGTGGACAAGGAAAATTTGCCATGAAATGAAATGGCCTTTTCACTGCTGATGCTACATTGCTGGCTACCTTTTTGCGTCTGTTTATAACTGTAAAATCATCCAGTGTTCCTTCATTTGTCTCAGTTTTACCTGTAGGACGAGGGCTTCTAGCTGATTTCAAATTTGGTTTGACTGGAGGTGTCTGAAGGACAGGTCGCTTTCCCAGTACTAGTGTCCGGTAATTTTTTCTCACCCTGGCACCAAATTTATATTCCCCATCCTCAGGTTTTGGAGAACCTAAAGTGCATGAAAGGCCCTGACTTTGAGCCAGTGGATTTAAGGAAGGAGTTTCTTTTTCAGGGCATGCAAAACCTTCCTTGGCTGTGGTTAACAAGGCGTCCTCCTCTTTACTCTCAGTCACACTGTAAAACTCACCCTTTGTATCATTGCACTCGCACTTTAGCTTATTTGTAAAAAGGTGAGGTTCATATTCTTCATTAGCACTACTGTCTTCTACTTTGATTTTAATATTGTGCAGAAATGGCAATGTCTTGTCGCCTGTGTCAGTGCAGGGATTCTCGGCTTTAGTTGCTGCTGCTCCTGCAGCGTTCACTTCAGGATCAGTCTGCGAAGAGGGCAAATCCGTAGCAAATTCAGGACAATGAAGGATTTTGGAATATTTTTCTGAATTTGCTTCTGCTCCTGAAGAATCATTATTTAAGAACCTAGCAGCTATTGTGTTGTTATCTGCACAGTGTGTAGTAGGAGTTGTTTGTAGGCATTTCCTAGCCTCTCGGAGTATTCTTTGTTGTGGAAATGCATTGTTTGTCTTTGGGCTAGGTGAAGAGGCCCCCTCTGCCAGGCAGTTAATTGTCAGGTCAGTTCTCTTTACAGCATTGGAAATTTCAGAGTGTGGGAATGTAATCTCAGATACCCTATCGTTCCTTATCTCAGCGAAACAACTCCCCAGGCTGGCCGGGCAGTACACCGGAGATGCTTTGGGGGCCCAGCTCTGCAGATTCCACTCCGCCGGCGACTCCGCTTTGACACTACTCTTGAGGTCGGGAAGTCTGCCGGCATCCTCGAAAGCAGCGGGTTTGGTTGCAGCGGCGGCGGAGGCCAGATGGTACAAGAAGTTGGCCTGCGCCTGCACGCTGGGAGGCTTGCAGAAGCTGGTGCGCCTGAATCGGATGCTCTGCACTGACACTTGGCTGGAGCCGGAGCTGGAGTCCGACTCGGTGGACGAGTCCTCCTCCTCCGAGCTGACTTCACTGGAATCCGAGGCCCCGCTGCCCCCCTCCTCCTCCTCTTCCTCCTCCTCCTCCTCTCCCTCCTCCTCCTCTTCCTCTGAGGACACAGAATTGCTGGAGCTGGACAAACTGGAGCCAAAATCCGAGTCGTTGGCCGCGTGGTCCGAGTAGGAGCTGGACTCGGAGTCGCTGCTGCAGCTCTCGGGAAAGCTGCCCAGATGGGGCTGCGGCCGGTGGTGGTGAGGGGGGTGGTGACTCTGCTGCGGCGGCTGGGCCCGGTGGTGGTGGTGGTGGTGGTGATGGTGGTGGTGGTGGTGGTGGTGCGGAGGCGGGCAGAAGCCGTTGACCAGATGAAACCTCTCCAGGCAAGTGGCCCCCGCGGCGGCCGCCGCCGCCGCTGCCGCCGCCGCCGCCGCCGCCGCCGCCTTGGCTTTGTAGGACCTGGGCAACAGCAGCAGGCGCCGCGCGCCGGCGTGAGGCGCGAGCAGGCAGTCCTTGGCGCCGCCGCGCTTGCGCTTGCAGCGGTAGCTCAGGCTCCCCGGGCCTCCGGCGCCCGCCGCTGCCTTGGGCTGGGGCCCGGCCGCCGATACCTGGTAATAGGCGGCGGCGGCGGCGGCGGCGGCGGCGGCAGCAGCGGCGGCGGCGGCGGCGGCGGCGGCTGCCGGGTGTTTGCTGCACAGCAGGCTCCGAAAATAAGCAGGGTCCGAGGGGAAGGCGACGTAGTTTCCCTGGAGCGGGGCAGTTTCATAGTTTAGAGGGGGTTTGCACGGCGAGCGCACGATCTCCGGGTAGTGCGAGCCGGGGTATTTGCTAAAAATCTGAGGTAGATGGGCGGCGGGGCGCGCGGCGGCGGCGCCCGGGCGCTGGGACTGCGCGCTGATTGGCAGGGGCCGCGCGGCTCCGCTCAGGCCCCGCCAAAGTTGGTGCTTGTCCTTCCAAAATCCCGGGCGGGGGCTGGCGGCAGCGGCGCGCTCTGGCGGCGGCGCCTTTGTGGCCAGGGCCCGGCCGACCCGCCTGCGCTTGGTCTTGAGGACGCGCTCGGTTTTGCAGGAGGTGTAGAGCGCTTCCACGTCTTCCCGGGAGATGAGCGTGCATTTGGCGGCGTGGAAGGCGATGCTGTTAATTGCCTTGAGTTTCCGCAACTCCTCCAGATCGCAGTGGTGCTTCTTCACTTTCAGATGATCCATGCGCTTGTGCACGGTCGTCCTCGGGATGTTTTTCAGCAGATCTGTGAAGACTTGGGAGAGGGCAAACATTTGCTTCCCTTTAATGATGAGGTAGCCGAGCCTCACGCCATCCACCTCTTCAAAACCTGACTTCAGGTCTCCCATCTCGGGCACTAAATGATCCCCACCATTTGCAGTAAATATATACGTGACGCATACATACACATGTATGTATGTTAATCCTCAGCCAGATGCTGCGTGTGTCTCAAGGCATCCTGCTAATAAAATAACAAAGACTGTTATTCCCGGCGAAGGAAGTGCCAAACTCTAGGCGAAATTATTGGGGGGGGGGAAACCCCATGAAATTACACTGACTTGATTCTTGCTTTTTTGTTGTTGTTGTTTTCGTTTTTTTAAAAAAGAGGGAAAAAACCATCCGGTTTCTGATCTGCCAGTGTGTTGGTCTGAGTCCCCGATGCAGATCAGTACCTGGGCCCCTCTATTCCTTCCTTCTCCA
This sequence comes from Homo sapiens, assembly GCF_000001405.40. Taxonomy (NCBI): domain Eukaryota; kingdom Metazoa; phylum Chordata; class Mammalia; order Primates; family Hominidae; genus Homo; species Homo sapiens. Next base: position 21,518,175 of record NC_000010.11, read on the forward strand.
TTGGAGCACTATGATAATGGAATGTGAAGGGAGAAAGAGAAAAGAAATGCAGCTGCTATTCCCGCCGCTGCTTTAGCTACAAATAAAATGACAGAGTGAAGTGAGCTCGTCCGGAGACACCTTCATCAATTAATTCCCCTAAAGCCAGCGCTGATTGGACACTCCTGACAGGTGATGCAATAAAAATTGATATTCCACCCCTTCCCCCCAAAATCTCCCACTAATTAGCATACCCTTATACTGCCACCTCCCCTCCCAAAGTAAATAATACAGTCGGTATATAAATCTTTCCATTAAACTATCGGAGCTCAGAAACAGCCTGACTCACAGACTTCATCAGAAGCAGTGTGTGTACGCTTAAGGGAGAAAAAAAAAAAAACCGCACCGTATATTCGCCTTTAAAGAAATACTGCCTATTTTTTTCGTTTATTTGCATTTTACCGATACAGCTATTATCATTTCAAAGAAAAGCATTTAAAAAACATTATCAAGCCGAAAGAGAGATACCCCACCCCCTTTTCCTTTTGGAAAATGGAGCTTAAGGGAAAATGTGCAGAATAGCCTGGTATTTCCCTTACAGGAGTGGGGAAGGAGACCGGCTGGGAGCTCCAAAGTTAAACCCGCCCCGTGAACCACCCCAGTGCGGACTTACGTTTGGAATTTCTCTCGATTTTCCTTTTTTTTTTTTTTTTTTCCTGAAATGCCTTTTTACAACCAGAAACAAAGTTATTTGACCAAGGAAGCAGTTCAAGGCTCCAGCTCCGAAACACTGTAACAATTCAACTGGATTTCGGTTCTCTGCTGGGGGGTGGGGTGGGGAGGAGGTAGTTTCACGTCAGACCCATAACAAAGCATAGATAAGCCAGAAATGTGTACACTTTTCCACAATTAACCGTACTGGATTGGAGGCGGGATCGTCCAAGAGTCCCCAGCAAAGCCTTTGCCAGGGTCCTGTTCACCACAGGTCAGAATTCCAGGGAGCAGATTGCTTCCTTCTGCAGCAAAGAAAAGAAACTGTCAAACGCCCAAGGTGCTTCCAGAGGTTTTACGTAATAACAATGAAAAGAAAGTGCTGATGTACGATGCAGACTGTTTCAGTGGTTTGTGATGCTTTTGGTTGGTAGTTTAGGTAAATCTTCCACAACTCCCAGTTTTTCCATCAAAGTCAAGCATCTGCTTTAACAAAATCACTTTGGATGAAAATCAATGTGGTTTAACCTCTTCTTAGTCAAATTAAGGCAAATTTTGGTGTCGTTTTCAAGGATATCCAAAATATTGCCAAATGAGAGCAAGGGTCCTCCCAGTCGCATTACCACGATCCCAAGGCGGCTCCTTGGCTGCTTTGCAAAATTCGGCAAAATCTTCTTAACTGTTCAGTGTTTGCAACTACAACATAAATGCAACCCAGGCATTTATGTGTTTCCTTGTTCCTCCAAAAATAGACACATCCGCGTGATTAAAAGAATAAACGGATATTTCTGAGCCTGCAAGAAAAAAATTATACAGTAATTTCTTTTTTCACATTCAAAAGTCCCAGCTTCCCCTGCTCTGGTCTGGATGGCACGAGCAGGTATGGCTCAAAAAAGAAAACAAAGATAAAAACTGAGGAATCAGACATACAAAAAGGTAGTTTGCCTGACAAGATGAAATCTCGGCCATAATTCCCCACCCCCACCCTCATCTCCTTTGTAATTTCCCAGGAATTTTGAAAAGAATTGGGAATTTCAAGAAGTGCATCCGGAAATTAAGGAAGTCTATTTAAGAGAGTCTGTAACTCAGGAGGTTGGGATTTGAAAAGTCAGCCCCTGAACTACTGTTGCACTCAGCACAGATGTAATCGCCGCTCTTCAACTTAATCAATGTATGTACAAACCGCGATGTCTAGTTCTTGCCTTTGAAATCTAAGGCTAGCATTTCCATCCAAGAAATCAGAGCTACAGCAAATTACATTTTTGTCCCTTGAATGAAAGAAGGATCATTGAATGGATCTCGTGATATTTCAGGCTTTAAACGTAACCGAGAGGCAGCAATGAACAATGCCTCGTCACAGCTAATACCATCCAGCGAGTTGGCTTTCTTTTGCATCTGGATCTATTACACCGTGTTTTTCTCTTTCACTTTCACAGGAGACAAAATGCACAAGGTTTAGGCAGAAAGCGAAGTTTCCAGGAAAAGCAGATGCTGGTGTTTGTTTTTAAAAGTAGAATGACCAGAGTCTTTCTATTGCCAGCAACAATAATGTCGTTTTAAAATTCCTTCTGATGCACTTATATAGTACTGCCAGCCCTCGCCCTCCCACCCCCACCCCCGCCATTCCCCTCCCCCAGCTTTAAGAATTAGACCAAAGAGTCAGCCAAGAAATAGTAAACTCAGAAAAAGCTTTTGAGAAGACAGTACAAAAGGTTGGCTAGAGCATCCTTTTTTTTTTTTCTCCAGGTAGTTTTAGTTGTTCTCCATTCCTGTTTATATTTCCTCTCTCTCTCTCTCTCTCCTAGTCCTCCTACACATAGCAACATGATTTAGTAGCTATTTCAAAACTACCTTCTTTTCCTCTCTCTTCCTCTCTTTCCACCTTTAAAATATTGGCAATATAGGTGGTTTTGAAAACTAGTAGCATATTAAGTTATTTTTTTTTAACTAAGGGCATAATCTGTTGGGTGAAATAGAGAAAAATAAAGGCTAGGGAATTTGAGAAATGTGTCTATATAGACTTTGTGCAAGTATCTCTATATGTACACTCAGACACCTTTACACTTATACATTTTTAATACTACTATTACACATCTTTCTTCGTGTCTAATACATTCTTTTGTTCCTTTAACTTCCCCATCCTTGTGTGTATGTGTGTGTTAGGCTCCAGCACTCTTGCTTGAATGAGTGCATGCACACACACACACACACACACACACACACAAACACAGAATGTGACAGACAGCTTTCTTGGGCCATCAGCACACGTTGCATATCCGGGGTCTTCTCCAGGCACATTGGGGGTCGATCCCGATAAAAAGATCTAGCAGAGGCCCCTGAGCGCTCACACATGAAAGGCAGGGGACTTTAAGATGGATTTGCATGCACACCGGGGATTTCGATCAATAGCTACCAACATTTATGGCTTAGATTATTAATGTGAAAGCTGGCCAAAAGAATGGGGATGAAAAATTAAAGGTGTCTGTTATCAATTATGCTTAAAGTTATGCAATAATTTACTTACTTTGCCTGATGTGCAGATCCAGATGTATAAAGTACTATTCTTCAAAAGCCAGGGGGTTTCTTTGATAAATTTGTTGACCATGTCAGCTGACTCTACAATCAAAGATGAACCCAATTCAGATAATGGACTGTATTCAAATTTTTTTAAGAAAAGATATATCAACTTCTATGTTTCTCAAATGCAAGTACATATGTAGATAGATATGTCCAAATTAACATTTATATATATATATCCTTCTCTGTGGGTCCAGGAAATTATTGTGAATTTAGGCACATGTATGATATGCATTGAGTTTAATTAAATGTGATTATTTACTCAGTGAGGAATGCCTAATCTACACACTATTGTAAAAAGTGCTTTAGCTTTGAAAACAAAGCTGCTTGCAAAAGGAAAATCCTCTTTAGCAAATAGAGATTGAAATATATTCCTAATGTCCACTTACTTCTGCATTTATTGTAAAAAATCAGCACTTTCAGTTTTTAAAGTGAAGGGCCATGAAAATATGAACATATTTGTCTTTACTTATCCCATATGAATGTGCTAGATTTACCTTTAGATGCTCTATTTTGATTTATTTTCACTGTATTTTATGTTTCAATACCATTGCAATTCAGTCTGACCTCTTTCCTCTGGAGCGAAGTAATGCACACGGCATTTACAGTCTTTTAAATGGTTAGCTGGGAAATGCAATAGCAATTTGCAGGAGTAGTTTACTAATGGGGAAAGTTCTTTTGAAAACCTGAAGGAAAACCTAAGAGTACTTTTGCATTTCTACACTACAACTGTCATATAATTAAAGTATTGAAGAGCATTAAAATAATCCTTTTCCTTCCAAGCTTTCACCCATACATACATAATTTAAATGAGGATCACAGCCACCCCCCCCCCCCCCCCCCCCCCCCCGCCACCAGCTCTTCACCATATACGTTTGTTTTAGTGATTGCTGGGCACATTTTGTTCAAAGTGAATTCAGACAGAAAAGAGTAAGGAACATCACAAAGGCCTCAACAATGTAAGTATGCTGGTTAAAAGAATAAAAGCCCCTTGTGCTATTAACTAAAAGTAACTATAATATTCACAAGATAAAAGTTTAAAATAATAATAAAGTCTCATATGGCTGAATTAGTTGAGGATATAAGACAATAAAATCTCAACAGTTCTTTAGCTAAGTTTATCTAATATCACATCTTCTCTGCTTTTTGGGATGGGAAAATGGGAATGAAGGAGTAGAAAATGGCTAAATTGAGAAACAAATGATAACTTAGTATATTTCCTTTAATTTTTTTTCTTTCTGGTTCATTTGAACAAATCAGGGTAAGTCTCCAAAAGGGCCCATCCCTCTGTTCTTAGGCATTTAAAAACCCTGTCTTTAACAGAAGTTTGGGACACAGGGTATATGCCATGTTGTCTACTGACCCATAATCAAAATGCAGTGACCTTCTACCCTTTTTTTGCCCCCTGACCCATCTTGAATTCAATGCAGCCTTTATAAATTTGCAAATCCTTGGAGGTAAAGGGGTTTTTGTGAGGCTTTGTTCTGAAAAAGCCCTAAGAGTGTGCTTTCTAAATTAGACAAAGGTAAAGCAACAAATCCTAGTGGATGAGATTTTACACAGGTGAGCAATAGGCACCTCCAGATAACATATATTGCAAGCTAAAAACCAGTTATAAACATAGGAGACAAGGAGGTTATAGATTGCATCAAATTAGAGTGAGGTACAAATCACTTTCATGATGTAAGAAACGGCTAGGCCACAATCTTCCTGCTCTTCTCATCTCAAGGGCTGTGGGGGACCCTAGTGACCAAGGAAGGAATGGGGTGGGGGGAAGGGGGCAGGGAGGAAAAGAAAGGAGTGAGACTTGATCTGAATCTGTGGGCACATTCCCTTATCTTTCCTGCTATCAGCCAGTTTAAAGGACACCATAATTATGATGGTGATAAAACAATGCCTGCTTATGTGTGCTGAATAAATAAAGAATGTTTACAGCTCAAGAATCTTTTAATTCCAATTAAATGCTATCAAAGAAAAGCCACTTTTCCTACTGCAACCGCCTTTCCCCCCAATTATCTTGTTTTGTTGTAATATTTTCCTATGAGACACATGGGCCTTTCACAATTGATCCTGAATGCAAAAGAAAAAAAATCAGAGAAAGTAGAGTTTGACCTTCAGATATTAAATAATACACAAATATCCAGAACCACAATTTGTTAGGGTTGCCCAAGTTTTTGTTTATTTTACACAAGGGCCAAACATATAGAGACTGAAGTGGTGACACCAAGTGTTGAGGCCTACCTATGGGCTGCTCAGCCATACTGAAATCCTGAGCCACCACGAGGGGAGAGAGGAGAGACAAGACATGAGGAGCCTGATGGTCTCTGGAAAGGGAATCCTCTTCTGGTTCTGTTCCCCTGGCTTCAGCCCAAATCCTTCTGGGAGCACTGGAGCCAATCACTGTCTTTCACTGCTGCAGCTACTGGGAACCTACAAAAAAGCGGGAGATAAAAAAAAAAAAAAAAAAATCACAAGTTCGAATTTATGGATACACAAGTATCATTTCATATTCATGACATCAGCAAATCACATCATAATCAGATTTGAGCAAGGTTTGGACACTAAGACCCAAAAGACTGGACACTCAACACTGACAGTATCACATATTAACCAGAAAATTCGCTTTTTTGTTATGGAATCATAGGGTGAAAATTAAGTCTTTTAACTTTGAAAAGCTTACTTTTCACTTCTGAGGCCAATTTTTACACTAATAAATTTCAAGTAAACGTCTCTTTTAAAGTTGTTCCACAACATTTTAATTCAAACTTCTATTTCCTTTCTCAGTTGGGGTAGTGTTTTGTTTGTGTTTTAAAAAAACACATGGCACAACAAACGTTATGGAAAACGCACTCATTCCGTTAAATGCCGATACAAACCTGCCTTTTACTACATCTGTCTAAGCAGCGCATTGCTAAGTATAAACTTAAAAAAATTTTTTTTTCTCAAAGACATATCTATTATTTCTTGGCAAATACTATTTGGTGATGTGGTGCAAAAACACAATGGTAAAAAATTTCGGGGTATTTGTAAGTTTTCTGGAGAGTTGCAGGCCCCTTTCCTTTTGAAAGTTTAGAGCTCCAATACCCTCAATTCTACTGGCAGAATTAGGATGGACTTAGAGGGTCCTAAACGTGACCGATTCACTAAGGCGGGGGGGGGGGGGGGCTACAGCTTGCAGCAACGTGCTCTGCAACTTAATCCTACGCTAAAAGAGGGCAGAGAGCGAAAAAGAATGGAATACAAACTCTCCCGACATCCGTAGTTACTTTCAAGGTGGATTGTGTATTTTAAGGCTGATGGGAACGTCTGGTTTGTGGAGCAAAAAGAAGAGAAGGTAAGTGTTTGTCCTTGTATCCACCAGTTCGTAGAGAAACAATGAAAGAACAAAGGGAACCACTTCCCCATCTGAACATTTTCTGTATCTCCCTCCGTTTCAAGCCAAAAAGCTTGGGAAGGGATTCGCTTTACTCTACCTTAAGTAGTGGTTGCTGGCTTGTTGAACTAAGAATGAGAAAAAAGTTGAGAGGCAGATATAGACTAAATAATAATAAAAAAGGCTTGCTGTGGCGGATCTCCACCGCGCCAGTGTCAGCAACTTGCAGCAGAAGTTGCTCAATGCACGGAGGCAAAGCCCAAGAAATACCCTTTGCACACCAGATTTCGAACTCAGTCATTTAAATAGACTTTCTTGCTGTTTGAAGGGGTTTCTGCGCACAAAATGTGTAGGTAGTGGCTATGGGAGAGATGTACTATTTAGGTCGAAAAATGATCTCATGGCTATCTGGAAAAGAATTTTTAAAAAGGAAAGGGGATTCAAGTATCACGTTACTGTTTGCTAATAGAAGAAATGGCAGCACTGGCTGGGAAAGGAGAGGGATTCGTATTGAAATGCATTTGCTTTGGGGTACGCTGGTTATCCGCAAGTCTGGCTTTGTGGGTCTGCGTGGCTGAATAAGTGACCAAGTGCCTTCGGCATTATATAAACGGATCGATGTGTGCGGGAGTCCCCAAAGCCGTCGAGCACGTGAAACGCGACTTTTTACTGCCCTCCAAGCGGCGACCAAGCCCCGCTCCACCCCACCCCGCCTCAAAATCCGTATATTACCTGCCCTGTTACAGTGACACATGTTTATGTTTATAGTCCTGGTTTGTAGTAGTGTCAAGAACCGCAGCAAGAGGAAGGGGAGGAGAGAGGAGAGGGAGGAGTAAATTCAACCACCCCCACTTGTTGTTAAAGCAAATTTACTGCGTTATTGCAAGCTCAGGACGGGGGGCTGGGATGAGAGTTGAGAGGAAGGGTTGAGTTGGGAAGTGTGTTGGCGGTGGAAGGTGGGGGTGGGGTTAAGAGCTCCGCAATGGAGCTCCTCTCCCCAGCAGCCCAGGAAAAGCAGCTCGGTCAATAGGGGAGCATGCTGGCGCGGTCGAAAACAAAAAGGTTCCTCCTGCTCGCTGCGTTCACGTGGGGGGCTCTGCACGCGGGGCTCCAGGGCCGTGACCCCTGACCCCGGCTCCTCTCCGCGCTCTCCGGTGCCGCGCGGCCACTTTTTACCCAGGATCCCTCGCGCGGGCCGCGCTCGTGCCGAGCTGGAGTCCTTCCTAATCCTCCATTCCCGGCTCTCGCTCCCCGCCCCCGCCGCCAGCCCCGGGGGAGGATTCTCCGGCGGGGAACCCCCGCCCCACCCCCACCCCGACTGCCCCGGCGGAGTCGGCCGCAGCGAGTCCGCGCGGGGCGGGGAGGGCCGGGCCGGGCCTCCCCTACCGCGCCGGGCCTGCGAGGGAGGGGAGGGACGGGGAGCCGAGGGGAGGGGGCGCCGGCCTCCCGGCTCAGCTGCCCCACTGAGGCCTGGACCTGTTGACTGCGATTGGCCCGCCTCATCCCGCGCCCTCTCTCTGCTCGCAGCGGCCCCAGCCCTTCCGCGGCGTCGCGGGGAGGAAATGGGGATGGCTGTCCTCCTCTCCGCCTCCTTCTAACTTTCCTTTTTTTATTTGGGTGTGTTGGGGGGGGTGCTGAGAAAGCCCAGGCAACTCCACCGCCGCCCCATCCTGCCTCCGAAAGTCTCGTCACGCCCGACCCGCCGCCGCCCTCCCAGCCCCCATGACTTAAAACCGCCTCCCCTCCTCGCAGCGGCGCCCCGGCCCGGAGCCCGAGAGCCCTCGACGCCCCCGCCGCGCCTCCCCCGCCTGGCCTGGCCCAGCGGCGTCCCCAGCGAATTGTGTCGCTTTTCTGCCCTGGAAGCTCCCTCGGCCACGTTCCACTTTTTTTCCCAGTCCCAGGAGGCGTAAGATAAAACCTCTGATTTGCTGCGTGCTGCCGGGCACATTCTCTGCCCTCTCGTCCGAAGGACGAGTTTAAAATGGAGAGTTTAAAATAATAGCATTTACAGGAGGAAATAAAGAGCGAGGAGATGGTTCTTTGGCCGGTTTTAAGACATACATGCTTTTTTTTTCTTTTAATACAAGATGTCTTAAGGGTTAAAAGCGTTCTAGGGTTTGCTGTATTTCCTTCTAGATTTGGGGTTTCCTGAGGAAATCTTTTCCGGAGGGAAATAGCAAATCAACATTAAGATGGAAGCGAGACTTCTCAGCCACTTTTGGAAATGAAGGGGGAAATTGTAAAAATACATTCAGAAAAGGGCGCGAAGGCGGCGGCTGAGGGGAAGAAGCTGGAGTCTTGGGAGGAAGCGCAGTGGGTTGGAATCGGGGGAAGGAGGGCCCGCTAGGTCCGGGCGGGGAAGAAGGCGTGCGGGCGGCGGGGCGTGCGCCGGGCCGGGCAGCTGGAGGAAGGCGCGGCGGGACTGGCGAGCGCGAAGAGGCAGGCGGGGAAGGCCTCGGGGGGCGGGGGCCGGGCGCGGGGCCGGCGCGCCGGAGGAAGCGGGACCTGGCTCCTCGCGCCCGCCGGGCCGCCCCCATTGTTCTGCCCTAGCACCGCTGTTAGCCGAGCACGTCCTGACCGAGGGAGGGGCCCCGCGGGCCAACCCGACCCCCGTCGGCGCCTCCCCGGGCTCCTGAGCTCCGGCCGGGTCGGGTCGGGCCGGCGCGGCAAGTTTTGATGGTCAGACTCAGCCAGCGAGGGGTTCCCAGCTGAAGACCTCGGAGGAAGGAGCCTTTACAGCGTGCTGCGAAATTGAAGGAAGCCGGGCGAGCCTGCAACGCACACGTTATGAGAAAAAGGGAAAGCAACATAGATATGTTTATAAAGTGATAAATAGATAAGAGACACCCGTGGGCAGTTATTATTCTGGATCCGGAAAGTTACAGTAGATTATATAATATTTGAAATATCTTGAAAAGTATGGATTCAAAAATCCATTTAAAAAAAGGTTCAAAGGAATTCGGAAAAGCACGTTTCGCTATCCTTATTACTGATTACTCAGCTCTTCTTTGTACACAGAAAGTCTAGTTTTAAAAGGAAAGGCTGAGCTAGCCCTTTCAAAAACGGGCTTCCTTTAACGTGAAGTGCGTTTTCAAAATAGGGAATTTCAAAAGGGAAAAACGTTTAATTTGCTTTTAAGCCACGTTTTGGAAACAAATAATTGCAATCCACTTAATAAACTCTGTCTGTTTTCCTTTGTGAGGCATATGGAAGAAATATTTCTGGCCAACGTCACAGTTGTTTTTTTTTAAATGAAGATTTCCAACAAGTGCTTGCGAGTCTTGTCGACAAGACCAAAGTCATCGTGCGTGAAAGGCCAAGAAAAAATAATTTCAATCCTGTGGTCCAAACCTTACTAGGGCAAGAGAGTAATTTCGACTTAGGTTTATGATAGACTTTGCGGAAATTCCTTCTAAAATACTCATTAGTAGTCTGTGTGTTATGAAGCACTGTTTCCCAAGGTAGATTTTAAAAAACCAATTAGAATTGATCTTTAATGGAATATTATATTTACACGTCATCATGAAAACATCATTTGACAGAGTTTTGAATTACAAGAAAGGAGTTAACAGATGATGCTCATAAATAGCATCTGTTTGAAAAGACCCCTTAAGAGTCAGTTAAAGGTAGTGATTGTTGTATTTTTGCATTTGAAATGCTGTAGAAGTTGCTTGCATTTTAACACTTTCATTTTGCGGGTCTTCTTTCTAAACTTGCATTTCCTCATGGAAATCATTCAGTTATTTCGAGATATAGGGAGAAATTCTTATGTAAGATATCATTTGAGGCGTAACTATGGAAAGGTTTGAACAGAAAAAAAAATCGCTGTTGAAAATCAAGTATTTTCAATCTATTCATTCGTTCCACACTCATCCTCCCACAGTTCCCCCCATCAATTTACATTTTTTGTTTGTCTTTGAATATTTAGAATAGCTTTACATGATTATCTGTTATGTAGTTGATAGTAGAAGGTGAATCGTTTTACATCATTCACTGTTTCAGATATTTTTTGTTTCATTTAAAGTAAAAAGATTCTTAGGAGTCATGTATTCTTGTGAGAAAAACAACAAATGGATGGAAAAAGGGCATGAATGGGGGTGGGGATGGAGAGGGACAAGTAGCATTCCTGGTCAGTCTTTGTGATACCTTTCTTTAATTTTATGTCATTATATTTTCCACTTCTGCTTGCACCAACGATCATTGCTTTTTTAATTGGGGTAAAGTGCCACCATATAAAATTTACCTACCTTCTGGCTCTCAAGCGCCGCAGTAAAATAAGGCTGACAAAAAGTGATCCGAGGCTTGTGTGTTTAATTCGCCAGGAATGTTAAGCTTCATAAGATTCACCCTATGGGGTCATGTTGGTCCTTGGCACTGTTACTATACAGTTTCAAGAGGTAAATATGCACATTATAGATTTTAAAAATCTAAGATGTACTAGACCAACAGTTTATTAATCGAAGGAATAAAAAATGAATTTGTCAACCTCATTCTTTCTGGGACACAATGCACTTAATTAACATATTCTTGGGCTTGTTTCTGGATTTGGTAAGCAGTGGCCCCTTTTGGAGAGGAAAACATTTAAATCTTAAAAAGTGATCTTCTTTGGTCCAAATAGTATTTATAAATTCAGTTTAATTTCTTCTTTTTTTTCAGTCTAAGATATGTTGCATTTCTTTCAAGGTTCTCTTCCATTTCAAAAACTGATTTTCCTCTTTTCCACGTCCAGAATCTTTTCACTCAGATAATCTTATGTGGCCTATAAACAGACACCTAAATATGTCACTTTAATCACACTTTAATTATAACAGAGATGCAGATCTTCAGTGTCAGTAAAAAATGAGAACATGGACCTTACAATACACACTATATTGATGATACTCTGAAAAGTCAAAATATAACACCTTTCAGTATTGCTGCATCATGGAAAAAAATAGTTCAACTCTGAATCGTTAACGAGGTTTAGGTAACACCTAGAATGCCTAAAGGCATCTTTTAGATAGCATTTTTATATTGATAATTGCATGCTGTTTTACTCAAAAAATGTAAATACAGCCATTTGATATCAATTTTATAGCAAAAGAAATAGCTCCGAGGCCAAACACGATTAACCAAACCAAACCTTTCAAATATTAGACCTCGATTCTTAAAAAGATTTTTATTTAGATTACACAAAATTTAAATTTCAGAATTATCTACCAAACTTTCAGAAAATTAAAGTGTATCTAAAAACAATATTAATTATAATTGATTCTAAGTTGGAGATTGTTTTGTAATAAAATGATGACTGTTACATGAAAAGGTGGTAAACATTTGAGGGCTATTTAGAATAGTCAAGTCTAAACTACCTGGTAAATAAAAACTGATATTAATTTCAACTATTGAAAATCTTCAGATAAATCAATTCACCTGAAAATTTTTGTTAATCATTACTTACAAATATTAGTTCAATTGTACATACAAAATAAAATCTTGCTTTACTTTGAAGAATAAAGCTCAGAGTGTAATTAGCTTTTAAACACCAATTGAGGACATTAAACAAACATTTACTCTAGACCTACTATGTGCAAGACACTTGCTAGGTGTGATGGTGAGTAAAAAATAATCACCTAGTAAGATTAACAAGTTTCATTAAATAGATTTTTGAAAAAGCCATTAACAGAATCTCAATTCAAAACATAATTGCAAAGAATATTTTTATATGAAATTTCGAATAGTACTCCATGATATAGGTGCCATGGTGGTTTTGTATCTATAAAGACACGATACTCATTTATGGTGACATATTAATAACAAAGCTAGTTTCAGAAACACTTCAGTATTTTAATCATACTAGCATAAATATATGGCTCATAATAAACTTTTAATGAAAAAGGTAAAAACTCTTGGGTACCAAATGAGCAAAACAAAAAACAGAGATTCCTCTATGTAAAAGAGGATATATCTGAAAGTCTGCACAGATCATAAGAGAGTGTCTTTTTGAGTTTTTCAACTAATTTATTTAGAAAGAAGTTGATAGACTCCAATGAGGTTTAGCAGATGCAGGAATTCTAATTGCTTTTTGCTTAAAAAACTTAGTCGAAGAGCCAATATAGAATTTTACACACTATGGAAGTCAAGAATCTGAGTTCAGGAAAGTGTATCTAGTCTCAGCATTATAGAAGTATACCTCACATGGATGTAGAAATAGACCTCAGTTTCTATACCCCATTGTAGAAATTTATATATACCTTGACAATGGGTACAATAGACTAAATATAATATGCGCAAACAGAAGGCAAATAAAACTTTAATTTACAAAGGAGATAAATATGAATAGTACTAACCTCTGAAATGAATATGGTTTTAAATATTTCTTTCATAATATCTACTTATGTAAATAATTATGGAAAAGCAAATACAGAAATTTGGTGCCTACCTTAAAGAATAAAGAAAATTATTGGAAGATATATTACCCATAGAGCGAAAATACATCTTCCCATTATAGTAGGGTTAGAGGTTACATCATAAAATACTTTACTTGAGTTTTTTGTGGTTTGCCTCAGATGATTAGTTTGGAGAAACAGATGAGCTAGTACTGAGTTAGCTGCTGTTATGTGAAGCAATGTTTAGAGACAACAGGGTTTCATTTTATTCTAGAGGTACTACATACACTTTTTTGAAGGATATTTTGAGAATATAAAATAAAAATTTAGGGTAACATTTTACAGTTGAAATTGTTCTTTTTCACAAAGTTATTTTATAACTCCTATGGTAATTTATTTTTATATTGCTATGTATTTTAAAAAGCATACTTGAACTTTAACAATTCTGCCAATGTAATTACAAGTTTTATCCATTTTGAGGTAGGAAAATTAGCATATTCAGCCAATTGTTACATATATGACTATATATATATATATATATATATATATATATATATGTCTCACAAAGGACAAATACAACTTTCTCACTGCTATATTCCCCATATCCAAAACAGTCCCCAGTACACAGTAAATGTTGAATAAATATTTACTGAATGAATAATTAATTGTGTATTTGAACTGTTTTACTGTTTTATACTGTCTGCTTTTCTTCCTTTTCACTTAACATTTTATAGAAATATACAAAATATTATACTTCAGATATACAAGAAAAAGTTTGATATCTGGTACAAGTTAAAATGAAAATGAGTTATTTACACTCATGTTTTTTCTTATAATTTTCATACTCAACATATGTTAAAATCAGTTTTAAATAATTTGAATTATATTTTGTGAACACTTATGTATACATCTTTAACAAAATTTGTTTCAGATACTATTGTTTATATACAGGCTGTTATGAAATAATACATTTTCCCTATTTTTAAAAATTTCTGAAACCTCTTACAAATGATACATTTTTTTTGTTTTGTTTAGGAAATAGCAAGTGTTTACTTACATTTGTTTTAAGTGTTAAAGAATAGGGCAAGGTACCCATCCTTCTTTACATACAAATTAATTCCTTCACAAGAACTAAGCTCCAATGCATTAAAAATAAAACAAATGTGTTTTTAAATAATTTAATGCATTAAGGCTTGGCTGCAGTGTTTGGGAGGGGAAGTTTCACACTGATTTTTAACTCAGAATTGCTCTATAGTAAGAGTCTGAACAGGACTTGGATATTGAGCTGGTATCCTTTGTATAAGGGTGAAGATAAAATATATGGTTAAGATACACAAGACAGTATAGTTTTGTTTGAAGCCCGTTTTAGTTTCATAAATTTTTAAGGTAGTTAAAAAATATAATTATTATATATCCAGAAATGTATTAATTGTTGTCACATCCCAAAAAAGAATTCATATTATGTAGTCTTGTAGTCACCTTTTCTAAATGCACTATGTGAATTCTCATTGTTTTAGTGTATATTTTAATTGCCATTACTTTGTATATCTCAGCTTTTAAAACATCTGAATTTGCTATATATGCTCTCATTGTGCTGTATACCTATTATCACTCTTACACAGATTTCTAGCAATTAATTTGAAATAGAAAAACAGCCATGATACCTTTTCTAACCCCCCTTTATCAGAAGAACATTTAGAAGGCTTTTAAAGCCCAAACCATTATATTATCTTTTGGCGACCGACTAGGAGAACTTGGGTTCTCTATGCTTTAGCACTGTGAAAGTGCATCTTCCAGATCAGCACATTTATAATGCGAATTGCTGATAAAGAACCATTTTGTACCTGCAAGGTATTAATCAAAAGTCATGAATTCGCCTTTTAACTGGGCTTGTCATTTAAACAATCTATGCATAATTCTGATTTCATGCGAAACTTTTCTAATTAGACATTTTTTGCTTAAACATCAATATTGGGCTTTACGGATGCATAAGGAATAGGCAGACAGTGGAAGATTTTAGTTTAAAAGTGCTCAGCATCCAGCTAATTAATCTATGCAGATAGGCCTAATCCATTTTCCATTTGTTTGTGAGGTGGGAGCTCTCATCTTTCTGCCACTTTTAAATGACCTCACATTTCCAAGTATAAATTTGGAGAAAAGACCCGGATCAGAGGAATCCTCCATCAAAACTGGACGCCACTGTCTGATGGCGTTAATTATGTTTTAGCGACTGACTAGGAGGGCTAGAGTTCCTTCTTCCTTTTGGTGTAATACAACTGCATTTTCCGGATCATCGTATTATATTGCTAATTCCGGATAAACCACCATTTGTCCTGCACACCGAGCTGAGGGGCGCCTTGGCGTTCCCTCTCCGAGTGCAGCCCTAACACAGGCTTTTGACCTTCAGCCTGGAATACACTTTCGTTTGTCATTGGGGCCCACGTAGTGCGAAAATGGGCGGCAGATTTGGTAGGACTTCCAGCGGGTGAACTTTGGGAAGAGTCCAGGACGTGAATTTAATGGGTGGAGTGGCTGCGGCAGCACTGTGAAGTTAGCGCGGCCAACTGCAGGAAGCCATGCTTCATTACACCCTTCATGGAAGCTGGCACACTCGCCCCACCCTCGTTTTCCACGGGCCAGTCTTGGAGGAAAAGGCCAGCAGGTAGGTTCCCAGGGCACGGAGATGATGCCCCCGGGGACTCCCCTCTGGCGATTCTGAGAAAACCCCTTCCCAGCCCTGGGCGTCCACCTCCCCCGCCACCTCCCAGGCCTCTTCCCGACGCTCACACGCGGCCCGCGCCACCAGCGCTGCAGAGGGCGGCCCTAACGTCCCCGCCCCCGCGTGCGCGCCCCCGCGCCCGTTCATTCCGGCCTCCGCGCGCCGCCGGCTCCCCTCGCGCCCACCCCCAGCACACCTCGGCGGCGGCGAGCGGCGCGGGGGAGGGGGACGGGGCCCCGGAGGTAGGCCGGGGGCAGCCAACAGGCCGCGGCAGCGCGCACGCAGGGCTAGCCTCGCCCAGGCCTCCTCCCTCACGCCGGCCGCAGGACGGGCGCGCACGCCAAGTGACGCTCCGAGGAGGAAGCGCAGCCCCCTTCCCCTCCCTCGCTGCCCCTGGCCCAGCGGGAGCCCCCCCTCCCCCCAGTGCGCCTGTGCGGAGGCCCTCTTGATTATGTGTGCCCTCTCCGGGCGCCCGCGTTAGCGGCCGGGTGGAGGTGGGGAGGGAAGACGCTGAGGAGGAGGAGGAGGCGGAGGAGGCGGTGGAGGGGAGGTGGGGGGAATCAGCAAGGACATGGCTCCTGACTCCTGTGCGGAACGTGAGTGACTGAGCGGCAAAGCCCGAGTGAGCGAGCGGTGGGCTGCCGGGCCGGGCGGGGGGCGCCGGGGCGGGCTCGGGGGGCTGTGTGGGGGGGAAGCACTAATCGGCTTGCATGTGTTTTTTAATGGTCCCCCCAACTCCCTCTTAGATGGTCTCTAGCGACCGGCCCGTGTCACTGGAGGACGAGGTCTCCCATAGTATGAAGGAGATGATTGGAGGCTGTTGCGTTTGCTCAGACGAGAGAGGCTGGGCCGAGAACCCGCTGGTTTATTGCGACGGGCACGGCTGCAGCGTCGCGGTGCATCAAGGTAAACACCCAACCGCCCGCCGGGGCGCGCCGGCCTGCGCCCAACGGTCACCGCCGCCCCCACCTGGGCCGCAACCGCCGGCGCCCCCGCCCCGTGCCGCGGCCGCGGGAGGGACGCGGAGGGTCCGCGGCGGGGCGCGGGGGGTGTGGGCCGCGCATGTGGGAGAAAGTGCGTGTGGCCCGGACTGTCATGTGATTCCGCTCTCACTCTCTCAAGTGTCATTCGGCCGCCGCCTGCGCCTGGGGCCGGGGTCTGCTGACTCGGCGGGGCGGGGCGGGGCAGGGCGGCGGCCGCGCCCTCGAGATCTGGGCCGGGGTGGGGGCGGGGGCGGGGGCGGGGGCGGTGCGCGCCCTTCCCGGGGTTCCCGGGGCCACGGGGGTGGGTTTGGGAGAGTGGAGCGCCCTCTTCTCCCCTGGCCTGCAGCCGCCTGTCTGCCGCAGTGTTTGGAGACTTCCTGTGGCGTGGAGACGGGCTCGGGAACGCGGCGCCAGTGTGGGGAGGCTGGGGGTCGCCTTGCCTCTTTAGATGGGGAGGGATGCGGGGCCCGTTGCACCCCGAGCCAGAAGGCTCGGGCCCTGCCGCCGCCGCCCGGTAGCTGTCTGCGGAGGAGATGGCGGAGTCCGTTGCTGACCATGCGGGAGTGGCGGGGCTGCTGCAGCGCCTGTGGGGTGGCCGCGGCAGGCCACCACCAGCCTAGGTGGCTGAAGAGGTGGCGGTGCCAAGTCACTTTTGGGGAGCCTCTTAGTTTATTTCTGGTTGTTAACAATTGATGAGGTTTTTGGATATACAAGAAGGCCGAGGACACTAGTAAGATACTTTTCTGGCCTTTGAAGTGGCCGACTTTTCCCCATTTCACGTGGTAAGGAATCCAGGACAAAACAGTCTATATTCTTTTTTGGTGGCTCCATGTCCCTTCGCATTTCTGAATCTGGCATTAAGCGATGCATATGTTTTTAGTAGTCTGTTGGAAAGGACTACCACCAAAAGGGAGACGAAAATTTGAACATCTGCTAAAGTGCATTTTGTAGAGAAACGAATGTCACACTTGGAAAGGGAGACTTTAGAAGCAGTGGTGATGATTCTGAGGTAGTGTACTTACTCTGAGAATGCTGTTTATTCCCAGACTTTTATTTTTTTACTTTTTATTTTGTTGAGACGGAGTCTTGCTCTGTCACCCAGGCTGTAGTGCAGTGGTGCCATCTCAGCTTACTGCAACCTCTGCCTCCTGGGTTCAAGCGATTGATTCTCCTGCCTCAGCTTCTTGAGTAGCTGGGATAACAAGCACACCCTAGCACACCGGCTAATTTGTATTTTTTAGTAGAGACGGGGTTTCGCCATGTTGGCCAGGCTGGTCTCAAATTCCTGACCTCAGGTGATCCTCTTGCCTCGGCCTCCCAAAGTGCTGGGATTACCGGCGTCAGCCACTGCGCCTGGCCCTAGACTTTTAAAGAAGAGCCAAGTTGCATGTCTTGCTTTTTTAGGGAGTGAATACAATGCGTGTCAAACCAGATACTGATTTTAAGGTCATCCCATGTTCATTGGCATTTTGAAGGCCAATGAATTTCTTATGAATTGGAATTTCTTATGAATTGGATGATAAACTATCAAAATTTGATAATTTCTATGTCCCAATATAGAAAATTTTTATTCAAATCTTAAATTTTCCTTCCTAGAAGTACACCTGAATAAAGTTTTTGGGCAATGATGCTGTGTTTTGGACACCTATGCTGTGTTTTTTGACGGATAGAGCATTTATAGTGAGACACATTTTACAAATTCTGTTTTTTTGAGACAGGGTCTCACTTTGTGGCTCAGGCTGGCATGCAGGGTGCTATTACAGCTCACTGCAGCCTTGACCTTCCAAGCCATCTTCCCACTTCAGCCTTCCCAGTAGCTGGGACCACAGGCCTGGACAACCATGTCGGGCTAATTTTGTATTTTTGGTAGAGGTGGGATTTCACCAGGTTGCCCAGGTTGGTCTTGACTTTTTTTTTTTTGAGACAGAGTTTTGCTCTTGTTGCTCAGGCTGGAGTGCAATGGTGCCATCTCGGCTCACCGCAACCTCTGCATCCAGGTTCAAGTGATTCTCCTACCTCAGCCTCCCGAGTAGCTGGGATTGCAGGCATGGACCACCATGCCCTGCTAATTTTTGTATTTTTTTTAGTAGAGATGGGGTTTCTCCATGTTGGTCAGGCTGGTCTTGAACCCCTGACCCCAGGGTGATCTGCCTGCCTTGGCCTTCCAAACTGCTGGGATTACAGGTGTGAGTCATTGCACCTGGCCTGGTCTCGAACTTTTGAGCTCAAGGGATCTGCCCGCCTTAGCCTCATAAAGTGCTGGGATTACAGGCATGAGCTGCCTTGCCTGGTCCTACAAATGTTTAACTGGAAGTGGAAGTTTAGCTTTTGGAGTTTTAAAAAGTTATACTGAATTTATATTCTGCTGTGATTGTACAGTGGGTAGTACTCTGTTTTGTGAATTTATATTCTTTCTTTCTTTATATATTTTTTTGAGGCGGAGACTCCCTCTGTCGCCCAGGCTGGAATGCAGTGGGGCAATCTCGGCTCACTGCAGCCTCTACCTCCCGGGTTCATGTGATTCTCCTGCCTCAGCCTCCTGAGTAGCTGGGACTACAGGCACTACCACCACACCTGGCTAATTTCTTTTTTTCTTTTTTGAGATGGAGTTTTGCTCTTCTTGTCCAGGCTGGAGTGCAGTGGCGTGATCTCGGCTCAGTGAAACCTTCGCCACCCAAGTTCAAGTGATTCTCCTGCCTCAGCCTCCCAAGTAGCTGGGGTTACAGGCACCTGCCACCATGCCCAGCTAATTTTTAAAAAAATTTTTAGTAGAGATGGGGTTTCACCATCTTGGCCAGGCTGGTCTGGAACTCCTGACCTCAGGTGATCCTCCTGCCTCGGCCTGCCAAAGTGCTGGGATTACAGGCATGAGCCACCGCGTCCGACCTGAATTTATATTCTTTAAATGCTTTCCAATATTTAAGATATTTTCATATTTCTGCCTAGCAAGCTCATGCAGAAGTCTACTTGGTTATTAGTGTTTTTAGAGTTTTAGAAAATTTTCAGTTTTGAGCTAATTATTAACTTTAAAAACCAATTTTAAAACAAGACTGTGATTAGATATGTGATGTATAATTAAATCATTTGGAGCATTCACATCATTATGTATTTAGAAATAAACATACCTTTTTTTTTTTGAGATAGGGTCTCCCTCTGTTGCCCAGGCTGGAGCACAGTGGTGTGATTATGGCTCACTGCAGCCTTGACTTCCCAGGCTCAAGTCAGCCTCCTGAGTAGCTGGGACTGTAGGCACATGCCACCGTGCCCAGCTAATTTTTTTTTTTTTTTTTTTTTAAATTTGAGACGGAGTTTCACTCTTATTGCCCAGGCTGGAGTGCAATGGTGCGATCTTACCTCACTGCAACCTCTGCCTCCCAGGTTCAAGCGATTCTCCTGCCGCAGCCTCCTGAGTAGTAGGATTACAGGCATGTGCCACCACGCCTGGCTAATTTTGTATTTTTAGTAGGGACAGGGTTTCTTCATGTTGGTCAGGCTGGTCTTGAACTCCCAACCTCAGGTGATCCGCCTGTCTCAGCCTCCCAAAGTGCTGGGATTATAGGTGTGAGCCACTGCGCCTGGCCTAATTAAAAAAAATTTTTTTTTTTTGTGGAGATGGAGTCTCACTGTATTGCCTAGACTGTTCTGGAACTCCTGGGCTCCAGCAGCCCTCCCAACTCGACCTCCCAAAATGCTGGGATTACAGGCATGAACCATTGCACCCAGCCTTGATTTATTTAGATGAGGTAACACAAAAGAGTTGCATTTAAAATTTTTACTTGTTAATTAAGTAAGCTGTATATGTGATAAATAGGATGTGAACTGTTTTACTTCTCTGTAAAGAGGTAGTTTACTTGAATAGTGACAGGTGGATTAATAGGGCTTTGAAAGGGTATTTGATTTTTCCATAGTTCTTCGAATCTTAACATTTTAACACATTTCATTTTTCAACAGCTTGCTATGGCATTGTTCAAGTACCCACTGGACCGTGGTTTTGCAGGAAATGTGAATCTCAGGAGAGAGCAGCCAGAGTGGTAAGGACTATTTATCAAAAACATTAAACTTTAGTGAGTAGGTTAGGAAATTAGGAACTGCACTCCTGTTGTGGTTTGTGGGGTTGTCAGTCATTTCTTCAAATATCATAATGTAAGAGATAATTTAGGCCAAATATTGACTTGGAGTATTAAACAGATTTTGTAAAACTGAAAAACAAATGGAATCAAGTGAGTATATTTTGGATACTTTGAAAACAAAAATACATAGTCATATTTGGGCTTTGTTAACTAGTTACAGAATCAAGAAAGCTTGAAGAAGTTTGAAGGTTACACTGGCTAATCATAGTTAAAATATAATGGAAATAGAAACATAAGGAAGTTACATTGATAATTCTCTTAGGTTTTGTGTAATGGGAAAAAAACCCAATAATTTTAGTGACTATCATATTCCTTTTACTACATCTTTGGGTGTATAGTTTAACTTCGAACACTCACTGATTTCAGGCATTCAGTCCCTTTGGCAAACCAACATAAAAATCTTTTTTTTTTTTTTTTTTTTAACTTGGGTGGTTACCTTATTTCAGAACTTTTCTAAACCTCTTATAAGAATGAAGGAGGTGCCGGGTGCAGTGGTTCACACCTGTAATCCCAGCACTTTGGGAGGCCGAGGCGGGAGTATCTCGAGGTCAAAAGATGGAGACCACCCTGGCCAACATGGTGAAACCCCGTCTCTACTACAAATACAAAAATTAGCTGGGTGTGGCAAGCACCTGTAGTCCCAGCTACTTAGGAGGCTGAAGCAGGAGAATTACTTGAACCCGGGAGGTAGAGGTTGCAGTGAGCTGAGATGGTGCCATTGCACTCCAGCTTGGGCAATAAGAGTGAAACTCTGTCTCAAAAAAAAGAAAAACAAATTACAAACATTAGCTGGGCGTGGTGGCACGCCCTATAATCCCAGCTATTTGGGAGGCTGAGGCAGGAGAATGGCGTGAACCTGGGAGGCGGAGGTTGCAGTGAGCTGAGATCATGCCATTGCACTCCAACCTGGGTGACAGAGCAAGACTCTCAGGAAAGGAAAAAAAAAAACAAAAAGGAGGTAGGCCGGGTGCAGTGACTCACACCTGTAATCCCACCACTTTGGGAAGCCGAGGCAGGAGGATTGCTTGAGTCCAGGAGTTTGAAACCAGCCTGGTCAACTTAGTCTCTACAAAAGAAAAATTTTAAAAATTAGTTGGGGCTGGGCACAGTGGCTCATGCCTATAATTCCAGCACTTTGGTAGGCTGAGGTGGGCGGATCACTTGGGGTCAGGAGTTTGAGACCAGCCTGGCCGACATGGTGAAACCTATCTCTGCTAAAAATACAAAAAATTAACTGGATGTGGCAGCGCGTGCCTATAGTCTAGCTACTCTGGGGGCTAAGACGGGAGAATCGCTTGAATGAGGGAGCCAGAGGTTGCAGTGAGCCAAGATTGTGCCACTGCACTCCAGCCTGCACTCCAAACAGAGTGAGACTGTTTCAAAAAAAAAAAAAAATTAGTTGGGCGTGGTGGCTTGCACCTGTACTCCCAGCTACTCTGGAAGCTGAGACAGGAGGATTGCTTGAACCTGGGAGGTTGAGGCTGCAGTGAACCATGACTCCAGCCTGGGTGACAGAGTGAGAGACTGTCTCACAAAAAACACAGTGAGGGAGGTATGTTTATCCTTTGTATCCACAAGCATTTTTCCCATTTGGATTTCTGAAAATATCAGAAATAGATTTTATTTTCATTAGTTATGCAAACCTACCATTTAAAATATGATAGTTCCTTTTTAAAATCTTATTATATTTATTGATTTATTATTTATTCCAAGACATCTTGTTATAGCAAATTCCTTTCCCTTGGTGTTGATTATGGAATTAGACTGAAGGTAGAGAACAAACATTTTAGCTTCTTTACCTAGGCATATAGCAAAAGCAGAAGCTTTTGTGTTTGCCTGGGCAATTTTTGAGCGGTAGAAATAATGGGCTGGGTGCTGTGGCTCGTGCTTGTAATCCTTGCACTGTGGGAGGCCAAAGTGGGTGGATGACCTGAGGTCAGGAGTTTGAGACCAGCCTGAGCAACATGGCGAAACCCCACCTCTACTAAAAATACAAAAATTAGCTGGGTGTGGTGGTGTGCACCTGTAATGCCAGCCACTTGGGAGACTGAGGCAGGAGAATCGCTTGGACCTGGGAGGCAGAGGTTCCAGTGAGCTGAGGTTGCGCCACTGCACTCCAGCCTGGGCGACAGAGCGAGACTCGTCTCACAAAAAAAGAAAGAAATAATGGTTGAGTAACCTATAAAAATGTGTTGAGTCTCAGAACTATTTGTATTTTATTATTTTGAGACAGTCTTGCTCTGTTCCCCAGGCTGGAGTGGAGTGGCGCAATCATTGCTCACTGCAGCCTTGAAGTCCTGAGCTCAAGAGATCCTCCTGCCGCAGCTTCCTGAGTAGCTGGGACTTACAGGCCTGTAGCACTTAACACCCAGCTAATTTTTTAATTTTATTTTTGAGACAGTCTCGCTCTGTCGCCCTGGCCGGAGTGAAGTAGCGCCATCTCCGCTCACTGCAACCTCTGCCTCCTGGATTCAAACGATTCTCCTGCCTCAGTCTCCCATGTATCTGGGACTACAGACATGCGCCACCACACCCAGCTAATTTTTGTACTTTTAGTAGAGATGGGGTTTCACCATGTTGGCCAGGCTGGTCTCGATCTCCTGACCTCAGGTGATCTGCCTGCTTTGGCCTCCCGAAGTACTGGGATTACAGGCGTGAGCTACCACGCCCGGCCTGAATTTTACTAGAAATGAGGTCTTGCTTTGTTGACCAGCCTCGTCTGGAATTCCTGAGCTCAAGCAGTCCTCCTACCTCAGCCTCCCAAAGTGGTGGGATTACAGGTGTGAGCATCCGTGCCCGGCCAGAGCAATTTTTTTATAGTTCCGATGATATGTTTTGGTTGTGTGTGAGAATGCACTTTAATAGAATTACAGCTGTTATTCTAGTGTGATTTAGCAAATGGAGGATAAAATCAATCATAGAAAGTTTGGGACTTGGTGAAATCTTTATAGCGTTACTCTTTGACTTTTTTTTCTTTGTATCATGTTACGGTTTGTGGTGAATAGGTCACTACGCAGTGGAACGTATGGTTTATTAGTAAACACTGACAATGAGATGAGGCTGTTCCTGGGGGTGTCACAGTAGATTGAAGGCTGGAAAAGATAGGAAAATAAGGTGGGTATTCAGAGAGAGAAGATAATGAATAGGGAGTGTCAGAATGCCAGCATCATTTGCCTCAAATGCCACTTGTTACGTGCTTCCACTCTTTTATTCTCTCTGAGGACATGGTCAAAGTGTCAGTGTGAATAAGGTAGTTAACTTAAAAGGTGTATTAGGGCTGGGCATGGTGGCTCAAGCCTGTAATCCCAGCACTTTGGGAGGCTCAGGTAGGCAGATCACATGAGGTCAGGAGTTCGAGACCAGCCTGGCTAACATCTTAAAACCCCGTTTCTTCTAAAAATACAAAAAATTAGCCGGGCGTGGTAGTGAGCGCCTGTAATCCCAGCTACTCGGGAGACTGAAGCAGGAGATCCGCCCGAACCCGGGAGGCAGAGGTTGCAGTGAGCTGAGATCGTGCCATTGCACTCCATCTTGGGCAATGAGTGAAACTCTGTCTCAAAAAAATATATATATATTAGATGCTGCTGGGAGCAGTGGCTTGCGCCTATAATCCCAGTGCTTTGAGAGGCCGAGGTGAGAGGATCACGCCTGAGTTGGAGATCAGGCCACAAGTTGGAGATCAGCCTGGACAACATAGTGAGACCTTATCTCTACAAAAAGAAAAAAAAAATTAACCACATGTGGTGGTGTACTTGTCCTAGCTACGTGGGAGGCCGAGGCAGGAGGATCCATTGAGCCTGTGAGTTTGAGGTTGCAATGAGCTATAGTCACACTACTGCACACTAGTCCAGGTGACAAAGTGAAACCCTCTTTAAGAAAAAGAAGTTTTTGCAGGGGGGCATTTTATTTTAACATCATTTGGTGGGATGTGGGTGACATTAAGGTTTTTTTTTTGTTTTTTTTTTGAGACGAAATTTT
The DNA here is from genome assembly GCF_000001405.40 of Homo sapiens. NCBI lineage: Eukaryota > Metazoa > Chordata > Mammalia > Primates > Hominidae > Homo > Homo sapiens. The sequence goes on from NC_000010.11 coordinate 21,542,990, forward strand.
GCTGTGTTGCCCAGGCTGGAGTGCAATGGCGCGATCTCGGCTCACTGCAGCATCCGCCTCCCGGGTTCAAGTGATTCTCCTGCCTCAGCCTCCGGAGTAGCTGAGATTACAGACACCATGCCCGGCTAGTTTTTTGTTTTTCTTTTTTGAGATGGAGTTTCGTTCTTGTTGCCTAGGCTAGAGTGCAATGGCACAATCTTGGCTCACCACAACCTCCACCTCCTGGATTCAAGCGATTTTCCTGCCTCAGTCTCCCCAGTAGCTGGGGTTACAGACATGCGTCACCATGCCCGGCTAATTTTTGTATTTTTAGTAGAGACAGGGCTTCTCCATTTTGGCCAGGCTGGTCTCGAACTCCTGACCTCAGGTGATCCACCCGCCTCAGCCTCCCAAAGTGCTGGGTTTACAGGCGTGAGCCATGTTGCCTGGCCAAGGATTTTTAAAGAAGAGGCAAAAGCAAAACCTTTTTAAAATTATATTTAAAAATATATATTATGTTTTTTTGGAGACAGAGTTTAATTCTTGTTGCCCAGGCTTGGAGTGCAGTGGCATCATCTTGGCTCACTGCAACCTCCGCCTCCCGGGTTCAAGCGATTCTCCTGCCTCAGCCTCCGGAGTAGCTGGGATTACAGGTGTGTGCCACCACGCCCAGCTAAGTTTTGTATTTTTAGTAGAGATGGGGTTTCTTCATGTTGGTCAGACTGATCTCGAACTGCTGACCTCCGGTGATCTGCCCACCTTGGCCTCCCAAAGTGCTGGGATTACCATTGTGAGCCACTATGCCCGGTCTGTAGTGTATAATTATGAAAGGCAGGGTCCTTTGTAAGAAACAGATAAGCAAAGAAAGGGCATTGTATTATAAGGACACAGGAGTCAAGAACCCTAACATGGAAATGTATTTCACCCAGAAAGGGAATTGAATTAGTCTTATGAATCTTTTTTCTACTTTTGTCTGCATGCCTGCTTCCATTCTTTTCTTTCTGCCGACTTACTGTGCTACTTGTTCCAAAATGAGTAGCTAACTTTTTGAGTGTTTACTATGTGCCCACATACTGTGCTAAATGTTTTATGCCAGTTACTTCATTTAAGCATCCTGTCACATCTATGAGGTGGATATTATTCTTACTTTATGGGTAAGGATACTATAGTTTTAAGAGAGATAGATGTTTTATGACAGTCTGGGATGTGATTAAGCTCTTAACCACTGTGTTACCTCTTAACCACCATGTTGCCTCCTATGGTGAAAGATGACGATACCTCAGCTCCTGATATTTTCCATCTCCTGTCTCAAAAGCGAGTAAATTCAGTCCCAATCTCATGTTCCTTTGAGAAGACAATAAAACAAAAGCCCAACTTTGGTTTGGCTTGGATGAGATACCTAGCACTGGACCGTTTTGCTATGGTGAGACAATAGGGTCAAGTTGCTCAGACACAGGAAGAACTCTCTGGACTGGGGATAGCTAACTTCTCAGGGAAGGGGGATTATGACCTGGCAGTACCCTGACAGATACCGAACAGTAAAGATTCAGAAAAGTAAAGGAGCATTTTCAGAAAATTTAGGTACTATATAGAATGAACTTGAAAGGGAAGGTTAGAGATGGACTTAGGATGCTATTACTATAAAGATGTGGGAATACAAAAGGAGTAGAAAAGAAGGGAGCATTTTGAAGTATGAAATGACAGAAATGGATGTTAGGTAAAGGGAAGGGAATAATCAAAGATGATTCTTAGATATCAAGGTGCTCACTCATTAATGGTGATACCATTAATAAATATTAGAGCAGTTGTAGTAGAGGAAGGAGAGCAAGTGAAGACTAAAGAAAGACCTGTTTTGGGCATGTTGGTTTTGATGCTGCTAAAATTTTTGTATTGGAGGCCGGGCGCTGTGTCTTATGCCTGTAATCCCAGGACTTCGGGAGGCCGAGGCGGGCGGATCACCTGAGATCGGGAGTTTGAGACCAGCCTGACCAACATGGAGAAACTCCGTCTGTACTAAAAATACAAAATTAGCCGGGTGTGGTGGCACATGCCTGTAATCCCAGCTACTAGGGAGGCTGAGGCAGGAGAATTGCTTGAACCTGGGAGATGGAGGTTGTGGTGAGCCGAGATCGCGCTATTGCACTCCAGCCTGGACAACAAGAGTGAAGCTCCATCTCAGAAAAAAAAAAGATTTTTGTATTGGAAATTTAGGATACAGTTACAGAGTGAAGTCAGAGTTGAAGCTGCATAGAGGGAAAACAGGGAACCACATGCCTTTTTTTTTTTTGCTAGAGAAGAGAAATGTTCACATTTGGGAGAGTAAGAGAACTGATTATCAAGGATTGATAGTGAACTGTCAGGAAAAGAACCTAAAAAGTACAGTCGCCACAGAGACAACTAGGTGTTCAGGAAAGAAAAGTTGATAGTGACAGTACTGCCAGGAACGCTGAAGGACTAAGAAAAGTTTTTGAGACAGCTAATACAGCTTCCTGGTTTGGGTAGAACCCTGGTTGTAGGGCATGGAAGATAGAGGATTTGATTGTTGTGTGGAAAGTATAAGGAAAGAGAAAAATTAAAGGAGATGAGGTTGAGGAAAGTTTGGTTTTTAAGGGAAGTTCTTTGTAGATAGACATTGATTGTTTAGAAAAAGCACCGTGTCTCCCAAAACAAAAAAATTAAACACACTTTCTCATGACTATTTTTGTATGTATGTATTTAGAGACAGGGTCTCGCTTTTTGCCCACGCTGGAATCAGTGGTGCGATTTTAGTTGACTGCAACATCGAACTCTGGGGCTCAAGGAATCCTCTCACTTCAGTCTCCTGAGTAGCTAGGACTATAGGTGCATACCACTATGTCCGGCTAATTTTAAAATTTTTGGTAAAGATAAGGTCTTGTTATGTTGCCCAGGCTGGTCTCGAACACCTGGCTTTAAGAGATCCTCCCGTGTTGTCCTCCTAAAGTGTTGGGATTTCAGGCGTGAGCCACCATGCCTGGCCTATTTTTTATTTAGTGAGCATTTGTTCTGAATTACTGCAGGCTGCAGTGACTTATTAGAAATTTATCTACTTACATAATTTTGATGAGATACAGAAGAATTTTTAAAAATTAAATTTAATTAATTTTTTTTGAGACAGTCTTGCTCCATCGCCCAGGCTGGAGTGCAGTGGTGTGATCTCGGCTCACTGCAACCTCTGCCTCCTGGGTTCCAGTGATTCTTGTGTTTCAGCCTCCTGAATAGCTGGGATTACAGGCATGTGCCACGATGCTTGGCTAGTTTTTGTATTTTTAGTAGAAACTGGGTTTCACAATGTTGCTCAGGCTGGTCTTGAACTCCTGGGCTCTAGTAGTCCCTCCTGCCTTGGCCTCCCAAAGTGCTGAGATTACAGGTGTGAGTGACCGTATCTGGCCAGAGAGGACATTTTAGATTGTAAATATTCTACTTTTTTTTTTTTGAGATGGAGTCTCACTCTGTGGCCCAGGCTGGAGTGCAGTGGTGTGATCTCCGCTTACTGCAACCTCCGCCTCCCAGGTTCAAGCGATTCTCCTGCCTCAGCCTCCCGAGTAGCTGAGACTGCAGGCACGCCCCACCACTCCTGGCTAATTTGTTTTTTTTTTTTTTGAGACAGGGTCTCTGTCGCCCAGGCTGGAGTGCAGTGGCGCAGTCTCAGCTCACTGCAGCCTCTGCCTCCTGGGTTCAAGTGATTCTCCTCCCTCAGCCTCCCGAGTAGCTGGGCTTGCAGGTGCCCGCCACTGTGCCTGGCTAATTTTTTTTTTTTTGAGATAGAGTTTTGCTCTTTCCCAGGCTGGAGTGTAATGGTGCAATCTTGGCTCACCACAACTTCCGCTTCCCGGGTTCAAGCGATTGTCCTGCCTCAGCCTCCCAAGTAGCTGGGATTACAGGCATGCGCCACCACACCTGGCTGATTTTGTATAGTAGAGACGGGGTTTCTCCATGTTGGTCAGGCTGGTCTCGAACTCCCGACCTCAGGTGATCCACGTGCCTCAGCGTCCCAAAGTCCTGGGATTACAGGCGTGAACTCCCATGCCCGGCCCTAATCCTGGCTAATTTTTGTATTTTTAGTAGAAATGGGGTTTTACCATGTTGGCCAGGCTGGTCTCAAACTCCTGACCTCAGGTAATCCTCCTGCCTTGGCCTCCCAAAGTGCTGGGATTACAGGTGTGAGCCACCCCGCCTGACCCCTTCATTCTTTTATTTTTTTTAATTCTCTGCTGATTTGGAGGTCATATGCTCTATTTCTTTTATTTTAGTGATTGCACTTAAAGTTTTAACATGCATACTTAATGTTTTTCTGAGTCTTAATATCTGTACTCCGTTTGAACAAAACAAAGGTCCTTGGGACGCCTTGATTCCTTTGGTTCTTTTTCCCTCGCACAATCTATGTTATTGTTGTCTTTATTACTCTGCTGTTTTCTTTTTTTTTTTTTTTTAAGATAGGGTCTCACTGTGTTGCCCAGGCTGGTCTGGAACTCTTGGGCTCATGTGATCCTCTCACCTTAGCCTTCTAAGTAGCTGGAATTACTCCATCTGTTTTTTTCTTTTTTTTTTTTGGTGATAGAGTCTCACTGTCACCCAGGCTGGAGTGCAGTAGTGTGATCTCGGCTCACTGCAACCTCCGCCTTTCATGTTCAAGTGATTCTCATGGGTTCAGCGATTCTCATGCCTCAGCCTCTTGAGTAGCTGGGACTACAGGCACATGCCACCTTGTCCGGCTAATTTTTGTATTTTTAATAGAGATGGGGTTTCACCATGTTGGCCAGGCTGTTCTTGAACTCCTGACCTCAGGTAATGTTCCTGCTTTGGCCTCCCAAAGTGCTGGTATTACAGGCGTGAGCCACTGTGCGTCTTATTTTGAATCTTCTAAATAATCGTGTGTTTTAAAAAAATAGTTATTTATAATTAGGCTTAATATTACTCATGTTTTTGTTCAATCTAGCCTTTTATTTTCCTTGTTTGTGGGTTCATTTTTTTTACTTTGAAGGTTTTGGTATTTTTTTCTCAGGGTCTGAGGCTAGTAAGTAATAAGTAAGAAAGTTATATTAGTCTTTTTGTGTCTACGAATTTCATTATTTTGCTCTCTTGGAAGCTAGTTTGAATCCTTTGATAATAGCTATTTTCCTGTAACTAAAGATTTTATTCTAGTTTGTCTTCTGGTGTCTGTTGGTTGATAAACAATCTTTTGAGTTTGTTTATCCTGTTTGAGACTTGGTCTGCTTTTTCATTCTGAGGACTCAGTGTCCTTCCATTTTTTATTTTCTACTCTGTCTCTTCAAATACTGTAACCTTCTCATTAACTTTTCTTTTCCTAGAACTGTTAGGTATATGTTTGGGATTTTCATTCTGTTTTTCATGTCTTTTAATTTGTCTTTCATATTTTCTATCTTATCTTTTTTTTTTTTTTTGAGACGGAGCCTCTGTTGCCCAGGCTGGAGTGCAGTGTTGCGATCTCGGCTCACTGCAAGCTCCGCCTCCCGGGTTCACGCCATTCTCCTGCCTCAGCCTCCTAAGTAGCTGGGAATACAGGTGCCCGCCGCTACGCCCGGCTAATTTTGTGTATTTTTAGCAGAGACGGGGTTTTTCCATGTGAGCCGAGATGGTCTTGATCTCCTGACTTCATGATCCACTCACCTTTGCCTCCCAAAATGCTGGGATCACAGGTGTGAGCCACTGTGCCCGGCCTTTCTGTCTTATCTTTGCATTACTGATAATATCTTTAACTCTGTCTTCAGATTTATGCTTATTTTTAATTCAGTGAATTAATTTTTTTCTGAGTAAATTTCTAGAATTTTTGTGTGATTTTATTTTTCAATTTGTCTCTTTTTTCAGGGTATCTTGCTTTATTGTTTGAAGAATTATATTCGTTTTTTTATTTGAACATTTAAAACATACTTATTGTAAAGATTCTCAGATTTTGGAATTCTTTGTTAACTCTGGTGATAGATGTCTTTATATATTGTGTAATTTTTGACTGCAGGCTAATCTTCAGGTGGAGTTGTCTTTCCTGGGATTCCTGTTCCTCTACCATGAGTTGTGAAGATGTCACTGTGGGGTTTTTGCCTTTGCTCTCTGTCTTTTAAGAATTGTGTTTGGCCGACCAGATTATAATGGTTTCTACAAGTCAGGAGCTTATTCCTTTTTTTTTTTTTTTTTTTAGACTTGAGTCTTGCTCTGTCACCCTGGCTGGAGTGCAGTGGCGCAGTCTCGGCTCACTGCAACCTGCACCTCCCGGATTCAAGCAGTTCTCCTGCCTCAGCCTCCCCAGTAGCTGGGATTATAGGCATGTGCCACCACTCCTGGCGAATTTTTTGTATTTTTAGTAGAGATGGGGTTTCACTGTGTTTCGATCTCCTGACCTCGTCATCCGCCCGCCTTGGCCTCCCAAAGTGCTAGGATTACAGGCGTGAGCCACTGCACCCGTCCAGTTATTCTTTTACTTAAAAGCAAAAGGCATTTTGAAGCTTCGATGACAGCTCTCTTAAGTCACTAGGGAGTATGCTTTTTCTATCTTCCTTCTGTATCAGCCTTAGCACATAGTTTTCATGTTCAGGGTTATCCCATAGTCAAAGCATGGCAGCTGGAACTGCAGTCATTGTGACTACAAAAGAAGTCCCAGGCAGAAAGAAGGGGAGAGGGTAAGCTTCAAGTGTGGTCCTCTAACTGAGTTGTACTCTTTTTTTTTTTTTTTTTTTTGAGAGAGTGTCTTGCTCTGTTGCCCAGGCTGGAATGCAGTGGCCGCGATCCTCTACTTCCCGGGTTCTCCTGCCTTAGCTTCCCGAGTAGCTGGGATTACAGGTGTGTGCCACTATGCCTGGCTAATTTTTGTATTTTTTGTAGAAATGGGGTTTCGCCATGTCGGCCAGGCTGGTCTCAAACTCCTGACCTCAGGTGATCTGCCCGCCTTGGCCTCCCAAAGTGCTGGGATTACAGGCGTGAGCCATCGCGCCTAGCTCTGAGTTGTACTCTTAAACTAATTGTCCTTGAGGCTCCACTCAACAACTTAGGCTTAATTTTACTGGCTCTTAATTGTTACTGAGCCTGCAAAATGTGGTCATAAAGTTGGGCCCATTGATAAACTGGTTAAAGTGAGAGTTCTGTTAGTAGGGAAGAAGGAGAAAATAGACTTGGATTGGTAGCTGCAGAGTCTGTTACAGTTTGCCTAATGGGGTTCATTGCTCCAGGCCAGTCTCTAAGTTTGTTTCTTGGCTTGGATTTCTACATCCTTTAGATAATAGATTTTGGGCCCCATACCTTCCCTCAGTATCCCCTTGGATTTCTAGAGTGAGTCATCTACTCACATCTGGAGCAAGCATCTAATTTCTGTGCAGCTTCCCTAGTCTTAGTAGTCCAGCACATGGTTTTCTAGAGTCTCTTCCTGTTATGACATGGATCCTTATCAGCTCTTGTCCTTATATAGGGAACCCAGTTAGAGCTTTTCTCCATATCTTTAGTCTATGTTGCTGTCATAGTCAGTCCTACCCTCTAAGGTATTGTTTCTGATAGCTTCGTTAACTGCCCCAGCTTCAATTTAATACTGATTCCTTTAGCTTTTTGTTTGTTTTTGAGACAGGGTCTTGCCCTGTTACCCAGGCTAGAGTGCAGTGATGCAATCTCAGCTCACTTCAACCTCCGCCTCCTGGGTTGGAGCGATTCACCTTCCTTAGCCTTATGAGTAGCTGGGACTACGGATGGGTGCCACCAAGCCCAGCTAATTTTTGTATTTTTAGTAGAGACGGGGGTTTCACATGTTGCCCAGGCTGGTCTCAAACTTCTGACTTCAAGTGATTTGCCTGACTCAGCCTACCAAAGTGCTGGGATTACAGACGTGAGCTATGGCGTCCGGCCTTATTTAGCTTTAAAGTTCTTTTTTATTTCTGCCACCTGGAGAGTTACCTTTATTCACATAATTAAAAATTGTTTTCAGATTTCTTTTATCTTTAATTTTTTTTTTTTTTTTGAAATGGAGTCTTGCTCTGTCACCCAGTGCAGTGGTACGATCTTAGCTCACTGCAACCTCTGCCTCCCAGGTTCAAGTGTTCAGGTGATTCTCCTGCCTTAGCCTCCTGAGTAGCTGGGATTACAGGCACGCGCCACCACGCCCGGCTGATTTTTGTGTTTTTAGTAGAGACGGGGTTTCACCACGTTGGTCAGGTTGGTCTCGAGCTCCTGACCTCATGATCCGCCTGCCTCGGCCTCCCAAAGTGCTGGGATTATAGGCGTGAGCCACCGTGCCCGGCCAACTTATCTTTGATTTCTAAGTGCAAGAAGCCAGGCTGAGTGCCAAAAAGTACTCGGATTGTACCTTTTTTTTTTTTTTTTTTTTTTTTTTTACATAACACAAATAACTTTTTTATTTCTGTACAGGCTTTTTAGCCTGTACACTTTAAATAGAATGTCTTTAAAGTTGAACATTTACTAACTTTTTTTTTGTTACTGCTGACTCATAATCTAGTATTTCATTTTAAATTCAGCATAATATCGTAAGTTCCTATAGCTTTCAAAGAGGTGGTTTTCAAAAATTAACACATTTGGTGCTTACCATCATAGACCGATAACATAGCCAGTTTTACTTGCTTGTTTCTTGAATTCCTTTTCCTTTTAATGTGAGAAAAGGCTAGCATAAGGGCAGGAATGAAGCAGGTGCTTAATACTTGTTTGTATTCTTTTCTAACCTCCCTACAAAACTAGTAAGAGAATTGAAAACATAGATGTACTTTGATAAATTGCCTAGCATATGGTATCTGTTTATTCTGTTTTTGTGTTTAGACTTTTTTTTTTTTTTAAATTAAGTCTAATAGTTTCTGTCTCTCTCTCTTTTTTTTTTTTTAGGCAGAGTCTCGCTCTGTTGCCCAGGCTAAAGTGCAGTGGTGTGATCTCAGCCCACTGCAACCTCTGCTCCCCGGGTTCAAGCGATTCTCCTGCCTCAGCCTCCCAAGTAGGTGGGATTACAGGCACACACCACCATGCCTGGGCAATTTTTGTATTTTTAGAGACGGAGTTTCACCATGTTGGCCAGGCTGGTCTCGAGCTTCTGACCTCAGGTCATCCTCCCACCTCAACCTCTCAGGTAGCTGGAACTATAGGTACACACCGCCATGCCTGTGTAATTTCTACATTTTTTGTACGGATGGGGTCTCACTATGTTGCTAGGCTGGTCTCGATCTCCTGGGTTCAAGGGATCCTCCAGCCTTGGCCTCCCAAAGTACTGGGACTACAGGCGTGAGCTACCCTGCCTGGTTTTTGCTAATTTCCAAGACAAAAATATACAGCAGTGTTATTACTTTTTGGTGTTAATTTTTATTTTTTTCCTCTGTGATTAATATTTGTTCTGTATTTCAGCTTTCCTTGTGTTTTTTTTCTTCTAAGACTATAAGACTAAATCTTTGTATATCTTCTTATTGCTTTTTTTTTTTTTTTTTTTGAGATGGAGTTTTGCTTTTGTCACCCAGGCCAGAGTATAGTGACAGTGATCTCAGCTCACTGCAACCTTCACCTCCTGGGTTCAAGCGATTCTCCTGCCTCAGCCTCCTGAGTAGCAAGGATTACAGGCGCCTGCCACCACGCCTGGCTAGTTTTTGTATTTTTAATAGAGACGGGGCTTTACCGTGTTGGCCAGGCTGGTCTCGATCTCCTGACCTCAGGTGATCCACCCGCCTCGGCCTCCCAAAGTGCTAGGATTACAGGCGTGAGCCACCATGCCCGGCCTCTCTCATTGCTTTCTTAAATAATCTGCATGGTTATCGTATTAGGTCGTTTATAGATTCACTTTTCCTTTCCTTCCTTTTATCTTCTTTTCTGTTTATTTTCTTCTTCCTCTTCTTTCCGTCTCCTCTTTCTCCTCTCTTTGATTTTATTCTTCTCTGTTCCTCCTTGCGCCTTCCTCCTCCCTCTTTCTTCTCTCCCCTTTTACTTTCCCTTGTCTTTCCTCCCCCTTCCTTTCCTTTTTAAACCAGGGACCTTCTTCTGGGTACCATCTGCTTGCTCCCATCTGGTCTGTTTGCTCCTTAGGCTTGCTGGAGCATCCTAAGGAACATCCCTTCACCATTATCTTGGAGTTTTCTTCTTGCTTATATTGGATTCCCTGTTTTTCTATCCCCCTACTCCCCTGTTTCTTTATATTTAAGAAGGCACATCTTCTGGCAGCTTCATAGGAAAAGGCGCATGAGAAATAAATTAGGGTTTTGCATGGTTGATAAAATGGGATTGCTATCTTACTTGATTGTTTGACAGAATACATAGAATTCTTGGTTGGAAATCATTTTCCGTCAGAATTTGAAGATATTTCTCTACTGCCTTTTAGCTTTCAGTGTTACTGTTAGCAAGTCCAAAGCAGTTCTAATTTTTTTTTTTTTTTTTTGAGAAGGAGTCTCACTCTGTCACCTGGGCTGGAGTGCAGTGGTGTGATCTCTGCTCACTACAACCTCTGCATCCCGGGTTCAAGAGATTTTCCTTCCTCAGCCTCCCGAGTAGCTGAGACTACAGGCGTGTGCCACTATGCCCAGCTCAGTTTTGTATTTTTAGTAGAGATGGGGGTTTCGCCATATTGGCCAGGCTGGTCTCAAACTCCTGGCCTCAAGTGATCTACCTGCCTCAGCCTCCTAAAGAGTTGGGATACAGACATGAGTCACCACACCCAGCTGCAATTCTGATTTCTTTTCCTTTTCCTTTTCTTTTTTTTTTTTTCAGACAGGGCCTCTCTGTCGCCCAGGCTGAAGTGCAGTGACGTGATCTTGGCTCACTGCAAACTCTGCCTCCCGGGTTCAAGTAATTCTCTTGCCTCAGCCTCCCGAGTAGCTGAGATTATAGGCATGCGCCACCATGCCTGGCTAATTTTTGTATTTTTAGTAGAGATGAGGTTTCACCATGTTGGCCAGGCTGGTTTCGAACTCCTGAACACAGGTGATCTGCCCGTCTCAGCCTCCCAAAATGTTGGGATTACAGGCATGAGCCGCTGCACCCAGCCGATTCTGATTTCTTTTTAATCGTTTGTATGTGGTAGTTCTTTCTGGATTTAGTATTTTCTCTTTAACCTGGTTATTCTGATACTCACGATGGTGTGCTTGCTTATACTCATTGTACTAGGTACACAGTGGTCCTTTTGATTTGTTAGCTCCTGTTTTGGAATGTGAGTTTAGGTCAGGGAGAAAGTTTTTGAATTATTTCTTTGATAATTTCCTCAGTTCTGCTTTGTTTGCCTTTTCTGTATTTAAAAAAAATTTTGGATGTTAGACTTTCTAATCTGATCCTATAATTTTTGTATTTTCTGTTTCAGTTCTTTAACTCTTTTTACTCTATTTTCTGAGGTGATTCCTCACTTTCTCTTCCAACTCTTCACTTAAAAATTTTTTTGTTTGTTTGAGACAGCATCTTGATATTGTAGCCCACGCTGACCTTGAAAGTGATTCTCTCAGCCTTCCATAGAGTTGGGATTATGGGCGTGCCACTACTCCTGGCCCTCCTTCACTTAAATTTTTTTTTTTTTTTTTGAGATGGAGTCTTGCTCTGACCCCAGGCTAGAGTGCAGTGATGTGAGCTCAGCTCACTGCAACCTCCGCCTTCCGGGTTCAAGTGATTCCCCTGCCTCAGCCTACCAGGTAGCTGGGATTACAGACACGCACCACCACGCCCGGCTAATTTTTTTTTTTTTTGTATTTTGGTAGAGATGAGGTTTCACCATGTTGGCCAAGATGGTCTCGATCTCCTGACCTCGTGATCTGCCCGCCTCGGCCTCCCAAAGTGCTGGGACTACAGGCTCTGAGCCACCGGGCCCGGCCCCTTCACTTTAATTTTTCAAGATGGTTATACTAATTTCTTCCTTTGTTTGTTTTTCTTTCTTTCTTTCTTTTTTTTTTTTAGACAGAGTTTTGCCGTGTTTCCCAGGCTGGAGTGCATTGGTGCGATCTTGGCTCACTGCAACCCCTACCACCCGGGTTCAAGCAATTCTCAGGCCTCAGCCTCCCGAGTACCTGGGATGACAGGCGCACGCCACCATGCCCAGCTAATTTTCTATTTTAGGTAGAGACGGGGTTTCACCATGTTGGTCAGGCTGGTCTCGAACTCCTGACCTCAGGTGATCCACCCGCCTTGGCCTCCCGAAGTGCTGGGATTACAGGCGTGAGCCACTGTGCCCGGCCATACTTTTTAATTTCTAAGGACTCTTTATGCTCTCAGCTGCTCCTTATTTTTGTAATCTTCTGTTCAAGTTTCTTGGATACAATTTATTTTAATTTAAATTTAATTTAATTTTATTTTTTTGAGACAGAGTCTTGCCTGTCACCCAGGCTGCGGTGCAGTGGTGTGATCTTGGCTCACTGCAGTCCCCACCTCCTGGATTCAAGCAATTCTCCCTTCTCAGCCTCCTCAGTAGCTGGGATTACAGGCGCCTGCCACCACGCCTGGCTAATTTTTGTATTTTTAGTAGAGACTGGGTTTTGCCATGTTGGCCATGCTGGTCTCAGACTCCTGACCTCAGGTGATCCACCCTCCTCCACCTCCCAAAGTGCTGGGATTACAGGCGTGAGTCACAATGCCTGGCTGATACTTTAATTGGAGGTTTTTGTTTTGTTTCAGTTACGAAACTTTCTTCTGCTCCTTGAACTCTTCTTTTGTACTGTTTTGGCCTGTCTTTCGTGTTAGTGACTTTATGTAAAAATCTGGTGATTCTCAGCCTTGATTCAAATGTAAGACAATTTTTTTTTTTTTTTTTTTGAGAGGGAGTTTCACTCTTGTTGCCCAGGCTGGTGTGATCTTGGGTCGCCACAACCTCTGCCTCCCGGGTTCAAGTGGTTCTTCTGCCTCAGCCTCCTGAGTAGCTGGGTTTATAGGCATGCACCACGATGCCCAGCTAATTTTGTATTTTTAGTAGGAACAGGGTTTCTTCATGTTGGTCAGGCTGGTCTCGAACTCCCGACCTCAGGTGATCCACCTGCCTCCGTCTCCAAAAGTGCTGGGATTACAGCACTTTTTCAAGTGGTGTGAGCCACTGTGCACGGCCCTTTTTTTTTTTGGACACGGAGTCTCGCTCTGTTGCCTAGGCCAGAGTGCAATGGTGCGATCTCGGCTCACTGCAACCTTCGCCTCCCGGGTTCAGGCAATTCTCCTGCCTCCGCCTCCTGAGTAGCTGGGACTACAGGCATGCGCCACCACACCTGGCTAATTTTTGTATTTTTAGTAGAGACGGGGTTTCGCCATGTTGGCCAGGCTGGTCTCAGGGTGGTCCGCCCTCCTCGGCCTCCCAAAGTGCTGGGATTACAGGTGTGAGCCACCGTGCCCAGCCTCAAATTTAAGACAAATTCTTAATGAGTGGATTGGAAGTTTTGTGTGAGCAGACATTATTGAGTGATAGACTTCATCATAAGTGATCTAGCGGGGTTCTTAGCTTAGTAAGAGAGAAATATATCTGATCATGATCACCTGTTTGGGGTTGACAAACCTGGTTACCAATATTCCTTTAGCCAGATGGATGTTGGAATTTGAGGATTTAGAATTACACTTTTATGATTCTTGTTTTTCTTCAGCTGCTCCTGGTGTCTCTGAGTGTAGATTTCTTCCATTTACCCTCTCTAGGAAATTAAGCTTTGCAGTTTTCTAGGGCAGGTGAGAGCCAGTTACGCGTTAGTATGTAGTGAATAAGGGATTGTTTTGATTGCTTTTCAGATGGTATGCAATTCCTGTTGGTTAGCCTCATCTGAAAACGTCACTCCTGGATACATAGAACATCACTGCGCATGTGCATCTCCCCACCCCCGATGCCTGGTGTCTAACGTTCCTCCAGTTTCTGGTGCTCTGATGCATTGCTTTTGGGCTTGTCTTACTACAGCAGCTTTCTTCGGTCCTCAGTCATTTACCACTTGTCATATGTCCTTTCTAGTTTCCAGGGATATTCTTTTTTATATTTATGGCTTTATGCCATTTATCTCAGTTGTCATTTGGCGTTTCAAGAAGGAGAGGTGGTAGTGTTTAAGTGGAATTAACTACTTGTGTTTCTGATGTGGTCTTTTATATTTCTTACAGGGTTTTGTTTTACCAAGTACTAGTCTTCAGTCTATCCTGTTTACTTGATTTTTTCCCACTCAACTCACAAACATTTTTGAATCATCTCATGAATTCTGCTTTCCATTTACATTTTTGCCCTTTTGTCTTTTCCTCTTCGCTGTTAAACTTCCTGAAAAAATAAAACTAGTTGATTCACTTCTTCAAATGCCTACTGTGTTGTTATTTTTCCCCTTGTGCTTAATGATTGAGTTATAACTCAGTTATTATAAGTAATAGTTTATGAAATCTGTATTTGATATAACACTTTCATCATGGACACTGTCCATTTTGTTCTTCAGTGACTCTTAACATAAAAGATCCACGTACAAGAAGTTCTTTTAATAATAAAGCATCAGGAAAATTATCTCCCTTGCGTATCTGGTATATTTCCTCCTTTTTGATAGATCTGTGAAATACATTCTGTTTGTCTTTTTGTCCTGGTTACCAGGCAGCCTAGAACCAAATCTGGTCTTTAGTTACATCAGCTATATTAATATCATTATTAGTATATTTGTTCCCTCTTTCTCCTTCCGTGGGGTTTAGGACTTCACCTCTTATCTCTGTTTCTCTGCGTGTTGATTTCATTCTCTCATACTACAGACTCTACTTCATGAGGCTGGAACCATGACTGCTGGCAGCTCTTGTTTCCAGCCCCTTTTACCAGAAGAAGGGGCTCTCTAGAAGAATCCTGGAAAGGACTCTGATTGGCCTGTCTTGGATCATGTGCCCATCATCTCTGTGGCTGGAGTGGGGAGGGTACTGTGAATGGCAACCCTCACTAGAACTACATAGTTGGAGTCAGGGGTAAGAGCAGTTTCCATAATGCAGGGGGGTGGGTGCTGTTTGCAAAACAAGGGGGATGCTTATGAAGCAGAAAAACAATAGATGTCTATCATACTGGCTTTTATTATTTTTCTTTTTTTTTTTCTTTTTTTTTTTTTTTTTTGGAGACAGAGTCTCGCTCTTTTGCCCAGGCTGGAGTACAGTGGTGCGATCTGGGCTCACTGCAACCCCTGCCTCCCGGGTTCAAGCAATTCTCTGGCCTCAGCCTCCCAAGTAGCTGGGATTACAGGTGCCTGCCACCACGTCCAGCTAATTTTTTGTATTTTTAGTAGAGATGGGGTTTTGCCATGTTGGCCAGGCTCGTCTCGAACTACTGACCTCCGGTGATCCACCCACCTCGACCTCCCAAAGTGCTGGGACTACAGGCGTGAGCCACTGTGCTTGGCCTTATTTTTCTTTTTTTAATTGTTATAATACTTGTCCTTTATTGTAGACTGCCTCAAATCCTTTTCTAAAAATTTTAGGTTTAAGTATATTAAATATCCTAAAATAACATAAACTCCTATTCATTCACTCTTTAAGGGTGCAGTGAGCTATGATCATGATCCTGCCACTCTACTCCAGCCTGGGTGACAGAGGAGACCCTATCTCTAAGAAAAAAGAAAAAAATCAAAATATGATCATGGGCTTTGGAGTCAGATGAACTAAATATATGACTGAGCAAGTTTCTTCTTCTTTTTTTTTTTTAATTTTTAATTAAAGAATAGAGGTGGGGTTTTGCTATGTTGCCCAGGCTGGTCTTGAACTCCTGGCCTCACGCAGTCCTCCCTCCTTGGCCTCCCAAGGTGCTGGGATTACAGGCATGAGTCATTGTGCCCAACCTCTTTTCAAAAAATTTTTATTTTTTTAAATTTTAAGTAGAGACATCTATTTGTTTTGACACTATTCCTCTCAGTTCCACAGTGGCACTATGTCATAAATCAGCTGTTAATATTTGTATGCATTTCTTTCTGAACTTTGTGTTCTTTTTATGTGCCTTTGTGCGAGAACCACAGTTTTAAAATTACTATAGCTTCATATTAATAATAACTCTGGATACAAGATACCAGAAAGAATTAGTCCTTCTATATTGTGTTCCTTTTTTGTTGTTGTTTTAAGTATCTTGCCACTTCTTAGCTCTTTGCATTTGATAAATATTTTGAACCATAATGTTCCACAAAAATGTTGCTAGTGTTTTGTTTGAGTTTGCATTGATTGTGTATATCAGTTTGGGGAGAATGGACTTCTTCTTTCTTTTTGAGACAGAATCTTGCTGTGTCGCCCAGGCTGGAGTGCAGTGGTACAATCTTGGCTCACTGCAGCCTCCGACTCCTGGATTCAAGTGATTCTCCTGCCTCAGCCTCCCAGGAAGCTGGGACTACAGGCATCCGCCACCACGCCTGACTAATTTTTGTATTTGTAGTAGAGAAGGGGTTTCACTATGTTGGCCAGGCTGGTCTCGAACTCCTGACCTTGTGATCCGCCTTGGCCTCACAAAGTGCTGGGATTACAGGCATGAGCCACTG
This sequence comes from Homo sapiens, assembly GCF_000001405.40. NCBI lineage: Eukaryota > Metazoa > Chordata > Mammalia > Primates > Hominidae > Homo > Homo sapiens. The sequence continues at coordinate 21,559,369 of NC_000010.11, forward strand.
CGCTTGGCAAGAATGGACATCTTTATATATAGTTTTGAATTTTTGAATCCATGAACATGGTAATCTGATTATTCAGATTTTCCATATTCATTGTGGTAAAATACACATAATACAAAATATACCATTTTAACCATTTTTATGTATACAGTTTAGTGGCATTAAGTACATTCACAGTGTTTATAACCGTCAGCAGTATATATTTCCAGAACTAATTCCAAAGAGAAATTCTGTACCTTGTAAGCATAACTCTCATTTCGCCCTCTCTATAGCCCCTGGTAACTTCTGTTTTCTTTCAAGTTGCCTAGTTTAGCTACTCATGTAAGTGGAATCTTATATTTGTTCTTTTGTACGTAGCTTATTTCACTTTGAATGTTTTCAAGGTTCGTCTATGTTGTAGCATGTACCAGAATTTGAATCTTGTTTATAGCTGAATACTACATAATCCATTGTTATGTATATACCGTGTTTTGTTTATCCATTCATCTGTTGATGGAAACTTGGGTTGTTTCTACCTTTTTGCTATTGTGAATAATGCTGAGCTGAACACTGGTATTCTAGCATCTGTTTGAATCTTTTTTTTTTGGGTCGGGTGGGTGTACATTAGGAATGAAGTTGCTGGATCACATGGTAATTCCGTTTGGCTTTTTTTTTCCTGAGACGGAGTTTCACTCTTGTTGCCCACGCTGGAGTGCAATGGTGTGATCTTGGCTCACTGCATCCTCCGCCTTCCGGGTTCAAGTGATTCTCCTGCCTCAGTCTCCTGAGTAGCTGGGATTACAGGCGTGCGCCACCACACCCGGCTAATTTTGTATTTTTAGTAGAGACAGGGTTTCTCCATGTTGGTCAGGCTGGTCTCGAACTCTCTACCTCAGGTGATCTGCCCGGGCTGGGCCTCCCAAAGTGCTGGGATTTGAGCCACCACGCCTGGCCTGTTTGGCCTTTTGAGGAACTGCCAAAATGTTTTTCACAGAGACTTCAGCTTTTTGTATTCCTACCAACAATGCATGAAGGTTCAGTCTTTTTCCACTCAAGTCTTTTTCAGTTTTCTTCAATTCTTCTTATTTTCTGTTGTTCTTACTGTTTTTGAGACAGGGTCTAGTTCTGTCATTCAGCATTGAAGTGCAGTGGCTTAAACATGGCTCACTGGAGCGTCAACCTCCTGGGATCAGGCAGTTGTCTCACCTAGACTCCTGTGTAGCTGGGATCACAGGCACGTACTACCACCACCACCACCACCACCACCTAATTTTATTGATTTTTGTAGAGAGGTAGCTTCACTATGTTGTCCAGGCTGGTTTTGAACTTCTGGACTCAAGCAATTCTCCTGCCTGAGCCTCCCCAAAGTATTAGGATTACAAGTGTGAGCCATGACATCTGGTCTATTTTCTGGTTTTTGATGATAGCCTTGCTAATGATGTAAAGTGGTATCTTGTCGTTTTGATTTGCATTTTCCCAGTCATTAGTGATACAAGCATCTTTTCATCTGCTTCTTGGCCATTTGTGTGTATTCTTTGGAGAATTTTCTGTTCAGGTCCTTTGCTCTTTTTGTGTGACTTTTTGTTGTTGAAATGTCAGTATTCTTTATCTACTTCTAGATCCTAGACCCAGTATCTAATTTTAGATTCCAGACCGTTCTTAGATACATGATTTGTGAATATTTTATCCCATTCTGTGTGTTGTCTTTTCGCTCTGTTGAGAGTCATGTCCTTTTATGCACAGAGATTTTAATTGTGGTGAAGTCCAATTTATCTTTTTTTAGTTTTTGTTTTTTGTGCTTTTGGTATCATATCCAAGAAATGATTGTCAAATTTAGTGCAGTGAAGATTTTCCCCTGTGTTTTCTTCTAAATGTTTCTATAGTTGTTGCTCTTTTATTTATTTATATATTTATTTATTTGAGACGGAGCCTTGCTCTGTTGCCCAGGCTGGAGTGCAGTGGTGAGATCTTGGCTCTGTTCTGCCTCCTGGGTGCAAGTTCTGCCTCCTGGGTTCAAGCGATTCTTCTGCCTCACCCTTCCGAGTAGCTGGGACTACAGGCACATGCCACCACACCCGGCTAATTTTTGTATTTTTAGTAGAGACAGGGTTTTACCATGTTAGCCAGGATGGTCTCAACCTCCTGACCTCGTGATCCGCCCACCTCGGCCTCCCGAAGTGCTGGGATTACAGGCGTGAGCCACTGCACCCGGCCCAGTGGTAGCTCTTAAGTTTAGGTGTTTGATCCATTTTGAGCCAATTTTTGTGTGCAGTGTAAGATAAGTGTCCACCTACATTCTTTTGCATGTAGATAATCCAGTTTTCCCAGCATTATTTGTTGAAAAGACTCTCTTTCCCACTGAATGATACTGGCACTTTTGTTGAAAATCACTTCACCATATAAGCGAGAGTTTATTTCTGAACTCTCTATTCTCTTTCAGTGCTCTGTTTTTATGCCAGTACAACAGTTTTTTTTTTTGAGGTGGAGTTTCACTCTTGTTGCCCAGGCTGGAGTGTAGTGGCCCAATCTTGGCTCACTGCAACCTCTGCCTCCTGGGTTCAAGCAATTCTCCTGCCTCAGCCTCCCGAATAGCTGGGATTACAGGCATGCCCCACCACGCTCAGCTAATCTTTGTATTTTTAGTAGAGACGGGGTTTCTCCATGTTGGTCAGACTGGTCTCAAACTCCCAATCTTGGTTGATCTGCCCGCCTCGGCCTTCCAAAGTGCTGGGATTACAGGCGTGAGCCACTGTGCTTGGCAACACTGTTTTGATTACTGTAGCTTTGTAGTAAGTTTTGAAATCAGGAAGTGTGATGTCTTCAAATTTATTCTTCCTTTTCAAGATTGTTTTGGCTATTTGAGGTCCCTTGAGATTCTACATGAGTTTTAGAACGTATTTTTTTTTTATTTCTGCCAAAAACATTCTTGGGATTTTGATAGAGATTTTATTGAATGTGTAGATTGCTTTTTTTTATTTTTGTTTTTTTATTTATTTATTTATTTTTTTTTGAGACGGCGTCTCACTCTTGTTGCCCAGGCTGGAGTGCAGTGGCACAATCTCAGCTCACTGCAACCTCTGCCTCCTGGGTTCAAGCAATTCTCATGTCTCAGCCTCCCAAGCAGCTGAGATTACAGGTGCCCGCCATCACGCCCGGCTAATTTTTGTATTTTTAGTAGAGACAGGGTTTTACCATGTTGGCGAGGCTGGTTTCAAACTCCTGACCTCAAGTGACCCACCTGCCTCAGCCTCCCAAAGTGCTGGGATTACAGGTGTGAGCCACCACACCTGGCGTGGAGATTGCTTTGGAGTAGTAAAATCTTAGCAACATTAAGGTATTACAATCCAAGAACGTGAAATGTCTTTCCATTTATTTATATTGTCTTCAGTTTATTTCAGTAAAGTTTTGTGATTTTTCTGTGTACGAATCTTGCGTTTTCTTCATTGCTGACTTACATATACTTTGTTTTTTTTGTTTTTTTTTTTTTTTTTTTTGAGACAGTTTCACTCTTGTTGCCCAGGCTGGAGTGCAATGGCACGATCTTGGCTCACCACAGCCTCCGCCTCCTGGGTTCAAGGAATTCTCCTGTCTCAGCCTTCTGAGTAGCTGGGATTACAGGCATGTGCCACCACACCTGGCTAATTTTGTATTTTTAGTAGAGACAGGGTTTCTCCATGTTGGTCAGGCTGGTCTTGAACTCCCAACCTCAGGTTCCTGGTGCTTCCTATTGCACCATCTTCCCAGAATCCTCTCCCTTCCTGCTGTGCTTTTATAGCCACACCTGCTTTCCTCCTGCCGCCAGACTTAGTCATAACCACTAAGGTATTCTTCATTTTGGTAATTTTGTTACCTCAAGGATGTTATATAAATGGGATGATAGAACTTGTAATTTTCTGGAGGCCCGGCGCGTGGCTCAGGCCTATAATCCCAGCACTTTGGGAGGCTGAGGCGGGTGGGTCACTTGAGGTCAGGAGTTTGAAACCAGCCTAGACAACATGGTGAAACCTGTCTCTACTAAAAATACAAAAATTAGCCAGGTGTGATGGCGGGCACCTGTAATCTCAGCTGCTTGGGAGGCTGAGACATGAGAATTGCTTGAAACCAGGAGGCAGAGGTTGCAGTGAGCTGAGATTGTGCCGCTGTACTCCACCCTGGGCGACAGAGTGAGACTCTGTCTAAAAACAGAACAAAACAACATGTAACTTTCTGGGATTGAGTTTTTTACACTTGGTTTAATTCCTTGGAGATTCCTCCAGGTTGTTGCTTAGTATTTGTTACAGTTAAACTGCGTTTTGTTTAATTACTTATTTGCTGAAAGATAATCTCAGTTATTTCCACTTGTAGGTTATTAAGAATAAAACTGTTATAAACATTACATGGGTTTTCATGTGAGCATAAGTCTTCATTTAGTAATTTTGATAGGCGGGTAGTGATATCTCACTGTGTGTATTATTATTATTATTATTATTATTATTATTATTATTTTGAGACAGAGTCTTGCTTTGTCGCCCAGGCTGGAGTGTGGTGGCGCGATCTAGGCTCACTGCGGGCTCCACCTCCCAGGTTCACACCATTCTCCTGCCTCAGCCTCCCGAGTAGCTGGGACTACAGGCTCCTGCCACCACGACTGGCTAATTTTTTGTATTTTTAGTAGAGACGGGGTTTCACCGTCTTAGCCAGGATGGTCTCGATCTCCTAACCTCGTGATCCACCCGCCTTGGCCTCCCAAAGTGCCGGGATTACAGGCATGAGCCACCGTGCCCGGCCTATTATTATTATTTTTTTTTGAGACAGGGTCTTGCTCTGTTACCTAGGGTTTGAAGGGCAGTGTCATGATCATGGCTTATTGCCGCCTTAACCCTCCGCGTAGCTGGGACTATGGGTGTATGCCACTACACCCAGCCATTGTTTTTAAAAATGTATTTTTGAAGAGATGGGGTCTTGCTATGTTGCTCAGGCTGGTTTTGAACTTCTGAGCTAAAGCCATGCTCCCGACTGGTCTCCTAAAGTGCTGGGATTACAGGCCACTACACACGCGTCATTGTGTTTTTAATACGTATTTACTTAGTGGCTAATGATGTTGACCATCTTTTCAGGTGCTTATTTGGTATCTTTTTTTTTTTTCTTTTAATATGGAACACTTTAAGAATTTGCGTGTCATTACTGTTCAGGGAGCATGCTAATCTTCTCTGTATTGATTCAATTTTGGTATATGTGCTGTTGAGACAAGCACTAGTACCTTTATATGTCCTCTGTTCATCAGTTTTGGCTATTTTCTTTTTCTTTTTTTGAGACAGAGTCTCCCCATCTCTACTAAAAAAATACAAAAGTTAGCCGGGCATGGTGGCACATGCCTGTAATCCCAACTACTTGGGAGGCTGAGGCAGGAGAATTGCTTGAACCCAGGAGGTGGAGGTTGCAGTGAGCCGCGATCGCACCATTGCACTCTAGCCTGGGCAACAAGAGCGAAACTCCATCTCAAAAAAAAAAAAAAAAGGTATTCCACTCTTGGTGAGTGGAATGTTCTGTTGTTCTGTAAAATGTTCATGGATCCAGTTAGTTCATAGCGTTGAATTAAATATTCTTGCTATGAATATATGTATAGTTTTAACAGTTATTACAGAGAAATATTGAAGTCTCTATAGTGGATTTGTGCATTTCTCCACTCTGTTCCATCAGCTTTTCTTTTACATATTTTGTAGTCTTGTTTTTTGGTGCATACACATTTAGGAATGTTATGTCCTCTTGGTGGATTGACCTCTCTCTCCATAAATAATTTCCTTCTTAGTCTCTAGTACTTTTTCTTTGCTCAAAAGTATAGTGTTTCTGATGTTAATATAGTCACTCCAGCTTTTCTTTAATTAATGTTTGCATCATATACCTTTTTAATTTTTTTTTGCTTTCAACGTGCTTATTTGAAGTAAATTTCTTGTACACAAAATAGTGTTAGGTTATGTTTTCTTTGTTTTTTGTGTTTGTTTGAGATGGAATCTTGCACTGTAGCCTGGGCTGGAGTGCAGTGGTGTCATCTTGGTTCACTGCAACCTCCGCCTTCCGGATTGAAGCGATTCTTCTGCCTCAGCCTCTCGAGTAGCTGGGATTACAGGCGCCCGCCACCATGCCTGGTTAATTTTTTATATTTTTAGTAGAGACGGGGTTTCACTGTGTTGACCAAGCTGGTCTCGAGCTGTTGACCTCGTGATTTGCCTTCCTCGGCCTCCCAAAGTGCTGGGATTACAGGTGTGAGCCACTGTGCCTGGCCTTTTTTTTTTTTTTTTTGAGACATGGTCTTGCTCTGTCACCCAGGCTGCATTGCAGTGGCACAATCATGGTTTACTGCAGCCTGGACCTCCTGGGCTCAAACTGTTCCCCCATCTCAGCCTCCCAAGTAAGTGGGACCACACGTGTGCACCATCACACCTGGCTGATTTTTTTATTATTTGTAGGGACCAAGTCTTGTTATGTTGCCCAGCCTGGTCTCGAACTCCTGGGCTCAAGAGACCCTCCTGTCATGGCCTCCCAAACTGCTGGCATTACAGGCATGAGCCACCATGCTTGGCTTTAGGTTATGTTTTTAAAATCCAGTCTGTCAATCTTTGGCTTTTTTTTTTTTTTTTTTTTTTTTTGAGATGGAGTATCTCTCTGTCACCCTGGGTAGAGTGCAGTGGTATGATCTCGGCTCACTGCACCCTCCACCTAGTGGGTTCAAACGATTCTCCTGACTCAGCCTCCAGAGTAGCTATTACAGGTGCCCACCACCACGCCTGGCTAAATTTTTTTTTGTATTTTTAGTAGAGATGGGTTTTCACTGTGTTGGTCAGGCTGGTCTTGAACATTGAACCTCAGGTGATCTGCTCTCCTAGGCCTCCCAAAGTGCTGGGATTACGGTTGTGAGCCACTGTACCTAGCCAGTTTTTGTCTTTTATTTGCTGTATTTAGGTATTTGGGTCATTTACATAGTTATAGATGTTGTCAGACTCCCCCCCACCCCCTTTTTTTTTTTTGAGACAAAGTCTTACTCTTGCCCAGGCTGGAGTGCAGTGGCTCAATCTTGGCCCACTGCAACCTCTGCCTCCCGGGTTCAAGTAGTTCTTGTGCCTCAGTCTCCCGAGTAGATGGGATTACAGGCATCTACTGTAAGCCCAGCTAATTTTTATATTTTTAGTAGAGATGGGGTTTCACCATGTTGGCCAGGCTGGTCTTGAACTCCCGGCCTTAGGTGATGCACCTACCTTGGCCTCCCAAAGTGCTAGAATTACAGGCCTGAGCCACCATGCCTTGTTTTAGTTTTTGTTTTTTTGACTGTTTTTCTTGCTTTCTTTTGGGTTACTTGAACATTTTTGGAATTCCATTTTTCTTATTTTTTTCTTCTACCCCAATTCACTGTGCCAAACCATTTTTCTTTATTGTGTTTTGTATCTTTTTTTTTAGTTCATTGATATGGTTTGGATATTTGTTCCACTGAAATTTTTTTTCTTCTTTTTTTGATACGAAGTTTCGCTCTTGTTGCCCAGGCTGAAGTGCAATGGCATGATCTCGGCTCACCTCAACCTCCGCCTTCCGGGTTCAAGCGATTCTCCTGCCTCAGCCTCCCAAGTAGCTGGGATTACAGGCATGCACCACCACACCTGGCTAATTTTGTATTTTTAGTAGAGACGGAGTTTGTCCATGTTGGTCAGGCTGTTCTCGAACTTCCGACTTGAGGTGATCCACCCACCTCGGCCTCCCAAAGTGATGGGATTACAGGCGCGAGCCACCGAGCCCGGCCTTGGTATCTTTTTGGTATCACAAATAACTTTTGATTGAAACCTGGGCATTTTTGTATTGTCATGAGACTATGCACTTACTTAAACAACTGTTTTAACTAGTGTTCTCTTACACTTATCTAACAAGGGGAGAGTGTTGGTGCCACTTTGTTAAGCCAGGTAGGGGATGAAGTTCAGGTTATCTACCTTGTCTGTGTTGACATTTGAGGCAAACTTCCTTTTAGTTGTTTGCAGAATTGGGAGTTGTGGCTCTCTACCTGATCTCTGTGGTGGATGTGGCCTTGTTTGTTACTGTGTGTAGGTGAAAGTTCTCACTCTCTACTAGGTCTTCTCTGCTACCACTCCAGTAGGGACAGGGAGGGATGCCTTATTACTGGCAGATGGTGGTGGAAGTCCAGTCTTCCCTACTTTTCTCCACTGACACAGTAGGGAGTGGATGCTCATTAACTAGCCAATTGGAATGAAGGTTCCAATCCCCTGCTTAATTTTCTCTGACACTACCTGGTGGGAATCTTGGATTGTTTTCATTACAGTCTCATGAGGGTGGATATCTAGGTTCCCCATGTGATCATTGCTGGTATGGGTGGGGCTAGGTTTTCTATGGTGTTATGCTGGATTATAGCAGTTACTCTTCAAGTTTTCTTTCTGGTTAACATACCACTTTACTGGTAATCTGGTCTGGAGAGAGAAGGCTTTTGTTGGGGCTTCTTCTTTTTTTTTTTTTTTTGAGACAGAGTCTCTCTCTGTCACCCAGGCTGGAGTGCAGTGGTGCGATCTCTGCTCACTGCAACCTCCGCCTCCCGAGTTCAAGCAATTCTCGTGCCTCAGCCTCCGGAGTAGCTGGGATCATAGGCGCCTTCCAACACGCCCGGGTAATTTTTATTTTTAGTAGAGATGGGGTTTTGCCATGTTGGCCAGGCTGGTCTCCAACTCCTGACCTCTGGTGATCCACCCGCCTTGGCCTCCCAAGGTGCTGGGATTATAGGCATGAGCCACCGCACCCGGCCTTGTTGGGGGTTCTTTTATTTGGTCAGTGCCCATCGGTGTTCCTGATGTACTCACTTCTTCCATTCCAGGAGTAGGATACATTAGGCAAAAAGAAGAGAATACCCAGGGAATTTACTGCTATATTGTGCCTTGTGTCCTGTGATCCTGAGCTAATTTGCCTTCTCTCCACCTTTCAGAGAAAATTCGTTTTATTTATAATATTCACATTTTAAATTTGTACTTAGTGGGAGGAATAGGGAAAAGTATGTCCATTCCATCCTCCTAGAAGTGTAAGTGTAACCTTTGATTTCATTGAGTGTGCCCTATTTTTCTGTTATCTATTTCATTGACTTCTGCTCTGATCTTTCTTTTGCTCTTCTAGTTTCTTAAGGAACAAGGTGAAATCACTGATTTGTTTCTTTTCTAATATAGTCATGTAATTGTATAAATTTCTATTTCAATTACTGCTTTAACTGTCTTAAAAATACTTGATATTTTTGTCTTTTTTTTTACCCCTTGGTTATTTTATTTTATTTCATTTCATTTCATTTTATATTTTGAGACAGATTCTCCCTCTGTCTCCAGGCTGGAGTGCCGCAGCGAGATCTTGGCTCACTGCAAACTCCGCCTCCCGGGTTCAAGCAGTTCTCTGCCTCAGCCTCCTGAGTAGCTGCGGTTACAGGAGCCTGCTACCATGCCCGGCTAATGTTGTATTTTTAGCAGAGACGGGGTTTCACCGTCTTGGTCAGGCTGGTCTTGAACTCCTGACCTTGTGATACACCTGCCTCGACCTCCCAAAGTGCTGGAATTAACAGGCATGAGCCACTGCTCCTGGCCCCCACTGGTTATTTTAGAAGTATGTTTTGATTCCAAATATTGGGATTGTCTTTGATTTTTTTTTGTCACTGATTTCTAGATTAATATCACAGTTGTAAGAAAAAATTCATGGTAACACCTGAAACCTTTTAAATTTACCAAGAGTTGTTTTTTTGGCCTGAATATGGTATATCTTGGTGAATGTTCCAAATGCACTTGAACAGAATGCGTATTCTGGTAGTTTGTGTAGAGTGTTGTATAGTTAGTTAGGTCAGTTTGGTTAATGGTGTTATTCAAGCTTCTGTATCCTTACTGATTTTCTGTCTGCTGGTCCTGCTATTAGTATCATTCCTTTTTTTTGAACATGATGTTGCTTTGTCACCTAGGCTGGAGTGCAGTGGCATGCACAATCATAGCTCATTAAGCCTCCACCTCCTGGGCTCAAATGATCCTCCCACCTCAGCCTCCCCAGTAGCTGGGTCTACAGGCAATATGCTACCATACCCAGCCAATTTTTTTTTTTTTTTGTAATGGAATCTCGCTCTCGCCCAGGCTGGAGTGCAGTGGCGTGATCTCGGCTCACTGCAAACTCCACCTCCTGGGTTCAAGCGATTCTCCTGCCTCAGCCTCCCGAGTAGCTAGGATTACTGTTGTGCGCCATCATGCCCGGCTAATTTTTGTATTTTTAGCAGAGACAGGGTTTCACCATGTTGGCGAGGCTGGACTCGAATTCCTGACCTCAGGTGATCTGCCCGCCTCAGGCTCCCAAAGTGCTGAGATTACAGGTGTGAGCCACCATGCCCGGCCCACCCAGTTAATTTTTAAAAAATCTTTTTGTAGAGACCGGGTCTTCCTGTGTTGCTCTGTTGCCTGGGCTGGAGTGCAGTGGCACAATCATGGCTCACTATGGCCTTGACCTCCTCCTGCCTTAGCCTTCCCGAGTAGCTAGAAGGACCACAGGTGTGTGCCACTACCTGTGGCTAATTTTTGTGTGTTTTTTGTTTTTATTTCTTGAGACGGGGTGCCGCTCTTGTTGCCCAGGCTAGAGTGCAATGGCATGATCTCGGCTCATTGCAATCTCTGCCTCCTGGCTTCAAGCAATTCTCCTGCCTCAGTCTCCTGAGTAGCTGGGATTACAGGCATGTGTCACCATGCCCAGCTAATTTTGTATTTTCAGTAGAGATGGGGTTTGTCCATGTTGGTTAGGCTGGTCTCGAACTCCTGACCTCAGGTGACCTGCCCACCTCGGCCTCCCAAAGTGCTGGGATTACAGGCGTGAGCCACTGTGCCAGGCCAATTTGTGTGTGTGTGTGTGTGTGTGTGCGCGCGTGTGTGTGTGTTTAGAGATGGGGTTCTGCAGTGTTGCCCACACTGGTCTCGAACTCCTGGCCTGAAGTGATTTTCCCACCTCGGCCTCCCAAAGTGCTGGGATTACAGGCATGAGCCACTGCGCTCAGCCACTTTTCTTCATGTTTCCAGTGACTGATAGTTCATTAAAAGAGTGCCCTGTTATACATGCTTATAATTTCCATCAAATATGTGAAAGTTGTTGGCCATGATTTCTAAAGACTTTTTTTTTCTATATTATCTCCTGTTTTGTGGCTCCAGTTACAAGTATGTTTGGCCTCTTGAAATTATTTCAATTATCACGTATTACATTTTTTAGTGGTTTTTTTTTTCTGTGTTTCATTTAGGTTAGTAATTTTGGTTTCATGGGTTGTAAATCTCAAAGTGTATTTTTCATCTTAGACTTTGTAATTTTCAATTTAGAAGTTCAAATTTTAAAAATATTTCATATTTTTACTTAATATATTTGTTTCTTCTAGCCTTCTGATCATATGAAATATCATCATAATTGTTTTAAAGGACTTGTCTGCTAATTCTCTTTTCTGTTTCATTTCAAAATTGGTTTATTTTTTGTTTCATTATGGGGTGTAACTTCCTGCTTCTATGTAAGTCTTATAAATTTTGATTGACTTTTTAGCCACTGTGAATTTTACCTTGTTTTCTAGTTTCTCTAGTTTTGTTTGCCTTTTACAAATATTTGTGGACTTTGTTCTGTGGCATTATTGAGTTGCTTGAAAACAGTTTCTTTCTGTTGGGTCTTTCATGTTTTCTTTGACTGGACCAGGGCTGTGTTTAGGGTTAATTTTTTCCTCCTTCTGAAGACTTTCTTAGTACTCCTATGTCATATCTACAATGTGATATAAATTATATCACATCATTTCCTTTTGGACTTTTGGGTATGGGTACTATTCACATCCTTATGTCAGTTCTGGATGCTATTACCTCTAATTCTTTTGGTGATTTCTCATCTTGCCATTGGATAGCTCCTTTACATTGCAAGTGCTGATTTGTCATTCAACCAAAAGTTCTAGGGTGAGCCTTTGTAGATCTCTTCATTTCTCTCTCTCTCTCCAGCTCTCTACTCAGTGCTGGTCTCCCTTGTGAGCTCTAGGCACCTTGGCCTCCTTGGACTTCCAGCTTCATTTCCTCAACTTGGGGAGACTACAGGCTCTGCCTGGGTTCCTCCTCCCTGTTCCACGACCTGGAAACTCTCTCAAGGCAGTAAGCTGGGCACACGTGCGGCCCATTTGTTTTTTGTCTTCCAGGGATGACTGTGTTTTGTTGCTTGTCCAATATCTTCAGTGCTGTTGTTTCATTCATTTTATTAGGTTTTTATTATTTCGTGCAAGGAGGCTATATCTGGTCCCCTTTATTCACTCCATCTTGACCAGAAGTGGTATCATTGTGGTTTTAATTTACTTTTTCATGATAACTGATGATATTCAGCACATTTTAGCTTGTGTGTTGACCATTCGTGTGTTCTCTTGTGATGAGTTTGTTCATTTAGCCTTTGCTATTCTTTGTTTTCTTTTTTCATCTATTTGAGTTGCAGAAGGTGTTTATATGTCCTAAATACTGATCCTGTGTCTGATAAATGTTTTGTAAATACTTTCCCCAAGTCTATATGGTTTAACTATTTATTTTAACTGTACCTTTTGATGAGCAGAAATATTTATATCTGATAAGTTTAATTTATCAGTGTTTTCTTTTGTAGTTATTGCTTACTGTGAGCTAAGACAGTTTTGCCTAACCTCGAAGTCATGAAGGTAATTTCCTTTATTTCCTCTAAAAGGTTTTGCTTTTGCTAATTTATATTTAGGTCTGTGATGCATCTGAAATTATTTTTGTAGGTTTGAGTATTTTGCATATGGCTATCCAGTTGTTTTTCACCATTTGTTGAAAACAGTCTCTTTTTCTCACTGGGTTGCTTTGGGAACATCACATGGCTGCATAAGTGGGATATCTTTCAGAAATCTTTATTCTGCTCCAAAAATCTGTTTGTCTAGCCCTGTTATTCTGATAATTTTGTAACTTTATATTGTCTTGAAGTCAGAATTGCAAGTCCTAAAACCTTTTTCTTCTTTTTCGAAGTTCTGCATATTCTCCGTCCTTCACATTTCCATATAAATTCTAATAATCTCTTTTCTGTCTTCTCCAAGAAAGGCTGATGGGATCATGATTATAATTGTCTTGAGTCTGTTGATCAGTTTGAGGAGAACTGACATCTTAACAACGATTGAGTCTTAATCATTAGTATAGTATATCTCTCCATTTATTTAGGTCTTTTTTGCTTTGTCTGAGCAGTCGTTTGTTGCTTTTAGCCTTTGGTCTTGCATGTCTTCTGTTTTAAAATTACTTTTTTTTTTTCCTGTTTTTTTGAGACAGAGTCTTACTCTGTTGCCTCGCTGGAGTGCAGTGGTGCAATCTTTGCTCACTCCATCTCCTGGGTTCAGACAATTCTCCTGCCTCAGCCTCCCAAGGAGCTGGGATTACAGGCATGTACCACTAAGCACAGCTAATTTTTATGTTTTTAGTAGAGATAGGGTTTCACCATTGTTGGCCAGGCTGGTCAACTCCTGACCTCAAGTGATCTGCCTGTTTCGGCCTTCCAAAGTGCTGGGATTACAGGCATGAGTCACCACGCCTGGCCTAAAATTATTTTTAAATATTTTGTCTTTTTTTTGATGCTATTTTAAAATATTAAATACATTTTTTAGCAATTATAAAGTATTATAAAAATTTCTAATTTTTTGTTGGAAATAGAATTTTTGTATATTGACCTGTTTCTTACAACCTTACTTAAGTCATATTAATTCTACTAGTTTTTTAGGTAGATTACTTAGATTTTTCTAATAGATGATTGTCATAAAACACTGTTTTATCTCTTTTTTCCCATTTGTAATTCCTTTTATTCTCTTCCCTTACAGAATGGACTTAATCTTGTTTTCATTCTTAGAGGAGAGCATTCAGTGTTACACCATCAATTATAAGTCAGCTGTAGGGGTTTTATTGATGAAGTTTATCAGATTGCTTTCAAATATAGCTTTTATTACTATTTAGATATGGCAAGGCCAACAGAACCCAGCATGACTGCCATTGAAAAGATAGTTTGTTATAGTCACAGACCCCAAGAGGAATAGTCATGCCATGCCATGGAGAATACACAGCTGAGTAGCTTCCTGAGGGTTTGTGTCATGAATGGATATTGAGTTTTCTCAAAAGCTTTTTCTGTATCTATTGAGATAATGCTATGTTTTTAAAGATATTAATGTAAATTTCATTGTTTTATTTTCAAATGTTACGCTAAATGCCATTTGGTGTCATGGTGTATTATTCTTTTTTTTTTTTTAGTGATGGGTACAGTGGCACAATCTCTGCTCAGTGTAACCTCCACCTCCTGGGTTCAAGTGATTCTCCTGCCTCAGACTCCCAAGTAGCTGAGATTACAGGCACGTGCCACCATGCCCGGCTAATTTTTTTTGTGGAGACAGGGTTTCACCATGTTGGCCAGGCAGGTCTCCTGACCTCAAGTGATCCTCCCGCCTTGGCCTCCGAAAGTGCTGGGATTACTTTCGTAATCCATGTGAGCCACCACAACTGGCCTATTCTTCTTATATATTGTTGGACTTAAATTGCTAATAGTAAATATTTTTGCAACTTTGTATGGGAGGGATTTTGTTGTAATCTTGTTGCTTTTTGTCAAGTGCTGGTATTTTTGGTATATTCATTGGTATTCTTCATGCTAAACTTAGAAAATGATTTGGGAAGCATTGTCTTCTCTGTTTTCTGGAAATACTTGTGTGAGATTGATTTATAGTGTTTGAAGGAACTTATCAGTGAAAAAATCTGAGTCTAGAGTTTTCTTTTTGGGAAGGATTTTGATAATGAATTCAACTTAAAATGCTTCTCAGATTTTCTGTTTTATCAGTTTTGATAAGTTTCATTTTCAAATAATTTTTTCTTTTCATCTAAGCTGTTGAATTGGTTAGCATAAAGTCATTAATAATAATCTTTGGCCTTCTTAATATCTTTGGGATTGTAGAGGTAATTCCCATTTTATTCTTGATATTGGTAATTTGTATTCTTCCTATTTAAAAAAAAATTAATTTAGCTTGCAGATTGTCAACTTTTTAGGTTTTTCCAAAGTGTTACCAGAAAGGGGGTCCCAATCCAGACCCCAAGAGAGGGGTTCTTGGATCTTGTGCAAGAAAAAATTTGAGGCGGATTCATAGAGTAAAGTGAAAGCAAGTAACTTATTAAGAAAGTAAAGGAATAAAAGAATGGCTACTCCATAGGGAGAGCAGTGCCATGGCTGCTGGTTTCCCATTTTTATGAGTATTTCTTGATTGTATGCTAAACAAGGGGTGGATTATTCATGAGTTTTCTGGGAAAGGGGTGGGCAATTCCCAGAACTAGTGGTTCCTCCCCTTTTTAGACTATATAGGGTAACTTCCTGGCATTGCTATGGCATTTGTAAACTGTCATGGCGCTTGTGGGAGTGTCTCTTAGCATGTTAATGTATTATAATTAGTGTATAATGAGCAGTGAGGACGACCAGAGGTCAGTTTTGTCACCATCTTGGCTTTGGTGGGTTTTGGCCCCCTTCTTTATTACAACCTGTTTTATCAGCAAGGTTTTTATGTCTTGTATCTTGTGCCAGCCTCCTATCTCATTCTGTGACTTAGAATGCATAACTTACTGCAGTCCAGCAGGACTCAGCCTTATGATTTCCCCAGCCCCTGTTCAAGATAGAGGCATTCTGGTTCAGAGGCCTCTGACAAAAGGACCAACTTTGACTTCAAATTCTCTGTTACTTTTCTTTTCATTTCTTCTGCTCTCATTTTTACTATTTCTTTTTTCTACTTACTTTGGGTTTACTTTACTCTTTTATATATAGGTTCTTTAGGTAGAACCCTACTTATTTTATTTTATTTTATTTTATTTTATTTTAGACAGAGTTTTGTGCTGCCACCCAGGCTAGAGTGCAGTGGTGCGATCTTGGCTTACTGCAACCTCTGCATCCCGGGTTCAAGCGATTCTCCTGCCTCAGCTCAGCCTCCTGGGTAGCTTAGATTACAGCCACCCGCTGCCATGCCCAGCTAATTTTTGTATCTTTAATAGAGATGGAGTTTCATCATGTAGGCCAGGCTGGTCTTGAACTTGCGACCTCAGATGATCCACCTGCCTTGGCCTTCCAAAGTGTTGGGATTACAGGCGTGAGCCACCATATCCGGCTGCTAGGTCATTAATTTTATATCTTTTTTTCTAATGTGGTTAGGGAACATAATCTGTATGATTTCCATTATTTTCATTTTATTGTGTCCTGCTTTATGGCTCAGTATGTGGTCTTCCATGGGGTATGCACCAAGTTTACCTGAAAAGAATGTTTATAGTGGTTTTAACATTGCTTAGATTATTATTATTATTTTTATTTGGTTTGGTTTTGTCAGTCACAAAGAGGAGTGTTAAAATATCTTACCACGTTTGGGGCACTGAGTATTCTGACTATGCCTTATGCTAATTTTTGCTTCATGTATTTTGAAGCCTTGTTTTTAGGTGCATACATTTATAATTATTATGACTTCTTCATTGTCTGACTTACTGTGAAATGCCCCTCCCTCTCTTTACTATGTAGCCACTCACCATCTTTTTTTTCTTGTTGTTTGTTTGTTTGTTTTTTTTATGAGATGAGGTTTTACTCTGTCACCCAGGCTGGAGTACAGTGGTGTGATCTTGGCTCACTGCAGCCTTTGCCTCCTAGATTCAAGCAGTTCACCTGTTTCAGCCACCCTAGTAGCTGGGACTATAGGTGTGTGCCACCGTGCCTGGCTAATTTTTGTATTTTTGGTAGAGATGGGGCTTTGCCATGTTGGCCAGGCTGGTTTCGAACCCCTGGCCTCAAGTGATCAAGTGCCCGCCTTGGCATCCCAAAGTGCTGGGGTTACAGGCGTGAGCCACCGCACACCCAGCCTATCCATTTACTTTTTTTTTTTTTTTTTTGAGATGGAGTCTCGCTCTGTCGCCCAGGCTGGAGTGCAGTGGCATGATCTTGGTTCACTGCAAGCTCCGCCTCCCAGGTTCACGCCATTCTCCTGCCTCAGCCTCCCGAGTAGCTGGGACTACAGGCACCCGCCACCACGCCCGGCTAATTTTTGTATTTTTAGTAGAGCTAGGTTGTCACCATGTTGACAGGCTGGTCTCGATCTCCTACCTTGTGATCCACCCACCTCGGCCTCCCAAAGTGCTGGGATTACAGGTGTGAGCCACCGTGCCCGGCCATTCCATTTACTTTTGACCTGTTTGTGTCTTCACTTAAAGTGTGTTTCTTACAGACACCTTGTGTTTACTTTTCTATCCGTGCTAATACACAATTTTTTTTTTTTTTTTGAGTTGGAGTTTTGCTCTTGTTGCCCAGACTGGAGTGCAATGGCACAATCTCGGCTCACTGCAACCTCCGCTTCCCGGGTTCAAGCGATTCTCCTGCCTCAGCCTCACGAGTAGCTAGGATTATAGGCATGTGCCACCACACCTGGCTAATTTTTGTATTTTTAGTAGAAATGGGGTTTCTTCATGTTGATCAGGCTGGTTTTGAACTCGCGACCTCAGGTGAATCGCCCGCCTCGGCCTCCTAAAGTGCTGGGGTTACAGGCGTGGGCCACTGCGCCCGGCCAATTGTTTTGTTTTGAAACAGTGTCTACATCACTACAATCAATTTTAGAACACTTGTATCCCCTCAAGAAGAAGCCCTTTGGCCCATTAACAGTCACTCTCCATTACCCTACTTCCCCAGCTCCTGACAATCACTAATCTTCATTTCTGTCTCTATCCCTATTTGGGACATTTCATATAAATGGAATCATATGATATATGGTGTATTGTGAGTGGCTTCTTTCTCCTAGCATAATGTACAAGCATTTGTTTTGTAGCATTAGAACTTCATTCCCTTTTGTTGTCAAATAATATTCTGTTGCATGGCTATACTACATTTTCTTTACTCATTCATTAATTGATAGACATTTAGGTTGTATATACTTTTGCAATGTTATGAATAACGTTATTATGAACATTTGTCTGCAAATCCAGACATTTGTTTTGAATTCTCTTGGGCGTAGGATTTTTGTTTCATGCTGTAACTCTGTTTAATCTTGAAAAACTGACAGAGGCTGTAACATTTTAAATTACCAGCAACAATAGATGAAGGTTTTTTTTTTTTTTTTTTTGAGACGGAAGTCTCCCTCTGTTGCCCAGGCTGGAGTGCAATGGTGCAATGGCGCAATCTCAGCCCAATGCAGTCTTCACCTCCTGGGTTCAAGTGATTCTTCTGCCTCAGCCTCCCGAGTAGCTGGGATTACAGGCACCCACCATCATGCCGGGCTAATTTTTGTATTTTTGTAGAGATGGGGTTTCACTATATTGGCTAGGCTAGTCTTGAACTCCTGACCTCAGGTTATCCGCCCACATTAGCCTCCCAAAGTGCTGGGATTACAGGTGTGAGCCACCGCACCCAGCCTATATGAAGGTTTTAATTTCTCCATCTCTTTGCCAACATTTTTTATTGTTTGGCTTTTGGTTTTAGCTATCCTACAGGGCATGAGGTAGTATCTGATTGTGGTGTTGATTTTTATTTATTTTTTTCATTATATTATTTTTTTAGACAGAGTCTCACTCTGTTGTTCAGGCTGGAGTACAGTGGTGTGATATCTTGGCTCACGGCAACCTCTGCCTCCCGGGTTCAAGCGATTCTCGTGCCTCAGCCTCCTGAGTACCTGGGATTACAGGTGCCCGCCATCACGCTTGGCTAATTTTGTAATTTTAGAAGAGTTGGAGTTTCACCATGATGGCCAGGCTAGTCTCAAACTCCTGACCTCAGGTGATCCACCCGCCTAGACCTCCCAAAGTGTTGAGATTACAGGCGTGAGCCACTGCACCTGGCCTGGTGTTGATTTTTAATCCTTAATGATTAATGACGTTAAGCATCTTTTCATGTGCTTATTGGTCATTTATATATTTTCTTTGGAGAAGTGTCTATTTAGATCCTTTGTTCAATTTTTAACTGGGCTGTATAGCTTTTTATTTTTGAGTGGAAGAGCTCTGTATCCTGGATACAAACTACTTGTCAGACATGCGACTTGTAGACTTGTAAATATTTCTTCCATCCTTTTACTTTCCTGATGGTTTTGTTTGTAGCAAAAAAGTCTGTAGGTTTGGTAAATTCTAGTTATTTTTTCTTTTATTGCCTCTGCTTTTAGTGTTATGTCTAAAAACTGTTGTTTAACCGAGTCCTAAAGACTTACCTCCTATGTTTTTTTCTAAAGTTGTATAGTTTTAGCTCTTACATTTAGATCTGCGATTCACTTTTGAATTAATTTTTAAGTATAGTATCAGGAAGGGTTTCAACTTAATTCTTTTGCACATTCCTCTAGCAATTTAAGTATATTTCTTTACTCTTTTCAGTCTGTTTTTATAGTATTACCACTTATGGGTAATATTGTACAAGTCGTAAAGTATACAAAGCTTGTAAGTTGTTCTTTTATATCACCTCTGTTTGTTGTCAGTTATGCTATTGTCATGTGTGTTGGAACTATGTATATTATAAGCCCCAGAAAACAACAATATAATTTTGGCTTTCAATAATCATGTAATGTTAAGAACTTAAGAGTTGAAAGTCTTCTAAGTTTACCCAGATATTTACCATTTGTGGTAGTCTTCTGAAGATTGGCATTTTCTAGCATCATTTGTCTTAATTCTGAAGAATTTCTTTAGCCTTTCTTGCAGGGCATATCTTTTGGTGATAAATTGTGTTTTCTTTCTTTTATCTGAAAGTACCTATTTCATCTTTATTTTTGAAGGGCATTGTGGTTGGATTTAGAATTCTGTGTTGACGGTGCTTTATCTCTTAGCAATTTAAGTATTTTAGTTTACTTTCTTTTGGCTTCCATATTTTATGATGAGAAATCTGCCATTTATCCAGTCACTGTTCCCTCTGCCCTCTGTGTAATGTGACATTTTCTTTTGGTGCTTCAAGATTTTTCCCTCTGTGTTTGCTGTTTAGCAAGGCATTTGACTATTTGAGGTTTGCTGAGATTCTTGAATCTGTGAATGTGTCTTTTTTCAAATTGAAGAAATTTTCAGCCATCGTTTCTTCAAAATTTTCTTTCCTGCCTCATATTCTTTCTCTCTTCTTCTTTTTAAGGCCTTTGGTTATGCATGTGAGACCTTTTGGTACTGTCCTGTAGGTCCCTGAAGCCCTGGTTTTTTTTTTTGTTTGTTTGTTTTACCTCTATTTCCTCTTTCAGATTAGATTCTTTTTTTTTTTTTTGAGGTGGAGTTTCGCTCTTGTTGCCCAAACTGGAGTGCAGTGGTGCGATCTCGGCTCAACACAACCTCCGCCTCTTGGGTTCAAGTGATTCTCCTGCCTCAGCCTCCTGAGTAGCTGGGACTACAGGTGTGTGCCACCACACCTGGCTAATTTTGTATTTTTTAGTAGAGACGGGGTTTCTCCATGTTGGTCAGGCTGGTCTCGAACTCCTGAGCTCAGGTGACCCACCCACCTCGGCCTCCCAAAGTGCTGGGATTACAGGTGTGAGCCACCATGCCTGGCCTCAGATTAGATTCTATCTATTGATGTAGCTTCAAGTTCACTGACTCTTTTGTCATCTCAGATTTGTTGTTATGAAGCTTGCCTAGTGAAATTTTTACTTCACATGTTGTATTTTTAGTATTTAAAAAATTCTTTGTTTTTTTGTTTTGTTTTTTCTTTGTTTTTTTTTTTTAATTTGAGATCAAGTCTTGCTCTTTTGCCCAGGCTGGAGTGCAGTATTGCTATTATATTACTGCAGCCTCAAACTCCCAGGCACAAGTGATCCTCCTGCCTCAGCCTTCTGAGTATTTGGGACTGCAGACTGGTGCTGCCACGCTCGGCTTATAGTTTCTTTTTTATTGTTGTTGCTGAGACATCCTGTTTTATTTATTATAGGTTTATCTTCAGTGGGCAGATTTAATTAGCATTTAGTGACATTTTTCCGTAAAACTTGACAATATAACGGAAATGGTATAATTTGGAATAGAGAAAAGAAATCACTCATAATCTTACCATCCTTATCACAGTCCTATTAATATATTTTGTGTATTTTTTTTTTTTTTTTCGAGATGGAGTCTTGCTCTGTCACCCAGGCTGGAGTGCAGTGGCATGATCTTGGCTCACTGCAACCTCTGTCTCCTGGATTCACGCCATTCTCCTGCCTCAGCTTCCTGAGTAGTGGGGACTACAGGCGCCCGCCACCACGCCTGGCTAACTTTTTTTGTATTTTTAGTAGAGACGGGGTTTCACTGTGTTAGCCAGGATGGTCTCGATCTCCTGACCTCGTGATCTGCCTGCCTCGGCCTCCCAAGGTGCTGGGATTACAGGCGTGAGCCTCCACACCCGTCCTATTTTGTGTATTTTCTTTTCTTTTTTTTTGAGACAGAGTCTTGCACTGTCGCCTGGGCTGGAATGCAATGGCGCGATCTTGACTCACTGAAACCTCTGCCTCCTGGGTTCATGGAATTCTCCTGCCCCAGCCTCCCGAGTAGTTGGGATTACAGGTGCACACCACCACGCCCAGCTCATTTTTTTTTTTTTTTTTTTTTTTTTAGTAGAGACGGAGTTTCACTATGTTGGCTAGGCTGGTCTCGAACTCCTGACCTCATGATCTGCCTGCATTGGCTTCCCAAAGTGTTAGAATTACAGGCGTGAGACACTGTGTCCAGCCTATTTTGTGTATTTTCTTTTAATGTTCAGTGAATTTTTTTTTTTTTTTTTTTGAGACGGAGTCTTGCTCTGTAGCCCAGGCTAGAGTGCAGTGGCACGATCTCGGCTCACTGCAAGCTCTGCTTCCCGGGTTCACACCATCCTCCTGCCTCAGCCTCCCTAGTAGCTGGGACTACAGGCGCCCACTATCACACCTGGCTTATTTTTTTTGTACTTTTAGTAGAGACGGGGTTTCACCGTGTTAGCCAGGATGGTCTCGATCTCCTGACCTCGTGATTGCCTGCCTCGGCCTCCCAAAGTGCTGAGATTACAGGCGTGAGCCACTGCGCCCAGCCATATTTGTGTTTTTAAACATAGAAAAGGTACAGCTAAAATAATGGTATGAAAGATTTTAAAAAATGCACTTGTATAGGGCTTTACCATGAATGAAGCTTACAGGACTAGAAGTTGCTCTGGGTGAGTCAGTGAGTAAGTGGTGAGTGAATGTGAAAGCCTGGGACATTTTTGTACACTACTGATAGGGTTTGGCTGTGTATCCCCACTGAAATCTCATCTCGAATTGTAATCCCTATGTGTTGAAGGAGGGAGGTGACTGGATAATGGGGGCAGTTTCCCCCATCCTGTTCTCATGATAGCGAGTGAATTCTCTTGCGGTCTGATGGTTTTGAAAGTGGCAGTTTTTTCCTATGTACACATTCTCTTTCTCTTGCTTGCTGCTATGTAAGATGTGCTTGCTTCCCCTCCTGTGATGATTGAAAGTTTCCTGAGGCCTCCTCAGCCATGTGGAACTGTGAGTCAATTAAGCCTCTTTTCTTTATAAATTGCCCAGTCTCAGGTAGTTCTTTATAGCAGTGAGAGAATGGACTGCTACAACTACTATAGACTTTATAAACATTGTACACTTAATGTACACTAAATTTATTTTAAAAATTGCTCTGTCATGTTACTATGGCTATTACATCATTACGTCACTAGGCAATAGGAATTTTTTAGTTCCATTTAATCTCATGGGACCACCACTGTATATGTGGTTGTTGTTATGCAGACTGCATTTTGAGAGAGACCACATTCATATAGCTTTTCTTATAGTACATTGTTATTTTTTTTTTTTAATTTTTAAAAATTTTTTGAGGTGGAGTCTCTTTCTCTGTTGCCCAGGCTGGAGTGCAGTGGAACGATCTTGGCTCACTGCAGTCTCCTAGGTTCAATCGATTTTTGTGCCTTAGCCTCCTGCTTAGCTGGGACTGCAGGCACGTGCCACCACATGCAGCTAATTTTTTTGTGTTTTTAGTAGAGATAGGGTTTCACCATGTTGGCCAGGCTGGTCTCGAACTCCTGACCTCAGGTGATCTGCCCGCCTCAGCCTCCCAAAATCCTGGGATTATAGGTGTGAGCCACTACACCCAGCCTGTTCTATTTTATTGTTGTTGTTAATCTGTTACTGTGCCTAATTTATAAATTAAACTTTTTATAGGTATGTATGTATAGCAAAAAACAGAATCAAGTGCTCAGTACCATTTGTTGTTTCAGACATCCACTGGGGTTCTTAGAATGTTTCTCCCATGGATAACTGGGGGACTACTGCATTTAGGAGGTGACTGAAGTGGTCCTGATGAAAGGTGATGCTTGCTTTAAGTAGGGTAATAGTGGAGATGGAGAGAGAGAGGCAGATCTCACCAGTATTTAGGAAGAGGAAGGGCACAATACAGTTATGGATTAAAAGTGAGATTAGGGAGTGAGGCATGAAGTGGTCAAAGATGACGTATACTAGGTGTCTTGCGTGAGCAATGTGTCATTGAAAATATCATTACCAGTATATGAAAAGAGCAGGAAGAGCAGATTTTGTCATAAATTGTGGAGCGTTTCAAGTGTCTATGTAGGCTGGGTGAGGTGGCTCACTGTAATCCTAGCACTTTAGGAGGCTGAGGTGAGTGGATCACTTGAGGCCAGGAGTTTGAGACCAACCTGGGCAACATGACGAAACCCTATTTCTACTAAAAATAGAAAAAGTTAGCTGGACGTGGTGGCACACACCTGTAATTGCAGCTCCTTGGGAGGCTGAGGCAGGAGAATTGCTTGAACTCTGGAGCTGGAGGTTGCAGTGAGCCGAGATTGAGCCACTGCACTCCAGCCTGGGCAACAGAGTGAGACTCCATCTCAAAATAAAATAAAATAAAGTGTTTATGTAGCATATAGAGTTTTATACCTGAACCTGAGGACAGATACAAATAGATAAAATTTGGGAGTCACTGTTACATTTTTATAATTTAGTTGGTAATGGAAATTTGGACAATGAGTAAGATTGCCTAGTGTTTCATGTGAAATAAGATGACATCTTAGGCCAGAGCCCTGAGGAATTTCACCATTTAAAGGTTTGATAGGGTGATCAGAAAGGTGCTGCCAAAGAGGTAATAGGAAAATCAGGAGAGTGAAATACTGAAAGGCAAGAAGTATAGTGGTATTAGCCTGTTTCAGGTTAAAGGAATACCTGAAACTGGGTAGATTATTAATATAAAGAAAAGAGGTTTATTTGGTTCACAGTTCTGTAGGCTGTACAAGTATACCACCAACATCTTTGGGCTGAGGAAACTTTTACTCATGGGGCAGTGGGAATGGGGACCAGGAGTGTCACATGGTGAGAGAAGGGAGCAAGGTGGCAGGCTCTTTTTACCAATCAGATCTCACATGAGCTAACAACAGCAAGAAACTCACTCATTACCACAGGGAAAACACCAAGACATTCATGAGGGATCTGCCCCCATTACCCAAACACCTTTTGCTAGTTTCCACCTTCAACATTGGGATTACATTTTTACATGAGATTTGGAGGCACAAATATCCAAACTTTATCAATAGGCTCAATTTTTTTTTTTTTTTGAGACGGAGTCTCGCTCTGTCACCCAGGCTGGAGTGCAGTGACGCGATCTCGGCTCACTGCAAGCTCCGCCTCCTGGGTTCACGCCATTCTTCTGCTTCAGCCTCCCAAGTAGCTGGGACTACAGGCGCCTGCCACCACGCCCGGCTAATTTTTTGTATTTTTAATAGAGACGGGGTTTCACCGTGTTAGCCAGATGGTCTCGATCTCCTGACCCCGTGATCCACCCGCCTCAGCCTCCCAAAGTGCTGGGAATACAGGCGTCAGCCACCGCGCCCAGCCTTTTTTTTTTTTTGAGATGGAGTTTTGCTCTTGTTGCCCAGGCTGGAGTGCAGTGGCATGATCTCTGCTCGCTGCAACCTCCGCCTTCCGGTTTCAAGTGATTCTCCTGCCTCAGCCTCCCAAGTAGCTGGGACTACAGGCACGCACCACCACATCCCGCTAATTTTTTGTATTTTTAGTAGAGATGGGGTTTCACCAGGTTGGCCAGGATGGTATTGATCTCTTGACCTCGTGATCCACCCGCCTTGGCCTCCCAAAGTGCTGGGATTATAGGCGTGAGCCACCGCGCCCAGCCAATAGGCTCTATTTTTTTTTAAATTATTTTTTGTAGAGATGAGGTCTCACTTTGTTGCTTAGGCTGGTCTCGAACTCCTGACCTCAAGTGGTCCTTCTGTTTTGGCCTCCCAAAGTGCTGCGATTATATGTGTGAGGCACTGCACCCGGCCTCATTAGGCTTTTATGGCTTATGCTTTCTGTACTTTTAATACTATTTCAACTTAATTTTCTACTCCAATTTTTTGTTGTAATTTATATATGTATGTAAGTGTATATATATTTATATGTAGGGTGTGTATATATAGTGTGTGTATATATATATAAAGTATGTGTGTATGTGTGTATATATATATAATGTGTGT
This sequence comes from Homo sapiens, assembly GCF_000001405.40. NCBI lineage: Eukaryota > Metazoa > Chordata > Mammalia > Primates > Hominidae > Homo > Homo sapiens. The sequence goes on from NC_000010.11 coordinate 21,584,806, forward strand.
GTTTATATACACATACATATGTATGTATACATACACACATATATATACGTATGTGTGTATGTACGTGTGTGTGTGTGTGTTTATATATATGTATATGTATATATACATTTTTTTTTATTTTTGTTTTTTTTGAGATAGGGTTCACTCTGTAACCCAGGCTGGAGTGCAGTGGCGCAATCGTGGCTCACTGCAGCCTTGACCTTCTGGGCTCAATTGATCTGCCCGCCTCAGCCTGCTGAGTAGCTGGTACTACAGGTGTGCCACCACCACACCCAGCTAATTTTTTGTTTTTGTTTTTTGTAGAGGTGGGATTTTGCCGTGTCGCCCAGGCTGGTCTTGAACCCCTGGGCTCAAGCGATCTACCTACCTCAGCCTCCCAAAGTGCTGGGATTACAGGTGTGATCCACTGTGCCCGGCCTATATTACTATATAGTATGCTGCAAAACCTCTTTTGGAAACAAAGTGGGATATAAATAATACTCAAGTGAGACTTTCAGGAACATATTCTTCTTGGTAAGACAGTGCCACTGAAACTTACTGTGTTTCATAAGAAGTGGTAGTACTGGCTCTACTTTTATTTTTGGTTTTAAATTCTGAGCATGAGAAGGAGAGGGATCCACAATAAATTTTGAGTACTATTGTATTTGAATAATAATAACTGATTATCCTAATTCCTTTCAGAAGGGAAATCAGCATGCATGAGATCATTTCTTGCCACTTAAATTAAAATTCTAAATTCTAGAGTTAGGCTCTTTAAGAGAAACCAGACCTACTTGACGGCAGTCGTCCTAGCTGACCATAAGACAGGAAGTAAACAGGTAACAGGCATATGTTAAAAGCCTTGCCCCATTCCTGTGTTGAGAGGACCTTTTTGTTTTTTCTCCCGCTCCCCAGGTAAATAATCCCAGCATCTTTGTGTTTTTATTAATGTAAGATTTAAAAAATTGTGGCAGGAGTTTTGTTTTGTTTCTTTTAGTTGGAGTTTCGTTTTTGTTGCCCAGACTGGAGTGCAATGGCGCGATCTTGGCTCACCGCAACCTGTACCTCCCGGATTCAAGCAATTCTCCTGCCTCAGCCTCCCCAGTAGCTGGGATTACAGGCATGCGCTGCCAAGCCTGGCTAATTTTTTATTTTTAGTAGAGACGGGGTTTCTGCATGTTGGTCAGGCTGGTCTCGAACTCCCGACCTCAGCTAATCCGCCTGCCTCAGCCTCCCAAAGTTCTAAGATTTACAGGCCTGAGCCACCGCGCCTGGCCCATGGCAGGAATTTAAAAGTTAAAATGTACTTTAAAAAAATTACTTGTCCTCTGAAGAAGATCACATGTCATCAAGAACAACTGTTTGTGAAGAATGTTCTGAAATATTCTTGGGGGGCAACTAGGACAAATGCTGCTCTCACATTTTCAGTAGTTTTGACGTTGCAGGGAAGATACTACATTTTTGATAATCTGAAATATTCATTACCTGTTTCTTTTTTTTTTTTTATAGAGATGTGAACTTTGTCCCCATAAGGATGGAGCTTTAAAAAGAACAGATAATGGGGGTAAGTGCAGAGATTTCTTGAAAAAAATTTTATTGAAAACTGGGACAGTGGAGTATTTTCAAATATTTGGTAGTTTATTTTATTTTATCAAATTAAACAGCGTTTTCTACTCATTTTTAACAGTGGTGGCTATAATTTATAAATCCTTATTGTATTGACCCACAATTTTTCTACTTTGTGGACAAACTTAAGCATTGGGTATTTTATGCAGTATGATCTATTAAATACATACTTCTAATTTAAATTCTTATGTTTTTGGCTGGGCGAGGTGGCTCACACCTGTAATCCCAGCACTTTGGGAGGCCAAGGGAGGTGGATCACCTGAGGTCAGGAGTCGAGACCAGCCTGGCCAACATAGTGAAACCTGGTTTCTACTAAAAATAGAAAAATTAGCCAGGTGTGGTGGTGCCTGCCTGTAGTCCCAGCTACTTGGGAGGCTGAGGCAGGAGAATCGCTTGAACTTGGGAGGCGGAGGTTGCAGTGAGCTGAGATTATACCATTGCCCATTAGCCTGCGTGACAGAAGGAGACTGTCTCCAAAAAAAAAAAGTATTTTTTTTAAATGGATATAGTTTCTTATGTTAGGAATTTTTTTTTTTTGAAAAATGAGCCACATTTTTTTGTTGTTGTTGTTAGACCTAAAATCTGTTGTTTTAGATTCTTTTTTTCTGTTTTGTGTATCTCTAGACAGATGATGTTTCTAGTGAATGTTAATTTTATTTAACTCTGAAGATCTTTGTTGCTTGAATATAAAGAAATGTTGACTTTTAGGCTGGGTGTGCTGCCTGACACCTGTAATCCCAGCTCTTTGAGAGGCCAAGGTAGGAGGCTCACTGGAGCATAGGAGTCTGAGACCATCCTGGGCAACATAGGGAGACCTTGGTCTCTGCAAAAGTAAATATAAAAAATAAAAATAAAAAGACTGAGTTACACATGGTGGCACGTGCCTGCAGTTCCAGCTACTTGGGAAGCTGAGCAGGAGGATGGCTTGAGTCTGGGAGGTCGAGGCTGCAATGAGCCATGGCCACATCACTGTACTTCAGTCCCTGGGATGGGTGAGAGTGAGACCCTGCCTCAAAAAAAAAAAAAAAAAAAAAAAAGCTGACTTCTGTATCACATTTTGGTATGCTTTCCTATGAACCCTTGTATATTACTCATTTTCTTCTCCACTTTCAGTTATCTTTGTCAGAGAAATCATATTTTTCTACAGCTCAGTACTATTCTGAAATGTGTAGACATGAGTTTATTAGACCATGGCATATATGATGAGGCAGCTAAAAAAAGGTTAAGCTGCTATTACTACTATACTCTTCTCCATTTTGGGTAGCCACTTCTAAAGTAGTTTTGGCATAGGCTAGAGTAATGGTGTGAGTAAATAAAAGGGAAAAATAGAATGATTTTGGCTAGATATATATATTTTACAGTTTAATCTTCAGACTATGTTATACAGTCAGATTGTACAGAATTTAAAAATATGTTGAAAACTCTTCCTGTTATTCCTCTTCCCCATCTGCCCAGTTTATCAATAGTTTTCCTGCTACTATGTAATAATTACTTTCTTGCATATCTTTCTAGGTTTCTTTTGCATATTCAAATGTGAATAAAGACTTATTTACTCCCTCCATCTTTATACAAATGGGTTAATATTATATACTCTTCTGCCTCTTAATTTATTTCACTGAACAATTTATCTGTTTTTTTTGAGACTTTGCTTTTCTTTTTTCTTCGATTTTCTTTTTTTTGAAGCTTCGCTCATTTGCCCAGGCTGGAGTGCAGTGGTGCAGTCTCAGCTCACTGCAACCTCCACCTTCCGGGCTCAAGCGATTCTCCTGCCTCAGCCTCCCAAGTTCCTGGGATTACAGGTATGTGCCACCACGCCCGGCTAATTTTTATATTTTTAGTAGAGATGGGGTTTCACGATGTTGGCCAGGCTGGTGTTGAACTCCTGACCTCAAATGATCCTACTGCCTCGGCCTTCCAAAGTGCTGAGATTACAGGTGTGAGTCACTGCACCCGGCATGAACAGTTTATCTTGTTTCAGTATAGAGCTTTTTTTTCTTTTTAACCATGTTATCTAATATCTAATCAATCAGTTCTTGATGCACTTTCTGATCTTCTACTTTGATGACTAACTCTTGTATGTATGTCATTTTGCTTGTATACAAGTATATCTATAGGATTATTAATTTCCATAGGTGGAAACATTGAGTCAAAGGAGTTTTGCCGTTAATTTTGATAGATAGTCCCAAATTATTTGCCCTGTAGTTTTACCAATATATGTTCCCAGTTTTACCAATATATGAATAAAAAAGCTGTTCTACATACCTTTGGTAATCTAACAGGTAAAAGTTTGTATATCCAAGCAGTAGTTTTGCATTTCTCTTAATATTAGTGAGGTTCACATCTTTTTATAGTTTGAAGAGCAGTTTGTTTTTTCTCTTCTGTGGTCTGTTTTTTGACTTGGTTGTTGATCTTTTTCTTTTTTTTTTTTTTTGAGACAGGGTCTCCCTCTGTCACATAGGCTGGAGTGCAGTGGCTTGATCTTGGCTCACCGCAGCCTCTGCCTCCCCCTTTCAAGGGACTCTCCTGCCTCACTCACCCGAATAGCTGGGATTATAGGCACACACCACCGCGCCCAGCTGATTTTTTTATTTTTAGTAGAGATGGGATCCACCCACCTTGGCCTCCCAAAGTGATGGGACTACAGGTGTGAGCCACCATGCCCAGCCACAATTGTTGATCTTTTTACTTTGATTTATTGGAGTGTTCATAAGGAGCCCCTCATATATTATTATGCTGTTTTGATATGAGTTGGACTAATTTTTGCCCATCTGGTCAGTCTTTGTTTATATTGTGCTTTAAAAAAATTTTTTTTTACCGTGCATGAGTTTCTGATTTTAATTTTGTTCAATTTATTAATCTTTCATGATGTCTGTATTTTGAGTTATTAGTTAGAAAGGCCTTCACTATTCCAAAGTTTTTTTTTTTTTTTTTTAAGTGACAGGTTTTCATTCTGTTGTTCAGGCTGAATTACAAGTAGCAGGATCCTAGCTCACTGTAGCTTTGTAGTCCTGGGCTCAAGTGATCTTCCTGCCTCAGCTTTGAGAGTGTTGGAATTACAGGAATGAGCCACTGCACCTGGTGTAAACCTTCCATCTTATTAAATATTTCCTATTCTGGTTTGTTTCACTTGTTCCATTCTACCCTATTAGCTTAAAAAAGTTAACATTACTATGTGCTTTTTTCCTCTTTCTGAATCCTCTGAAACTTTTAGGATACTGTAAATTCACTTGTCCATCTCCAGACATATATTTTATTTTTGTCATGTACTTTCATTCTCTGTTTCTTTAAGAATTATAGTGGTTTTGTCAGGTGTTTGTTGAGGATTATGCTAGTCACTTAAAATGAAACAGTTTGTGTAAATTTGGTGTTATTTTTCTTTGAATTCTATATAGAACTTCGTGAGAAACTGAAACTTTTCTGGGAAAATTTTTGATAAATTCGTTTTTTGGCAAAATTATAGGGACATTCCTTTTCCCCCTTTCCTTTCCCTTTCCCTTCCCCTTCCCCTTCCCCTTTGTCTGTCTCTCTCTCTCTTTCTTTTTTAACAGTGTATCACTTTGTTGCCCAGGCTAGAGTGCAGTGATGCAGTCATAGCTCACTGCAGATTCAAACTCCTGGATTCAAGTGATCCTTCTGCCTCAGCCTCCTGAATAGGTGGGACCACAGGCACACCATGCCTGGCTAATATTTTTTTCTTTTTGTATTTTTTGTAGAGACACGTCGTCTCACTTTGTTGCCGAGGGTCGTCTCGAACATCTGGGATCAAGCTATCCTCCTGCCTCATCCTTCCAAAGTGTTGGGGTTACAGGCTTGAGCCCTTGGGCCTGACCTATTTTTATAAACTTAAGTCAATTTTGGTGCGCTCTATTTTTCCAAGAAATTTAACTACTTTGTATAAGTTGCTGAAATTGTTGGACTAACATTGCCAATAGTATTTTTTTTTTTTTGAGATGGAGTCTTGCTCTGTCACTCAAGCTGGAATGCAGTGGCGTGATGTCGGCTCACTGCAGACTTCACCTCCCAGGTTCAAGTGATTCTCTGCCTCAGCCTCCCAAGTAGCTGGGATTACAGGCAGGCACTACCATGCCCAGCTAATTTTTGTATTTTTAGTAGAGACGGGATCTCACCATGTTGGCCAGTCTGGTCTTGAACTCCTGACCTCAGGTGATCCACCCGCCTTGGCCTCCCAGAGTGCTAGGATTACAGGCGGGAGCCACCACACCCGGCCGCCAGTAGTATTTTATTATTATTTTGTTAATTTTGCTAGCAATGGTAGTAATTACCCCGTTGTTATTCCTGATGTTGGTGACTTGTGTTCTGGTTTTTTCTTTGTTTTTATTTTTATTTTTTTGACCAGTCCAAATAGAATTGTTCAGTTTTATTGACCTTTTTAAAGAAAGTTTTGGGTTTTGTTAATTTTTTTTGCCATCTCCCTGTTTTCTATTTTGTTAAACTTCTGCTCTTTATTATTTCCTTCCTAGTACTTACTATGTGTTACATTTTCCTCTTGTTTTCTAACTTATAAAGGTGGAACCTTAGGTCTTTTATTTTAGATATTCTTTTCTAATGAAAATGTATATGCTGTAAGTTCCTCTCTATTGCTTTTATTGAATCCCACAAGTTGTGTTTTTTTGTTTTTGTTTTTGTTTTTGCTGTTGTTGTTTTGAGACAGGGTCTCAGTTTGTCACCCAGGCTGGAGGGCAGTGGTGTGATCTTGGCTCAGTGAAGCCTCCACCTCCTGGGTTCAAGCGATCCTCCTACCTTAGCCCCTGAGTGGCTGGGACTACACGTGCACGCCACCTTATCCGGCTAATGTTTTTGTATTTGTTGTAGAGACGGGGTTTCACCATGTTGCCCAGGCTGGTCTCAAACTGCTGAGCTCCAGCGATTAACAGGCATGAACCACTGTCCCCAGCCTATGTCTCAAGTTTTGATAAATTTCATATTTGTTGCCATTCCGTTCAAGACATTTTCCAGTTTCCCTTGTGACTTTCTCTTGACTATCTTAGTCTATCTTGGACAGAAGTAGAAGTCTTCTGCTGTTTGTTCGTAACATTGATTTTCCCTCTTATTTCTTATTTCTCTTCTGTTCTTTTTGTGATTATTTTTTAGTGCTGTATTTTAATCAGTTTAACAATGCAACTAGTTAGTATTGCATTTAAATTTAATTATATTAAATTGCCTTAAATTGCCTTTTTGGCCATATCTCTTCCTATATATATATACACAAGTATTTATATTTATCTATATAGTGGTTGCTGTAGGGATTATAATTTTCTTATCAGTAAATTCAGTCTCTACTGAGTGTACAACTTTTTTTTTTTCCTTTTTGAAATGGAGTCTCGGTGTGTTGCCCAGGCTGGACTGCAGTGGCACTATCTCGGCTCACTGCAACCTCTACCTCCCAGGTTCAAGCAGTCCTGCCTCAGCCTCCTGAGTAGCTGGGACTACAGGCACACACCACAACACTCAGCTAATTTTTGTATTTTTAGTAGAGACATAGTTTCACTATATTGGCCAGGCTGGTCTGAAACTCCTGACCTCAAGTGATCTGCCTGCCTTGGCTATCTAAAGTGTTGGGATTACAGGCGTGAGCCACTGCACCTGGCCTGTGTGTGCCACTTAACACGAAATGTAGAATGAAACCATATAGACTTCTTTTACCTGTTTTTTTTCCAGTCTTTGTTATAGTTTTATAGGAAAGCTACATACATTCACAAACCCTACCAGTGTTTTAATATTTAATGTAAGTGGTCATTTGTATTGTAAATGAGTGTGAAGGCATTATTGTTTTGTATGTTCGTTACATATTAAATGTACCTACATGTTTATCACTCTTTATATTTTTCTTCAGTTCTGAGCTTCCTTCTGGAATCATTTTCCTATTACTCAAGGAAAATTGTTTGGTGTTCCCTTTAATGGAAAACTTTTAAAAAATGTTTTCTGGCTTTATTTAGTTATCTAGTTTTTCTTTTGATAACTTGCCTTTTGTCTTTAAGATTTTCATTTCTTTCCCTTAGTTTTCTGTAGTTTTTTTTTTTTTGTTTGTTTTTGTTTTTTTTTGAGACGGAGTCTCACTCTGTCGCCCAGGCTGGAGCGTAGTGGCGCGATCTCGACTCACTGCAGGCTCCACCCCCCGGGGTTCACGCCATTCTCCTGCCTCAGCCTCCCGCGTAGCTGGGACTACAGGCGCCTGCCACCTTGCCCGGCTAATTTTTTGTATTTTTAGTAGAGACGGTGTTTCACCGTGTTAGCCAGGATGGTCTTGATCTCCTGACCGCCTGATCTCTTCATCCGCCCGCCTTGGCCTTCCAAAGTGCTGGGATTACAGGCGTGAGCCACCGCGCCCGGCCAGTTTTCTGTAGTTTTATTGTCTCTTGGTGTATGTCTTTATTTACTCTGATTTATAGTGGTTCTTCAGTCAGTGGCTTTGGGTCTTCTGTTCTGGAAAATTTTTAGGTATTATCAATTCAGATAATGCTTTCATGCCATTTTCTTTCTCATATTTTCTCTGAGACTCTGATTACATGTGTGTTAGATCTGCCTGCCTATTACATTTTTCATGTGTCTTATTCCATTTTTTGTATTTCTTACTTTTGTGCTAACATTCTGGATTTCTTCTGACCTGTTTTGTTCCTACTAATTCTCTTTTCATCCATGTCTAAACCGTTGTTAATCCCACCCATTGATTTTTTTTTTTTGTCTTGAGATAGGGTCTCTATCACCCAGGCTGGATTGCAGTGGCACAATTACAGTTCACAGCAACCTTCAACTCTTGGGCTTAAGCACTCCTCCCACCTCAACCTCCTGAGTAGCTGGGACTATAGGTGCATGCTGCCGCACCTGACTCATTATTTTTTTTTGTAGAGATGGGGTTTCACTTTGTTGCCTAGGGTGGTCTTGAACTCCTGATCTCAAGTGATCCGCCTCAGCCTTCCAAAGTGCTGGGCTTACGGGTGTGAGCCCCTGTGCCTGGCTGATTTCTAAATTTCCTCTTTACTTCTGGAATTTTAATTTATTATTATAGTTTTCAGTTATTTGCATCAATTTAGAATTTTGTCTTGTGTGTACTTGATCATAGTAAGCATACTTATTTTAAAACCTTTATCTGATAACTCCAAAATGGTGATCTGTTTTGATTTTCTTATTTCTCCTTATTTTCATTCATATTGTCTTGTCTGTCATGTGTTTGGTACTTATTGTGCTGGAAATTATATGTAATGAAGAAATTTTAGGCTGGGTGTGGTAGCTCATGTCTGTATTCCCACCACTTTGGGAGGCTGAGACTGGTGGATCACTTGAGGTCAGGAGGTCGAGACCAGCCTGGTCAACATAGTGAAACATGGTCTCTACTAAAAATACAAAAATTAGCCCCGTGTGGTGGTGGGCACCTGTAATCCCAGCTACTTGGGAGGCTGAGGCAGGAGAATTGGTTGAACTGGAAGGAGGAAGTTGTAGTGAGCCGAAATCATGCCAGTGCAGTCCAGCCTGGGCGACAGACCAAGGCTTTGTCTTTAAAAAAAAAAAAAAAAAAAAAAAAAAAAAAAAGGTGGAAATTATTTGTAGCCAAGATGATACTGTTTTCTTTTAGAGAGGATAGATGTATATTTGCATCTGCTTGGTGCCTTGGGGGTTGTAATTTAGGATTACCTTCGTCAAATTTCAGTTTGAGATGGTCAGAGGCCTGGTGTAGTCTCTTTGAGGGTCTATGTACTTTTTGTGTATTCTTAGCTCTAGTTTGCCCTTCAGTGTTGCATCTGAAACGAGAGGGGTTTACTTGTTCCCTTTTTCTGTTGGTTGTTTCTGAATGTACATCCCTGTACTGTTAGGCCTCTGAGTTTGTCAAAAGTACCCTTCAGGCTGAGCGTGGTGCTCATGCCTGTAATCCCATCACTTGGGGAGGCTGAGGTGGGCGGATCACCTGAGGTCGGGAGTTCAAGACCAGCCTGACCTACATGGAGAAGCCCCACCCCTACTAAAAATACAAAATTAGCCGGGTGTGGTGGTGCATGCCTGTAATCCCAGCTACTGGGTCATTTGTATTGTAAAAGAGAATTGCTTGAACCCAGGAGGCGGAGGTCGCGGTGAGACGAGATCGCGCCACTGCTCTCCAGCCTGGGCAACAAGAGCGAAACTCTGTCTCAAAAAAAAAAAAAAAAAAAAAAAGGACCCTTCATCCTCACCACCGCTTTCTCTGAAATAGGCAAATGTTCCCTGGGCAAAAGTGGCCAAAAACTGTACCTAGGACTTTCATTCTTTTCCGGTTTTAGCCCAGAAACTCCTCACTATCATATCAGCTCTTTAATACCTTCAGTCGGGAGGCTGAGGCAGGAGAATTGCTTGAACCTGGGAGGCGGAGGTTGCGGTGAGCCGAGATCGCGCCATTGCACTCCAGCCTGGGCAACAAGAGTGAAACTCCATCTCAAAAAAAAAAAAAATTTAATATGAAATTTAACACATTTCAAATTAAAATAGTGAAATGATTATTACTAATATTAAAAATATTGACACTAAGATAAAAATAATTTCATGTTGACATTTAAAATGATTAAGATAATTAAATTTTGTCGTAAGTATTAAACTTTTAAAAACTCCTTTTATAGTGGTTCTCAGAGGTAGCGTTGATCTGAATATTTAGTCTGCCTGTATAAGAAGTGTTAGTGCCAACATCTGAATTTATAAATGTTTCCCTTTATTTATGTAACTGTACATCATAACTGGGGAAATGATTAAGAATGCTTTTTTTTGGTAGTGGTTTGAGTATTCTCAAGCAATGGAAGTAAGACAGCAATGAGAATTTGTTAATGTCCTTGTTGTGCATTTATTTCAATAGACATTTAAGGGATCTGTTAAGGAAGTTAACGGTGTTAATTTGCTTTCGATAAAACTGAAAAGATGACATTTATTTATTTATTTTTAGGTTGGGCCCATGTGGTTTGTGCCCTGTATATTCCAGAGGTACAATTTGCCAATGTTTCCACAATGGAACCAATTGTTTTACAGTCTGTTCCGCATGATCGTTATAATAAGGTACAGTGGATATTATTTTATTACTGTTTGAATATCACTACTGGGAAGTAGAAAGGAAGTTTTTGTGTTTTTAAAATCACAGGTCTCCATCAAATCCAGGGAGATTTGGAAAAAAAATTACTACTCCAAACTGCAGTTATTAAAATGTTATTAATATGTTACTAAGGTCACAGGAGTACAAAGCAAGCAAAACTGTGTTACCTTTTATAGTAACCTAGGTATTTAGTATTCTACGATATACAGGATATTTTAATCCTTACAGATTGGTGCTTTATGAATTACTGACCTCTTTTGCGCTTTCAAGTATCAAGAGCCTGTTAAATTTGAATTAATTATTATTTTGCATAATATTCATTACAATGTATCATACATTCTTTTTTGAAGAACAGTCCTATATTAGAATGTTACTTGTCTCCTCCTCCCAAAGTTATTTGTACCCCAAGATATGGTTTTTATTGTTGGCCTTAAAAAAAAAGTTTGCTTTTTTCCTGTATATTTTTCTTCATTTAGTACATATATATTATTGTTTTATTCTCCTGTGCATTTTAGGTTTTACCATTACCCAATGTGCCTTTAAATATAGTTTTATTATTTAATTGAAGGTACACATTCCATCCGTGGAAGAAATTGCAGCCAGCTTTAAGATTTTAAATGTTTTTGTGTAAAAAACCTTTTTATTTTGTAATTAATATTTATTTTAAAAACTTGAAAATACAGACAAGTAAATAAATATAAGACAAAAATCATTCATAATCTTATTCAGGTTCATCCAGGTTTTTTTCTGTGTATTTTTGCTTATAGTATATGCTTACAAAAAAGTTGAATCGTTTTCGCTTATATTTTTTCTTTGCTTTTGGAACTTACACAGCATCTTTTGCGAGTCAATAAATTGTGTTTCTGCTGTATTTTTAATAGATACTTAGTCTGTAATACAAAACATGAGATTCAACAAACTGTAAATTTAATTAAGCAACCCTTTGTGGTTGAAGGGCCTAGTTTGGTGTCTGGCATTTAGTATACACTGCTAGCATCTGTGTAAAAGTGTGTGAACATTTTGGAAGCTTCAATAAATACATTGTGTGAAATTGTCCTCTGGAAGTTACACTGTATTAGCTATATGTGAGATTGCTCATAACCCTATATTATGTTAGGTACACTGTGTTACCCTTAAAAAACTTTGCTATTCTTTCTAGTAAAAAAAAAAAAAAATATTAAAATGTTTGAAAGAGTTTGAGTACTGGTAAGGTTAATTATTTTAAAGTTTGTTTTTTGAAGATTATTCATGTATGTTAATTGACCTTCCATATCTGTTTATTTTAATATTATAATTTTTTTTACAAAGTGTTTTATGTTAGAGATCATATTATTTTGTCTTGTATATTTGCTGTGTGTGTTTTTTCCCATAATTTAACATTTGGTTTTTAATTTTGTTACGTCTTCATAGCTTTTGTTGTTGGGATTCTAGCAGGTTAATTTTTTGTAATGCAGAAGTTTACATTTTCGAGGTAATTTACACAAATGCTCTTTATTGTTTCTGCCTTTGATGCTGTGCAAAGAAAATCTTTATATTAATGCACTTTTTTTTTTTAGTGCTTTGGAAGTTCGTTTTTAAAAACCTTGTTTTTCTTTTTAATTTTAAAAGCATTAAAACTTACAAACAGGTTGCAGGAATAGTACAAAAGAACTCTTCCTTCCCTAAACCATTTGAGAGTAACTTACCAATATAATATGCTGTCACCCCTGAATACTTCAGAGTTTCCCATAAAGAAGGATACTCTCTTGGGAATATACAATATGCCGTCAAAATAAGGAAATTAACAGCGATACATTATTACTCTCTGATCTTTGGAACCCATTCATGTTTTTGTAGGCATATTCTTTATAGCAAAAGAATCACAAACTGCATTTTGACTCTTTGGTCTTTTTATTTATTTTTATTTTTATTTTTGTACAGAGTCTCACTCTGTCACCCAGGCTGGAGTGTAGTAGCGCAGTCTCGGCTCACTGCAGCCTCCACCTCCTGGGTTCAAGTGATTCTTGTGCCTCAGCGTCCCGAGTAGCTGGGATTACAGGTGTACACCACCACATCCAGCTAATTTTTTTGTGCTTTTAGTAAAGACAGGCTCTTGCCATGTTGGCCAGGCTGCTCTCGAACTCCTGGCCTCAAGTGATCTGCCTCCCTCAGCCTCTGAAAGTGTTGGGATTACAGGCGTGAGCCACCCCACCCGGGTCTCTTTGGTCTTTTTAAATCTCAAATGGTAACTCAGTCTTTCCCCGAGTTTCAGAAATTTGATGCTTTTGAATATTACAGGCCAGTTATTTTGTAGAGTGACCCCCTATTTGGATTTGCCTGATGTTTCATCATGATTAAATACAGTTATGTTTTTAGCAGGAGTATCACATATGTGATTCTGTGTTCTTTTTTTTGCATCCTATCAGTTGGTACATAATTTCAGTTTTTCCTTGATCACTTGGTTAAGGTGTGTCTGTCAGTTTTCTCCACAGTGAGGTTAATCTTTTTTCTTTTTATAGTCAGTATGGATTTTGTGGGGGAAGTACTTCATATATAAACATCTTGTTCCTTTTGCCTTTTCCTCACTAATTTTAGCATTCATTGATGTTTCTTGACCTAATTTATGACTAGGATTGATGGCAAGTAGTGGTTTTCTAATTTCACCCTTTCTTTTACATTCATCAGTTGACATTCCACTGTAAGGTGAAGCTTTCTTTACTTGCTGATTATTTGTATTAGTATGGACTTATGCTATTTTATTTTAATGGGTCATATTCCACTAATGTCATTTATTTTGATGTTCATACTGTCTCAGGTTTGCCTGGTGGGACCTCTTTAAGCTGGCTTCTGTGTCTTTTGACCTATCATTTCAGAGAAGCATTTCTCTACTTCTGACACAACAGTATAATCTAGGCTCATCTTGTGTTATTCCTGCTGTAGTTCTGAAATCACCATTTCTCTGAGTAACCTTGATTTCTTTTTGGTGAGAATAATATTTAGAAGCCAAAGTGGGTGCTAGGTGTGGGTTATTGCTACTCTCAGTCAGCATGGCTAGGAAATGTGTGTTTGTGTGTGTGTGTATTCCTACGGAGATACATATTTCTATAAATTCACATCTATTGTTTCTATATCTATGTAGAAAACTGTGGGCCAGGCGCGATGGCTTATGCCTGTAATCCTAGCATTTTGGGAGGCCGAAGCCAGCGGGATGACTTGAGGTCCAGAGTTCGAAACCAGCCTAGCTAATGAAACCCTGTCTCTACTAAAAATACAAAAATTAGCTGGGCATGGTGGTGCACGCCTGTAATCCCAGCTGCTTGGGAGGCTGAGGCATGACGAGAATCACTTGAGTCCTGGAGGCAGAGAGGGTGCAGTGAGCCAAGATCACACCACTTCACTCCAGCCTGAATAACGGAGTGAGATTCTGTCTCAAAAAAAAAAATTGGCTGGGCCTGCTGACTCACGCCTGTAATCCCAGCACTTTGGGAGACCCAGGCGGGTAGATCACGAGGTCAGGAGTTCAAGACCAGCCTGACCAAGATGGCGAAACCCCGTCTCTACTAAAAAATACAAAAATTAGCCGGGTGTAGTAGCAGGCGCCTGTAATCCCACTACTCAGGAGGCTGAGGCAGGAGAATTGCTTGAACCTGGAAAGCGGAGGTTGCAGTGAGCCGAGATCGCACCACTGCACCTCAGCCTGGGTGACAGAGTGAGACTCCATCTCAAAAAAAAAAAAAAATTAGCTGGGCATGGTAGTGGACGCCTGTAATCCCAGCTACTCGGGAGGCTGAGACAGGAGAATTGCTTGAACCTGGGAAGCAGAGGTTGCAGTGAGCCAAGATTGTGCCACTGCACTCCAGCCTGGGCGACAGAATGAGACTCCATCTCAAAAAACAAAAAGAACAAGCTGTGAGGTCACAATACTTTGATTCATTATGTGAATATACATACACACACTAATCTCTATTACTGTATCCATCTCTATATATTGAACTCCATATGCTCATGGTAACTTCTCCAAATCTAGCCCAACAAAACAGGGTTCATTTTAATTTTTTCCCCCATATTTATGATTCTCAGACAGAAACCTGACTCTTAATATTTTTAATAGTTTACTTATTTGATCAAAGTGACCCTGTCTCACTTTGTCACCCAGGCTGGAGTGCAGTGGTGCAGTTTTGGCTCACTGCAGCCTCGACCTCTTGGGCTCAAGCAGTCCTTCCACTTCAGCCCTCTAAGTATGTGGGACTACAGGCACACCCATCACACCCGGCTAAGTTTTTTGTATTTTTTTTGTAGAGTTGAGGTTTCATAATGATGCCCAGGCTGATCTTGAACTCCTGAGCTCAAGTGATCTGCCTGCTCTGGCCTCCCAAGGTGCTAAGATTACAGGCATGAGCCACTATATGGGCCCAGCCCCATCTTGTGGCTTTAAGACTAAAATAGTTCAAGTAGAAAAGGAGCAAAGGTAGACCAAAGAAGGAATTATTTAGATATAAACATTTCATTAGCCTAGAATAATTTTAGAATATGGTAAGATATGTGCCCAACTTTCCCTTCCCACCTGGTTAGTCAACTTTTTCAACACTATTGCTGAATAATCTATGTTTTCCATAGTGATTTGAAATATTATTTGAATCATTACTAAATTATTGAATACTTGAGTTTGTTTCTGGACTTTTTATGTGTTCCTTTGGTGTGTCTATTTTTATCCTGGCACCACACACACTATTTTAAATTATTGTGGCTTTATATGCATTTTAGTACATGGTAAGACAAATATTATCATGTATTTATTTTTCTAGATGAACATTAGGACTAATAAAAGCACAATTTAGACTGTATTAGAGTTACAGTGAAATACTGTTTTAGGGATGAATATATTTTTACAATATTGAATCTTTCCTGAGATAGAACACACACACACACACACACACACACACACACACAGTTAATTGAAACATTTCTTAGAATGAAGAGATAGACACTAAGTTTTAAATTCCTGACTTATGTTCATGAAACATATTACTCTGTTTGTAAAACAAGTCTTGTGTCTACAAATTGTTCACTGGCATGTATTAACGAGATGATAATAAGGCCCCTGATATTCATATTTGTATGAAAGCATTGAATATATTTGCATTTGTCTATATCTAATAAATGTTTATTTTTGCTTGACACTTTATACTAGTTACTTAGGTGAGTGCTTAAATTGATTTTTCTTTTCTGGAAAATTGAATCATTTTGAAAAGCAAAATCTTGCAGTTCTGGCTGTAAAAAAATTCTTTTGCTCTTTTTGATACATCAGCTGATTCTCATTTTGAAATTTTCTATTTGACTTCTCTCTGCTGTCTTTGTGTGTTCTCTCTCTCCAGCCCCCCTCTCCCCAACCCTAGTTACACATTCTCTTACACTTGGTATTCTCTTTTTCTCAGGAATAGTAAACTATTATTCATTATATTTGTTTCTTGTGGTCTCTCCTCCCCTGCCACTCCCCTCTTCTTTTTTTTCCAACATGGTCTTGCTGTTGCCCAGCCTGGAGTGCAGTGGTGCAATTACAGCTCACTGTAGCTTCTACTTCCCAGCCTCAAGCAATCCTCCCATCTCAGTCTCCTGAGTAGCTGTGACTACAGGCATGCACCATCATGTCTGGCTACTTTTGTTTTATTTTTTATAGAGATAGGATCTCACTATGTTGCCTAGGCTGGTCTTGAACTCTTGGATTCAAACAACCCCCCTGCCTTGGCCTCCCAAAGTGTTGGAATTACAAGCGTGAGCCACCATGCCTGGCCTCTTTGTGTCTTTTGTGCTTGTCAACTTGATATATTATTTGCTTTCTTACTCTCAACAGTTCCAAGACTCAAAGGCCTATTTATTTGATAAGGACTGTGGAAGAATGACACTATAATATCCCTCATTGTTATTTCTTTTCTCTTAGCTACCAAAGGCAGCAAGCATTCCAATCTAAACTTTTGGAAATGGCAGTGTATAGTAGCAGCTTAAAATTGTTCATGAGATTAAAATCTGTAATCTCACTCACCAACATTGCCTATCTCAGTGCTTTTCTTTTTGTAATATTTATTTATTTAGAGATAGAGTCTTACTCCATCACCCCAGGGTGGAGTGCAGTGGACAGTTATGTCTCACGATAGCCTCAAACTGCTGGCCTCAAGCAATCAGTCCTCCCACCTCAGTCTCCTGAGTAACTAGGAGTACAGGTGCCACCACCACACCTAGTTTTTTTAAAAATATTGGTAGAATTGGTAGAGAGACAGCATCTTGCTATATATAGCCCAGGCTGGTTGTGAACTCCTGGCCTCAAGTTATTCTTCGACCTCAGCCTCCCAAAATGCTGGGATTACTGTCAGCCACTATGCCTGGCCCTATCTCAGTTTTTTGTTTTTGTTTTTGTTTTTAATATTTATTTGGCTTCTGGAGTACTCTAGATGATAGGTATTTAATATAATCTGATAAGAAATTGATTGGGAGATTTTACAAAAACTGATACTTCAGGGAAGGTTACATTGCTGGGCAACATGGTATTAAAATAAGACAGGTCAAATTTGAGAAATCTGTGATTCTACAGGTTACCCTACAGGTAACTGACTCAATGTCTCAGTCCTAAATTTCCAGGAGAACAATTCTGGTATAAGCACCTGGATTTAGAAGCTATTTTCACCTAGACAAACATGAGTACCTAGGCACCATTCCATTATTAGAAATTGAGCATAGATGCTAATTTCTAGAAAAGAGAGATGGGTTGTCCAGGTGGGCAACAAGTTGCAGTTTTGATCAGGCTGCTGCTGCTGGTGGTTTATCCAGCTACAAAATTCCAGGATACACAGTTTGCCTCTTTCTCCCCTACCCCCAGCTGGCTCCCCCGTTATAGGTCAAATTTATTTATTTTTTTTTGAAAGTTGGTAGCATTGACATATCCTGGAATTGTGACCATTTAAATTCTCAGATAACACACCATGTGATAATCTTTTTATAGGGTTATGTCAAGAATCTTTTGTATATACCACCTCTTCCCCACAGTGATGAAGAAACAAAGGAATGCATGTTAGTTGCAAAAAGTCTGAGTGAGATAGACTCCTAGATTAACTTATCTTATGTGACACTAGGGGCATATAGATCATTTTTAAGGGAATATAAGTAACTGTGATGATTAATGTTTTCAAATTGGTTTTAGTTTTTTGAAACTGTTGTTGTGCCATGTAATCCATTATGGTTTTCTTCACATAAACATTTAAATGGAGTTTTTTCCTTTATCTAAACTCTTTTTTTTTTTTTGAGACAGTGTCTTGCTCTGTCGCCCAGGCTGGAGTGCAGTGGCGCAATCTCGGCTCACTGCAAGCTCCACCTCCCAGGGTTCACACCATTCTCCTGCCTCAGCCTCCCGAGTAGCTGGGACTACAGGTGCCCTCCACCACGCCCGGCTAATTTTTTTTTGTATTTTTAGTAGAGACGGGGTTTCACCATGTTAGCCAGGATGGTCTAGATCTCCTGACCTGGTGATCCACCTGCCTCGGCCTCCCAAAGTGCTGGGATTACAGGCGTGAGCCACTGCGCCCGGCCTATCTTAACTCTTAATCAAAAAATTTTTTTCTTTTTTTTTTGAGATGGAATCTCACTGTTTCCCAGGCTGAAATGCAGTGGTGCGATCTTGGCTCACTGCAACCTCCTCCTCCCGAGTTCAAGCCATTCTCCTGTCTCAGCCTCCCGAGTAGCTGGGATTATAGGTGTCCACCACCGTGCTCGGCTAATTTTTTTTTTTTTTTTTTTGTATTTTTAGTAGAGGCGGGGTTTCACCATGTTGGCCAGGCTGGTCTCAAATTCCTGATATCAGGTGATTTGCCCACCTTAGCCTCTGAAAGTGCTGGGATTACAGATGTGAGCCACTGTGCTGGCCTTGATCAATTTCTTTTATGCCTGATATAAAGAAGAGCTTTGGGGCTTATTTCCAATTTTATTCAAATGTTTCCTAATTTGTCTGCTTCTGCTTTTAAAGCTTTAATACTTAATCTACTTATTATAACATTCGTTTATTAAGAATTTCTGAAATTGTCAAATATATAAAACAGTAAGCAATAATATAACAAACAACCTGTGTAGATTCATCACCCAATTCTAACACATGACCAGCTCATAGCCAATTTTTCATACACCCCCTGTAGTAGGGCTGCTGTAACAAAATATCACAAACTGGGTGACTTGAAGCAGCAGAAATTTCTTCTTACAATTAAAGAGGCTACAAGTCTGAAATCAAGATATCAGCTGGGTGGATCCTTTTGAGAACTCTTAAGGGAAATCTGTTCCATGCTTCCTAGCTTCTAGTGATGGATGTCAGTGGTTGACAGTTTTTGTTTTTTTGTTTTTTTTTTTTTAATCACCCTAATCTCTGCTGCTATCTTCACATTCCATTCTTCCTTTGTCTCTGTCTCCATATGGCTATCTTCTTATTAGGAGACCAGTCATATTGGATTAGGGTCCTGCCCTACTCCATCATGTGACCTCATCCTAATTACATTTGCAATGATCCTTTTTCCAAATAAGGTTACTGTGTAAGATACTGGGTGTTAAGGACTTCACATACATTTCTTGGGGACCACAGTTCAACCCATAGCAGTCTGCCTTCTGGACCCCCCAAAATTTATGTTCTTTCCACATACAAAATAGGTGTGCTGTATCCCAGTAGTCCCCAAAACTGTTAATCCATTTTGATGTAAACTCTGTAAGTAAGTCTCACATCTTACCTGAATATAATAAACTCAGAAAGTCCCAAATCTCATCTTCTGAATCATTGGAATTGGCGATGGATTAAGACTTTGGTTAATCCTGAAGCAAAATTTCTATCTCTGCTGGGCATCTCTGGTGGCTCAGGCCTGTAATCTCAGCACTTTGGGCAGGCAGATGACCTGAGGTCAGGAGTTCAAGACCAGCCTGGCTAACACAGTGAAACCCTGTCTCTACTAAAAATGCAAAAATTAGCGAGGTGTAGTGGCACACACCTGTAGTCCCAGCTACTCGGGTGGCGGAGGAGGAGAGTCGCTTGAAGCTGGGAGGCAGAGGTTGCAGTGAGCCGAGACTGTGCCATTGCACTCCAGCCTGGGTGGCAAGAGTGAGACTGTTTAAAAAAAATAATAATAACTTCTATTTCTAAAGCTGTGATACATAGAAAACAAGTTATCTGTTTCTGAGATGCAATGGTGGGACAGGTGAAGAAGCATTCCCATTCCAAAAGAGATAAATTGGAAGGAGAAAAGGGGTTTAAAGCAGGTTTGTAAGTCTGCAGGACAAATTCCATTCAGTTCTGAGACTTGAAAATAGTTCTCTGTGGCTTGATATTCCGTTCTCTAGGTGCATTGACACGGCCTTACCCCTTGGTCCTGGATTGGCAGCCTGCCCATTTTTTTTTTTTCTTATGACTGCTTAGTTCCTATTTTTTGTTTTTTTTATTTCTACCTTTTTAATCTTAAGTACAGATGCTTCTTGAGTTATGATGAGCTTACATTCTGATAAGGCAGGAGTATTATTTGAGTCCAGGAGTTTGAGGCTTTAGAGTGTGATTATTGCACCTGTGAACAGCCACTTCACTGCAGCCTAGGCAACATAGTGAGACCCCATCTCTTTAAAAAAAAAAAAAAAAGAAAGAAATATACCTTATTTATTTAACATCTTGGCTTAGCCTAGTCTACCTTAAACATGCTTAGAACACTTACATAGCCTACAGTTGGGAAAAATCATCTGTCTACACAGTTCACTGGACAAGCAAGCATTGGTTGTTTAGTCTCATGATGGCGTGGCTGACTGGGAGTTGTGGCTTGCTGCCGCTGCCCAGCATCACAAGAGAATATTGTACTGATGTGTATCAGGTTTGCATCATGGTGGTAAAGTTGAAAAACTGTAAGTAGAATGATTTTAAGTTGGATACCATCTATAGATACTTTCTAGTATGCCATTTTCATTTCTTTTATTTTTCATTGTTATTTTATTTTATATATTTTTTTGAGATAGGGTCTTGCTCTGTCACCCTGTTTGGATTGCAGTGGCACTGTCACGGTCACTGCAACATCAACCTCCCGGGTTCAAGTGATCCTCCCCGCTCAGCCTCGCAAGCAGCAGGGACTACAGCCATATGCCATCATGCCTAAGTTTTTTATTGTTTATAGTGACTGGGTATGTTGCCCAGGCTGGTGTCAAACTCCTGGGCTCAAGCTATCCTCCTGCTTTAGTCTCCCAAAGTGCTGGGAACTACAGGTGTTTGGCTCACTGGCCTGGCCTTTATGATTTTTAAAACTATTTTTCTTGGGTTATTTTCTTAGTGGTAGTTGTAGGGCTTACTATCTTTATCTTAACTTGCTAGACTGTACTTAATTTTAGTAAGATGTATAAGCATATCTTTTTTTTCTTAAGCATATCTCATTTTATTGGGCTTCTTTTTATTGTACTTCACAGGAAATTGCATGTTTTTTTTCTTTTTTACCGAATTGAAGTTTTGCGGCAACCCTGGAGTAAGCAAGTCTATCGGTTTCATTTTTCCAACAGCATGTGCTCACTTAGTGACTCTTTGTCCCTTTTTGTTAATTCTCATATTATTTCACACATTTTCATTATTATATCTGTTATGGTTATGTATGATCCGTGACCTTTGACGTTACTGTGAGGTGAAGTTAATAAATGTTGTATGTGTTCTGACTGCTGTACCAGCTGGCTGTTCCCTCATCTCTCTCTACTCTCCTTAGGCCTCCTTGTTCCCTAAGACACAACAATATTGAATGTAGGCCAATTAGTAACCCTTTGACAAGGTACATAGTCACCTAAGAGCTCTGTTGAAGATGTACAAGAAAATGTTCTTTTCATACCTGCTAACAACATCCATCCTGCAGTCTGTGGATCCAGGAGTCAATTTGACATAGAAGTCTGATTTAAGAAACACCTTTCGAAAGGCTATGGCTGCTATACAGAGGATGATTCCTCTGATGGATCTGGGCAAAGTACATTGAAAACTTTCTGGAGAGAATTCACCATTCTGGGTACCATTAAGAACATTTGTGTTTTGTGGGAGGAGGTCAAAATATCAACATGAACCGGAGTTTGAAAGAAGTTGATTCTGTCCTGCATGGATGACTGAGAGATTCAAGACTTTGATGGAGGTTGCAGATGTGGTGGCCAATAGCAAGAGAGCTAAAATTAGAAGTGGAGCCTGAAGATGTGACTGAATTGCTGCAATCTCATGGTCAAACTTGAATGTATATCTTCTCATAGATGAACAAAGAAAGTGCTTTCTTGAGATAGAATCTATTTCCTCTGAAGATGGTGTAAACATTGTTGAAATGACAACAAAGGATGTAGAATATGCCCTATGCTTAGTTGATAAAGTGGCAGCAAGGTTTGAGAGAATAGGCCCCAATTTTGAAGAAAGTTTTACTGTAGGTAAAATGCTGTCAAACAGCAGCACATACTACAGAGCAATGTTTTATGAAAGGAAGAGTCAATTGATATAGCCAACTTTATTGTTATAAATGGCTGGGTGTGGTAGTTCACACCTTTAATCCCAGCCCTTTTGGAGACAGTAGGATTGCTTGAAGCCAGGAGTTTGAGACCACCCAGGGCAATATAGCAAGACCTTGTCTCTACTTGAAAGGTAGTGAAAGTGCCACAACCACCACCTCAGTGAGTCAGAAGCCATCAACACTGAGGCAGGACTTTTTACCAGCAAAAAGATAAAGACTTGCAGAGAACAGTTTTCTCCTGTAAAGCTCCATTGCCCTCTTCCACATTTTGCTATTATTATAATAAACATTATAAATGTTAAAAACTCAACAATATGTTGTTAAACTTATTGTTTTATGTACTCTATGCTTTTTTTTTTTTTTTTTTTGAGATGGAGTTTTGCTCTTGTTGCCCAGGCTGGAGTGGAATGGCACGATCTCGTCTCACCACAACCTCCACCTCCTGGGTTCAAGCAATTCTCACACTTCAGCCTCCTGAGTAGCTGGGATTACAGGCATGCGTCACCACGCTCAGCTAATTTTGTATTTTTAGTAGATACACGGTTTCTCCATGTTAGTCAGGCTGGTCTCGGAACTCCTGACCCCAGGTGATCCGCCCACCTTGTCCTCCCAAAATGCTGGGATTACAGGCGTGAGCCACCCCTGGCTAGGTGTTAATTCTTCATTATAGCTTTGTCCTAATCCTGTTTCATTGTATTATTGTCACATTTGTATATGTTACAGTCTTGGCAATACAATTTGTAGACATTGTTTAATTCAGCTATTTAAATTAAATAGATAAGAGAAGAATGAAGAAGAAATACCTAATCACACTGTCTTACTTCCTACATGGTCCTTATCAGAGCTGTTTGTTTTTCATGTAGATTGCAATTGCTGTTTGGTGTCACTTGATTTTAGCTAAAATAATTTCCTTTAGTATTTCTTTTTTGTCACATCTGGAGCAAGAAAATCTCTAAATTTTTATTTTAAAATGTTTATATTTTGCCTTTATTTTTGACAGACAGTTTTGCTAGTTATAGGATTCTTGATTTACAGGTGTTTTTTTTTTTCTTCTTTTTTTTTGGTATTTTGAATATGTTATTCCATTGCCTTCCGGCCTCCATAGTTCCTGATTGGATCTCAGGTGTTAATTTTATTGTATTTATCTTACATGTGGCA
This sequence comes from Homo sapiens, assembly GCF_000001405.40. Taxonomy (NCBI): domain Eukaryota; kingdom Metazoa; phylum Chordata; class Mammalia; order Primates; family Hominidae; genus Homo; species Homo sapiens. Next base: position 21,608,128 of record NC_000010.11, read on the forward strand.
GGTCATTTTTCTTGTTCTGTTTTAAGTGTTTTCTCTTTATTTTTGGCTTTTTTTTTTTTGAGACAGGGTCTTGCTCAGTTGCCCATGCTGGAGTGCAGTGGCACGATAAAGGCTCAGTGCAGTTATTGATCTCCTGGGCTCAAGCCATCCTCTCACCTCAGCTTCCTGAGTAGCTGGGACTACAGGCTTGCACCATCACGCCTGGATAATTTTTTTCTTTTTTTTTTAAAGTAGAGGTGAGGTTTTGCTATGTTTTCCAGGCTGGTGTTGAACTCCTGGGCTCAAGCAGTCCTCCTGCTTCAGCCTCTCAAAGTGTTGGGATTACAGATGTGAGTTACCACTCCTAGCCACTTTCATTATTTTTAATGTGAATCTCTTTGTTTTCATCTTATTTTGAGTTTGTTGAGATTTTTGTATGTATAATTTTTTTAAAATCAAATTTTGGAAGTTTTCAGCACTAGATTTTCAAATGTAGTTTCTATCTCCCTTTCTCTTCTTCTGGTTATTGATACATATGTAAATTTAATGGTGTCCCACATTTTTTTCAGGCTGTTCTTTAGGTTGTATAATCTAAGGAAAAAACCGTCCGTTAGGTTATGTAATCTCTATTGATCTCTTCTTAAGTTTGCTAATTTTTTTCTTCTCCCAATTAAATCAGCTTTTGAGTCTTTTAAATAAAATTCAAACTCCAGATTTTCCATTTGTTTGAGGTCTTTGTCTCCTAAGTCCAACATCTGGGTACTCTCAAAGACAGTTTTTCTTACTGCTCCTTTTTCCTGTGTGTGTTCTTTATTTTTTAATTTTTTTGTTGAATACCTATTTTAGGTAATATAGCCCCTCTGGATAATGATTCTTTCTTCTCCCTGTGTGTCTTACTGTTGTTTGTTTGGTCATTTATTTGTTTAATCACTTTGCCAGACTGATTTTCTGAAGTCTATTTTTCCAATAGTATACAACCTCAGATGGCCCTGCTCTAACAAATGTAGGACCCACCTTCCCTCCACCAGTTCCCCATTTTTTTTAGCTTGACCTCCTAGGATTGCCACACCTTGGGGCCACATAAACCACTTATTGTCCTTAACCTCTTAGCCAGTTACATTTTCACTCTTTCCTTTTGGAGGTGTTTGTTGTTTAGACACTATTTTCCAAGGATATCAGAGGTTATTTTCCAATCATTTCTTAGAGGGTGTACAATTGAGCTTATGCACAGTCTTTTGACCGTTAGGTATGAATGTGATTTTACTTTGAAGTTTGACTTTTGAGGAATTGCCCCGGGTCAGAGTAACTAACTTTTCAGCCAGTTTTTGATCAGAGGTTGTACTGTAGCCCCCTGAGCTTTATTGATTGATGCATTTGTATTTGGCTTAGGGAATGCTTTTAGGTTCGTCACAAATCCTGATACAATTTCTCCCCATTGGGTGCAGCCTAGTTCATGTGCACAACATTCTAGAACCCCAGGGATAAGTGTGATCCCAGGAGGGCCCTTCTTGCTGTCTTTCTCTAGTTCACTCTGTTAATCTTCTGGCTGTTCAGTTGTTGTACTTGTTTCTCCTTGTAACTATCGTTCTTGTCCTAATTGCTAACAAGTGTCCATTGTTTTGTTTTTTCCCTCTGACTTTACTTAAATTGTAGTGAGTACACTGGAAAATAGAATTCAGGTACTCTTTATTAGTTTTCTTTTTTTTCTTACTTGTTTTTGTTTGACAAATCATAATTGTGTATGTTTGCAGAGTACAGTGTGATGTTTTCTCTCTCACACACACACACACGCACATACACAGATTGTGAATTCTCCATTATTTTTGACAAAAACCTTAAGCATGAACTCTAAGCCTGTTAAAAAACAAAGTCTGTCCTCAGGCAGAGCTGCTGAATTCTTTGGTTCTTACAGTCCCCTTAAGTGTACACCCTCTGCCCTACTGCTCTGGAACTGGGGATGGGACGAGTAGCCTTCTTCTGAAGAGACACTCTTGCTCTATAAGAGGGTATTGAGAGAAGGGAAGGGTATGATAGCTTCTTGTTTTTCCAGTTTGTTTCTCATAATTAATATGGAACTTTCCACTCTACTAAAAGCTGGGGCAGGGATGATAGGACCCTAGCATTCTTGGCTTTTTGTGAGGATGGGGATCTGTGAATGGGAGCTACCAGGTCTGAGTTGAATCAGAGACACTGGCAGCCTGGCCGTCATAGGGTAAAACTATAGTCCTAGACTAGAAGCTGAGTTGGAGGGAGCCCTCATCTTCTTGGCCACACCATCCAGAGTGGACCATCTGTCATAGGGAGCTGTTGGGGTGGGGATGCTGGGAGCAAGTTGTGACTTAAATGCTATAGACTCTTAGTGTCATTATTGAGATTTAGTAGATTTACTTGGGTAAATTTTTTTCTGTATGTCGGTAGGACAATTCCAGAGACTACTTGACTGTTTTTCACCTGTGAAATGGTTACTTCTCTGGGGAGGAGATCTCCCATTCTGGATGTTTCACCCCCCTTCTTTTTTTTTTTTTATAAATAAAAATTATCATATTTTTAAGTTTTATGGGATGGTTAAGTAATGATTTCTATTCACTGTCAGCTCTTTGGAAGTTACTGAGGTATTTGAGGCCTCTTTTGCATATTTTCCCCAAATTTTGCCATATAGAGTGTTACTGTTTCAATGTGCTCTATTTTTAAATTTTTTTGATCATTTGTAGGCAAAAATGCATGCTAAATTCTTCCATTGTAACTAGTACTTAGGAATACTTTTATTCAGTGTGTCTAGATAGGTTTTGTTGTTATTTGGGATTTTACTTTTTAGAGGTATAAAATGATGTTTGTAATTCAGTTGAGTCTGAATCCTAGTTTTTCTTTCTTTTTTCTCTTTTTTTTTTTTTTTTTTTTCCTTTTTTTGAGATGGAGTTTCTCTCTTGTTGCCCAGCCTGGAGTGCAATGGCATGATCTTGGCTCACTGTAACTTCCACCTCCCTGGTTCAAGCGACTCTCCTGCCTCAGCCTCCTGAGTAGCTGGGATTACAGGCATCTGCCACCATGCCCGGCTATTTTTTTTTTTTTTTTTTGTAATTTTAGTACAGACAGGGTTTCACCATGTTGGCCAGGCTGGTCTCGAACTCCTGACCTCAGGTGATCCACCCATCTCGGCCTCCCAAAGTGCTGGGATTACAGGTGTGAGCCACCACGCCCAGAGAATCCTAGGTTTTCAATAGAGGAGTTGAAATCATGTACCTAGTTAGATAATTAGTTTTTTTTTTTTTCTGTGTCCTTGTAAATATTGTTGCATGGTGTTATTTGGCACCACAGTGCAAAGTGAATGAAACCATTTGGTTGTGTTGAAGTTGGGCTAGGTTATGCTTTATTACTATTTAGAAATTAGTTTCTTTTTCAACATGTATCACCTGATTATATGTAGTTAGACATAACTTTTTGTATCCTCAACTTGGAGTCTGCTGATTTTATTCATTATACACCGATACTTACAGATTGTTGTTTTTGCAGTTCAGTCTTCTGTCACATGACCAGCCATGATTTTGAGCTGTGAAAAGTTAATATTGCGTATTAGTTACTTGCACATGGAAAATGGAAGATGTCAGTCAAAGTTTCTCGGGGTGTTCATTGGCTTTGTATCTCTTGGGCATTTCTGACCTACTTAGCTAAAGTATCTTCTTCTGTAGCCCACATATGTCAGCTTGGTGGGGCTGAATGACAGCCTACCCGTATAGGATTCCTCACAGACAGTGGAAATGAATGACCTAAACGTTGCTAATTCGTGTAGGGCTGTTATTTGTCTCTTAGGTCCCAATACCCTGTTTCAAACCCTCTTAGATATGATTATTTCCTGCAGAGGGGAAAGATAAACATTGTTTTTACACCCTTGTTACAGGAATCAGTCTTGATGACAAGGTGTTGGGAAGAAGAGGTGTGGTAGATTGTGTCCTGGCCCGCCAGCCTCAGTGCCTGGGAAGAGTCTTCCTGTCTTGCAAAGTTTGTGAGACTGATGAAGATAATGCCTTTGTGAATTTTTTTAATAGGACTATTTGTATGTCTTTGTTTATATTTTTCTGTTTGTATTGTATGCAAAAATTAGATTATTGTCCAAAATGAATTCATATTTTGAGTTAAGATAGGTTACTTAGTATACCTGATCTTCATTTCTGAAGATAATTGTAAAATTCTGATTCATGTTAAGAACATGTATGATTTTTGTCTTTTTTTTTTTTAACCCCAAGACTTGCTACATTTGTGATGAACAAGGAAGAGAAAGCAAAGCAGCCACTGGTGCTTGCATGACATGTAATAAACATGGATGTCGACAGGCTTTCCATGTAACATGGTAAGGATGTTTCCATTGTTGCACAGAACTGAACTTGGTAAATACCTTGTGTAACAATCATAAGTTAAAGACTTAGATACTCAAACATTAATTATGGTAAACTTTATTGGTATAGTTTCTATGTTCACATTTACTTATTTGTAATAAAGATAATTTTAATAACTGAATGTATTTACCAGAGTGATTTTGCAATAAGTGGACTCTGGTTCTGATGTTTTATTCTCTGTAAGCTTCAGTTTCGTCTTGTTTAAAATTTTGGTATTGATTACCTATCCTTCGATTTGTTATTATGATTAAATGAGCTAATCTAGGTAAGCTTAGTGCAGTGTCTGAATACAAGGATTCGGTGAATGATAGTACTTCCTTACCTTCTGTGTCTCAAGTGAGAAGTAGTGTAACCACTGTCATTCTCAATATTACAATGGCGACTTCACAAAAACTTATTTAAGATACTCTTTCATGCCGGGTGCAGTGGCCCACACCTGTAATCCCAGCACTTTGGGAGGCCGAGGTGGGTGGATCACCTGAGGTCAGGAGGTCCAGACCAGCCTGGCCAACATGGCAAAACCGTGTCTCTACTAAAAACACAAAAATTAGCCAGGTGTGGTGGCACATGCCTGCAATCCTAGCTACTTGGAAAGCTGAGGCAAGAGAATCGCTTAAACCTGGGAGGTGGAGTTTGCAGTGAACCGAGATTGCGCCATTGAACTCCAGCCTGGCGACAAACCAAGACTCTGTCTCAAAAAAAAAAAAAAAAAAAAAAAAAAGATATTCTTTCAGCAACAAAATTTCAAGGGCAAAAATTATTTACAACAATATATTTTACATAATAGGTAACAGTTCCAAATAAAAAGTTTGGGAATAATCTGTGCACTAATTTTAAGAATCAGTCTATGCTTCACTGCCAGTGTAAGTACATGCTCATTTCCTGAGTTTTTAGTGTGTAGTTATATGAAATCTGTTTTATACTACTATTGTGAAATGGAAAACGGTTTTTGACTTTTATAAATTCTCGTAATGACTGTACCAAATTTCTCAAAGATGAAAGTAGTTTTTGGGGTATGAGATCTGTATACTAATATAATTTTGGAATGTTAAAAGTGTGAAAGGTCAAATTGAAAAGATGGTGATTAGAAACTTCAGCGTTTTGTGTTTTTAAAAATGAATATGCTAGGCACTGTGGCTTACGCCTGTAATCCCCAGCACTTTGAGAGACAGAGGTGGGCAGATTGCCTGAGCTCAGGAGTTCAGAGCCACCCTGGGCAAGGTGGTAAAACCCCATCTCTACTACAAATATGAAGAAATTAGCCGGGCATGGTGAAGCATGCCTGTAATCCCAGCTACTCGGGAGGCTGAGATGGGAGCATTGCTTGAGCCCCAGAAGGCCGAGGTTGCAGTGAGCTGAGATCATGCCACTGTACTCTGGCCTGGGTGACAGAATGAGGCTCCATCTAAAAAAAAAAACAAAAAACAAACAAAACGAATATTAGCTGGGTGCAGTGGCTATGCCTGTAATCCCAGCACTTTAGGAGGCCAAGGTGGGAGGATCGCTTGAGTTAAAGAGCAGTCTGGGCAACATAGCAAGACACCTCATCTCTACTAAAAATAAAAACAAAATTAGCCAGGTGTGATGGTGTACTCCTGTAGTCCCAGCTATTTGGGAGGCTGAGGTGGGAGGATTGCCTGAGCCCAGGAGGTTAAGGCTGCAGTGAGCTTTCATTGCACCACTGCACTCCAGCCTGGGTGACAGAACGAAACCCTGTTTTTTTTTTTCAAAAAAAAAAAAAAAAAAAGAATATTGTAACATTAGGTTTCATTTTCATTTCTTCCATTGCTTTTTACTGAAAAGCACAATTTATGTTTATCTCGCTTATTGTGCTGTGACTTAAAGCACTTAGAGTTGCAAATTTAGTCTTGAGTGAATGCATGTTTTCCTTGTAAGGTTATGTAATCTGCATCCATGGGCTAAATACCATCACTTCGGCCCTTTAGAGGCATGGCCTTTCCATTTGTACCTGTGACAGATTGAAAAAGTAAAATGAAGTGTTAACTGATGGGGTGGGATTGAGGGGGAAGAGAATGTATCTTAAACTTAATATCTATTTGGAGACATAAAACATGTGTACATCTTCATCCTAATATGAGATGTGTGAAGAGTTTGTTTTAAGCCATAAACATAACTTTAAAAAAAGATCAGTTGCAGGTTGGGGTGAAATACACTTGGTCACAGCTAGAATAAAGCTTTTTATTTTCTCATTTTTTTCTTAGGAGATGTTATTTTCTCAGAGCATGAATGATTGGAAGTAAATTTTATTTGCTTATATATACAGGTACTGTGATTTTAGTATATCAATAAATATACTTGGCTTTTATTTTCAGCGCTCAGTTTGCCGGACTGCTTTGTGAAGAAGAAGGTAATGGTGCCGATAATGTCCAATACTGTGGCTACTGTAAATACCATTTTAGTAAGCTGGTAAGAATTTCTCTTGGATTTAATGAAATGATTATGATTAGTTTTGACAATAGAATGACACTGTTTTATTAAAAAAAGCATATAACAGTTCCTTTTTCCTTGAGTTTTTGGCTGGAGATTGTGTTTAGCATGTTCTTTATTGGAAGTAAATAGATCTGTTAATAGTAATTTTAAAAGATTTTGCTTGCTTCGGTGTATTTGTAAAGGTGAATATTCTAAAGTACTCTCATTTAGAATATATATTAATATTAGGCCGGGTGTTGTGGCTCACACCTGTAATCCCAGCACTTTGGGAGGCCGAGGCGGGTGGATCACCTGAGGTTGGGAATTGGAGACCAGCCTGACCAGCATGGGGAAACCTCGTCTCTATTAAAAATACAAAATTAGCGGGGTGTGCTGGTGCATGCCTGTAATCCCAGCTGCTTGGGACGCTGAGGCAGGAGAATTGCTTGAACCCAGGAGGTGGAGGTTGCAGTGAGCCGAGATCCTGCCATTACACTCCAGCCTGGGAAACAAGAGTGAGACTCCGTCTCAAAAAAAAAAAAAAAAAGAAAAAAAAAAAGAAAATATATAAATATTGATAGTGAATGTTGGTATACATTTAGTGAAAAAATTAATCTGTAGGAAACTTTATATTTTTAAGGTCTTTAGTTAATTGGATTTTTGGTGCCAATTTTACATTTTGTGATTATCACTTTGTTTCTCATTTTCTGCTTAATTACTATTACCCATTTATTTATTTTCATTTTTATTTACTGGGAAATAGTAAAACTGAAGTAAGGCTGTTTTGTAACTTGCTTAAAAACCTTCAGAAAAATATATTTAAATACAACTTTGGGAATTCTTTAGATTTGGTCACTATTTGCTGTCACACAGGATCATGGTGATTGAGTTAGTAACATTTGATTGGGTGTTACATATTTGTATCCATGTTCCTTTGAAGGGTCAGTATGCCTGAAGTCCCGAGTATCTACTTCTCATTCTTTTTAATGGTAGATATTAATACACTGAAGGTTTAAGGCTTCTTTATTTTTCTTTTGGTTTCTAATTTTTAAATTATTATATTTCCCTTGTGAATGGGGCTATTTCTTTTGAAAATAAATACTACAAGGGGCCCCTGTTTTATGAAATGAGCAGTTTAGGCCTCTAATATTTTGGTTCTTGTATACGAATTACTTAAGAGTGTGTATCTGTGTATCCTTTGATGCTGAATGCTTTATTTTAATGACTTAACAAAAATTTTGAGATTATAAAATTGAAAATTTTTCTTCCTAGGTGTAATAAGCATATTGAAATACTCATTTTCTAAATGAGAGATGATATAAATAAAAAAATGGATTTTGAAGTTTGTGCAAATAGAATTTTCTTATTGCTAATTATAGACATGATGTTATCCCATTTGATAGTTGGGAAAAATATCTGTTTAATAATTTAATAAGATTGTATAATCTTTACATTTGCATGGAATTTGAACTTCTTTATAGTCATTTTTATCTAGTTTACACCAATTCGATGTGGTACCAACTTTTAAACACCTCAAATAACTCTCACCTTCATACTTAATTATGCAATGGTACAAGTGTTTTAAACAGAAATGTGTGATGCTTTTTAGTAATGCTTTGAAAAGTGCATGAGTCTAATACTGACATTTCCTTTAATTTTTTAATTTTTTTCTTTATTTGCTCTATCAAATAAAATGTGCAGGAATTATTTATTGAACTGCAGAGATAAATTTTTAGAAAACTGTATACCTTAATACTGATGGTATAAGATTAAAAGTCTTTTTGCTTTTCCTAGTGGCATAAAGTAACACTTCAAATATTTACCTTTCTATTCTTCTAGTCTTGGCACCCTTTTTTAATACGGCATTTTCTCTTTGTATTGAAACTTTTTATTTTTAAGCTGATGTTGAAAATATATAGTAGCTTATTTGAAAATAGATGATCTGTTTTCACACATTTTAATTAATTTACAAAAATATGGCATTAATGTTTAGATTTTCTTTTATAATGCAATGGATGATATATGAATGGTGTCTAAACTGGATTATATAGATTGAAATAGACTTAAAAATTTCAGTAGACATTAAAAATACTTTATAGTTGAATTGGTTTAAGCCTAACAAAAAGATTTGTTTAAAAAGTTTTATATACATATACATATATGTATATATATTTTCTTTTTTAGAAAAAGAGCAAACGGGGATCTAATAGGTCATATGATCAAAGTTTAAGTGATTCTTCCTCTCACTCTCAGGATAAACATCATGAGAAAGAGAAAAAAGTAAGTGGATTTGTTGTTGCTAAATTTGTAGCACATCTACTTAATAGAATTTTTTTTTGCCTTTTTAGATAAAATTACATTCTTGATAGTTAAATGGAGACATTGAAATATAGAAACATTTTGGCTAATAAAGAGTATTTAATGAAATGATAGGTTTAATGCCATATTTGTGAATATGGTTTTACCCATTGCAACTGAACATTTAGATTACAACTTTACTGAAAGCATGAGGGAAATTTCTTGCATGTGTTACTGTGGTCATCTTGCGAAATCTTTAGGTGACTTCAGCAATAATAGTTCGTTGCTATATATTATTAACTGATTTCTTCGCCTGTAAGTAATTATCAGCTTTTTTCCTTTATAATAGAACAATTTTGAAGTTCTATATATTCTTGGCTATTTTTTCTTTTTCAGTGGTGCTACTGGTTTATTAATTTTTTCTAGTGGCTACATGTCATGTCTTTTGTTTGAGAATATTTTGTCTTTTAATTAAAACACTAAAAGCTTGCCTAAATACTAATCTGTCTTTTTCTGACTTGCCTGTTTTTCCCGCTTACATTTTTACTTGCTTTATAGGAAATACTTTTTAATAAACTAAAAAATAATACTGGAAAATCATTTGTACTTAATTTGTTCTTTAATATGTTCTTTAAGAACATATTGCCATTAGCTGAGCATGGTGGTGGGCGCCTGTAGTCCCAACTACCCAGGAGGCTGAGGCGAGAGGATCGTTTGAGTGGAGGCTGTAGTGTGCTGGGATTGTGCCAGTGCACACCAGCTTGGGAGACAGAGTGAGACCCCTGTCTCTTAAAAATGAATCTATTATGAATTGTGTTTAAGGAAGTGAAGATAAAAAGGACATTGTCAAATGGAAAAGAATATTTTTCTTACAAAGTTGGTATATGCTAGTTTTGGAAATGTTTCTGCAGACTGTATTTAAAATTTAGATCTCTTATCATTTTCACATTTGTAAATATGATTTGGTAAATGCCAACAAATAATTGTTTAAAAACATTTTGGGCTGGGCGTGGTGGCTCAAGCTTGTAAGCCCAGCACTTTGGGAGGCTGAGGGAGGTGGAGGAGTTTGAGACCAGCCTGGCCAACATGGTGAAACTGTGTCTCTACTAAAAATACGAAAAAAAAAAATTATTCGGGCCTGGTGGTGGTTGTTTGTAATCCCAGCTACTCAGGAGGTTAAGGCAGGAGAATCACGCTTGAACCCAGGAGGCAGAGATTGCAGTGAGCCGAGATCATGCCACTGCACTCCAGCCTGGGCGACGGAGCGATACTCTTGTCTCAAAAGAAAAAAAAAATTTTTGGTTTGAGTTAGTGCTTTTTCAAGGTAAACATTGTAGAAACTTAAGTAGTTTTGAGAGTAAATTCTCTATCATGAGTGAAATAATTATAACTTAGGGCTGTTGTTTGGCATTTATTTATTTATTTAGAGACAGAGTCCCACTCTGTTGCCCAGGCTGGAGTGCAGTGGTGTGATCTCAGTCTACCGCAACCTCTGCCTGCTGGGTTCAAACGATTCTCGTGTCTCAGCCTCCCTAGTAACTCTGTCGCCCAGGCTAGAGTGCAGTGGCGTGATCTCGTGTTATTGCAACCTCTGCTTCCCGGGTTCAAGTGATTGTCGTGCCTCAGCCTACCTAGTAGCTAGGATTACAGGCACATGCCACCATGCCTGTCTAATTTATTTGTATTTTTAGTAGAGACAGGGTTTCACTATGTTGTCCAGGCTGGTCTCCAACTCCTGGTCTCATGCGATTCGGCCTCCCAAAGTGCTGTGATTACAGGCGTGAGCCACCGTGCCTGGTGACATACACACACACACACACACACACACACACACACACACACACTTTTTTTAGATCTCAGGCAGCAAGTAAACATGTATATCTTGATTTCTTTTTGAGGTGGTTTTGTTATAAAGTGACGGTAGTAGGAGCCTGTCTTGTTTATTGTTGATTAGATTGCTGATAAAAAATAGCAGAGTTAGTTTAATTAGCAGTTTTAGTAATAAGCACCATGAAAGTTTATTTAAGCTTTTTAAGTCATCAACTAAGGATTCTTAGGCAGGGCTCATTATAAATTGTGAAGAGGGAAGCCTCACTATTAATGGTCTTCTGTTCTGCCATTTCATGCATATTATCTTGTATAAAAAGCGCTTACTATATGATCGTATTTATTTTAAGATATGCCCTATCATGTTATTTGAAGGACAGTTATTAAATATGTTATGGTGTTGAATGAATATAGTGCTGATGACTACACGTATAGATCTTTTATTGCTCTGGGAATGAATGAAATTTTGTATTTTAAGAATTTTTTGTGGTGGTTGAGTGGATGCTAGATTAAAAAACACGTTTAGTCAAACTTGTTTAGCTTTAATATTTAGAAGTATGTAAATACTATTTGGATTTTACTTTTCGCATATATAAGTTTAATATAACTTGAGTTTTTGCTGTCAAGCTTGAATCTGTTTTTACATTTTGTTTTTAATAACTGAGATTTACTGGTCATCTACAAAGTAAGCACACTAAATGAAGGAAACATACTGTAAGTTTATTATTAGACATGCTTGCTTGGCTTGGGAATATTTGGGAAAGGACTTTAAAAATATGGGATGATTATAAGTGATACTATAGTTAAAAGATTGAGTGTTATAGACTATCTTTTTCTCCTTCCCTCCTTACCTCTTTTAAGTTTTTTTTTCTTTTTCTTTTCTTTTTTTTTTTTTTGTCGCTTAGGCTGGAGTGTCGCCCAGGCTGGAGTGCAGTGGCGCAGTCTCAGCTCACTGCAACCTCTGCCTCCCGGGTTCAAGCGATTCTCCTGCCTCAGCCTCTTGAGTAGCTGGGATTACAGGTGCACACCACCACGCCCAGCTAATTTTTGTATTTTTAGTAGAGACGGGGTTTCACCATGTTGGTCAGGCTGGTCTCGAACTCCTGACCTCGTGATCCACCTGCCTCGGCCTCCCAAAGTGCTGGGATTACAGGCGTGAGCCATCATGCCTGGCCCCTCTTTTAAAATTTTTATGTTCAGTAGAGTTGTCTTGAAAATATGCCTAGCATGTTTTTAGTGTTGCATTGAAAGGTAACGCTCATAATCAAGTCAGACATTAGTATTTTTAAAACAGACAGTTCCCAATTTGAAATGGTTTGAATTACGATTTTTAGACTGTACACTGGTATGAAAACTATGCATTTATTGTGCTTCTAGATTTACCATGGAGTTATGTCAGGATAAACTTTTCGTAAGTTGAAAATATTGTAAGTTGAAAGCACATTTTTAACAGGATATTTTCAGCTTATGATGGGGTTATTGTAAGGTGAGGAGCATCTGTATTGTATATTATGAGCTAAATTTTGGTGATACTGTTCATAAGATATACATTGAACCACTTTCTTTCTGAATTCTTTTATCTGCCTTCATTCTGGCACATATTTTTCTTTTTTTTTAAATTTACAATTTTAAAATTGTTTGTTCGTTTGTTTACTGAGGCGGAGTCTTGCTGTTGTCGCCCAGGCTGGAGTGCAGTGGCTCGATCTTGGCTCCCTGCAACCTCCGTCTCCCAGGTTCAAGCGATTCTTCTGCCTCACCCTCCCGAATAGCTGGGATTACAGGCACCTGCCACCACGCCTGGCTAATTTTCTGTATTTTTAGTAGGGACTAGCTTTGGCCAGGCTGGTCTCGAACTCCTGACCTCAGGTGATCCACCCGCCTTGGCCTCCTAAAGTGCTGGGATTTCAGGCGTGAGCCACCATACCCTGCCAAGAATTTTTTTTTTTTCCTGAGACGGAGTCTTGCTCTGTTGCCTAGGCTGGAGTGCAGTGGCGCAATCTCGGTTTACTGCAAGCTCCGCCTCCGGGTTCACGCCATTCTCCTGTCTCAGCCTTCCGAGTAGTTGGGACTGCAGGCGCCCGCCACCACGCCCGGCTAATTTTTTGTATTTTTTTTTTTTTTTTAGTAGAGATGGGGTTTCACTGTGTTAGCCAGGATGGTCTCGATCTCCTGACCTCGTGATCCGCCCCCCGCTCCCCTTTTTTTTTTTTGAGACGGAGTCTCGCTCTGTTGCCTAGGCTGGAGTGCAGTGGCGCGATCTGGGCTTACTGCAAGCTCCGCCTTCCAGGTTCACGCCATTTTCCTGCCTCAGCCTCCCGAGTAGCTAGGATTATAGGCGCCCGCCAACACGCCCGGCTAATTTTTTTGTATTTTTAGTAGAGACGGGGTTTCACCGTGTTAGCCAGGATGGTCTGGATCTCCTGACCTCATGATCCGCCCCTCTCGGCCTCCCAAAGTGCTGGGATTACAGGCGTGAGCTACCGCGCCCAGCCAAGAATTTAATTTTTTAAAAGTAGGTGAGCGAGGTGTGCCTGTTGTGTTGAACCGACCTCCGCCCCCCCCACCCCGCCCCCGCCCCCAATCCCACTGGCGCCACGAGGGAGATGGCAGGGGCAGGGAGGTCTACTGGGATTCCACACCCCTGCCTCCCATGCACTGCCCATGGGCGTAAAGGAGAGACGAGGGGCCCGTGGGGTGAAAGAGAAGACCAGTTTCATTTCCCATGAATGTGGGTCCCTCTTCTGTCGTGACTCAGGCCTGGTCCACCGCATTGATCCTGGCATCTGTTTCTCTTTGTGTATTTAAAAATACTATTTATCGAAGTATAAATAAGTGATATTGTTATTTTATATTTAATATTAAATACTGTGGTATCCAAATTATTTAAAAATGAAATAACTTAATTTACAACTTCATATGGTTTTAGGAAAAATTTAAAAATATATAGCCTTTGCTTTTCAGAGAAGCTCTGTGTGATTCAAGCTGTATTAGCACTGGTTAGGTACTAACTGTAGTGCGAGCAAGGAGAGAAGAAAAGTTAATGGTGAAATATGGCTTCGAATAAGGGATAGTTTGTTTTTTCTTGTTTCTTTTGTTTTTCCTTTTTTTTTTTTTTTTTTTTTTGAGATGAAGTATCGCTCTGTTACGCAGGCTGGGGTGCAGTGGCACCACCATAGCTCACTGCAGCCTTGATCTCCGTGGCTCAAGGGATCCTCCTCCCTCAGCCTCCTGAGTAGCTGGGACTACCAGCGTATGCCACTATGCCGGCCAATTTTTTTTTTTTTTTTTTTAAATTTGTAGAGACGAGGTCTCCCTATGTTGCCTAGGCTGGTCTCTAACACCTGCGTAGAAGCAATTCTGCCTTGGCCTCCCAAAGTGCTGGGATTACAGGCGTTAGCCACCACCCAGGCTGATTAAAGGATGTTTCTGCAAAAATTGAAAATTTGGTATATATTTTAAAAGGAACCAGAGCATATATTTAAAATCAATTAAAGCTGTGCCTATCAGGATTAAATTCAGTCACTAAGAGTTCAAATTGTGAATTATTATTTTTGTAGAATGCCTTCTAATATTTGTTATGCCTGTTAATGTTAGTTAATGTTGATTAGTAAAAGGAAAGCATGCTGCTGTTCTATAAGTTCACTTTTGGCAACAAACGTGTGGGTTATTTTCTACGCCAATTAATCACCCAATTCTCTGTGGACACCAAGTGGGTATCCTACAATTCAGTTCTGATATTACCCAGAGTTAGTGCAGATCCCATAGATACTGGGTCCCACGAGACTGCCCCCACTTCAGAGGCCAGTTGCAAGTCCCAGATTGTCACCTGTACTTTTCACCAACTGGTTATAAATTGGGGGTTCCACACAACCTTCTCCTTAGATTAGGTAATTTGCTAGAATAGCTCACAGAACTCCAGAACACTATTTTTTATTACTTATGTATTGTGAAGGATACAGCTCAGGAACAGCTGGATGGAAGAGACACATAGGACAAGTTATGGGGAGGTAGGTAGAGCTTCCATGCCCTCTCCAGGTGCTCCACCCACACAGCATCGGTTGTGTTCACTGATCAGGAAGCTCTTAGAACTTCATTGTTAAGATTTTTTCTGGAGGTTTCCCATTATGTAGGCACAATTTATTAAATCGTTGGTCATTGGTGATTGAATTCAACCTCCAGCCCTTCACCCCTCAACAGAGGTACCGGGGTAGGACTTAAGGTTCCAAATCTCTGATCACATGGTTGGTTCCTCTGGTGATCAGCGTCTATCCTCCAAGATTTACCTTATTAGTGTAAACTCAAGTATGGTTGAAAGGGGCTTATTATGAGCACTAGGGGAATTCAAAGAGTTTTACAAGCTCTGTGCCAGGAATCTGAGAATAAGACCAAATATTATAACAAAAAATGCTCTTATCACCCCATCACTCAGGACATCAAAGGATTTTTAGAAGTTCTGTGCCAGAAACTGGGGGCAGAGATCAAATATACACACAAAGACACACACACTTATTATATATGTCACAACTGTAAAATAGAGTTTTATTTTCCTTCAGTAACACAAGTGATACATAGAATGAACAGTTGATTTGACTAGTCAAAATCACTAGGAATAATCTTTAATAAGGAAGTCATTGCTGTCAAAGGACTCTATTTGTTTTTTTCTAACTCTTTTTATACTTGTTAGAAAGTTTTAAAAGCACCAACCTCACTTCTATCCCACTCAATCTGAAAACTTTTAAAAAGCCCTCTAAGAATTGTGAAGCTGTGTTTTCACAGAGAGTTTAAATGACTTGTTCGAAGGTCAGTGATTTGCAGTAACTGATAGTGGTTAGAAGAAAATGGAGTTATGTTGACTTTTAATCTATGGTTCTTTTTTTTTAATAGATTTTTTTAGTTTTATTGAAATCTTACATGAACAGGAAATTGGAAATACAATCACATCAAAGAACAAATTGTCATGGCTTTTGACGTTTAAGCCAAACAAATTTTGTAGGGCAGATTTCAAAATGGTGTGAAGTTATAACAATTTAAAAACACAGTTAACCTACTTCTAAAAATGCAAAACATACGATCATAGGTTATTTTCAGTATAAGAAAACTTAAATGTGTTTGCTTTAATTTCTTAAAACTACTAAGACATAGCACTAGCTTGTATTTTTATTTACAGCATACTCCATACTCCTATGTAATCTATCCTAGATCCAAAAAAATGAAATTCTTCAAAACCACAGGTTCTGCAAAATCATGACTTAACAGTGTGTTCAGCTTGTTTTGAAGCTAAAATGAAGCCCGAAATGATAAAAACATAACTCCCAGAATAAGGGAACTCTGTAAGCCCAATAATGTCCAAGAGCATTTATGAAAAGAGGAAAAATAAAAAGGCCTGAGTATATACACAATAGTGATTTCTTCAGCCCAATACAAATGGCAGCAAATTGCTACTTAAAGATGAAACAGTTAAACAAAATTTTTTTTGAAGAATGTAGATCTAGAGCCAGTCGTATCTTGCCATTATCATTTTCAAGCCCTTACTTGTCTGCTTCCACTGTTGCCCATAAGTATCCTGATAAAATTCCTGGTTGTCATTATTGTAACCATAGTTACCAGAATAGTCACCACCTTGCTGAAGCGGCTGCTGAGCGATGGGTTGAGAGACCCAGTTCTGTTGTTTGTTGGTCTGACGATGCTTGGAATCAGGTTGGTTGTAAGCATCTGCCTTCTCTTGCGTCCTACATTGTCCCCTGATTGCCCTGAGATCCACGGGAACCACGGCCACGGCCTCTCTGCTGTTGTGCAGGACCCCCTCTGCCACCCCTACAGCCTCGTGGTGGTCCCAAAGGTGCCCCCTTTTGTGAATAGCCAGCTCTACCTCTTGGAGGTGGTGCTCCCCTCCCCCTTGGTGGTGGTGAAGCACCCTGCCCTCCCCTTCCTCCTCTTCCTCTTACTGCATAGCCACCATCATAGCCATAGTAGGGAATCTTCGTAACCTCCTTGATAGATGTGGTAATCATAACTGTAGTAATCTTCATGCCATAGTAATCTGGAGGTTAGCCATATCCACCTCTCCCCCAACCTCTAATCGGAAGCGGCATGCGAGGAGGAGGGTGTAGTGATAATCTTCATATGCAGTGCTTCTGGAGGCCTGTCTAGCAGCTTGGCGCTCTTTCCTTTTCTTGTCTGGTGCCTTGGCTAAGACTATTTCAAGTTCTTCCCCTTCTGTTTCTTTGCCATTCATTTCATCCATAGCCATAACAGCTGCTCGTCTGTCTTCAGAATGAACAAATGCATAATCTTTCAACTTATTTACTCTTTGGAGTTCTCCAAATTCAGAAAATGACTTTTCCAATATTTCGTCTGTGCCCAAGTTTCTCACAAAGAATACTTTTACCTTAGCCATGACTTCTGGATATGGTTCTTCACAGGGTCAGCCCATTCAACTGTAACTACATTTCCCCATACTTTTACTTTTCCAGCATCTGGCTTGTACTGCTGACTTGTGATCCTCACATTTAAGGAAGCAGAACCCCCATTTCTTCTTTTTGTCATCAGGTTGATCATAGAGAATGACGTCCACCAAACCCTCTGTGACTTTACTGAATTCTTCCAGAGTGTTTTCTTTAGTCTTATTCTTCAGAATGGATCCAACAAAAGTCTGTTGTTTGCCACAGAAATGCGCACTCCATGTTGTTTACCAGGGCGAATTTCATAGCTGTCACAGTTTCACAGCTTCCTGTGCAGCTTCCTTTCCACAGAAAGTGGTAAATGCCTACCCTCTATTCTGACCAGACAGTGGATCTATGATAAGACGTAGATCCCAAATGGGACTGGCCTTCTCAAAAAGGGGCACCAACTCATCCTCATATACATCTCTTGGTATTTTACCTACAAACACCTCTGTTCCAATTCTAGGTTGCACACCAGAGTACACACTGTTTGGTGGAGGCCCACCATACTTCCTCTGTCCTGTGGTTACATTCAGAGTATAATCATTTCTCTCAAGCAAGGCCTTGATCTTCACTTCATCAGGTCCCTTTGTGGACTCTTGCACCTAGCTCCCCTGTTTCTCTCTCTGCCTGTAGGTCTTCATAACTCCACATAAAAATGCACTTTTGTTCTGAACATGTGATAAGTCACTTTCCTTGAACTGCTGTAGTACAGACAGAGCTCCTTCTTTATTAAATTCCCTGAGAGCATCAATTGCTCTTTCATCAAGATCGATACAAGCTATCAATCCAGGGCAGAGCAGGGGCTGGTGGCTGGGCCCGTGAGAACCAGTGCAA
Source organism: Homo sapiens (assembly GCF_000001405.40). NCBI lineage: Eukaryota > Metazoa > Chordata > Mammalia > Primates > Hominidae > Homo > Homo sapiens. Next base: position 21,626,333 of record NC_000010.11, read on the forward strand.
GGCATTTTGAAAATGACTAGAAATCTCGCACGCGTGCCACCCCCCAAGTCTATGATTCTTATGTTTACATGGCAAAGAAGCTGAAGGGGAAGCAGGTACGTGTGCAGAACGGGAGACCAAACATGAGAGGCAGCCTTCTAATCTATTCCTGCAAGAATCAACCCAGCCTCATGAAAGCTGCATTAATACATTCATGAGGGTAGTAGTCCCGTAACCCAAACGCCTTTTAATGGCCCCATCAGCTCTCAATAGTGTCACATTGGCAAATTTCAACATGAGTTTTGGCAGGAACACACCACACTTAAACCATAGAATAGGATTACTCACCTCTTTGAAGAGAGCTAGACTACTTTCTTCTGTGGCCCTCAAAGGAATAAAACTCTCAGTCATATCATTGGAATGACTTCTCTTTGTCTTTGTAAAAGTTTTCTAGCATTGAGAGTTACCTGGTACCTGCCCTTTTTGTGTACTTTCCTTTTGGAATTTTGTGCTCAAGTTGAACCTTTCAGCATCTGTATATGTGAAGAGTTAAGAGAGGACAGGTCTTTTCAGGAACATCAGTTTAGAATGTGAGGGTGTGTTGGGTGAGACTGAAGAGTATGGTAACATGAGACTAGCTAAGAAGAGGCTAGTTTATGAAGAATTTATAAGCAGTTAGAGTTTTAGACTTCGTCCTTGGGCATTGAGCCAGGCAGCCAGTAGGATTAATTTTTTTTTTTAAACTTTTGGTTTTTTCAATAGTTTCAAACTTAAAGTTGCAAAAATACTACAAATAATAATGCTGTACTACTCACTCATTCCAAAAATGTTAACATTTTACCATATTAATGTTACCATGTCCTTCGCTCTACCCTCCTTTGCTATCTCTCTCACTCTCTTTCTCCTCTACTCTCTGTAGAATCTTTCTGAACCATTGCAGGGTAAATTACAAATAACAATGCCTCTTTAGCCCAAGTACTAAAGTGTATAGTTTTAATTAAAAGGGGAATTTCCTAAACAATTACAGTACAGTGATCAAAATCAATAAATTAATATTGTTACAGATTATTATCTAATCTACAGATCATATTCAAATTGCAGCCACTGATGTCATCTACACCAAAGGGGGAAACATTTTTCTCTTCCATGTCCAGGATCCAATCCAAGATCACAAGTTGCATTTAGCTGTCATGTCTATTCAGTATTTCCCAGTTTGGAATATGTCCTTATTCATTGTCTTTTGTGACCTTGACATCTCTTAAAGTCCTATTTCAGGTTATCTGAGGTATTGCCTTCTGTCTTTCTTAGGTCTTAAAAAAGGGGTTTGTAGCCATACTCTTTTTTAAATCTTCATACAGCTGTTTTCTAACAGTGGCCTAGATTTTATCTTTCTCTGGGAGCCATTCTTTGATTTGAGCATTGTTTGCTATCTGCAGAGACTGGAAATTTTTAAAACCAGCAAGTCTTGGCTCTTTTTTTTTGGTCAACAGTCTTTTCATTAACTTATTTCTGTACTCCTGCTTTTTACTATAAACAGTAAGAAATAATTAGACTGCATCTTCCACCGAATACCTAGAAATCTCCTTGTTAAATTATGCAACTCATTAAATACATTTTCTATTTTTCATGTTACCACAGGCAAGGTTGTGCCTAAACTTTCAGTTACTAATTATGAAGTATTCAGCTTCTTCCAATTTTCAGTTACCTTTTTCTCACTTTGGTTTAAGCCTTTAGTAGCAGCCTGCTAAGGGCCATGAGGTTTCTAGTGACAATCTCTTCATTGCTCATCAAGCTTTTGCTGATATTCTCCTGCAAGTCCTGTCAGCTTCTGCCTACTACCTGATTCCAAGCAGCGCCTGCATTTTCAGGTTTTATTGTATGGGAACATCCGTCTCCTGGTAACAGATAACCAGGAGTAATCTGTAAATCTGTGTTAGTTAACTATTGTAGTATAGCAATTTACCCTGAAATATATTGGCTTAAAACTGCAATAAACATTTATAGTCTCACAGCTTCAGTGGGTCAGGAATTTGGATTTAGTGTCTATTATCAGATTGCCTTCATGTTGTCTTTGATTATAGTCATTTAAAGGCCAGACTAAAGCTGAAGGATGCTCTCTCTTTTTTTTTTTTTTTTTTTTTTGAGACGGAGTCTAGCTCTGTCACCCAGGCTGGAGTACAGGTGTGCAATCTTGGCTCAGACTCACTACAATCTCCACCTCCCAGGTTCAAGCAGTTCTCCCGCCTCAGCCTCCCGAGTAGCTGGGATTACGGGCTTTTGCCACGACGCCCAGCTAATTTTTGTATTTTTAGTAGAGATGGGGTTTTGCCATGTCGGTCAGGCTGGTTTCAACTCCTGACCTCAGGTGATCTGCCTGCCTTGGCCTCCCAAAGTGCTGGGATTACAGGCATGAACCACTGTGCCCTGCCTTTTTTTTTTTTTTTTTTTTTTTTGACACAGAGTCTCGCTCTGTCTCCCAGGCTGGAGTGCGGTGACATGATCTTGGCTCACTGTAACCTCTGCTCCCAAGTTCACAAGTTCAAGCGATTGCCTCAGCCTCCGCATTAGCTGGGACTACAGGTGTGTGCCACCATGCCCGGCTAAGTTTTGTATTTTTAGTGGAGACGGGGTTTCACCATGTTGGCCAGGCTGGTCTTGAACTTGTGACCTCAGGTGATTGCCCACCTTGGCCTCCCAAAGTGCTGGGATTACAGGAGCTGCCACACCCAGCCGCTGGAGGATATTCTCTAAGATGACTTACTCACATGGTTGACAGTTTGGTGGCTGCCTTTTTTTTTTTGCTGCATGAATTTTTTCTTAGGGCCTTTTGAGTGCCATGTGACATGGCACCTAGCTTTTCCCATACGGACTGCTCTAAGAGCAACCCAAAAGCTGCCATGTTTTTTATAGCCTGGCCTCGGAAGTCACACGGTATCATTTTCTTTTTCTGACTAAATGTCTTATTTATTTTTTTAATTTATTTGTCTTTTTATTTGTTTTATTTGTTTTTAAGGTTTTTTTGAGGTAAGAATAGATAACATAACATTTGCCATTTTAACCACTTTGATGGCATATTGTTATTTTTACTCTCTATTGGATGCATAGGTAAGCCTGTTCAGTACGGGTAGGCACTGCACAGGTACAAAGATCATTGGGGGCATGGAGGCTTTCTACCACACCTTGAGATTTAGGCACATATCCTGTTTCTTATTAAATTTTCACCCACAAGTTTTAGCATTCACTGATGAGTCTAGCCTGAAATAAATAATAGTTGACAAAAGGTAATTTTCTAATTGTATCATTGTCAATAGTGGGGAAGGGTGGAGTCTACAGAGGAAATAAAAGAGTAGGTTGAGTAGTAGAAGGATAAATGTTATGTTCTTTGGATTTAGCACCAAGGAAGTCATTGAAGAGGAGTTTCAATGTAGAGTTTCAATATATTTATTGGTAGATAAAGTGGGTGTGAGGAAGTACAGGTAGTGAGAGTACTTAACTCTTAAGAATCTCAGATTTGCTGGGCTTGCGTGTATAGTCCCAGCTGCTGGAGCGCTGATGTGGGAGTATCTCTTGAGATCAGGAGTTAAAGGCTGCAGTGAGCTATGATCATGCCATTGCATTCTAGCCTTGACAACAGAATGAGACCTCATCTCTTAAAACAAAAAATTAAAAAAGAATCTCAGATTTGAAGACAAAAGGGAGGAGGCAGGAAAAATGATACTATGTCTTCTTCTGTTTTGGTGGGGAAGAAAGAAGAGAAGCATGTAGGTGAATAACTAGGTCACCTGGGTAGTAGAGCAAAGAAACTAGATGTGGGTTGAACCCTATCAGAGATATTGCTAGGCAGATTGGGTATACAAATAAGGAGGCCAAGTGCGTTATTTTCAAAAGTGTTTAAAATAATGGATCATGAGATTGAGGTGGGATAATAGATGTAGTGGAACTAGGGAAGGGCTGGAACATAGAGTTACAGGAGATATTGGAGCATGGGCCTAGAGGGCTCAGTAAGGTTCAAGAATAAGTATAGTAAGAGTGTGAATTAACTGCAAGGTTATGAAGAAAGAGTAGATCATTGTGGTTTAATATTTCATTGGGATATGTTGGGTGATGGCAGCTTCCAGGTGTTGGAAGACAGTTCTCCATGGTTCTCACATTTATACACATCTTGTGAGTGGCAGCCCTGACTGCCTTTGTTCTTTTCAAGGTTGTTTATGTTGTTTATATAGCAAGCAAACAGCCTTGGAAAACAGAGGCACTATCATTCAAATTTCTCCTGTAATTCAGTCCACTGTGTGTATAAATGTCATCTTGCCCCAGGTCACCCTGTCAGAATGGGGAACTTAGGCAAATGCTAACAGTCTGGCTTTTGCTATTGCCACGAGTATTAAAGTCCTCTGTGTCCAATGCAGGAGTCTTGTGTCATCTTCTACCAGCATCTATGAAACTGTGGTGAACTAACTTGTCACTTTACAAGTACAGTAAGATCTTAGACTCTTTGTAGTTTTTGACACCAAGATGTGGTTTTAGGCATACTGAAGGAGAGTCTGAATGAAAGCCATTGAAATTGAGAATATTTGAGGACTGTGCGAGTTGTTCATACAGTTGGCCTTAACTCGCTAGCACACCCACCCACTCTTGTGGTCCAGGGATGTTGGGATACTGTGGTTCAAGGTCTTACCAAGATCACATGTAGCAGGAAAGAGTTGCCTAAAGAAAAGTACGTCGGGCGCGGTGGCTCAAGCCTGTAATCCCAGCACTTGGGGAGGCCGAGGTGGGCGGATCACAAGGTCAGGAGATCGAGACCATCCTGGCTAACATGGTGAAACCCTGTCTCTACTAAAAAATACAAAAAAAAATTAGTCGGGCATGGTGGCGGGCGCCTGTAGTCCCAGCTACTCGGAAGGCTGAGGCAGGAGAATGGCGTCAACCTGGGAGGCGGAGCTTGTAGTGAGCCGAGATGGTGCCACTGCACTCCAGCCTGGGCAACAGAGCAAGACTCCGTCTCAAAAAAAAAAAAAAAAAAAAAAGAAAAGTAATGGGCAGACGAAGAGATAAAGAGACACCTATTAATAAATGATAGAGCTGGAATTTAAGATGAACTATGTCTGACTACGAAGTCCCTGGAATTTTTTTTTTTTTTAAATACATCTTTCTGCCTTTACTGGAGGCTGTATTAGTCCATTCTCACACTGCTATAAATGAGAATGAGTAATTTAGTAGGAAGAAAAGAGATTTAGTTGACCCACAGTTCTGCAGGCTGTACAGGAAGCATGGCTGGGAGGCCTCAGGAAACTTACAATCATGTCAGAAGGCGACGAGGAAATAAACACATCTTTACCATGGTGGAGCAGGAGAGAGAAAATGAAGAGGGAAAGTTTGAAACTGCTACATACTTTCAAACAACCAGATCTGGTGAGAACTCTTATCAGGAGAACAGCAAGGGGGAAGTCTGCCCCCATGATTCAGTCACCCCACCATCAGGTTCCCCCCCCAACACTTGCAGATTACAGTTCAACATGAGATTTAGGTGAGGACACAGAGCCAAACGATATCAGAGGTAAGAATCATATCCCCTTTGAAAGTTAGATAAATCTGTATTACAACTTGAAGAGTTTTTTTTTTGGTTTTTTTTTTTTTTTGGTTTTAGTACAAATGGTGAAGTTTTCACATGTTCTCAAAAGAATGCTAATACAGAATATGCCTTATCAATCCTCTGTTCTGTTCCAGGAAGCTATTATTTAACTGAGTAGTATTTGGGAGAATAAATTTTGAAGACCTGCTTGCTTAAATAAATAACTTGTTAAAAGAAGATAAAAAGTGAAAGTAGATGTGAATAGTCTTTTTGAAATTTAGCTTGAATTCAGATGTTGAAGACAAACAGTAATATAGTGTGCATCAATTAATTGGCATGTCCATGAAATAGAATGTTATGGCTAACTGAATTGGCTGAGGATTAACTTTATTTAATAGAGTTATTTTTTGCAACTTGTAAGGTTGAGATTGCATGTAATGCAAAGACTCATGTTTAATTCATGTAGGTGTTTAGAATTTTATTCCAGCTATCTAATTATAGCATCATGGAGATGAAGTAATGATAGCCTATTGTTTTCCATTAATAATATAAATATTTATTAATGTATTTATCACCTGTGGCAAATGACCTAGTTTTCATTTCCATTTTTATAGATGAAGAATTAGGGACATGAAGGTTTAATTAGATTTGATAAATGTTTACAAAGCGTCTACTCAATTCGAGACACCATGCTCAATCCTTGGGAAAACAGAATTTAAAAATCTGGAGAGTCACAATCAATATTGAACAGTTTGTTTAAAGTTTTGTATTTGGGGGCATAACACCAGTAGAATCCGGTTTATTTTTTAAAACTTTTCTGCTCCTTTCTATGGCCTCTCTTTTGTATTTTTTCAGAAATGTAGCTATAAGCAGTGAGAGTGTTATAGTAGATAGATCTGACTTATCTGAGAAGCCATTTAACTGTGGTATATAATCTAATCTCCTACTGATTGTAGGATGCACCTTCATTTTATGTGCCACTAAGAAAAAATCATGCCAAGTAAACTATGACACAGCAGTATTATAATACATAACCTGATTTTAGAGATTTATTTAAATAAATAAATCTCTTAGGATCTATTAAACATGGCATGTCAAAGAACTTAGAGTTCCTTTTAACTCTTTCAGGTGTTGCATATACAGTTAAAAGATGTGTATATGATTGTTCATCACTATGGTAGCTCATATTTAGAAACCATGTAAATTGCCCGTAACAGATGAATAAATTATGGCACATCTGTAAAAATGGGGCATTATGTTGTGTCTCAGTTTCTTCATCTGCATCAAGTTGATTTTAGTGCTTACCTCATAGAGTTTTTAAAACTAAATTAGTTAGTACATGTAAAATGTCCTGGCACATATTAACTGAAAACCTGGTTGTTTAGACAGAAAACACAGGAGCATCTTAGTTATTAACCAACATTATTATTGTAACACTTATGATTTAGAATCATGATTTAGAAGACTAATGAAGTGCAAAGATGTTTTTAATATAAGTGAAAGATACATAGTGTATTCCCAGTTTTGGTTAGGAGATTTTTAGGCCAGGCATAGTGGCTTATGCATGTAATCCCAGCTCTTTGGGAGGCCAAGGCGGGTCTAAGAGTTGGAGACCAGCCTGGGCAACATGGCAAGAAGCCATCTCTACAAAAAATATAAAAATAAGCTGGGCATGGTGGTATGCACTTCTAGTAGTCCCAGCTACTTAGGAGGCTGAGGTGGGAGGATTGCTTGAGCCCAGGAAGTCGAGGCCACAAAAGCTGAGATTGTGCCACCGCACTCCTGCCTGGATGACAGAGACCCTGTCTCAAAAAAATTATTATGGATTCATTTGAGAATTAGTTTTTCACATTGTGATGCTTCCTCTCTACACAGTTAGGAATGTATCACCTAAGAAGTTGATTCTATATAGCCACAATGTAATTAGCTTAGGAAATTTAACATTAATATAATACTATTAAAAAACATATAATCCATAACCAAGCATCTCGTTGTTCGAGCAATGTCCTAATTGATAGCCAGTTTAAGAAGAAATTGATGTAGAAGTCAAGTATCAAACGTTGCATTTAGTTGTTGTCTCTTTAGTCTCCTTTAATCTAAAATAGTCCCAGCACTTTGGGAAGCCAAGGTGGGTGGATCACTTGAGGTCAGGAGTTCGAGACCAGCCTGGCCAATATGGTGAAATCCAATCACTACTAAAAATACAAAAACTAGCCGAGTGACGTGGCTCGTGCCTGTAATCCCAGCTACTTGGGAGGTTCAGGCAGGAGAATCACTTGAACCCAGGAGGCAGGGGTTTCAGGGAGCCGAGATCACACCCAGCCTGGGTGACACAGCGAGACTCAGTCTCAAAAAATAAAACAGTTACCAGGATTTTCTACCTTTCATGACATTGACATTTTCTTGAGTTCAGACTAGTTGTTTTGCAGTGTTGCTCAGCTGGGATTTGTCTGATTTGTTTCCTCCTGAAAAGATTCATGTTAAGCATATTTGATGGAAATACCACGTAGATGATGTCTTGTTCTCAGTGCATTGTATCAAGGGACATATGATATTAGTTTATCCCATCATCCGTGATACTAAATTTGATCCCTTGGTTAAGGTGTCGTCTACCAGATCTACTGTGAAGCTTTCATTTCCCTGTGAGATATTACTTGAGGCTTTGAAATTTCTGTTCCCCAATAGTCTTTCATGCAGTGTGTTTAATATATCCATTGATGATCTTTGCCTGAATCTGTTGTAACTTTGGTGGTAATAATGTGATGATTTTCTGTTTCTATCAATGCTTCCATATTTATTTCTTGGCATGCTTTGGTTATGAAGAACTTCATCTGTCCATCCAAACATCCATCCATTCACTAATCTCTCCAGTATCGAGTAGACTCAAGTTTATTTTTTTAAGTTCACTGTGTTACGTAATTCCTGTTATTATTCATCTTAATGCTCAGATTGTCCCACATTTGGCCAATGGGAGTCCTTCAACTTGGCACTTGTGCCCTTTTGAAATTTTTCAACAGTTTATAAAAATTTCCTTAATTTCTAGTAAAACAGATGCTGTAGGCTTATCTTGTCTTCTTTTCTGCCCCAGACCTTGAATCAGCTCATTTTCTAACACTGGTTTCTTTTAGTGGAGGTAGCATATCTACTTGGAGTGTGTCTCTGTCCTAGAATGGACCCTTCAGCAGTTTGAGAGATCATACCAGTCCTTCTTACTGTGTACCCCATGCGCTTACCTGTTACTGGCCAGTGCAGAACTCTTCCTGGTTTCAGCTGCGTTTCTCAAATTGGCTCTCAGTGCTTTCCAGTAAGTACTGTTGACTAAATATTTAGTGCTTTTCTTGTCACTTCCTTCTTCCTCATGAATGCTGTTACCATGTGGGCCTTGTAACTCTTTTCCTTACCTCCTTGTATTTTGGGGTTGATGGTGATGCTTTTACACTTGGTTTTGTTGTGTTATTCCATGAGTTTTTAGTTTTATTATCTATTTGCTTTGCTTGTTTGTTTTTTTGAGACAGAGTTTCACTTTATTGCCCAGGCTGGAGTGCAGTGGCATGATGTTGGCTCGCTGCAGCCTCTGCCTCCTGGGTTCAAGCAATTCTCTTAGCCTCCCCAGTAGCTGGGATTACAGGTGCATGCCATGTCACCTGGCTAATTTTTGTAGTTTTAGTAGAGACTGTGTTTCATCATGTTGGCCAGGCTGGTCTCAAACTCCTGACCTCAAGTGATCTGCTCACCTTGGCCTCCCAAAGTGCTGGGATTACAGGCTCTTTGCTTTGTTTTTATATTTGGGATTCAGAAAGGATGAGAAACTATGTTGCTGCCACCATTTTCTCTTGCTGTTTTTTGTTGTTGTTTTTTTTTTTGAGATGTAGTTTCACTCTTGTCTCCCAGTCTAGAGTGCAATGGTGCAATCTCAGCTCACTGCCACCTCCGCCTCCCGGGTTCAAGAGATTCACCAGCCTCAGCCTCCCGAGTAGCTGGGTGATCTGCCTGCCTTGGCTCCCCAAAGTACTGGGATTACAAGCGTGAGCCGCTGCACCTGGCCTTTTTTTTTTTTTTTTTTTTTTACATTGCTCTGTTTACTCCTCTTCTGTCAAATCATAGCTCTCTTCGTTTTACTCTTTTCTTGCTCCTCTTGTACCCAAATTCAGCACTTAACCTAGCCTTGCCTTTCTGGTGAAGCTAGACTTCCTTTGACTTATAAGACTCATACTGTATCTCTGTCTTTTGCATGGGTTTTGTTGTTGTTGTTGTTTTTGAGATAGAGTCTCACTCTGTCACCTAAACTGCAGTGCAGTGGCATGATCATGGCTCACTGCAGCCTCAACCTCCTGCATTCAAGCAATACTCCCACCTCAGCCTCTGGAGTAGCTGGTACTATAGGCATGCACCACCGCTGCCTGGCTAAGTTTTTATATTTTTTGTAGAGATGGAGTCTCCCTATGTTGCTTAGGCTGGTCTTGAGCTCCTGGGCTCAAGCTATCCTTCTCCCACCTTGGCCTTGGCCTACCAGTGTTACGATTACAGGGTTGAGCCACTGCGACCGGCCCATGATTTTTTTATATTTTCATTTCACTTTTATATTGTCTTTATATATGTATATGTCTTATTGTCAGACTGTATCATGTCTCAAAGCTGATCTATATTTTTTATGTTTTAATGTTCTTTTATAGTGCCTAATATGATTTCTTTTCTTTTCTTTTTTTTTTTTGAGACGGAGTTTCACTCTTGTTGCCCAAGCTGGAGTGCAGTGGTGCGATCTTAGCTCACTGCAACCTCTGCCTCCAGGGTGCAAGCCATTCTCCTGCCTCAGCTTCCCAAGTAGCTGAGACTACAGGCGTGTGCCACCACGTTGGCTAATTTTTGTATTTTTAGTAGCTTTTTTTTTTAAACCCTGAGTGTCAGGTGTGAGGTAGTAGAAGAAAGGTAGTGTTGTTGACAGCTTGTGAGTACTTAACTAATTCTTGTTGCATTCACTATAATATGGTAGTTGTGTATACATTTATAGGCAATTAGGAATAGGGAACAGAATCAGCAGATACTAACGGAGTTAGAGATGTTTGCTGAAGTCATGGAAAGCCATCATTACTTTTTTCTTCCTTCCTCATAAGGCCTTAGTGGGTGTGGCGTTCAGTTTCAGTAAGAACTCTGTAGCAAGCTAATAGCTCCTTTTCAAAAAGGATGCACTTAATAGCCATGTCATTGGGGCATCAAGTCCAAATCTCCAGTGGGTGCCTGTGGGTGGAGGCTTTTTTGCCAGAGGATTCAGTTGGCAAAATCATAATTCATAGAAACATGTAGCTTAAAAGCATAATGAGGCCTGTGGGGTTCCAAAGGTAGACAATGTGCTTCAGCTTCCTACCTAGCTTCCAACACAGTGTGTGGGTTTTGGGCTACTCTCATAGGATGCATATTTACAGGATAGCTGACATTTAAAGGAAAAGCAGAACGTTGAAGTGAGTGTCATAGAGCCCCTGTTATTTAAAGAGTTCAGTAAGGTGTTCAGCCTGTTTTTCGATGGTGGGATTCTGAAGAGACCCCACCATCCTTGACTGCCAGAGGAATCTGGCGTTGTGAATCTGTTCCTATACTTTCCAGAAACTTGTTGAGCAGGTCTTTGAAATTTATTGGAGTTTCCACCAACTGTGCTGACAGAGGAGATAACATTACAGAGCTATTGAGACTGAGGCTTCTAATTTACCAGCTAATAGTGAGAGCTTTGAAAATCACAGGGTAGAGGTACTGAGTCCTGACATACCTATTTGTGGCAAGTGGCAAGGGAGTTTAGGTCACCCCTCTGGGAAAGCACTTCAGACATATTGGAGGGCTTTGACACATGGATGTAAACTGATCTTGATCCTTAGGTATGAGTGTTATGGCAAAGAGGCATTAGAAATGTCCAGAACAACCTACCAAGTACCATCAGTGTGTAGTGGATTTAGTCTGTAACAGCTGGGGCTATAAGAGCAATAACTAAACTCACTTGGCGCTAATTCACTGTTAGCTTCCTGCTCTTACTAGCCTTTTTTCACTGGCCTTGCAGGGCTTTTGTGTTGAGATATTGCATCTCTTCCTACCCCTGGTACCTTTGAGTCCTTTATCGAAGCTGTGGCTTCCCTTTGTCCTTCTGGAATCCTATGCTGTTTCTGTTGGACCACCCAGGAAAGAGACATGGTTTGGAGAGTGATTTACATGTCTCATTAGCATTTCTACGTGCTGCTCTTCTTGGTGGGGAGAATACCTTTTGCACTTATGGATGGGTAAAGATAAGCATATAATACAGGGGATGGCAAACTTTTCCTCTAAAGGACCAGATAGTAAATATTTTGGGCTTTGTGGACCGCATTTAGTCTCTATCATATATTCTTCTTTTTGGTGGGGGGAGGGGGGCGGGGGCACTAAGGAATATTTTAAAGATGCAACATTACTCTTAGCTTAGGTATCATAATTTGCTGACTTCTGATATAACATATCATTTCCTCTTATACCTTCAGATGTCCAGGCAGTAGTGAACATACAGTTTAATTCCCCAAAGACCCCACCTACAAAGTCATGTTAGCTTCCTTACCCCCTGAGAATCCTGCCCACTGAATCCTGGGATCTTTTCCTTTCATGGGTCCAGGTGGGATAGTGATCTGGGTGCCTGTATCCAACAGAGTCTTAAAAACTTGTGTTTTCTGGCTGAGCACGGTGGCTTATGCCTGTAATCCCAACATTTTGAGAGGCTGAGGTGGGAGGACTGCTTGAGCCCAGGAGCGTGAGACCCCATCACTATTTAAAAAAATAAATCGTGTCTTTTCCTCTCCTCAAATTCCATAGCATACTTGGATGACTACATGTGGCCATTGAGGCCTCTTGGGGATAGGGAGTGCACATCCCCATCTCTAATTATTTTTCTTCTTAAAGCACTGAGGTCACCTAATTGTTACAGTGGGGTAGAAATGAAGCTGACTGCCAGATTGGTGAGGAAGTCCTCTCCACCTAACCAGAGTAGGCTAGCTGCCAGCACAGCATCCTTGGGCAGCTCTGTTTAAACATAGTTTCTGGTGCTTAGCCTACAGCCACCTCTTCAGTTTCTCCTCATTATTCAGGCAATAAAATGAAGACCCATTAACTGCCTAGTTGACCGTACAATTTTTCATTTTTCGACTTTCCTCAGATCCCATTAATTGGCCTGTGAGGCCTTTAATTTTCCTCTTCTAAATAGCCATACCCCTAACAGCATTATATTCTCTCATCACCAAACTGTCAAGAACTATGAAAGAGGTGGAATAGAAAAAACAAACAGTTTCTCCTGCTGTAATCTCACAATACAGAATGCTTCTGTGACCCATAAATGTATGGGGATTTCTCCCCACCAAGCAAGCTGTCAGTTTTGCAGCAGACATCATCTGCGTTTGGACACTATCCACCTGGAGATGGCATCAGATTACACAGGTTGGGAACTCAGTCCCACAGGACTGAGCCTCACTTTTGATGCTGATTCTAAGCCCCAGGTGCTTCTGTTCAACTGACTGTGACTTGGGGTTCCCACAGCCCCCTCCTTGGGTTGGATTAGTTTGCTAGAGTGGCTCACAGAACTGAGGGAAACCCTTACTTATGTTTATTGGTTTATTATGAAGGATATTACGAAGTATACAGATGAAGAGATGAATAGTGTGAAGTATGTCACTGGGTAGGGAGGCAGAGCTTCCCCATCCTCTTGGGCCTTTGTTATACCGAGTTCACTGGACAGGCATGACTGAAGCATGGACACCTGTGTAGAAATGTGATTGGACAAAGGTATGATCGAACACTAATAGACTGAGTAGGGAAACCCAAGCAGGCCTGTATGTTCACACGCTTCTTGGCCTCTCTGTGCAGCATTATTTTCTTCTGGGTATTGGGGCAGAACCCCTTCTGAAATGGGGGTTTTATGACCCACAATCAGACAAGGTAGGTCAGAGAATTTCTTTATGTCCAGCTCCATGATAGAAAAGTAGGGGAAGTTTAGAGCATATTTTTAGTTTTCATGGCCTGTCTTGGGGAGAAAAAGGAGGGCAGGAAAGGTCCGAAAGAGAGAGATTCTGTTTTCTGAGGCCTAAAGCACCCCATTATAACAAAGGACTGTCATTTCACCTTTGTTACTCTGCCGCTGTTCTGAAGCTGCATCAGGAACCAAGGACAAAAGGCCAAATACTTTAACAAAAGATACGCCTGTTTTTTTAGTTACTTAAAAAATGGCAAGGACTTTGGGAGTTTTGACCCAGGGACTGTGGACAAAACCAATATATGTATACATATATATTATATATAATATCAAATATTATTATATAATATTTATATATTATATTATATTATATATTATATATTATGTAATATAAATATTTATATTACATAATATATATTATATTGTATTATATATAATATATATTATATAATATATATGTATACATATATTGGTGTATATATTACATAAAATATATATACACACACATATATGTGTGTGTGTATATATATGTATATATCATAATATCACAGAAGTCTATCATTTGATCTTACTTGTAAAGTAGCTAATTAAGAGATGCAACTTCTGGGTCAAGAGATAGACAACTTATTACTTAGAGCAATAGCTGTAACCAGAGTATCAGTAATTTTTGGTCATTTCCCAAGCCCAGTTCCCATAGGGCACTGCAAAGAAGGCCAGATAAAATCTGTTTGTGCTGTGTGTTGCATTACAGGAGAGGAGCCCTGAGCTTAGGGCACCTGAATCTTCTGTAATAGACAGTAAGCATAGCTGACCTTTGCTTTCTGTCTTCTGAGGCTATTCACTATATGAGCAACCTTGAAAAGATAATCCAGAATAATGGGTTGCCATTGCCTAACTCAAAAGACATGCAGAAATAAGAGAGACTTGTGTAGCATGGTTTCCTGACACATGAATAATTCTCAAATTATGATTGACTTTACACAATGTTTTTGATTCACAGCTAAGTCCAAAAGAGGTGTCCTTGATTGACAAACAAATTCTTCCAAGTTGTGAATCAGGGGCTTAGGTTTCTTCCATCTTGTGACTGCCTTCTTTAAAATGCTGCCTCTATGGCTTTAATGCTTATTTTTGTTATCCATGTAAAAGGAATCAGTGTGGATACTAGAAATTTGGGGCTATTAAGGACCAGGCCTAGAGGTGACACACATCATTTTCATTCAGACTACGTTGATTGGAACCCAGTGCACTGGCTGCATGTAACTGCAAAGGATGCTGGGAAATGTCTAGTTACCTGCCAAATAAAAAGAAATGAGTTTGGCGAATAGGCTGTCTCTACCTCATTTTAGCCCATTCTTGTTAATTTGTATGTAATTACAGAGAATGACAGAAGACAGAGCATTTAAAAAATGAAAGTTAAAAAACAAAATCCCACTCCATATCTCCCATTGAGAAATAGCCATCACTTACTACTAAGTAAATATCACAGATTTTTTCTATGCATAGAGACATAGATACATACATAAAAAGGATAATTAGAGAAAAATTATTAAATTGAGTGAAACCTACTGATGTTTTAAACACCAAAGGCAGATTTATTTGGCTGTATAGATGGAAAAGAAAGAGACCCTGTCTGTATAGAAGAACAACAGCAACAAAACATAGCTGAATGTGTGGTGCGTGCCTATAGTCACAGCTACTCCGGAGGCTGAGGTGGGAGGATGCCTTGAGCCTGGAGTTTGAGGCTGCAGTGAGCTATGATCATACCACTGCACTCCAGCCTGGGTGGCAGAATGAGACCAAAAAAACTTTTTTCCCCCCTTACCACAAGAAATATTATTTCCTCAAAGATACCTTTAAGTTTAATAATAGAAATTACAAAAGCAAACAAGACGTTGAAGAGGTAAGACTGTCTTTCTAGTTGGGGTGCTTTTAGCTCTAAGTGATGGAATACTCAAATCAGAGTGGCTGAAGCAATTGGAAATTTATTACTTCATGTAAGATCAGATGCTAGGCTTTTCTAAGATTGGTTAATTTAACAGTAGCCAATTCAGCTGTGGCAGAGCATTGTTGACTTTCATGTGATTTTTTTGGCTTTTGCAGTCATGGTTGCCAGGACACTGCAGTTGTTCTGAGGATCATGGTCTAACACTTGAGCATCTAAAGGCAGGAAGGGAATACCTCTTAAGAATGAGGAGAACAGCTAGAAAATTTCAATTTCTGGCCTGGTGCAGTGGCTCACGCCTGTAATCCCAGCACTTTGGGAGGCCGAGGCGGGCAGATCACTTGAGGCCAGGAGTTCGAGACCAGCCTAGCCAACACGGTGAAACCCAGTCTCTATGAAAAATAACAAAAAATTAGCCAGACGTGGTGGCGGACGCCTGTAATCCCAGCTACACTGGAGGCTGAGGCAGAAGAATGGCTTGAACCCGGAGGCAGAGGTTGCAGTGAGCTGAAATCGTGCCATTGCACTCCAGCCTGGGCAACAAGAGCGAAACTCCGTTTAAAAAACAAAAATACGAAGAAGTAGCCGGGCGCGGTGGCTCATGCCTCTAATCCCAGCACTTTGGGAGGCTGAGGCGGGCAGATTACCTGTGGTCAGGAGTTTAAGACCAGCCTGGCCAACATGGTGAAACCCCGTCTCTACTAAAAATACAAAAATTAGCTGGGTGTGGTGGCACATGCCGGTAATCCCAGGTACTCGGGAGGATGAGGCAGGAGAATTGCTTGAGCCGGGGAGACGGAGGTTGCAGTGAGCCAAGATTGAGCCACTGCACTCCAGCCTGGCCAACAGAGCAAGACTCTGTCTCAAAAAAAAAAAAAAAAGAAAAGAAAAATTTAACTTCTATTTTATTATCCTGATTGAAACCTATTCCAGGCCTAAAGCAGTCAGTGGCTAAAGAGAATCAATTTCTCTTAATTACCTTGGACTCATCCATGTTCACCTCTGGGCTGGGGAATAGATACACTTTTATGAGGACATGAGAAGGTGATCATGAATTTTCTTAAGAAATCAGGACTTTGTCAGCAAGAAAGATGTTTATGTCTAGTCACTATTTGGCAGACTTATGTTTTGTTTTAATTACATGTGTCAGATTTTATATTGAGCTCCTACAGTGAAGGCTGCTAGTATCCCTATAGTCATTTTGCTTTTCCTGCTATCCAGGTTGTTTTTATTTTTATGTATTTATTTTTTATTTTTTTGAGACAGAGTCTCACTCTGTCACCCAGGCTGGAGTGCAGTGGTGCAATCTCGGCTCACTGCAACCTCTGCCTCTCCAGTTCAAGCGATTCTCCTGCCTCAGCCTCTCATGTAGCTGGGACTACTGGCACATGCCACCATGCCCAGCTAATTTCAGTATTTTTAGTAGAGATGGGATTTTACCATGTTGGCCAGGCTGGTCTCGAACTCCTGACCTCAAGTAATCTGCCCACCTCGGCCTTCCAAAGTACTGGGGTTACAGGTGTGAGCCACCGCGCCCTGACAGGGTTGTTTGTTTTTGAAGACATTTCTATTTTTTCAGGTAGTGACATTCTCTTATGTAAACATAATCCTCATAGTTGTGTAGGCATTTGTTTTGTATTTAAATTCGTTAGCTGCTCACTATTAGTCTTTTTACCACAGCTATTCCAGTAAGTTCATTGTTCCTCTTAAATTGGCTGAATTTTATTCACTTTTTTCAATAATAAGTTCTTAGGACTTGTGTTCTCTGATTTCTTTCATAATGGAGAACATTTCCTTTTGCCTTAATTTTTGAACTGTATCTTGGCTGTATATAATATTGTTGGGTCACACTTTATTTCTTCTAAAAACTTAATGGTCCTGGAATATTGCTGTGGAGATGACTAACGACACCTCCCTCTCCCTGTATTCTGCTAAGTTTAACTACAGTAAGTCTTGGTGCTACACAGTCTGTAACAGAATTGTTCAGAATTTTTTTTTTCCATTTTCATTTTGTGGAATTTTATGTTTGAATATACCTTCTGTTCCCCATTCATTGAATTCTCTGCTTCAGGGATACACGTTATCTTATGTTTGATTATCTCTGTTTTTTATACCTGTCAGATGTGGTCTGCCTGCTTTAGTATCTTTTTTAAAATTTGCATTACTGTGATTATTTCAAGCCTTTCTTTTAACACTTTAACAATTCTTGGCAATGTGTATTTTCCTTGCTGTTTCTATTTTGTTTACTAATTCTGTAATGATACCGTTTTAGTCTTAACCTTATTACTTTGGTTATCTCCCTTCTTACCTTTTCCTATTTTATCATCTCATTCTTGAGCTTTGTTTGAACTCATGTTATATTTTTTATTTGGCATGGGGACAGTTTTGAGAAATATTTTCATACTCAGTTATGTATGCTTCTAGGTTGTGATATTTGGCTATCTCATGCACATTAGACTCTGTATTATTTTTTGCCTGTAGTTTCTTTGCCATACAGTTTTTAAAATGTTGTTTATGCTTGGGAGGCTCACTTTTGACACTTATTCCATTATAATTTACGTAATTTTTTGAATATTTTCTCGTTTTTGAGACGATGGTTTAAGGGCTATGTATTTTGCATTTTTCTGAAGCCTGTGGGAATGAGGGGTGCAGTATAGAAGCTTGGGAGGAGGGGCGCAGTATAAGAGCTTGGCTTAGGGCAGTATGCACTTTTTGGTAGAACTCCAGGCTGGGCTCTCCTTTTTAACACAGTGCATTATTAAATGTCTTGCACCAGGTTCTATATATCTCAAGTGTTTGGGTGTATTTTAGTCTTATGGGGAATACCCTAGGATTCTATTTTATTTTTTATTTTAATTGTAATTTTTTGAGACACGGTCTCACTCTGTCCCCCAAGCTGGAGTGCAGTGGCATGATCATGGCTCACTGCAGCCTCCACCTCTTGGGTCCTCCGCCTCAACCTCCCAGTAGCTAAGACTACAAATTTGCACCACCACACCCAACTCATTTTTTTGCTTTTTGTGGAGATGGGTTGTCATTGTGTTGCCCAGGCTGATGTCCAACTCCTGGCCTCAAGTGATTCTCTCACCTAGGCCTCCCAAAGCACTAGAATTACAGGGGAGAGCCACTGCACCGGGCCCCCTAGGATTTTATGTAGTTAGTTCTTAGCCTTGATTCTTTACTTCCAGTTAGCACCTCTTCACTTTTCTTCCTCTCGCCTTCAGTTTTTCCTGTTTCTTCCCTGAAGCTAGTACTACTCTTTAGGCAGAAAAAGTAGTTTAGTAGGTAGGAACATATAAAATCACCTCTCTTCAGATTTGGGACTTTCGGTTATATTCTCAGAATTTTTGGGAATTAAGGGGTAGGATTAAGAGCTGAATCCTGTAGCTCAGTCTAGGGCAATTTCTACTATAGAATCTAGTTTACTCCTTGACAGTTTTTGTTTAATGCATGAATATCTGCCCCTGCTTCCCATTTTGGTTGCTTTTGGGGATCATTTGGTTGGTTGTTTTTTAACTGGTTTCTGTTCATTTGTTTTCTACATTGGGAAAATCTGTGATGTGATTTCAGCTTTCTCTTAAGCATTTTAAGATCCATGTTTACTTAAAATTTGTTTGCTTTATATTTGTAATGATATTTTGTGTTATTTGAATATAGGCACTCTTACTAGAAATTTGTTCTATTTCAGTGTAAAGAATTGAGTCATATTAAAATAACTCACATGTTCTTTTTCTTTCTTATGTTATGCCTAAATATTAATTTCTAGTATTGGGCTTTCTGATGAACTTGTCTTGATGATTAGTGATAATGAAATTCTTTCTTATATGTTAGCAAATCTTTTTAATAATTTACTCTAGAGTTTTCCTGAGAGGTAACTTCAAGCTCAGTATTGCATTCTTTGTAAAATTCACTTTCTGATTTGTCCCAGACATTTCTGTCTATGGTTCACAGATTACATACGTACTCTTCAAAACTCTGAATTCCTCTTGGCCTTAAGATATGAACTTACAAGTATTATCTTCACTGCTCCTTTAAATAGTCCTATACCTGTTCTAGTTTGAAAACTGAAACATTGGACCTGTCTCTTGGTTGTTTGTCTTGCACTAAACTTAAGTTAAAAACTCCTGCATAGGCTGGGTGTGGTGGCTCACACCTGTAATCCCAGCACTTTGGGAGGCCGAGGCAGGCAGATCACTTGAGGCCCGGAGTTCGAGACCAGCCTGGCCAACATGATGAAATCCCGTCTCTACTAAAAATACAAAAGTTAGCCAGACATGGTGGTACACACCTGTAATCCCAGCTACGTGGATGGCTGTAGGCATGATAATTGCTTGAACCTGGGAGGCGGAGGTTGCAGGGAGTTGAGATCACACCACCGCACTACAGCCTGGCAACAGAGTGAGACTGTATCCCAAAAAAGAAAACAAAAACAAAAAAACCCCTCTCCTGTATAACTGTCTTTAGCTTCTTTACGGGGAAAGCAGTTCATTCTGGAACTAAACCCAGTTTAACATTTAGGTTCATTACAGAGAGCAAATGATGCTGCATTGATTTCCTTGAAACTATTTGGTAATGTTATTATTATAAACGTTTCTCTCCCTTTTGTTTCTGTCCTTTCTTTCTTTTTTTCCCCTTGCTCTTGATTTTCATCATGGGTGCCTTACCTACTTTCTTTAAATTTTGAAAACTTTTTTTTTTTAGGTTTTGGTTATGTTTTTTTGGGGGGGTAGATAAGAGTCTACCTTGTGCTTGTTTAAGCCATACCTTTCTGTAAAAAAAATAAACAGAATTTTTCTCACACGGCTATTTTAAGGATTGAGATATCATGTGTATTCATAAAATATAAACTTTTACAGTTCTGATTTTGTATTGCTAATTATACATACTGATTCAACTGAGAGTGACGTTGGCTGTCTTGACCTAACAAGCAGTGAAGATAATACTTGTAAGTTCATATCTTCAGGCCAAGGGGAATTCACAGTTCTGAAGAGTACATATGTAATCTGTGAACTACACACAAAGCTCATCTGTTAACAGTTTTCCGAAATCTCTGACTATTCCCTTTTTTTTTTTTTTTTTTCTGAGACGGAGTCTCGCTCTGTCGCCCAGGCTGGAGTGCAGTGGCGTGATCTGGGCTCACTGCAAGCTCCGCCTCTCGAGTTGATGCCATTCTTTTGCCTCAGCCTCCTGAGTAGCTGGGACTACAGGCGCCCGCCACCACGCCCGACTAATCTTTTGTATTTTTAGTAGAGAACGGGGTTTCACCGTCTTAGCCAGGATGGTCTCGATCTCCCGACCTCGTGATCCGCCCACCTCGGCCTCCCAAAGTGCTGGGATTACAGGCATGAGCCGCTGCACCTGGCCATCTGTGACTTATTTTAATGGCCATTATATGCTTGCATAATGATTTTTTTTCAAGCACACCTCTGTTGTTGAACAAGTTGTTTACATTTTTCTCCCCATTGCAAATAGAAGTATGATAAACTGTATTTAAATCTTTGTACACCTTGTTAGATGTGAAATTACTAGGTCACATGGTATGAGTATTTTTATAGTTTCTAACTCTTGTTTTAAAAATTGTCAGCTTGGCTCAGTAGTGTGTGCCAATAGTCCCAGATATTTGGGAGGCTAAGGCAGAAGGATCCTTTGAGCCCAGGACTTCAAGGCCAGCCTGGGGAAAATAGCAAGACCCAGTCTCTTTAAGAACAAAAATAAGTGTTCTTTATATGTTTACATTTTCTCTAGTAATGTATGCAAGTGCTCATTTCCCTAGGCAGTTATTAGATCTTGTCATTAAAAACAAAACCCAACAACTTTGGTCACTATATAGGAGAAAAATACTACCTTTAGTTGTTTTAATACTTGGGTTGCATGTTTCTGTTGCTGTTTACTGGCTCTTTTTTTTTGCGGGGGGCGGGGGGATTGCCCAGTCATGTCCAATGGCATATGTATTTTCTTATTTATTAAAAAATTTAAACAGAATTAAAATACAGAATTTTTAATTTTACCGTCTTCCCAGTTTGGTTTTTGTTTTTTAATGATTTGTTTTTTAATTTGCATAGCTAAGTCTGTGTTTTCCCTTTCTGTTTTTTTTATTTTTTGGGGGGGAGGTTAGAAAAGTCTTTCCTTCCTTAAAGTCAGATACTTTAAAAATACTTTCTAGCTGACTTTGATGTTATTTTAATTTTTACTTAACCCTTTAACCCATCTGGATTTTGTTTTATTTTGTCTAAGATATTTTCCCCTAAATTATTAACCAGTTCTAGTACCATTATTAAGTAATTTTAGTCTTTGCCTTCTGATTTGGAACCTCCTCTTTATCATATACTAAATTTTCATATATAATTGACTCTTTTCCTGGGTTTTCCCTTTCTTAATCTGTTTAAATCAACATATGTTTTTAGTGACAGTCATTAGACTTCTTTGATTCACATTTGATAGGCTGTTCATATGGATATAAGCCATGCACAGTGTGTTCCAGTGAACACTTGTAATGCTCATTGCAGGATACATTTCTTGATGTATCACAGAGGACCAGAGTTCTTTATTGTTCCATGATTTGCTTTGTATGATTTTTTTACATCTCTATATTGTATGTTTTCACACATGTACATGTGTATTTTTTGCCTTTTACTCTCATTTGTTTTGCAAGTTGTTAGGGTTTGTTTGTTTACTTTTTTGTTATTCAGGATCATTCACCATTAAATTATCTCAGCTCTTATAACCTTGAAGAACAAAGCCCAGAATGGGAAGTAGAATATATAGAGTAAAGGAGGATAGAAAGGCTTCTTAATTATCTTTGTAGGGAGAAAAACATTGATATAACACTTAAAGACCAGGATCATTTCAACTTCATAGACTAGAGTGTATAAATTTGTTATTTTGGTGTGTGTAGTTGCCCATTTTCATACTGCTATGAAGAAATACACGAGACTGGGTAATTTTATAGAAAAAGAGGTTTAATGGTCTCACAGTTGCACATGGCTGGGGAGGCCTCACAATTATGGCAGAAGGCGAAGGAGGAGTAAAGGCAAGTCTTACGTGGCGGCAGGCAGGAGACAATGTGCAGGGGAACTGCCCTTTATAAAACCATCAGCTCTCATGAGATTTATTCACTATCATGAGAACAGCACAGGAAAAACCCACCCCTATGATTCAATTACCTCCTACCAGGTCCCTCCCATGACACGTGGGGATTGTGGGATCCACAATTCAAGATGAGATTTGGGTGAAGACACAGCCAAACCATATCAATGTATTAACTTACAAAAATCCTAATATTGTTATTTTAGTTTTTTTAAATAAATGAGGTCTCACTCTGTCACCCAGGTTGGAGTGCAGTGGTATGATCACAGTTCACTGCAGCCTCAACCTTCCAGGCTCAAGCAATCCTCCCGCCTTGGCCCTCTTAGTAGCTGGGACCACAGGTTTACACCACCACACTTGGCTAATTTTTTATTTTTTTTGTAGAGATGGGGTCTCCCTATGTTTCACAGGCTGGCCTTGAACTCCTTGGCTTAAGTGATCCTCCTGCCTTGGCTTCCCAAAGTGCCGGGATTACAGGTGTGAGCCAGTGTGCCTGGCCTGTATTGTTATTTTGTTTGTGCTTTCTTTAGCTCCCATGACCCAATCGTGTATTCTAGTCTGGTTTCAGTTACACTGTTGCTTTAAACCACTCCACGACTTTTAGTGGCTTATTAAGCGGTGGGCTCAGCAGGGATGATTTATCTTTCTTCCATGTGGTATCTGTCGGGTTTACTCATGAGGATTCATTAAGCTGGTGGCTAGCTGGGTGTTCAGTGTTGGTCTTATTCACATGTCTGGCGCCAGGCGCTGCTGGCTATAGGCTAGAGTACCTCAGTTCACCCTGTGATGTCATTCTCCATTTGGCCTCTCTATGAGTAGAGTGTGGAATGATTCTTTACATGGTGGCTGATAACTGAGGTGGCAGAGGTGGAAGCCATGAAGACTTCTTAAACCTCCAGGTTCTTGAGCTTATACACCATCACTTCTGCCACATCCTGTTGAGTAACACAAGTCATAAGGTTAACCCAGGTTCAAGGGAGTGGAGAAGAGGATGTCTTAGGATGAGAAGAGCAGTGATAACCCGTTGCAGAGAATATGGCATGATTCTTTGGGGAGTCATTATCTGCCACAATCAAAATAACTTTAGGATAAAAATGTTTCCTAAAAAGTCTGAATTAGAAGCATCATTGGGTGGGAAGATAGCCGAGAACACTCTGGGCAACATAGTGAGACCCCTGTCTCTACAAAAAGTAAAATAAAAAATTAGCCTGTAGCCAGGCCTGGTGGCACATGCCTGTAGTCCCAGCTACTCGGGAGGCTGAGGCTGCAGTGAGCCAAAATCACACCACTGCACTCTCAAAAATAAAAAAAATACATATAAAAAAAAGCCTTGTGTGGTGGCATGTGCCTATAGTCCTGACTACTTGGGAGGCTGAGGTGAGAGGATTGCTGGAGCCTAGGAGGTTGAGGCTGTAGTGAGCTGTGATCGTACCACTGCACTCCAGCCTGAGTGACACAGCGAGGCCCTGTTTCAAAAAGAAAAGAAAAGAGTATTATTATATTAATTTACATTTACTGTTGCTGAAGTACTGACAGTGCAGCCTGAAAATATCTTACGTACTTAGATCAGGAATTAAAAGCAGAAAAAATGGCAGTATTTTGGGGGTATTAAAGTAAAACATCTGTCTTTAATTTGTATGCATTGTGTTCTGCTTGTATGTAAACCTTTTTAGGATGACAGAGATACCAATCTTTCATGGCTTGAAAAGATTAAGGGCCCTCAATGGTCTGATTTAAGCTTCATGAGAAATAAACAAATTCGATGAACTCTTTAAATAGTAAATTTCACACCCAATACTGTTTCATAATGTAGTGATTCAAACAACAGAACATTTTGGTTAAAATTATCTGACATTAAGTTGGACTTCCAATATGTAATTAATTTTTTATTTTATTGAATTCCTTTTTATATTTAGCTCATCAGTTTTAGCACTTTATAGCACACCCTAACTTTATCTAAATTTTTTTGTTAGAGATAACTAATTCATCTATTTTTTTGAGTAAACCCAGGAAATAATTTTTTGCTGGAGTTTCTGTGCCTCTAGTTTCTGGAGAAATTCTCATGCATGGTAGAGGAAAATCTGGTACTGTTCAGATGTGAAGTGCTATGTAAACTTTAAAGTACTATTTTAAAATGTTCACAAAAGTATTTGGTGGTTGTGTTGTTTTGTTTTGTTTTGTTTTGTTTTGTTTTGTTTTGTTTTGTTTTGTTGAGACGGAGTCTCACACTGTTGCCCAGGCTCGGGTGCAGTGGAACGATCTTGGCTCACCACAACCTCCGCCTCCTGGGTTCAAGCGATTCTCCTGCCTCAGCATCCTGAGTAGCTGGGATTACAGGTGCACACCACCATGCCCGGCTAATTTTTGTATTTTTAGTAGAGATGGGGTTTCACCGTGTTGGTCAGGCTGATCCTAAACTCCTGGCCTCGTGATCCGCCCGCTTCAGCTTCCCAAAGTGCTGGGATTACAGGTGTGAGCCACCATGCCTGGCCGTATTTGGTGTTTTTAAGGAGAAAAAGTGTATATTTTGCTGAATGTAAATGTAGCAAATAATTACAGACTTCAGTTGTTTATTAGTATTATTTTAGGCTTATCAAGAATAAAAAAGCTGAACTTACCTAAAAAGAAACTCACACTAGTATTACTTGTTTATAAAACAACACAATGATCAGAGGAAGTGATTTTTGACAGAAGTATTTGTTAATGTTTTAAATTACTAGTTATAAAAAAATCTCTGTTGCATATATGGGGTTATAGTTAAATTAAAATTGGATTTTACTTATATTCGTTTTTAGAAATATAAAGAGAAGGACAAACACAAACAGAAACACAAGAAGCAGCCAGAACCATCACCTGCATTGGTTCCATCCTTGACTGTTACTACAGAAAAAGTAAGTTTTAAGTATCATATTTTGTTTTATGTAATAAGTAGTTATTGTGCTGATTTTCACCTCTAAAAACTGTTTTCATTCCCTAACTTTTCCCAGCTTTTCAACCACATATCAGGCACTTAGAATTCTCATTTCTTTTTTTTTTTTTTTTTTTTTTTTTTTGAGATGGAGTCTCGCTCTGTCACCCAGGCTGGAGTGCTGTGGCACAATCTCAGCTCACTGCAACCTCCACTTACCTGGTTCAAGTGATTCTTCTGCCTCAGACTCCCGAGTAGCTGGGACTACAGGCGCGTGCCACTGTGCCTGGCCAATTTTTTGTATCTTTAGTAGAGACGGGGTTTCACTGTGTTAGCCAGGATGGTCTCGATCTCCTGACCTTGTGATCCGCCCACCTCAGCCTCCCAAAGTGCTGGGATTACAGGCAAGAGCCACCACTCCTGGCCTGAATTCTCATTTCTTACCTTATTCTACCTTCTGTTTATTCTGTGCTTGTCTCCAAAGCCTGTTGTTAAGTAAGGATAACAAGTGGGAACCATCATTGAGACAGAGAATTTTGGCTGTGGGTGGACTTCATTCATCTGAGATTTTGAATTCTGGCCTTGCCACTTACTGATTGAGTGTTTAGGTTAATTAACCTTGGTTAACTCAATTATATCATTTGTAAAGTGGGGGAAATTATTAATGAAATGGAATGACAGAATATGTGTAAAGCAATTAGAACAGTATTTGGTTCATAGTGAGAATTAGTAAATATTAAGTAGTATTAGGATTATTATCTTGTGGTTAATATGAAAACAGAGGGAGACTGGGACAGAATAAATAAGTTGGGAAGTGCAGTAGGAGATGAGTCTAGGGTGAGGGACCCATTATGCAAAGCTGTATAAACCAGTGTAAGGACTTTGTGTTTAGTTTGATCGAAAAGTGAGCTACTGGAGGTTTCTGAATTGAGATGTAACGTGGTCTGACTTAGGTTTTGAAAGGACCTCTGGCTGCTTTGTTTTGGACAGGCTGTGGAAAGTCAGAATGGAAGCAGGGAGGCCATTAGCAAGGTATGCAATCGTCCAGAGAGAGATGGTGGTAAAAACAGAGGTAGTGATAGGTGATCAGATTCTGAATACATACAAAGCCCACCTGACTTTCTTACAGATAAGTTAGAGGCATATGAGAAAGAGAGGATCCATGGATGATTCCAAAGATTTTGGGTCAGATCACTAGAAGGTATAGAGTCACTGTTAACAAAGAGGGGAAAGACTGTGGGCATAGCAGGTTGAGGGGAAAGAAAGGAATTCAGTTTGGGATGTGGTTTTAGTTTTCTATTGCAGTTGAAATTACTACAGTATACCAGTTTAAAACAACATAAACTTACTAGTCGTTCTGTAGGCCAGAAGTCTGGGTGGACTCAGCTGTTTCCTCTAATTAGGGTCTCTCAAGGCCAAAATCAAGGTGTTGGATGGTCTGGGTTCTTATCTGAAAGAATCTGTTTCTACCGTTCGTCAGGTTATTGGCAGAATGAATCTGCTTATATGCTTGGTCAGGTTATTGGCAAAATTTGGTTCCTTGTGATTGGTTGTAGGACTGAGGTGCCCACTTCTTTGCTGCCTGTCAGGTGGGGATCAGCCCTTGGCTTCTAGAGCCTCTTTTTGTTTCCTTGTGCCATTGTCAGATGATCCCCTCCATCTCATAGGTAGCAATGGCATGTTGAATTCCTCTTACACTTGGAATTTTTTTTTGCATCTCTTTTGCTTTTAGTTGGAGAAAGTTCTCTCTTTAAGCTCATGTGATTAGATTGGGTCTACCTGGAAAGTCCAAGATAACGTCCCTATTTTAAAATCCTTAAGTTTAATTACATCTGCAAAGCCCCTTTTGCCATGTAATATAACATATTCACAGGTTTCAGGGATTAGAATGTGGACATCTTGGTTGAGGGGTGCTATCCTGCCTACCACAGATACGTTGGCGTTGAGATGTATCTATTAATATTAGACATCTGAGTAGATATGCTGACTAGCCAGTTGGATAACTAGTCTGGTATTCAGAAAAGAGGTCTCAACTTTGGATATTAAATGTGGGAATTATATGCATATGGAGTTATTTAAAGCCACAAGACTGAATGATACCACTAAGGGAGAAGTGAGTGCAGGTAGAGAAATAGGCCTTAGGAGGCTCAGGACCTCCTGTGTCGAAAGATCTGGAAGAGGAGGTACAACCGACAAAGGAGACTGAGAAGAGGCTAGAGTTTGGAAGAAAACTAACAGGATGTGGTATGCTGGAAGCCAAGTTAAAGAAAGGTGGGGATAAGTGAACTGTGTCATATATTAAGGACTAGCCCTTTTAGTCATTTGGAGGTCATTACTGACCTTGAACAGTTTTAAAGTACTGATTGAGGCAAAAGCCTGATTGGAGTGCTTTATAGAGAGAATGGGGGAGAAAAGTCAGACAGTGTGTGTAAATGAGGAGCTTTGCTATGAAGAGGAGCAGAAGAATAGGTTAGGGAAGTGGAGATAATGAAGGGTATTTTAAAAATAAGATAAATAATAGGATGTTAGGTACACTAATAGGAATGATTCAGTAGAGAGGAGGAATAATGAAATGATAGAAAAGACAGAAATATTGCTACAGTGATGTCCCCTAGAATATGAGAAGGGATGGGATTTTGGGGAAAATATCTTGTGATAAATCCAGACGTTTTTTGGTAAAGTAAGAAGCAATGCTTTTAGTTGTGACGATTTGAGGAGTATTAGAGATTTGAGTGAAGAAAAAAAGGCATGAGATGGTTAACTATAATAATGCAAAAGAAAATTTCCACAATGTTTACTATGATTTCTGGGTAGTCACAGTGTTCCACCTGAAGGTTCATGGGCAAGACTTAAAGGTGAGGCAGATTTACACAGCTTTTTGTTTTTCTCTATTCTTGTCCATCTCTATGGACGTGGGCACAGAGTAGGGTTTGGTCAGGTTGTTATTTTACCATCTGAATACAGCGAATGAGTGAGGGTAAATGCCAGGGGGGTTATAATGATGGATCATTATATTTAAACCCAGTGGGTAGGGAAATGAGGACAATAGATGAGGGATAGTATATACTGGTTCATGGTTTCTGGTGAAATTAAGGGATTGTTGAAGGCTGCGCATGGTGGCTCATGCCTGTAGTTTCAGTACTTTGGGAGGCTGAGGCAGGAGGATTGCTTGAGCCCAGGAGTTTGAGACCAGCCTGGGCAACTCAGTAAGACCTCAAAGATTGTTGGAGTAGTAAAGAGTGAATTAGAAATATGAAGTGGTATTTAAGAGTAGGATATATGAAATGGAGATTATTGAGGGTTTGAGATTATTTAATCATATCAGAATCTAGGATGTGATCAGGGCATGAGGGGCTGCTGTAGGGCAGAAGACAAGATCATTGGAAGAGAGGCTGTCAAGGAACAGAGAGACTGGAGGTTATAAAAGATTGTCTAGATGTATACTGAATTCTCTAAGAAGTAAAATAACAGTAGTGTTGAAGACTGACAGTAATGTAGGTACTAAGGTAGTGGTTGGCAAGCTTTTTCTGTCAGGGGCTGAATACTAAGTATTTTAGGTTTTGTAGGCCATACTGGCTCTTTTTAATACTCAGACCTTTGTTGCTGTAGAACAGAGTAGCCATAGACAATTTGTAAACAAGCGGATGTGGCAGTGTTCCAGCAAAACTTTATTTATGGACACTGGAACTTAAATTTCATAGAATAGTTTTCACGTGTTATGAAATAGTCTTCTTTTGATTTTTTTTTAAAAAGCCATTTAAACGTATTAAAATCATTCTTAGCTGTTGAGCTATACAAAAACAGGTGGATGACTAGAGGGCCTGTAGTTTGCTGTATCCTACCCTAATGATGAGACCTAATGGTTGCTAATGTCTGGTAACTTGAGATTTTTTTGCTGAAAGGTTTTAGAGAGTTGTAGAATTAACATTGAGGAATGAGGAAACCTACCTCATCTCCATACCCAGTGATACAAGAGCTGTGGGAGCAAAGTAACGTTGAGATAGCTACAGAGTAAACAGTGGGTTTCAGGGTCGATCTAAGTTTTTGTTGGAACAAGAATCAGAGGAGATGTTCAGAGAAAAGGATGGGGTACATTGCACCTTGTTCTCGGAGCACAGTGGAAGGCTTTCAGCTGTTGAAGGAGGGGTGGCAGGTGTGGACATAATAGGGGAGGTTCACAACCGTGTAGGGATGAGGCAGGTGAGGATGGACCAGGAGTCTTTTGATGACTGACATAAAAACAGGGAGAAAGTCATTATCCGATTGACCCTGGTAGACTTCAGGCAAATAAGATGAGGCCTTGAGTGTTTGAAGAGGTTGGGTAGAGAGGTAGTATGGGCTTCTTCTTGATCCTGATGGCTGGTAGAAGCCTTCAGTCATAGGTTCCTTTTTGGGGAACGGTGTCATTTTACATTGGTTCACCACACTCTTATCTTCTCTTGATGGAAAGATAGGGATAGGTCAGGGAAAGAAAGGCTGTTTTACCCAGAACTTTAGGGTTCCTTCTAGACTATATGGGTTTTTAAAAATTATTGATATATCGTAGTTGTACATATTTTGGAGGTACATGTAATATTTTGATACATGTACACAATGTGTAGACTCCATGGTTGATGATGGTAGAGCACACTTAAATTGAAAGTCAAGGGAACTTTAATTCACTACTGTAATTTTTAAATGTCTGTATCATGTAGTGTTTGCACAGTTTTAACCTTAGTTTACCATCTCTTACTCCTTAGTAAAAAATTCCGTTTCATTTATTTCTTTATTAACTTAGATTATACTGCCTTATATTTTTTAGTGCACTTTTTCTGTGACTAACCTTTAACCCTTTTGCATATAAATGTTTTAAAACTAGAAATTAGCAACAAGTATCTACTTCAATATTATGTTATTAATGTGGTATCACTATCACCTTTTAAATATTGCAACTATAATTTACTAGTGTAATATTTTCACACAAATCTTTGGTAACGATGGTAGTGGACCACCGGTGATACATAAGCATTGTTCACTAAGATTGTTATCAGAGGGAGTAAAAGTGTAAGTGTCTTTTCCAGAAGCCATAGCTCTTTGTTTCTATGATTGGGGGATTTTGGTTCTTAGGTAAAAGATGATTAGATGGAACACATAGGATTCTGTGTCTGCAAGAACTTGATGTACGGAGTCCTTTAATATGACAAAACAAGTAGAGACAGCTTATGTTTTTAGGAAAGTGTGGTTACTCCCCTGATTTCCCCAATTTATAGTCTTTCTGAGCACTTCAAACTAGTTTCCTTCTTCCCATGGTAGAAGAGGATATTGCCAAGGAAAAAAAGGGGAGATGCCAGGTGGGGTAGCTCACACCTATAATTCCAGCACTTTGGGAGGCCAAGGTGGGTGGATCATTTGAGGCCAGGAGTTTGAGACCAGCCTGGCCAACATGGTGAAACCCTGTCTCTACTAAAAATACAAAAAATTAGCTGGGCATGGTGGCATGTGCCTATAATCCCAGCTACACGAGAGGCTGAGGCAGGAGAATTGCTTGAACCCCAGAGGCCGAGGTTGCAGTGAGCCAAGATGGTAGCACTGCACTCCAGACTGGGCGACAGAGCGAGACTCTGTCTCAAAAAAAAAAAAAAAAAAAAAAAAGGTGAGAAAGTCTTCGTTTTGACCTGATAGAGATTTGCTTGCTGTCAATGTTATTTTGGTAAAGAAATTCGTAGATGCTTATAAGCCACAGTTCTCTTTTTAAATTGACAAATTGAACCTCACAGCTTGTTAAAAGCAATCTTTAACACATTACCTTTCATTATTATTAGAAGACTTAGTTGTTTCTCAGCGTCATTATAAATAGCTCACAATTTTTAGTTGTTTGAATTTTGAGGTAATTTAGCTTTTAAAGTACAGCTTTTGTTTGTTTTAAGGAAGGTTTTCGTGCACCAGAGATACGTGATCAGGTTTTTGTCTCTTTCTCTTTGCAGCATTTTTTAAAAGAGGATAAAGGAGAACCTAATTTTAAGTAAATCCTTTCAATTAGCTGTTAAATTTTGTACTGATTTTTAAGACTTTCAGGAGAAAATTTTTGGTAAAATAAGTTAATTTTTATGTGTAATTTAAAAATTTTAATGTTTCTTTAAGGATCATCTTTTAAAGAAATCTTTAGAACTTTGAAGTTATAATGAAATCCAAGTGGAGATTTAATCTTTTTTATTGTCACTTTATCTCTCTGTTCTTTCCTTGTATTTTTACAACACAATACAATTATATTTAAAAGTTAAGCTTTTTTAAAAAGTAAATTTAATTTTGAAGGAAATACACACAATCTTAGGATCATAAGGTATTCAGAAGTCTAATATATCATAAATATATTATACACGATACATTGCACATATTTAAAATAGAAACATTGATAACATTTTGACATATGTACACATTAGTGAAACTACCACCACAATCACAGGCAACAGTTTCCTTGTGACTTCTTTTAATCTCCTTCTCCCTGAGTTCACATCCTTCCCCAAGCAACTACTGATCTGCTTTTTGTCAGTTTAAATTAGTTTGAATTTTCTGTAATGTTAAAAAATGGAAACATATAGTATGTATGCTTTTTCTGTCTGGCATCTTTCAGCATAATTATTTTAAGATTTTTTCTTGTTGTATGTTTTAATAGTTCATTTTTTGGCTAACCACAATTGTGTGTATGGATATACTATAATTAGCTTATCCATTCAACAATTGATGGACATTCAGGTTGTTTTTAGTTTTGGGCTGTTACAAATAAAGCTACTATAAATATTGTATAAATCTTATAAGATATATGTTTTTATTTCTCTTGCATGAATACCAAGGAGTGGAATGGTTGGGCCACATGGTAGGTGTGGCTCACCATGGTAGGTATATGCTTTTTTTGTATGTGTGACGGAGTCTCGCTCTGTCGCCCAGGCTGGAGTGCAGTGGTGCAATCTTGGCTCACTGCAGCCTCTGCCTCTTGGGTTAATGCATTCTCCTGCCTCAGCCTCCCGAGTAACTGGGACTACAGGCGCCTACCACCATGCCCGGCTAATTTTTTTGTATTTTTTTAGTAGAGATGGGGTTTCGCCGTGTTAGCTAGGATGGTCTCAATCTCTGGACCTCGTGATCCGCCCTCCTAGGCCTCCCAAAGTGCTGGGATTACAGGCATGAGCCACCGTGCTTAGCTGGTATCTTTTTATGTGCATATTTGTTATTTGTTATTTTTGGTGAAGTGTTTATTAAGCTCTCCCCACCACCTGCTTTTTTTTTATTGGCTTGTTTTGTTGTTATTGACTTTTGTGAGAGTATGTATTCTGGATGCAGGTCCTTTGTCAGATACATATTTGCAGATACTTATCTCACTCTGTGGCTTATATTTTCATTCTTTTAATCTTTTGAAGAGCAGACATTCTTTATGAAATTTAGTTTATGAATTTTTTTGTGTTTTCTTTTACAAGCTTTTAAAACTATAATTCAGGAGTATATAGTCACACAGCCCAGACTGGTTAGCCAAATCTAAAATAAACTGGCTTCTTATCACAACTAATGTGTGAACATTGCAACCCTTCTTCTCTCCAGAATGACCATAAAAAAAGTTACTGTAGAGAAACAGAAACCTAGGTTTGAGGCAAAACGTAAAAACCAAAGGAAAAATAGCAATTCAGTGGTTCGTTGGTGAAAGCAGGAAAGTTTGTGCCCTTCACTGGGCTACTTTGCTCTTCTTACTCTTAATCTTTTTTTTTTTTTTTTGAGACGGATTCTCGCTTTGTTGGCAGGGTTGGAGTGCAGTGGTGTGATCTCGGCTCACTGCAGTCTTTGCCTCCTGGGTTCAAGGGATTCTCATGCCTCACCCTCCCGAGTAGCTGGAATTATAGGTGCCCACCACCACGCCTGGCTGATTCTTGTATTTTTAGTAGAGATAAGGTTTAACCATGTTGGCCAGGCTGGTCTCAAACTCCTGAGCTCAGGTGATCCACCCGCCTTGGCCTCCCAAAGTGCTGGGATTACAGGTGAGCCACAATGCCTGGCCTTAGTCTTGCTCTTTTTGTTCCTCTTCTTCAGTCCATCCATGTTAGACCTCAATAGGTTTGAACAAACCATCTATTCGTTTCTTTGGAGCTTACCACAGTGATGATTGTTCCTTGCTAGTGTATAAAAATCCTGTTGAAATTTCTGTGTTTATTTTGTATCCTGCCACCTTGCTTAAACTTTTTTTTGAGACAGTCTTGCTCTGTTGCCCGGGCTGGAGTGCAGTGGCTCATTGCAGCCTTGACCTCCCAGGCTCAAGCATACTCCCACCTCAGCCTCCTGATCAGCTGAGACTAGAGGTACACACCACCATGCCCATCTAATTTTTTCTTATAATTTTTTGTAGAGATAAGTTTCGCATGTTGCCTAGGCTGGTCTTGAACTCCTGGGCTTAAGCCATTTGCCCCCCCTTAACCCACCAAAGTGCTGGGATTACAGGCGTGAGCCACCATGCCTGGCCACTTTAATTTTTGTTTGCTTACATTGGGCTTAATTGGCTCTTCTTTTTCTACTATTTTGAAGATTAAGGCCAGGCACGGTGGCTCACGCCTGTATCCCAGCACTTTAGGAGGCTGAGGCAGGTGGATCACTTGAGGTCAGGGGTTCCAGACCAGCCTGGCCAACATGGAGAAACTCTTTCTGTACTAAAAATACAAAAATTAGCCGGGCATCGTGGTGCAGGCCCATAGTCCCAGCTACTCGGGAGGCTGAGGCAGGAGAAGCACTTGAACCTGAGAGGCGGAGGTTGCAGTGACCCGAGATCTCACCACTGCACTCCAGCGCGGGTGACAGAGCAAGACTCCATCTCAAAAAAAAAAAAAAAAAAAAAGCCAGGTGTGGTGGATCCCCTGAGGTCAGGAGTTCAAGATCAGCCTGGCCAACATGGCGAAGCCCCGTATCTACTAAAAATACAAAAATTAGCTGGGTATGGTGCCGGACGCCTGTAATCCCAGCTACTCAGGAGGCTGAGGCAGGGAATCACTTGAACCCAGGAGGTGGAGGTTGCAGTGAGCCAAGATAGCGTCATTGCGCTCTAGCCTGGGTGACAATCAAAACTCTGTCTCAAAAAAAAAAAAAAAAAAAAAAGATTATTGTTCTTCTATCTTCTTTTCTAATATATTCATTCAGTGCGATAAATTCCTCTTTAAATGCTGCTTTCCCAGCATCTGACAAATTTTTATGTTTTATTTTCATTTAGTTCCATATATTTTAAAATTTCTCTTTATATTTCTTCTTTTACTTATATGTTGTTTAGAAGTGTCTTGTTTAATCTCCATGTGTTTTTGGATTTATGGCCACCTTTCTGGTATTGATTTCTGGTTTAATTTCACTGTGGTCTGAGAGAGCAAGGCACACTGTATGATTTCTATTCTTTAAAATTTGTTAAGGTGTGTTTTATGGTCTAGAATGTGGTCCATCTTGGTTAATGTTCCATGTAAGCTGGAGAATAGAAGAATGTGTCATCTGCTGTTGTTGGACGAAGTAGTCTACAGATGTCAATTATATACAGTTGATTGATAGTACTGTTGAGCTCAACTGTGTCCTTAACTGATTTTCTCACTAGTGTATCTGTTAATTTCTGGCTGCAGTATCAATTTCTATCAGTTTTTGCTTCATATATTTTGACTTCTTTTGTTAGTCACATACACATTAAGGATTGTTATGTCTTTTTGAAGTATTAACACCTTTATCTTATTTTATTACTCTCTTTAGTCCTGATAACTTTCTTTGCTCTGAGTCTGTTCTGTTCATAATATAGTATTTCTGCTTTTTGAAAATTAGCATTAGCACAGTATACCTTTCTCCATTTCCTTTTTATTTATTTACTTTTATATGGAACGCTTCACGAATTTGCATGTCACTCTTGCACAGGGGTCCTACTAATCTTCTCTGTATCATTCTAATTTTTGTATGTGTGCTGCCAAAGTGAGCACGATTTCCTTTAAACTCTACATGTCTTTATATTTAAAGTAGGTTTCCTGTAGACAACATGTAGTTGCTGCTTGGTTTTGGATCTGTGACAATCTTTATTTTTTAATTGGGGTATTTAGACCATTGCCATTTAAGGTGATTATTGATATAATTGGGTTAATATCTACCATATTTATTATTATTTTTCATTTTTAAATTTTTGTTACTGTTTTTGTCATTCACAGCTTTTGTGGTTTTTATTGAGTATTTTATATGATTGCATTTTCTTGTCTTTTTTTTCACCCTCTCATCACACTTTAAGTGTTTTATTTCACTGTCTGCTTGATTGCATGTTTTCTGAGGCAAATTCAGATATCATTCTTACACTTAGTGCCTGTGTGGGTAAGGTGTTTTCTTCTGGCTTCCTTCGTGGATTTTAATCTTTGAGCATGGAGGTGTACTTCCCTTACCCCCTCCTTTTTTTGCATTTATCTTGTTTGGCATCCTCTAAGTTTCTTTGATAGCTGGTTTGGCTACTGCCATTTATTCGAGGGGAAGTTTTTGGACGTTATGATTTCAAATATTGCTTCTTCTCTTTTCTTCTCTTCCCTGTATTCCCATTTTAACTATGTCATGTGTTTTGTATATGTCCCAGCATTCATGGATATTTTGTTTGCTTTTGTTTTCCAGTCTTTTTTCTCTTTCCTTTTCAATTTTGGAAGTTTTTATTGTCATATCCTCAAGCTTAAGAGATTTTTTTCTTGAGTTGTGTCCCACTCTGCTGATGATTCCATCAAAGACATTCTTCATTTCTGTTTGTTTTTGATCTCTCTGGCATTTCTGATTTGCTTTCATTATGCATATGTTCTTGCATGTTGTCTACCTTTTCCATTAAATTCCTTATCATATTAATTATAGATTTCAAAAATTATTGGTCTCATAATTCCAACATTCCTGCCATGTCTGACTTGGTTTCTGATGGTTTTTCACTTTATTTAAACTGTATTTTTTGCCTTTTGTGTTGTTGTTTCAAGTTGAACATTATATCCTGGCAAAGGGAACTGCACTATAAATAGGCCTTTAGTTAACGTGCTAGTGAATTGTGGGGAACAGGAGATCTTATATTTCTATAATTAGGTTTCAGTCTTTAGGTGAACCTCTACCCCTGGAATGTGAACTGCATAGGGGCTTCTTAGTTATTTTTTTCTCCCTCAAGTGGGACAGGATGATGGTTAGAGTCGCCTGAGGTTGTACATTTCCCTTCCCTAGGTTAGTTAGGCTCTGACAAAAACCTCCACAGGTTAGGATCTGGTTAAATAGTTAAATAGCAGGCCTTGTTAGGAAAAAGAAAGCTCTGGTTATTTCAAAATGGTTCCTTTTCCCCCTTTATTGGAGGGATCTCTGGGGGACTCTGTCTCCGGTATTCACTCTGTGGGCCTGCTAGAGGTCCTAGAGGTAAAATTCACAAAAGTGTGAGGGTCCCCCAAGACCAGGTCCCCCTGGAGGTTTTCTTTTTCGGGCTTGTTCACACTGTGCCTCCAGCAGTATCAACTAAAATAGTTCAGGTTTTCTTTCCCTGGTACTGGTTCCTGCAGAGGTTTCAGCTGCTGGATTTGCTTAAGTAAGTTGTAAGTCTCTCTGTGCACTGATTTGTCTTTCCTTTTTTTTTTTTTTTGAGACGGAGTTTCACTCCTGTTGCCCAGGCTGGAGTGCAATGGTGTGATCTCGGCTCACTGCAACTTCTGCTTCCCGGGTTCAAGTAATTCTCCTGCCTCAGCCTCCCAAGTAGCTGGGATTACAGGCATGTGCCACCATGCCCAGCTAATTTTTGTTTTTGTTCGTTTGTTTGTTTTGTTTTTGTTTTTTGAGAGAGTCTTGCTCTGTCACCCAGGCTGGAGTGCAATGGTGTGATCTCAGCTCACTGCAAGCTCCATCTCCCAGGTTCACACCATTTTCCTGCCTCAGCCTCCCGAATAGCTGGGACTACAGACGCCTGCCACCCCACCTGGGTAATTTTTAAATATTTTTTAGTAGAGACGGGGTTTCACCTTGTTAGCCAGGATGGTCTTGATCTCCTGACCTTGTGATCCGCCTGCCTCCACCTCCCAAAGTGCTGGAATTACAGGTATGACCCCCAATTTTTTGTTTAGCAGTTTGCCCTGTGACCTCTCAATTCACTGATATAAGAGTTGGTGATTTTCAGTTTGTTGAGTTTTGTGTTTGTTTTAGGGCAGAGCAAAGACTTCTCTCTGCTCCTTATATGCTCAACGAGAAACCAGAATTCCTAGTATAGGCATTTAATGATATAAACTTCCCTCTTAAGTAGGGCTTTATGAATTTTGATATGTTGTGTTTTCATTTTTATTTAGTTAAAAAATGCTTTGTATGGTTTTCCTTTTCTTCTTTGACCTATGAGTTACTTAAAAGTGTGTTATTTAGTTTAGAAATATTTGGATATTCACTTTGTTACTGATTTCTAATTTAATATTTTTGTGTTATCATTCCTTTTAAGTTTATTGATACTTTTTTGATGCAGAACATGGATTATCTTGTTAAACATTCTATGTATGTGTTTTTTTTTTGTTTGCTTTTTGTTTGTTTGTTTTTTTTTTTTGAGGGGGAGATAGAGTCTCCCTCTGTCCTGGAGTGCAGTGGCACGATCTCAGCTCACTGCAGCCTCTGCCTCCCAGGTTCAAGCGATTCTCCTGTCTCAGCCTCCCAAGTAGCTGGGACTTACCCAGCTAATTTTTGTATTTTTAGTAGGGACAGGGTTTCACCATGTTGGTCAGGATGGTCGCGATCTCTTGACCTCGTGACCTGCCCCCTCAGCCTCCCAAAGTTGCTGGGATTACAGGCGTGCCCGGCTCTATGTGTTTTTTATAACAATGAATGTGTATTCATTTGTAGTTGTGTGGAGTTTTTCTGTAAATGTCCATTAGGTCAAGTTGATTTATATTAAGTTTTCTATATCCTTACTCGTTTTTTGCTTGTTTGTTCTGTCAGTTATTGTGAGCGGTGGGTATTAGGTGCAGAAACAATTAGGATTTTTGTATCTTGATGAGTAAGCCACTGTATTTTGTTAATATTCTTTGTTGTGAAATCTACTGGCTGATATTAATATAGTGAATTTAGCTTTCTATTGATTAGCTTTAGCTTGATGTTTCTTTTCACATGCTTATACTTTCTTTGTGCCTTTATATTTAAAATAGGCTTCTTTTTTCTTTTCTTTTTTTTTTTTTTTTTTTGAGATAGAGTCTCGCTCTGTCACCCCGGCTGGAGTGCAGTAGCATGATCTCAGCTCACTGCAACCTCTGCCTCCTGGGTTCAAGTGATTCTCCTGCCTCAGACTTCCAAGTAGCTGGGATTGCAGGTGTGCATCACCATGCCTGGCTAATTTTTGTATTCTTAGTAGAGACGGGGTTTCACCATGTTGGCCAGGCTGGTCCTGAACTCTTGGCCTCAAGTGATCCACCTGTGTCGGCCTCTTAAAGTGTTGGGATTACAGGCGCGAGCCACTGCGCCTGGCCTGAAGTTAATTTAACTTAAAATAGGCTTCTTTTTTGTTTGTTTGTTTGTTTTTTTTGGGGGGGGGGGGGTTTCACTCTTGTTGCCCAGGCTGGAGTGCAATGGCACGATTTTGGCTTACCGCAACCTCCGCCTCCTGGTTTTAAGCGATTCTCCTGCCTCAGCCTCCTGAATAGCTGGGATTACAGGTATGTGCCACCACGCCCAGCTAATTTTGCATTTTTAGTAGCTACAGGGTTTCTCCGTGTTGGTCAGGCTGATCTCCAGCTCCTTACCTCAGGTGATCCACCCTTCTCCGCCTCCCAAACAGCTGGGATTACAGGTGTGAGCCACTGCGCCCAGCCAAAATAGGTTTTTTTAAGGCAGCGTATAGTCATGTTATGAGTTTATTCATTCATTGTTGCAATCTTTGCTTTTTAATTGGGGTGTTTAGAGAATTTACAGATAATATGATTCTCTGAGTGGTTGTATTTTATTATAATACTGTTATTATTATTATTATTGGAACAGGGTCTTGCTCTGTCTCCCAGGCTGGAGTGCAGTGGCTTGATCTCGGCTCACGGCAACCTCTGCCTCCTGGGTTCAAGCGATCTCCCACCTCAGTCTCCTGATTAGCTGAGACTACAGGTGCAGCTAATCTACAGGTAGAGACAGGGTTTTACCATGTTGGCCAGGCTGGTCTCGAACTCCTGACCTTAGTCGATCTGCCTGACTCCAAAAGTTCTGGAATTACAGTGTGAGCCACTGCACCTGGCCTCTGTGTAGTTGCATTTTAATCTAACATTTGCTAATCCTTTTCTTTTTGCCCATCATTTCTCTTCCCTTCTCTTTCTCTGTCTGCTGTATGTTTGATTGAACTTTTTTTATGATTCAGTTTTGCCTGATTTGCAATAATTTTTTGTTATATTGTATTGTTTGATTTAGAGAGTACGGTATAGCGTCGTTAGCCTATCAGAGTTTACCTTCAAGCAATATTATACTAGTTTACATAAAGTATAAGAACCTTGTAGCTGTATACTTCTCCCCTTTTGGTTTTGTGCTATTTTTATCACTTATTGTTTTTTTACATATATTATAAAACACAATTTATTGTTACTACTTTTGCTCTATATCATCTGTCTTGTAAAGAGTTTAAAATAGGCCAGGCGCGGTGGCTCATGGCTGTACTCCCAAACACTTTGGGAGGCCGAAGCGGGTGGATCACGAGGTCAAGAGATCAAGACCATCCTGCCCAACATGGTGAAACCGCTCTCTACTAAAAACACAAAAATTAGCTGGGCATGGTGGCAGGTGTCTGTAGTCCCAGCTACTGGGAAGGCTGAGGCAGGAGAATCGTTGGAACCCGGGAGGTGGAGGTTGCAGTGAGCTCAGATCGCACTACTGCACTCCAGCCTGGCGACAGAGCAAGACTCTGTCTCAAAAAAAAAAAATAAATAAAAAAGTAAAATAATGGAACAAGTCTTTATTGTTTACCATTTTTACTGTATTTGTCTGTTACTCCTTCCTTATCTCTTTTCACAGTTTCAGTTATCTTCAGTCAACTGCGGTCTGAAAAATATTGAATAGAAAATTCCAGAAATAAATACATTATAATTTGCACACTGTTTTGAGTGGTGTGATGAGAAATTTCACATCATCATCATCTCTCTGTACTATATTTACTATTAGCAATGAACATTTCTAATGCTCTTCCTTCTTTTTGGTATATTCACATTTCATTTATTATTTGTCTGAAATAGTTCTTTTAGCATTTATTGTAGTGTTGGTCTGCTAGTGATTAGTTCTTTCTGCTTTTATATCCAAAAAAGCCTTTATTTTGTATTTGTTTTAGAAAGATATTTTATAATAGCTGCCTGTGGAATTCTAAGTTGACAGTTTTTTCTTTTAGTACTCTCCTGTTTTCTAGATCGAATGTTTTCAGGGAAGATTTTGCTTTCATTCTTAATCTTTGTTTTTGGAGTGTAAGACATCCTTAAAAAGAAAAAAGAAAAGCCTGGTTTCTTGTAACATTTCCTCTTTATCATTGGTTTTTAAAGATAAGCAATTTGATAATGAACTGAGTTCATTTACTTTTCTTCATATTTATTTTTCTTGGGGTTACTTGAGGTTCTTAAACTGTGGGGGTTTTTTTTTTTTCATCAATTTTATAATTTTTCCTACTATTATTTCTTCAGTTTTGTGGGGATTTTTTGTTCGTTTGTTTTGATCCTCCCATTCTTTTTGAGTATTCTAGTAGCATGTAAATTAGGCTACTTAAGGTTGTTCTACAGCTCACTGTTTTTTTTTTAATGTACTCATTCTTTTGGTGATTTATGTTGGGTAGTTTACATGTTGTAGTCTCAAGGTTGGCTTGGTACAAAGTTTGTGGTTTTTATGGGACACTTGAATAGTACATTATTTTATTTTAATATTTTAACCAGCACATTATGTTTTCTAATGGTTGAAGGCATAGCACTTGCCATCACCAATGCAGATGACAGAGCCTTGTAGACTAATCTGAGGCAACCATACCTTTTGTAAATAATCATAGCTGCTGTTTCTTTGGTTACTTGTTATAGAGTCATTGTTTAATTTTGGATCTAGTTTTAAATTTTTGTTTGAAGTAAATAATTTTTGTTTCCACTTAATGCTATTGTATAGGTATATTGGTGTTGCAGCTTATCTTAGGACTAATAGTTGGCCATGAAATAAAAATGACGTGTATTCTGAATTAGCCTTTTAAAAGATTAAGTTGCCCGTAAATCACAATGTAGAACAAAGTATGCAGTACTTCAGAGACTCTCAGTACAGCCAAATATCTAGTTTTATCTCCAGTAGAAAACAACAACAACAAAAAAAGAACTTACATTTTTCAGTAGAGCACCAAATGAAGTAGTTGGCATTTTGTGGTCCAATTTACATTAAAAATAAGTATTATTATATACAAGAATTACACTCAGAGCAGTGAGATGTTCATACTATGATAGACATTTAGAATACAAAAGTGAGGAAACAAGATTTTGTGAATTTAGTCTTGGGCTTACTCATAGTGTGTCTTTCAGCCATCTCCCACCTCCTTCTGGTCTCCTTTTACCTGTCTTCGATTTTGAGTTGATCATTGTATGTTTATAATGGAATTCCCTAGTGCCATATTGTCCCAACAGCACATTATGGAACAAGTACTTTTAAAATCATTTTTAAACCTGGAATTAAAATAGATGTTTCTCTTTGAATGAACCCTGCATTGCCTTAGTTAGTGTCATTATGTGTAATTTAAAAATTGTTAACATCTAAAGCTAAAATTCATTTTTTTCACATTAAGTCTGATTATGTTCTGAAACGTAGGTTTGGACATTTAAAAAATGTTCAGTTACAGTTTTAATATGATTTTTTGTCACTGAAGTTTGATTGTTTTATTCATTGCTCTCTTTGTAATACTGTTTCTTCCAAATGTCATGTTTTCATGGGTTTTTATGGACAGATTTATACTTGAGGGTTTGATCAAGGGTGTTCTGTTAAATAAGTGGGAAAAATGACCATCTCTAATGTAGATTGTCATGTGGAAGTGAATAGCGTATTTCCATTTGTAGTACTCTACCCAATTTTCTCTCCATTCTTTATTTGATACATGAGCAAAAATACATGAGTGAAGAACACCACTGTGTTTTCTTAGATGACTTTTAAACTTCACTAGGTCATGCAAGGATCAGATGTGAGAGGAATGGAGAACCTCAGGATCAACTCAAGTAATTGGAAAAAGTATTTGAAAAATGAGGTGGGGTGGTTTCCAAATTGACCTGCCCAGCATGGAAAAGGTTCATATTTCTAAAGTAAGCCATGAAGTTTCATCAGCTTAAATGTAATTGGTTTGTAAAATGGGATTTTTTTTTTCCTTTTAAACTTACTTTGAAACGTTTGTTCTTGTTTGTGGATTGTAGTTTGTTAGAATAGTGGAGTACTTTGTTTTTATGAAATATTTCTTCTATTTAATGATGAATATCTGTTATTGGCACTGAGATGATGGGGGCTGGGGATGGCAACAGGGTGACAGAAAAGCAGCAAGATTTGGTTTTCCAAACACTTAATTTCTTCTCTTATTCCTCTTTTTGAAATTGTTTTTGCTAAAAATGCCAGCCATTTTGAAACTTTATTTTATTGTCATGTTCTCGTTTTTCATATTCATCTGATTGTTTGTGTTGAGTGGTGGCTGTATGTGGGAAAATTCACTTTTGCATATTTTCAGATTTTTTTCATTTTTATAGCAGAGATTTTAGATAGATACAATAAAAAAGTATTAACTTATCCAACAAAAATTTAGTGCCGATTATGTAGCAAGCACTTAGTGAACTTTATGCTGTGCATGCCTCAGATACTTTAGTGAACTTAATGGCAACATCAAAATCTTTGCCCTTATGGACTTTATAAACCTTTGATTTCAAAACATGGTGATTAATGTGCATCTGGTATAATACACTTTCATGTAGTCATTTTATTCACCATTATTTGGGTATACCTTGTATTAAAAATGACTGCTAAAACTGGAAACTATACAAGTCTTCATCTTTTTACCTTAACAAATGCAGATCAAGGGAATGATTGAGAACCATTTTTAGGGATAGTTATAAAATCTTACCTTTGCGATATATAACTTTTTCCTCAACATAACAATTGGAAAAATGATTTCTGTTTCAAATCTTTCTGTTTTTTTTTGCAAAGGGGCCCTCACCTGGTTTCCTTCAAAAGTTTTGCTCTGTCCTCCGCTAGCCTTATAAACTCATGGATATGGTCCTCTAATGGATTTGTAGCACCTTAGTTCCCTTATTGTCACCTTCCTGTGTTGAATACTAAAGCTTATTTTAATTTCATGTCTAGGAAGTGTAGACATTGTTAAAAAAAAATGATGTTGCTTGACAAATGAGTATCTTCAGTATTACTGTGTCACTTCATAAATATAACTAATACATACTTTTACTAGTTGTTGCAATTTGATCCTGAAACAGCCATCTTTAAATTATGTAGGCTTTTTCTTTTCTTTTCTTTTTTTAAAAGTAATTATAATAGACTTAAATTGTTTTTGGATGATTTTCTTAGGTGAACTGACTTATTTTTAGAACAGAAACTTTGT
Organism: Homo sapiens; assembly: GCF_000001405.40. NCBI lineage: Eukaryota > Metazoa > Chordata > Mammalia > Primates > Hominidae > Homo > Homo sapiens. The sequence goes on from NC_000010.11 coordinate 21,670,348, forward strand.
GTTTATTCTGCAAGTTCTTCTTATTAATGTGGCACCCATTGTTTTCTGTAACTAAAATGTAATCAACTCTTTTTCCTTCCCTTTTTGAATCAAAATGTTAGACTTATACAAGCACTAGCAACAACTCTATATCTGGATCATTGAAGCGCTTGGAAGATACTACTGCACGATTTACAAATGCAAATTTCCAGGAAGTCTCTGCACACACCTCTAGTGGAAAAGATGTTTCAGAGACTAGAGGGTCAGAGGGCAAAGGGAAGAAATCTTCAGCTCACAGCTCAGGTCAAAGGGGAAGAAAGCCTGGTGGTGGAAGAAATCCAGGAACAACTGTGTCAGCAGCTAGCCCTTTTCCTCAAGGTATTAGTGATGTTTTAGTTAAAATACTTGTGTTTAAGATGGTTAATAATAGTTATGCTTTGTAAAATAATTGGTTTGTTTTTGAACTTATAACTAATGGATGTTCTAGATTATTATATGATTAGTTGCTTTAGTAAGATTACTTTAAAGATAGTGTTTCCTATTAAATTTTTTTAATAGGGACTTTTTCTTTCCTTTTATAATATGATTTGTGCTTCCAGAGTTGAATTGTAATTTTAATGTTTAACTAGATATGGAATAATGCTTAAAATTGGGGAGAAAAATAATAAAAGCTGGAGCTTTGCTTTGAGTTCTGTAGAACAGTCCTTCTTTTTGTTTGAGACGGAATCTCGCTCTGTTGCCTGGGCTGGAGTGCAGTGGCCGGCTCACTGCAACCTCCGCCTCTCAGGTTCAAGTGATTCTTGTGCCTCAGCCTCTTGAGTAGCTGGGATTACAGGTGCATGCCACCATGCCTGGCCAGTTTTTGTATTTTAGTAGAGATGGGATTTCACATGTTGGCCAGGCTGGTCTCGAACTGCTGATCTCAGGTGATCCTCCCGCCTTGGCCTCCCAAAGTGCTAGGATTACAGGTGTGAGATACTGTTCCTGGTGTCTTTTCCATAAATGTTTTTTATTTATATTTCCTAAACATTAAAAACAATTAAGGTTGGCCGGGCGTGGTGGCTCACATCTATAATCCTAGCAGTTTGGGATGCTGAGGTGGGCAGAACTCTTGAGGCCAGCTTGGGCAATGTGGTAAGACCTCATCTCTACAAAAAATTTAAAAATTAGCTGGGTGTGAACTGGGCACAGTGGCTCATGCCTGTAATCCCAGTATTATGAGGCTCAGTCAGGTGGATCATCTGAGTTTAGGAGTTGGAGACCAGCCTAGGCAACATGGCAAAACCCTGTCTCTCTAAAAAATACAAAATTAGCCAGGCATGGTGGCACATGCCTATAGTCCCAGCTACTTCAGAGGCCGAGGTGGGAGGATTGCTTGAGCCCAGGAGGTTGAGGCTGCAGTGAGCTGAGATTGCACTACTGCACTTCAGCCTGGGTGACAGAGTGAGACCCTGTCTCCTTGGACAGGCAAACAAAATTAGCCAGGCTTGGTGATGTCTGCCTGTGGCCCCAGCTCCTCAGGAGGCTACAGTGCGAGGATTGCTTGACCCAGGGAGGTTGAAGCTACAGTGAGCCGTGATTGTGCCACTGCACTCCAGCCTAGGCGACAGAACAAGACCCTGCCTCAAAAAACAAACAAACAAAAAACCAAAAACAAACAATAAAACCCACTAAATAAATAAATACAATCAAGGTTTACATTTTTTAGTAGATAAACAAATACTAGACAATTTTTAGGGGATTTACATAGGTCTCAGTAAATAAGTTGTTGATTAATAATGCATTTGTTATAAAGTTTGAAGTTTAACAGGTTAACACACTAACCTGTTTTCCAGGTTTTCAGTGTGTGTGTGTGTGTGTGTGTGTGTGTGTGTGTGTGTGTGTATTTTGAGACAGGGCCTTGCTTTGTTGCCCAGGCTGGAGGGCAGTCATGTGATCACGGCTCACTGCAAGGTTGACCTCCTGGGCTCAAGCATTCTTCCTGCTTCAGACCCTCAATTAGCTTTTGCCTCCACCTTTGTCTCCCAAGTAGATGGGACCACAAGCATGCGTCACCATGCCCAGCTCATTTTTAAATTTTTTGTAGAGACGGGTTCAGCCTCCTGAGTAGCTGGGATTAGAGGCACACGTCACCACCCCCGGCTAATTTTTATATTTTCAGTAGAGTCGGGGGTTTCACCATGTTGGTCAGGCTGGTCTTGAACTCCTGACCTCATGATCCTCCCGCTTCGGCCTCCCAAAGTGCTGGGATTACAGGCATGAGCCACTGCACCCAGCCTAAGTTTCTTATATCTTAGAATGGTATGGTGGGGTACTCATGTTCTTTAAAGAAAGAATAAGCAGTGATGGCTGATTTCTTTATGAAGTTCCATGAAAATTGGATTGGGAGAATGTGAGATATAGATTAGATTCCATATGATCATTATTTTGTCAAATCCATTTTCTATTATGGTAGATTCAGCTGAACAATAACAATCACTAGTATGTCTTAAAGTTAAAACTTAGAACTCATAACCTAGGAAACTTCTTAAGTTCTTATTGTATATTGGGAACATTTTCAATCATACCTTCAATATTCAAAAAAGAAGTTCCCCTAGACATTTAGAGTCAGATTATAGTCTTGTTAGGTCTTCTTGCATGACTGTGGAAAGGAGACTACTGTTCTGTAGTCCTTCCTCAGGCATACATGAGGTGTTTGGGGGAGAATTGCGGAATGTTGCTGTGGCAAAAGGTAGGTGAAATAAAGCGCATCTTATATCTTAATAATTATTTAAGTAATAGCTTGCAATTCCACAGTAAACATTTAATACCATCTATAAAATGACACATGTTTTTAAAGGTAATTTTGGGGATAAATTTGACAAGTCTTAATATACGAATGTCCTAAGTGTTGTAGTTAATTTTTTTAAACTCTTCTCTTTAATGATTATATCATGTCTGCTGCTTATGGGAACTTTAGCATCCAATTTTTCTGTCCCCCCCACCCCCCAACTTTTTTTTTTTTTTTTTTTTTTAAACTACAGGCAGTTTTTCAGGAACTCCAGGCAGTGTAAAGTCATCTTCTGGAAGTTCAGTGCAGTCTCCCCAGGATTTCCTGAGCTTTACAGACTCAGATCTGCGTAATGACAGTTACTCTCACTCCCAACAGTCATCAGCAACCAAAGATGTACATAAAGGAGAGTCTGGAAGCCAGGAAGGGGGGGTAAATAGTTTTAGTACCTTAATTGGCCTCCCTTCAACCTCAGCTGTTACTTCACAGCCTAAAAGCTTTGAAAATTCACCTGGAGATTTGGGTAATTCCAGCCTTCCTACAGCAGGATATAAGCGGGCTCAAACTTCTGGCATAGAAGAAGAAACTGTAAAGGAAAAGAAAAGGAAAGGAAATAAACAAAGTAAGCATGGGCCTGGCAGACCCAAAGGAAACAAAAATCAAGAGAATGTTTCTCATCTCTCAGTTTCTTCTGCTTCACCAACATCATCTGTAGCATCAGCTGCAGGAAGCATAACAAGCTCTAGTCTGCAGAAATCTCCTACATTGCTCAGGAATGGAAGTTTACAGAGCCTCAGTGTTGGCTCATCTCCAGTTGGTTCAGGTAGGGGTTTGCCTATTATTATTTTTCTCCTTCACTCCCACCACCTCCCTTCTTCTGTCCCAAAACGTTTTCAACTGTTGTTACGATAATACTTGAAATTAATAAATGACATTTAATTAAAGTGAAATTTCTCAGTTTTTAAATTTTCTAATGGAAAATACAAAAATATCTTAAAGTCTTAGATGATTTGGTGTTTGGGAAAGATGTTCGGCACTAATTTGATTTTACTTAATTAAATGTAGGCTAAACAATCTATTGGTCATTCATTACTTACAAAACACTTAGAATTTATTTCCTATTTTTGTTTCACCTGCACAGTATTTTTTTTTTAATGCAGAATTTATATTTAGGGTGTGAGAGTTTTTACCCTTTGGTTTTTGTTTTGTTTTGAGCTCCCTTTCTCTAAACTTCAATTTTAGTAATCATTTTCTAAACGACTCCTCACACAGATACTACTTGAATTACCCTATCCTGAGACATTTTTATATCAGTGATAAATGATTTTAATTTATGGAATCCAGCAGTCACATTTTATTTCAGGAGATATCTGAAATGATTTAATTGTGTTTTCAAATATACTTCATGATTTTACCATTCTTTTTATTATAAGACAAGTGAGTTGATATACATTGTTATTCACACTATTGGGATGTTTCTGTAACTTGCAATTTGTATTATGAATGTTATTTTCAGTTTTTAAAAATTTCTTCAAAATGCAATGCATGTTTTTAGACAGACCCTTAACAGTTGATGTTAACTGAAATGTCAGCATTTATCTTTTAAATTTCATCTTGAATTTAAGATAAATGGTTTTCAATAAATGTTGAAACCTTTCTTCTAGTTTTAGATTTCTGATTGTTGAAATAACAAGAATTTAGGTAAGATAAATTATTATGGATTGTATTTGTTCTATTAGTTGGTGGCAAGGGTAGGTAGGAAATGGTATGGAAAAATGATACAATTTAATGAAGAATGTTCATGTTTATTTTATAAATACAAAATTTTAGATTGTTTTAATAGTTGTGAATACACAGTAGTAACTTCAATAAACAAACAAATAAATAAACAAATAAGAAAGACCAGTCCAAGAGAGAGAATATCATATGTAAAGGTCAGATGTGAGAAATAGTAACAATAACTGTGATTTGTTATGTGCCAGTTCTGTTAATATTTATTTTCTCATTTAACAACAGTTATGAGATGTCCTCATTTTACAGCTGGTAACACTGAGGCTTTGAAAGGTGAAATAAGATACCCAAGATCACATAGCCAGGAGTTTCTTTGTATTCAGAAATGAGTGGAATCTCTAGATGCATTAAGGATGGTTCTAGAGCAGGATTTATCAATCTTAGCGTTATTGACAATTTGGATGGGACAAGTCTTCATGTGTTACCCTGTGTATTGCAGGATATTTACCAGAATCCCCAGTCCCTGCCCCCTACAGGCCAAGAGCATCATCACACTCTCCCTTCCTACAGTGGGAATAAAAAATGTCTCCAAACATTGTTTAATGTGTTAAATGTGTCCAGAGGACTAAAACTACCTCTGGTTGAGGCTCACTATTTTAGAGGGGGAAAATACATGTAAATTGTAGTGAGAAAGAAGTTCATAGAAAAGGTTTAAATACATTGCATATTTGAATGTATGCTTTTATTTATATGTTTCCTTTGAAACTAGAAGGGCTTAGCAGTAAGCCCCCTTGTCACAAAAAGTACCTTTAGACAAATTTAGTCAAAAAATTGAATTTCTCTTCATTTTTAGCAAGAGGCGTAGTAATCAATCACATGAGTACCTTACTGAGAAAATAAAGCCTAGATTTGCTTTTGTGGGGAGACCTCTTTACTGATTTTCTGTAGTTTTGAAGCATAGTCTGGGAATTCCTGAATTTCAGAAATTACATTGGAATGCTTATTTGAAACACATCTTCAAATTAATAAAATTAAGATATTGATTTACATCCCTGAAAATATTTTCCTATCTGTTACAGATTTGGGGAGATGTTAGGTGTGAGGAATAGTGTTCCTCATAGGATGGTTGCTTTCAGAGGGCAGTGTTTGTGGTACTCCTGTGGCAGAAAAAAAGAATTCGTTTCTCTTACCTTACCATTAGGTAAACATAGTAATTTAGGGGGAAATTCTTGTAAGTATTAGTTCACAAAAATAAATGACCTAAGAAATTTATCTGCCAATAAATTTTTAAAACGTTGTGTTTAAAAATTACTCTGGGGCGGCCGCACACAGTGGCTCATGCTTGTAATCCCAGCACTTTGGGAGGCTGAGGTGGGTGGATCACGAGGTCAGGAGATGGAGACCACGGTGAAACCCTGTCTCTACTAAAAATACAAAAAAGTAGCCCGGCATGGTGGCGGGTGCCTGTAGTCCTAGCTACTCGGAGAGGCTGAGGCAGGAGAATGGCGTGAACCTGAGAGGCAGAGCTCGCAGTGAGCAGAGATCACACCACTGCACTCCAGCCTGGGCGACAGAGCGAGACTCCGTCTCAAAAAAAAAAAATTACTCTGGGGCTGGGCATGGTGACTTACGCCTGTAATCCCAGTACTTTGGGAGGCCGAGGTGGGCAGGTCACCTGAGGTCAAGAGATCTAGACCGTCCTGGCCAACATGGTGAAACCCGGTCTCTACTAAAAATAGAAAAATTAGCTAGACGTGGTGGCACGCACCTGTAGTCCCAGCTACTAGGGAGGCTGAGGCAGGAGAATCGCTTAAACCCGGGAGGCAGAGGTTGCAGTGAGCCGAGATCGGGCCACTGCACTCCAGCCTGGGAGACAGAGCGAGACTCCATCTCAAAAAAAAAAAAAAAAAAAAAAAAAAAAAAAAAAAATTACTCTGAAGATATTTTATGTCTTGTTAAAGCTATAATCATGGAATAAGATTATTGAAAACTCTTTGAGATATATTCTTTAGTTTTATGTATGTTAATAAACATTTTAGGACTTAGTGCAGAACATTTATTGACAATAGTAAAAAGCGTATCCTTATCTAGAAGAGGCTTGGCTTCATGTGCTGCTTTAATCATAGTAAGTTAAGAATTGCTAACTGCTGATGAACACTTAGTATGTGCCACACACTGTGTTAAGCAGTTAATAAGCATTAAGTGTTATTACTCATTATATAGGACAAGAAACTGAGACAGAATTCTCTTAGGTTTTAAGTGATGGAGATATGCATTTTCCCTGGGTCCAGAGCCATTTAATTAGACAGCTCAACAGATGTTTGCTGATGAGGGTCTAACACCACACTAGTGTAATGTCAGTCATACTTTAAGCAAAGAGATCCCTGAACAAATTTGAACCAATAATTTAACTTTCAGCAATAGTGTTTCTTATTGGTATGAAAAGTTAATTTTTCCTTTGGACTAATTTGAAATTGAGAAATCATTTAGTAATTGTGACAACAAGAAGCTTCCCCCCATATAATAAATAAGTAGGAAGGAGAAAATGTATACAGTCATCCTTTGGCATCCATGGGGACTTGGTTCCAGGACCTCCTGCAAATAAATACCCAAGTCCAAGATGCTCAAGTTCCTGTTATAAAACGTCATAGTATTTTCATATAACCTATGCACATCTTCCTGTGTACTTAAATCATTCTTTTCTAGATTTCTTATAATACCTAGTATCATGTAAATGCTATGCAAATAGTTGTTATACTATATTGCTTAGGGAATCATGACAGGAAAAAAAGTCTGTACACATTCAGTACAGACTCAATTTTTTCCTCCAAATATTTTCTATACAAGGGTGTTGAATCCCCAGATGTGGAATCCCACAGACACAGAAGACAACTGTATTATGTATTACATCATCACAAGTTGTTTTTCATGATGCTGTTTTTAAAAGATTGACTTTCTTGAATGACAGGTCGATAATTTAGTAATGTCGAAGATGACCTTTGTAAGCACCTGTTGTTTAAACTATAACATTCACTATAATACTAACTCCTGAGGCTAGGGGCTGTTTCTGACATACACCACTGTATCCCCACTGCCAGCACAGTGCTTTGGACATAGTAAACGTTAAACATTATTTTAAGAAATGAATGAATACCATTAGTTGTCTCGTGAGTGTATGTCATGTGGTTAGAAGTATGCTGTATGATTTTGTACTTCCCCTCTGAGTGTTTATAGCTAAGCTGTAAGACATATTACTTTATTTGTAAAGCTTTTCTTTTCTTTTCTTTTCTTTTTTGAGCTGGAGTCTTGCTCTATTGACCAGGCTAGAGTGTAGTGGCCTGATCTCAGCTCACTGCCACCTCTGCCTCCCGAGTTAAAGCAGTTCCCCTGCCTCAGCCTCCCTAGTAGCTGGGACTACAGGTGCGCGCCACCACACTCAGCTAATTTTTGTATTTTTAATAGAGACAGGGTTTCACCATGTTGGCCAGGACAGTCTCCATCTCTTGACCTCATGATCCACCTGCCTCAGCCTCGCAAAATGCTGGGATTACAGGTGTGAGCCACTGGGCCCAGCTATTTTTAAAGCTTTTCATGTAGTATTTATTTTGCCAGTTTATGATGAAAAGTATTATTAAGTTGGAAAAGATCATGGAGAGGTTGAATTGTACTTTGAAGTAGGCAGAAGACGAAGGCCAATATTACCTGAAAAGAAAGTAAAGGTCTGTTTGAGGGAAAAGCCTAATAAGAACAGGAAGCTTGTATTTGTGGCACTGTGAAGGTGATGTTTATAGGGTAGGATGGGTTCATTGAGAGATTAATGCCAGACTGAAGAAATCAAACTGATAGGCTAATGATCTTTTTCTTAAAATAACTATTCTGGCTAGTTACCATTATGAAAGAATTTCATTAATGGAAAAGAAAAAAAATGCTATCTCATTCAGCTTGGCAATGCTAATATAATCTCTTATTTGAGTACGTTTAAGTTTCTTAGGAACTCTTTAGTTACTCTCTCATTTGATCCTTGGAACAGCCTTGTGAAATAGGACAGCTCCTCTTGATGTTGTTATTTCTCCTTTACAACTAGGATGTAAAGCAGGAGTAGAGTCAGGTTCTAATGTGATTCCCTCTTGAAATTATTGGCTAAAAGCATCAGTTTTAATAGTAATCAAAATTCTCTCATGACATGTTCAAATTGTAGCAGAGTACATTTTTTCTGGGAACTGTAGATCAAATTAGAGTAGAAGCCTAGAAAACACCTATAAAATGTTTGATTCAGAGTTCAGATTCTAAAATTTGTATTATGGATTGAAGTGTGTCCTGATAAATGGCCTGTTTTATAGTGACTTGTACAAAATGGAAAATTAGTGTGTTTCTAAAAGTGATTTCTAAGAGTTTTAAGTTTGGGGCTTATAGGTTTTGTTGGTTTTTTGACTGAACTCTTTCCTACGTACATTTTTTTGGGTTCTGAACAGTTAGGCACGAGGTCTTTTGAAACATCAAAAACAGTTTTGGAAGAGTTGACAATCTGTCCTTTCCTCTTCGCTATTTATCTTCACCACATTACAAAAATTTGATTTACTAAAGTGAAAGTTGAGAACATCTTTTTCTTCACTAAAACCATCTTGTTATTTTCTCTGAGAAAAGTCTGATATTCATTAACCCATTTATGCTGGAGGTTGCGCTTTTTTGTGTGTGAAAAATCAGACCTTGGTGATGACCTTGAGCAGTAGGATATAAATAACTCCCACAAGCTTAGGTTCCAGTAATGGAACACGAGGCATAAAGAACTCAAATTGCAAGGGGTTGATGGTTTAGCATTCACTTCCTTTCTTGGGGCATACTGTGTCCTTTCAAAGTACAGGTTGAGTAACCTTTATTAAAAATTCTTGAGACCATAGTATTTGGAATTTCAGATTTTTGGGAGATTTTGGAATACTTGCATTATATATACTTACCAGGTGAGCATCACTAATCTGAAAATCTGAAATCCAAAATGCACCAATGAGCATGAGAGTCATGGGCGCACTCAAAAAGTTTTGGATTTTGGGGCTATGTTTTTGGTTAAATAATATCCAAGGAATTCCCAGTTATCCCTCCTTTAAAAAAATTTTTGCCAACAGTGTTAGCCATAAGGGAATATCAGTTGTTTCCAGGATTAGCAAACCCAGGTCCTTTGAGTCACAGCCTTGGTCCTAGTTTTATCAATTATTTTTCCCTCAGAAAGCCATATAGAAATTAATTTCTCATATTCTGAGCAGATTTTGCTTTTATTAGTGTTTTATTCCTTGTTCTCTGCACCCTCTGCTTGTTCTTCTCGTTTGGGTGGAATAAAAGAGTAAGGGTAATAATGTCTTATTCATTTGTTATCTTTCTCTTTTCTTTTTTTCTTTTCTTTTTTTTTGAGACCAAGTCTTGCTCTGTCGCCCAGGCTGTAGTGCGATGGTGCAATCTCGGCTCACTGAAACCACTGTTTGTTCAAGCGATTCTTGTGCCTCAGCCTCCCAAGTAGCTCGGATTACAGGCACGTGCCACCATGCCCGGCTAATTTTTGTATTTTTAGTAGAGACGGGGTTTCGCCTTATTGGGCAGGCTGGTCTCAAACTCCTGACCTCAAGTGCCCGCCTTGGCCTCTCAAAGTGCTGGGATTACAGGCATGAGCCACCACACCCAGCCATCTTTCTCAAAAATGAATGGTTCAAGATAGTGAGCTGAATATAACTTAATGAGTTTTATGCTGCTATATAAGTCATAATATATTTATGGTCATATATCAACTAAATTATCATACTTAAATTGTGATTTCCATGTGAAAATAGTATTCAAATGTTTTTGGTAAGCTCTTCCCATCTAATGAATGACCTAGACCTAGCGTGGTGGCTCACGTCGGTAATCCCAGCACTTTGGGAGGTCAAGGCAGGCAGATCACTTGAGGTCAGGAGTTCCAGACCAACCTGGCCAACATGGTGAAACCCTGTCTCTACTAAAGATACAAAAATTAGCCAGGCATGGTGGCATGCACCTGTAGTCCCAGCTATTTGGGAGGCTGAGGTGGGAGGATCACTTGAACCCAGTGAGCCGAGCTTGCGCCACTGCACTCCATCCTGGGCAACAGAGTGAGACTTTGTCTCAAAAAAAAAAAAAAGATCTAAAGCACATTAATGTATCATGTTGCGAATCATACTTTCTCCCATTAATGAAGCCTTTTATTCTCAGACACTTGTTATACAGATTCATTTGTAAGCCCTTATGTCTTTTCCTCACTCTTTGTAATAACACAGATACATTCCACACACTCCCATTAAGATTTGTGAGAATTCTATTCTGTTTGGTTCTCCCCCTCATGTCCCAATTATTAGCTTATAATTTTTGTTTTTGAAGTTCTAGGTGGCCTACTTAACTACACTTTTAGGTGAATTTCCCTCCATTTTTCTGGCCTATCTCTTTTTTTACCCTTGAGTCACTGGCAATTTCTTCACTGATTTCCTTTTTCCTTCCTCTCAACAGAAATTTCCATGCAGTATCGGCATGATGGAGCTTGCCCAACAACTAGTAAGTTGTCAAACTGGGTTGATAACCCGGGCCTTTTGTCTCCTCTAGTGCTCTTTCTAGTATGTTATGCCACCTCGGAACCTCTAAATTTTAATATTCCAAAATGCAAGTTTTTCTTAATTGAACAGATACTTTTCTCCTGCAAAGATAATGTACTGCTTTGTCTTGTTATAGATCCATATTACAGTCAAGTTGTGTACAAATTTTAATTATTGTTGGTCTTTTAATATGGTGCTTTTGTTGCAGAATTGTGACTTCACCTCCTTCTTGAAATAATGTGTTTATTTTTTTAACATTTTGTTTTCTATTCTTAATATAATTTTTCAATATTTGTATATTTGCACTAGGTGGTTTTTTTCATTAAGTCTTCTACATGTGTTGAGGCTTTCTTATACTGAAGTCTAGGAAATGAGAATATTTGATAGGGTTAGATGATATAATGAGGTTTTTCTTTATAATAAATATTGTTAAGTGTGCCCTAAGGCAGATTTACCTATATAGATTTGCATCCTACAGTGACTCACTTTTAGCAAGACATTACGTTGACATAAATGTCTTTTAAAAAGTGATTTGAAATACATATTTATTACTAAGGAAATTATTGTCGTTATGACAATATACCTTAACATATCTCAATTTAGTTGGTAATATGTTGGCAAGTGGAATACAATATTTAAAAATTTATACCATGTAAAAATGGAGCCAAGCTTGCAGTTTTAATGATTCAAACAATGATATATGATAGACTTACTGAAATTTTATTATACTAATTCAGTGTATGGCTATGTATTTCTTTTGTGTGTTTGAGAATGATCTTAACCTGAAGTCCTTTTTTCCTTACTTAAAAGCGTTCTCAGAGTTGCTGAATGCAATACACAACGGTAAGTTTTATTAGAATCTTCTCTAGTGGTTCGTTTATCACAAAGGTTGCCTTTTGTAGAGAATCTCGATTGAAAGCTAGCATGTTCTATTGATTAGATGAAATCCAGTGCTGCAGTGAGTCAATTGTTCAGCACCTTAGTGAAAAATTTTTGTAGATTGCCAATAAGAGGCTGATAGGTCAATATGGTTCATCAGTTTGGCTTTTATTGTTTCTTTTTAAGGCAAAATGATAATAGTGTTTTAAGTTTCTGAAAGTCTTTTTATTTTTACAAATGGTTTTTCTAGTTCTTTTGAGATCTCTCTTGCCAGTGCAGGTAATTATTGGTACCTAGGGGAAGAATTTGCTTGGAATGTGAATTTTATTTTTTAGGGTTTGGGTTTATTAATATATAGAATACTTTAATTATTTTACCCCTGTATTCCACATAGTGAATAAATGGAAGATAGTCTTTTAAATTACATCTGGTTTGGGACCAGGTTTTTTACAGTGGAGTTGTATCTTTTGCTGCATTGGGTTCTGAAATCAGCATATCAGGCAAATACTATCTTTGTAATGTAATTATAGTGAAGATTATTCTTGCAAAAAATGTTTGAAGGTTTCTTCAGTTTCCCCAAAGAACATTCCTTAATCCTTTGATGTTCAAAAATTCTCGTTTTGAGGCTAGTGTCAACTTTGTTGATTTTCTTTTTCAGTTATTAACAGATCTCATTTGTTCGAGACTGTTTATGTTCGACTCATTTGTTCAAGACTGCTTGATTCCAAGCAGTTTTTCAATACATTTTCATTAACTTCATGAAATCTTGCATATTTTGCTAATGTATTTTAATTTGCAGTCGATTTGTGTTGCGTTTGGGTTTTATTGTCAGATGTTTACAGTATCGACAGCCAACAAGAGACTAATGGCATAATGAGCAGGCATAGACACTCTTGTTGCCTTAAGGGTAGGGGTCGTTAGGGTGGGAGTCTTATCTTATAAGTTATTTTTTATTAATTAGTAGATTGATTCATAATTCTTGTCTCCCTATGCAACCTGTGCCTGCGGAAGCTTAGATAATGAATACTCTTGATAACAAGGAGTCCCTCAACACTAGGTATCTACAGGGAAAAGGGATTGGCAGCATCCTTGAAAATAAAATAAACTTGTTACTGTTATTTGGTAGAGAAGTGTAAAAGCTGAGGATGTTTAACATCATCTTCAGTTTGCATAAGTAAATTTAGAATTGTTCTTTAATTCTTTAATCCTGAACATCTTTAGAAAATAAACTTGGGATTAAAAGAAAGTAGACATCATGGGAGCAATGTAATGGATTTATATTTTTCATTGCAAGTACAAGTGTAAGATTGACACCTAGTGAATGATGTTTACCCTGTGGGTGATTGAGGGAGAGTCTCTTAGGCTTCGCTGGAAAAATTTGTACAGTATTTTCTCTCCCCCACTGCCCCATCCCCAACAGTTAGCTTTTCTTTCGAAATTTTTTGTGTTTGGGGTTTTGTTTTTTTTTTTGAGACGGAGTTTTGCTCTTGTTGCCCAGGTTGGAGTGCAGTGGCGTGATATTGGCTCACTGCAACCTCCGCCTCCTGGGTTCTCCCAGGTGGACTCCTAAAGTGTTGGGATTACAGGCGTGAGCCACGATGCCCAGCCATACTCTTTTTACTTACCTAAGATGGATGGTTGGATTATTGATTGGAATCTTTTATCTTTATGAACATAGTCGTTTACAGCTATATAATTTTATTTTTTTTTCTAACTTTTTATTTTTTTTTAGAAGCAAGATCTTGCTTTCTTACCCAGGCTGGTGTGCAGTGGCATGATCGATCATAGGTCATTGCAACCTTCAACTCCTGGTCTCAAGTGATCCTTCCACCTCAGTCCCCTGAGTAGATAGGACTGCAGGCGTGCGCCACCATGCCTGGCTAATACATTATTTTCTGAGATTATATCAGTCTTTTATGATTTCTTTGATTAGTCCTTGATTGTTTTTTCTCACACTATTTTCTCCTTGACTCTCTTATGTACTCACTTGGAAAATCTGCATACCTACAGCTTCAAGTATCACCTATCACCTGTGCTTCTTAGCTTCCCAAATCGATGCCTCCAATTTAGACTTTTCTCCTGAGTTGCAGACTTATATTTCGAAAAACCTAATAAGCTTCATTTCCGTATGATACTCAGCCACCTCAACCAGACTTAGGCTAGGAAGTTAACTTCAACTCTACCCTCTCATTTTCCTAGTCATCATTTTTTTAAAAAGCTTTTTTCTATTATTGATCAGTTTAACTTCTTTTTCTTTTGTATTTCCACTGCCCCATTTGGTTATGTCCTACATTGTCATCTGAACTGTTTCAGCAAACTCCTAACCTTCATTCCATTATCCAGTCCCTTTTCTAGATGCTACTAGAATTGATGGTCAATCTAAAGTGCAAATCAGACCATGTCAAACTGTCTTACTTAGAGAATTTTCTGGGACTTATGGGATAACATTTATACTCCTTCACATGGCATGTGGAGTTTTTCTTCATCTCGTTGTAATCTGATTCTCCAGTCTCATCCCTTCTTCTCCCCGACTTTACGTTGCATCAATAGAAGCTACTTGTAGTTTCCTGATGTTATACTACTATGTGCAACATCTCTGACGTAGACCTTGTTTGTATCTGTTGGTGTGGACTTCCAACTTTATCTAGTAAAAGTAGTCATTAAAACTAAGTGTAGTTGCATTTACTTCCTGCAAAGTTTTTTTTTCAGACTCTTTGATAGAATTAACCCTTTCTCTCTTTTTTAATACTTCTGGGTTCTCATATGTGATGTTCTAATACTTCCTCCAATTGATTTCTACTCTTTCTCTGGACACTTTTTTTTGTTTTTGTGAAATATATCTTAGTCATATTTATCTCACATTTGTGAAACTTCAAAAAAAAGCTTTCATTAGACAGTTGAAACTATGGATTATTTTCATCATTTATTCTAGCAACTGATGCATTTCAAAATGTTTTGAATAGGACTTTATAAAACTAAAATTTATTACTTCACAAAACTTATTCTGGAAAAATTAATACAAGTGAAATGACCAAGGAAAGATGATTATTATTATTTTTGAGATGGAGTCTCACTCTGTTGCACAGGCTGGAATGCAATGGTGCCATCTCAGCTCATTGCAACCTCTGCCTCCTGAATTCAAGCGATTCTCCTGCCTCAGCCTCCCGAGTAGCTGGGATTACAGGCGCCCACCACCATGCCTGGCTAATTTTTGTATTTTTAGTAGAGACAGGGTTTCACCATGTTGGCCAGGCTGGTCTCAAACTCCTAGACTCAAGTGATCCGCAAGTGGTCCACCTCGGCCTCCTAAAGTGCTGGGATTACAGGCGTGAGCCACCGTGCCCAGCCTCTTTGGCTACTTTAAACCAGCATTTCAAAATAATATTAAAAGTGAGAAAGGCCAAAACAAATGTATGAAACAACTCTATTACTTTAGCAAAGAACCAAGTTACTATACTGAAAGAAACAAGACAGTCCAATACAAAGTTTAATTCCCAAAGAAAATTAACATATTCCCAAGAATATATATGGAACTTATTCTAGGAAAATGTAGCAATTAACAATTTTCATTCATTCAACAATTATGGCAAGCCTATTAGATGATGAGCTAAATACTGACAAAATAAGATGAATAAAAGCCAACTTCTAAAATAAATTATTAAAGAACCTAGAAAATACTAGAGCAAAACCATCCCTGAGACATAAAGATGAAAACTAGGAGGAGGATATGCTAGTTTTCAACTGGACTATAAAACTGAACTATAATCTTTTAATACATACTACTTGTTTCATCATTTTTACAAGCATTTAAAATACTTCTATTAAGTGAAATAGCGAAATTAAACTTACAATTTATTAAGATCATGAAATCTCTTAGGCTGCTTCATTCCAGGGCACCACCACAAAACCAAACATGAAATACAAGGCACTTTCTTTTATAGGCATCGATTTAAAGTTAATTCTCCATATAGTATTCTTTAAGATATTTAAATGACTACTTTCCCTTTCCAAACTGCCTCAAAAGTTTCTGAAATTTCCTGAGACTTTTACGTAATATATCTTTCCTTACTTTTCTGTTTCCTTTTTCCTTTGTTGGGACAATAATTTTAATATTATTTCTTCAATTTTTAAATTTCTTAAATTTCTCTGATCATATGCAGTTTATCCTGGTGGACCTAAATTGGTGTTTGAAATTGGTTAGGTGTTTTCCTAAAGTACTTTGCTTTGTATCAATATTATTCTTAATTCCTTACCTGAAAACACCAATTTCAAAAGTTTATGAAGTTATTTCACATACCCAAAAGAACCGCCTTCATTAAGTCCTAAGATCCTCTCTGAGAAAGAACAAATGAAGACATATGCTTTAAACTCAATATCTATGACTGTAAATATATAATATTTCCTTGGGGCCGTGCATGGTGGCTCATGCCTGCAATCCCAGCACTTTGGGAGGCCGAGGTGGCAGATCACTTGAGCTTAGGAGTTTGAGACCAGCCTGCTCAACATGACGAAACCCCTTGTCTACTAAAAATACAAAAATTAGCCAGACGTGATGGTGCGTGTCTGTAATCCCTGCTACTTGGGAGGCTGAGGCAGGGAGAATTGCTTGAACCCAGGAGGCGAAGGTTGCAGTGAGGTGAGATCGCGCCACTGCATTCCAGCCTAGGTGACAGAACAAGACTCTGCTTCATAAATAAATAAATAAATAAAGTACCAAAGAGCTTACTTAGATCAGTTTTCACAGCAGTATATTGCTAATTGAGTTCCAAGTCCCACTTATTGCACTTTTAAATTCCCTTTAATTATGATGCTTCTGGTTTGAGACAACTGCGCTCACTAAACAAATAGGGTTTGTTGGAGGAGGTAATGTTAACCAGTTATTCATATAGGTGCTGTAGGATGAGTATACGTATAAATGCCAGTTGATTTTAGAGGTGAACATTCTCCCTCAAGAACAGGGTTCTACTTAGGCTTGTCAGACTAGTTTATAAGAAACTGAATTTTTGTCCTTCATATGTGTCCCTTTTTTATTTCAGGGAAGCATTAAGTGGATAGGATTCCATGAAGTGGGATGAGTAATACTCAGGCTCATATAATTGTTCCAAAGCCAGTATCATTTGAGATTCACTGTGTGTAATGAGATATTACTGATGGGGGATGAGTTGTCACTGTGAGCAGTATGGAGATTGAGAATCTAGCTCATTCTAAATTTAATTTCCTTTTAATCACAACAGACATTTTTTCTTCTTATGAGTTAGTGTGTTCTTTATGCTTATACAGTAAACTGTCACATCCTAGGATACAACAAGTGCTACGAAGTTTGTTTCAATGCACACAAACTGTGAATCACTTGGTAAGGGATAATTAGGTTAAAAAAAGGGGAAGGGAACTAGGCCTTGGGCGTAGTAAAGAGCTGCAAAGCACATTGGTTTAGGGGGTTGAAATGAAATTCTAGAGAAAGGCACCTGACCGTTAGTAAACCTAGACCTTAGAATTGCTGTCTTGAATCAGAGAAATGGTAAGGAGCTATGATGAGTTTGTGGGAGACAGAACACATGATGAAATAGTATGAAATCTTATGGGCAGGGTTGTGATTATGCCTGTGTAGGAAAGAATTTGACTAATTTAACACAGCCTTTATAATAAGGTAGTATAAGACATGTACTTATAGGTAAGACTTTTTCCATTTCAAAGTATCCAGGCTATTTTGTTGCTCTTGGTTCCTTGAAGATAGGCTTCAAAGACTCTTAAGGGATAAACACATTTGGCTGGTGAGTCCCCCACTGGGGAGAAAAAGTAGTTTTCACATTTGGCTGGTGAGTCCACCACTGGGGAGAAAAAGTAGTTTCCAGTATCCATGTTAACTTTTATAATGGAAAATGAATCTACACTCTTTCATTGAAACTGCAAGAGGGGTGGAAGCTGAAAAGTTCCAACTGAGTGAGGGAAGCAGTACAAATGGGAATGAGTTGTGTAATAATTACTTTTAAATTAACTGGTAATGCCATTACTACTCTCTTTATTTAGAGCACTGCAATTTTTTAAATTTACATAGGTTTCATGGGGATTTTAACCCTGATGATCCACCCCCACACTGCACCCCATCATAATATCTTCAGTTTTTCAACTTGTCTGTCATGGTGGTTTTTAGGAAGTGGTGATTAAAAATCTGAAATTAAAGTGTGTCTTTTCTTTAGACAGAGGTGACAGTTCTACACTAACAAAGCAAGAACTTAAATTCATAGGTATGTACCAAACTCCAGCATGGTTCTAAACATAATAGTGTTAAATTAATCCTATTGTAGCTTGGAAACCTTCCCATACAAACCAGTGTTAGCAGTATGTACTCATAAAAAAAAAATGATGCCTGAAAGGAATTATCTATAACCTTGGGTGGTAGGTGGGATGAACTATATGTTCTTATTGTTGTAGTTATTTGGATTTGTCATATTGCTTCAGACTTGGTAGGTAGATCTTAGAATTCCTGAAACTGTTTACTTGTAAGGGCCTAGGCTCCTAGGTCTGATTTTGTGAAGACCACTTTGTACACCTGTGTCCCTTCTCACACTGAGATCAGGAAGAATATGAGAACATATTTCATGTTTTATAATCATGATAACTCTCTGATTCTTTTAACATATATCTCAAATACTCTGGATCAGTTCAGAGAGAACATGTGTATTCTGAACTACAGAGTGAAATCCACTACTGTTAACCACTTGAAGTATGCATCCACTCATTTCCCTCCCCTACAAACCTCATTTTTAACATGCTGATAAAGCTAATTTTATAGGCTGTGAGTATCTTCAATATGGCACTTTCCTTCTTGAGACTGTCTTAGCTTTTTATCATTTGACAAGAATATATTAGGTTCTTTCTTTATGTCTATATGTAAGGTCCTGGTTAGTTGCTTTGGGGAAATAAGTATACTGCAAAAGATAAATGATGCGGCACATGAGTCCTCCCTTTGAGAACATACACTCTAAAAGGAAGAGAAATACATATATGTAATAATTTCAAGGGATGTACTTACAACTTCTTTAATGGTCAGTAGGAGTTCAAGGCCAGGGAAAATTGCTTTCAGCTGAAGGAATGAGCTATTCAGATAATGTAACGTTTGACCTGATACTTAAAGAATATGTAAAATTTTGTTATTTGGAGATACAGGGATCAGAGCTAGATTCTTAGTCTGAGGTATGTACAGTTAGCATGAGCAATGGCATAGAATGAGAATACACAGGCTGTGTAAAGTAATATATATATATATATATGTATATATATATATATATATATATAGCGTGTGTGTTTTATATATATATATATATACACACACACACACACACACATTTATATATATATATATATATATTTTTTTTTTCTTGGCATGTTTTACCTCCAAGATACTGATATTTGATATGAAAAATAACAACATTAGCTATTAGTCCAAGGAGTTGAAAGCAGTTGGTGTTGAGTTGGAAAAAAGATAATCAAACCTGTACTTTAGGAAGTTTCAACTGGTGGGTAGCATGTAAAAAGATGGAAAAGAGCTAATGCTGAAACAGAGTAACCCAATAGTTTTTTGTTACAATCTAACCAAATTTATTGATGGCCTGAATGAGGATCCTGGAAGTCAAACTGATGAGATGTGTATTACCCAAGAAGAACTGGTAATGACAGTAGCTGGAAAGGATGGGTATTCATTTACTAACACAATATTTAGGTAGAGATGTTTAGCACAGAATTAAATAGAGCTTGGGCACCAAAGAGAATTGAAACTAGGCCACTTAGGGGGTAGTAACTGAAACTCTGAGACTAGTATAGGCTGAAAAATGTGGGTAGAGAAGACAGAAAGAGGTTGAATCAGGTTTATTTTAAAATAGTGAAGTCTTAATAGGTAGAAAGGAGATTAAGGATTAAGATTCAAGGAGTGATATTTCATAGATCAAGAATCTGGAGCAGATGGGAAGAGATCAAGTGAACATGTAGAAAAATTAAGTTTGAAGGAAGACAGAGAATCACTGTGGAAACATTCACTGTCAGAAAACCCCCCACCAAACCAAATTAGTTTTCTAAAACCTTCATAATTTGAATTAATGAATTTTTAAATTATTAGAAATTTTAAAAATAGATTTCCCCCCAAAAGAACTGATTCTTTCAGGTATGTGTAGTAACTTGAATGTGTTTACAAAAGCGTTTTCTTTTTAGTGTACTTCAGAATAGGGCTTTAATGATTAAATAAGAGTATTAAATAATACTTAAATATGCAACGGTTATGCATCTGAGCGAGTTATTTTATTTTAAATTCTCAGTGTCGCCTGAGAAGTGATCTCTTTCCTCTCCTCTTGTATTTTTTTGTCCGAAATACCTCTGTCCTGGAGTTACTGTTTGTGCCTGCCTGTCTGTCATTTTCTCTGCCTATTCCTTAACTATTACATAAATCACCAAGTGCTGCCTTCTGAACATTTTTTCTAATTTACTAATTTGAGGCTTTCTAGACATGACTTTTGTATTTAATTTTTCTTTATCGTTTTCAAAACTCTTCTTTTGTGTTGATTCAGGTCCTTATCATCTCTTGCACAGATTATTCTAATATCCTCTTTTTTACTTTTGTCAGTATACCTAGAGTTCATCAAATGGGCTTACTCAAGCCAGAATCTCAGAAATGAAGGTAGGGAAGAATGTCATTTAATCATCTATGATTTAAAAATAATAACTGCCAAGAATGCCAAATGTTGCTTATCTTATTCTTCCTTACGGTAATCTTCTTGGGAAAACAAATTATAATTGGAAAGTGCTTGCTTAGTGAATCGGACATCAGAATAAAGGCAGTTCGATCATGTTTAAATATTATCATCATCTTGATAATACTTTTTTTTCTCTCTGTGTAATGTATTTCACTACTTTGCAGCTTCCTTTCACATTAACTTCTGGTCCTGCATTTGCAGAAACTATGTCCCAATCACCTTCATTAAACCTGGAGTTGTAGACCATGTCCTTGGTGGGCTGTTTCTATAGATGACTGATATACTTGTTTCACACTCAGAGGGTCATTTTATTTCAGGATCTCTTGATATATACATATGGATATATATCTCTGGATATATGTATGTGCCCATTCCTAACAGAATAGTATATTTATGTAATAACAGCTAGGTATTTGGAATTTTGCTTCTCATACTTTTTTCCATCATGCATGCATTAGGAGCAACTAATATTTTTATTTCAAAGGTGTATCTGAAAGCTTATAGCTTTGGCTTAGGAAGCCAAAAACTTTATTTCATGTTGCCAATAGTAGAAAATCTGATTTTCCACCCAGATTAGGTCTTTTATGGAACTGTAGAGAGAAAACAAATCAGCATAATAAACATAAGACATGAGGGAAGATAGTAGTAATTTGAAACAAAATTTAAAAAGAAAGAAATTTTATATATTCAGCTATATTTTATAATAGTCAAAGCAAGGAACACAGTAAAGGGGTAATAACGCAATGGTTACAGCCAAGGAAAAGAATAATAAATGGGTAAATCAGATGAAGAAAACTTCCTAGAAAGAAGGAAAGTACCAATACTGTGGTGCCAGGGACTTAATAGACTGGGCACGGTGGCTCACGCCTATAATCCCAGCACTTTGGGAGGCTGAGGCAGGCAGATCACTTGAGGTCAGGAGTTCAAGACCATCCTGGCCATCATGGTGAAACCTCATATCTACAAAAAAAAAAAAAAAAAAAAAAAGAGCCAGGTGGGGTGGTGGCACGTCTGTAATCCCAGGTACTTGTGAGGCTGAGGCATGGGAATCGCTTGAACTTGGGAGGCAGAGGCTGCAGTGACCTGAGATCACGCTACTGCACTCCAGCCTGGGTGACAGATGAGACCCTGTCTTAGAAAAATAAAAAATAAAAGGACTTAATAATAGAAGTGACTTCCATTCTAAGGAAATGTACAAAATATGAAAAGACTAGACATACAGAGATATTTATCATAGCAAAAAGTTGCAAGTACTGGGGATTGACAAAATTATCACAATGGTTATATTATTATTATTATTATTATTATTATTTAATCAATCAGTGTCTTGCTTTGTTGCCCAGACTGGTTTCAAATCCCTGGCCTCACGTGATCCTCCCGCCTCAGCTTCCCAAATTGCTGGGATTACAGGCATGAACCACCGCGCCTGGCCTATTGTTCTGCCACATCTTTCTTTTATTTTTGAGAGAGAGTCTTGCTTAGTCCAGGCTGGAGTAGAGTTGTGCCGTCATAGCTCACTGCAGTCTCAATTTCTTGGGCTCAAGCAATCCTCCTGCCTCAGCCTCTTGAGTAGCTGGGAATACAGGCACACACCATTACACCCAGTAATTTTTTTTTTTTTCTTTTTCAGTAGAGATGAGATCTTACTAATGTCGCCCAGGCTGGTCTCCAGCTACTGAGCTCAAGTGATCCTCCTGCCTTGGCCTCCCGAAGTGCTGGGATTACAGGCATGAGCCGCCACACCTGGCCATAATGGTTATATTAAAATCACTGGTTCAAGAGTATTGTGTTTTCTTGTCTCTGTTTTCTAAAAATGAATGTGGCCATTCTTTTATGTTTTTATTTAAAACAAAAATATTCATGAAGAAAGGCAAATTATGTTGATAACCACCATATCTGATAAGATTATGTTCTTCATTTTAGTTGATACTTTTTCCCCCACTAAATCTTTCTTTTAATCTTTTTAAAGAAACAGAAAAAAAAAATCACTGTGTAGTATGTATGTTTCATGATGCTTCTCGTTTAGGCTTATGATTGTACTCATTTAGGTGTGCCTCATCTCTTAGCTGAAGTACTCTCCTTCATTAACCTGATGACTCATATTTTTATACTTTATTTGAGCTTAGTGTTTATAGAGAAAAAATCACCCCATGTAAAAATTCATATCATTCATTGATTCATAACAATTGCAGCTGACATTTAAATTGCTTTGCAATGTTAATATACTTCTCTAGGAAACTTACTTTTTGCTATGCATGTTTAATATGTATACATTTAACTCCTCATACTCTTCCTTTGCTTTCCCTGTACTCAAGATATTAGATGTCTTTCCCAGGGGGAAAAAAAAAACCTTATTTTAGTTTCCTGACCGTCTTTTTGTCACCATCTCTTATGTTTTCATCAATCGTGCTCTTAGTATCTTTCCTCTTGAAAACAACCCCTCCACAGAGAAAAAAAAACCCCAATTTACTTATTCCTATTTGTGCGCCTACCCCTGAAACTGTTCTACAAGCACACACTCGTTTAAGATCATTTGTTTATTTTTGTGATATGTCTATGTATGACTTAAGTCTTCCTTGGACTTAACTGTGCTTCCTGATTGAGAGAATTCATGCGTTTCACCGATTCCCTACACAGTCTTAGCCATTATATTTCAAAATACAGCATCTTACCATTCTCTCCATTCTTTCTTCTGGAAGTTTTGTTAGGCATATTTGGATTTGAATACTGCCCTTAATGTTCTTTAAGTTTTTGTAATTTCCATTTTTTAAATCTCTCTTTTATATCTGAGTAATTTGTTTAGATGTTTGTTTTTGTTCACTAATCATCTCTTTAGCTGTGTTTAATTTATTGTTTTATTAGACTATTGAGTGAAGAATTTTAGTGAACATGTTGTTTTCAAGTTTGAATTCTTTGAAGTCTCTTTTAAAATGAATGTAGTTTGGTTTTCTGTTTTTCTTTTTAAAAAAAGAGCTGCGTAGTTCTTTTCCCACATCCGAAAATATTTTTATTTTGAAGCAATCTCAAACTCATGGAAAAATTGCAAGTATAGTAGAGAGAACTTTGTTTTTCTGAGCCATTTGAGAGTAAGTTGCGCACCGTATCCCATCAGCACTGAATACTTATGTATTTCTTACAAACAAGGACATTCTCCTACAATATCACAGTATAGCTATTAAGAACAGAAAATTAACACTGCTATATTACTACCATCTAGTTTTCAAATGCCATTCAAGTTTTGGCAGTTGTCAATGTTTTTGGAGATCACAGCGTAGTTGTTTTGGATTTTATTTTTCATTACTAAATTCAGATTATGTTTTGGGGGGCAGGAATTTTATAGAAATTATCTTTGCAGTGCATATTATCAATAACACATAATCAGGCTTTCCCAATGTAAAGGTTTTCTTTCCCCCTTTACAATTAGTAATTATTTTGTGGAATAAATTGTGACACTATATGTAATATTCCATTCCCCATCAGATTTTCAGTTTATATCAGTATGTGTTTAAGGATTCCTGTGGGCTATAATTTATTATTCATGATTTATTGTGATGCTGAAAATTGTTCAGGTTAGCCAGTGGGAGCCCCTTTGAGCTGGCTCTCTGTTCTGTTGACATATCCCTGTTATTCTTTGAATGCTTCCTTACTTTCTGGCACTGTAAGTACATTAGTTTTCCATTGCTGACATAACAAATTATCAGAAAGTTAGCAGCTTAAAACCACACACATTCATTAGCTTTCATTTATCATATTTTACCAGTAGAAGTTTGGGTTGGCTGGGTTCTCTGCTTAGTGTCTTGCAAGGCTGAAATCCAGGTGCTGGCCAGCTGGGCTCTTACCAGGAGGCTTCCAAAGAAACCCTTAGCTCTTAGAGGCTTTTATAAAGACCTTGCACATGCCCCTGCGTCTTCAAGCCAGCAATGATGAGTTGAATCCTTCTCACACTTAGAATCTGTCTGACTTCGCCTTCTGCCGCATCTCTCACTTTCTCTTCTGCCGCATCTTTCACTGACTTTCTACCTTCTTTTTTTTTTTTTTTTTTTTGTTTGGAGACAGAGTCTTCCTCTGTCGTCCAAGGCTGGAGTGCAGTGGTCTGATCTTGGCTCACTGCAACCTCTGCCTTGCGGGTTCAAGCGATTCTCGTGCTTCAGCCTCCCAAGTAGCTGGGATTACAGGCGTGTGTCATCACAGGCGTTTCGCCCTGTTGGCCAGGCTGGTCTCGAACTCCTGACCTCAAGTGAGCCACTGCACTCAGCCCCTCTTCTGCTTTCAAAGGCTCATGTGATTACATTGGATCCTTCTAGATAACCCCAGATAATTTGTTTCCAAGTCAGCTAACCAATAGCCTTAATTCGGTCTGCATAGCAGTACCTAGATTAGCGTTTCATTGAATAACCAGGGGATAGCAAACACCAACCTGTCTTTAGAATTCTGCCTACCACTACAAGATACTCTGTGTTCTTCTTTTTTATATAGAGTGTTCTTTTCTCACATTTAAAAAATGCATCCTCTTAGGTTCTTAATCATTTAAAATATTTATCTTATAATATTTATTTGCCATTTCTATTTTCGAAGTGTCTTGGAGGGCAGTCTAAATGTTTGTATCTGTTGATTTGTCATCGTGGGGATTGGTTCCTTCCATGTTTCCTTATTTTGGATTGTGAACTTAAGTTTTATCGTGGGTTAAGGATATATCCCTTCAGAAAAGTTTGTGTTTGCTTCACCACCCTGTCCCTTCTTATGTTAATTTAATGTTGGGATTTATCAAACCAAAGTCTATTTGAACACAAGACTATGTGGCTATAAATTCATATGGCAGACTTTTTACCTCCTATCCAGAGCATAGACCAAATTGGACAAGTATTATTATTTTCTCCCTATGATGTGGTTTTTGGGTGATTTTTGTGTGTGGGTTTTTTTTTTTTTTTTTTTAAGTGGTCTGCCCTTCCACTGAAAGTGTAGCTTTTTGACAGTCTCAGCCATATAAACAGGATCTCAGTTTCATCCTTCCATCCATCCATTAGAGGCACAAGGTCTCATCTCTTTTCCTTTTGGGCATTAAAACCAAAGTTCATACATTATTGAGACAGGCCGACTCTGCTAAGGCAGCCTGTTTGGCCTTTAAGTTTTATTGCTTATTTTTTGAGTATGTATTTATTTTTTTGATTATTATTATTTTTTTTTTGAGCTTTAAGCCTTCAAGTTTCCTTTTTATTCTTGACCCCTAGACATTTCCTTTGCTTGTGGACTCGGGTATTTGTTTTTAGGTAATATTTTTTTTCCCTATGACACAGCCCTCAGGAGATCCTGAGAACATGTGCCCTCATTTTTAGGTAATTTTAATTAGGAAGGGTTTTAGGTTGTCTGATCTGCCTTGTTGCTAGAAACAGAAATTCTCCTATTGATTGATTTTTCAAACCACTTCTTAGTGGCCTCTACAACTACTCCAGTCAGGTCAAGAATGGCTCTCACATTGCCAAGTCAGTGGGTATTTTTAGTCTTCATCTTAGATGACCTTTATGCACATTTGTCTTTGTCTAGGAACTTCTGTTGGAAACATCTTCTATTTTAATGTTATTTTAAATTTTTTTGCTTTTGTAACATTATGCTTAGCATGTGTGTCCAACTCTTTGACAATTTCTTTTTAGTTTTCTGGTGGCTTCCCTTTATCCAAATTTAGTATTGAAATTCCTCGAGCCGCTGCTTTTCTCACTCCATAATTCTGGCCAGAATTTGGTACTTAAAATATTTTGTCTAAAATATTACAATAGCTACTTAAGTCATCTCCCTGACTCCACTCTGTTGTCTTTCAGGGCGTCGTCCACACTGTAGCCAAAGTGATCTTATAAAAACATAATTCTAATCATGGCACTCTTCTGCTTAAAAATGTTTTAATGGCTTTCCGTTAGGTTAAAATTTAAAAGTCCTTTGTAGCCTGTGAGACTCTACATGAGTTGACTCCCTAGCTTCATCTTTGAGCATCTTATTTCTTTACTTATTATACCATCAGTTAGAGTTGATTGTTATATAATCCACAGAAGTGAATTCTGTCTGATTTAAGCAAAAAAAAAAAAAAAAAAAAAAAGAGGGAGAATTTATTAGGTGTGTATAGTTACAGTTAATTTAGGGAATTAAAAGACAGAAATAGGCCGGGCATGGTGGCTCATGCCTGTAATCCCAGGACTTTGAGAGGCTGAGGCGGGCACATCACCTAAGGTCAGGAGTTCAAGACCAGCCTGGCCAAAATGGTGAAACCTGTCTCTACTAAAAATACAAAAATTAGCCAGGCATGGTGGAAGGCGCCTGTAATCCCAACTACTCAGGAGGCCGAGGCAGGAGAATCGCTTGAACCTGGGAGGTGGTGGTTGCAGTGAGCTGAGATTGTGCCATTGCACTCCAGCCTGGGCAACAAGAGCAAGACTCCATCTGAAAACAAAAACCAAAAAAAGTTTGTTGATGATTTTTTCCTACTTTCGCATGTATTTCAAATTTTAAAAATGATTGTGTTCAATTGTATAGATCATGTCAAAAGAAGCAATACATAATGAGTAAAAATGTTCATCTTTAATAAAGCAAAAATAGAGCAACCCACCAAATAGTTAACACTTGCCTGGAGAGATTTAGGAACACCAGTATTCCACTGAGATTGCTGAGAGTCTCAGGAAAGAAAGGTCTAACTTAAATTGTATTTTACCATTTCTGAGTAATGAATGGATTAATTCTATGGAGATATATTCTACAGTCTAGAAAGGGAAAGCCAAAGATAAAGACTGTTGTATTTATTCATTAGTTGCCAAAGGGAAAGGGAAGACCGATTAACAACAGAAGTGTTTCTGTTATTGTGTATATTATCCTGTTTATTTTAAAGATGCTTGCTTATTTACATTTTCTTTTATCGCTACATAATAATTTACCTATTTATGGGGGACGTTTGAGTGTTTGTTACATGCATAGAATGTATACTGAGCAAGTCAGGGTATGTGGGGTATCCATCACCTCGAATGTTTATCATTTCTGTGTGTTGGCAACATTTCAAGTCTTCTCTTCTACCTTCATTGAAATATTCAATGTATTGTTGCTAATGATAGTCACCCTAGCCTTCTGTCGAACATTAAAACTTACTTATTCTATCTAACTGTATGTTTGTACCCATTCAACAACCTTTCTTCATTTCTCCCTCCTACCCTCACACTCTTGCCAGCCTCTGGTATTTGTTATTCTATTCTCTGTCTCCATGACATCAAGTTTTTCAGGTCTTACATATGAGTTGAGCACATGTGGTATTTGTCTTTCTGTGCCTGGCTTATTTCACTTAACATAATGATCTCCAGTTCCATCCATGTTGTTGGAAATGACATGATTTCATTCTTTCTTATGGCCAAATAGTATTCCACTGTGTGTATATACTACACTTTCTTTATCCATTTGTCCATTGAAAAACACTGAGGTTGATTCCATATCTTTGCTTTTGTGAAGAAATGCTATGATAAATATGTGAGTGCAGGTAACCCTTTGATATGCTCATTTCTTTTACTTTGGTTTAAATACCTGATATTGGGATTGCTAGATCATGTGGAAGTTGTATTTTTAGTTTTTTAGATAAATATACATACTATTTTATATAGTGGTTGTACTAATTTTACATTCCTACCAATAGTGTATAAGAGTTTATTTTTCTCCACATCCTCAGCAACATCTGTCATTTTTGTCTTTCTAATCATAGCCATTCTAACTGGAGTAATAGGATATCTCATTGTGGTTTCGATTTACATTCCCCTGATGATTAGTGATGTTGAGCATTTTTTCATGTATATATTGTCCATTTCTATGTTTTTGTTTTGTTTGGTTTGGTTTTGAGACGGAGTCTTGCTCTTTTGCCCAGGCTGGAGTGCAGTGGCACAATCTTGGCTCACTGCAACCTCTGCTTCCCAGGTTCAAGCAATCCTCCTGCCTCAGCCCCCGTAGTAGCTGGGATTACAGGCACGTGCCATCATGCCCAGCTAATTTTTGTACTTTTAGTAGATACAGGGTTTTGCCATGTTGGCCAGGCTGGTCTCAAACTCCTGACCTCAGGTGATCCACCCGCCTCGGCCTCCCAAAGTGCTGGGATTACAGGTGTGAGCCACCGTGCCCAGCATTTGTATGTTATCTTTTGAGAAATATCTATTCATGTCCTTTGCCCACTTGTTAATGGTATCTTTTTTTTTTTTTTTTAATTGTTGTTTGAGTTCCTTGTGTATTCTGGATGTTAGTCTGTTGTCAGGTGAATACTTTGCAGATATTTTCTCCTATTCAACAGTTTGTCTCCCTCCTCTGTTGATTATGTCTTTTGCTGTGCAGGAGGTTTTTAGTTTAATGTAGTCCCATTTTGTCTATTTGTGATTTTGATGTTTTAGCCATAAAATCTTTGCCTAGACCAATGTCCTGAAGTGTTTTCCTTGTGTTTTCTTTGAGTATTTTTATACTTTCAGGTCTTATGTTTAAGTCTGTAATCCATCTTGGGTTGACTTTTGTGTATGGTTAGAAATGGGGTACAGTTCTATTCTTTTGCATACAGATATCCAATTTTCCCAGCACCATTTTTTGAAGAGGATATCCTTTCCTCGGTGTACGTACTTGGTGCCTTTGTCAAAAATCAGTTGGCTGTAAAAAAAAAAAAAAGTGGGTTTATTGCTGGGTTCTCTATTCTGTTTCATTGGTATCTGTTTTTATACCAATACCATGCTTTTTTGATTACTGTAGCTTTGTAATATATTTTGAAGTGACGTAGCATGATGACTCCAGCTTTGTTCTTTTGCTCAGGATTACTTCAGCTATTCTGATTCTTTCTTGGCTCCATACAAATGTTAGAATTGTTTTTTCTATTTCTATGAAAAATGATGTTATTTTGATAAGGACTGCATTGCATCTGTAGATTGCTTTTGGCAGTGTGGTCATTTTAATGATACTAATTCTTCCAATTCATGAGCATGGGATGTCTTTAAATTTGTTTGTGTCCTTTTCAATTTCTTTCATCAGTGTTTTGTAATTTTTCTTGTAGAGATCTTTCACCTACTCGGTTAAATGTATTCTTTTTTTTTTTTTTTTAAACACTATAGTAAACAGGACTGCTGCCTTGATTTCTTTTTTTGCTATTTCATTATTGATATATAGAAACAGTACTGGTTTTTGTATGTTGATTTTGTATCCTCCAAATTTACTGAATTTATCAGTTCTTATAGTCTTTTGGTGGAGTATTTAAGTTTTTCTGCATATAAGATCATGTAATCTGCAAAGTAATGAATTTTACTTCCGTATGGAAGTCAACTTGGATGCCTGTTATTTCTGTTGCCAGATTGCTCTGGTTAGAATTGTCAATATTATGTTGAATAAGAGTTGTGAAGGTGGGTGTTCTTGTTTTGTTTTAGGTCTTAGAGGAAAAATTTTAGCTTTTTCCTGTTGAGTATAATGTTAGCTGTGAGTTTGTCCTATATGGCCTTTATTATTTTGCAGAATGGTCCTTCTGTGCTTAGTTTGAGAGTTTTTAATATGAAGCGATGTTGAATTTTATCAAATGCTTTTTCTGCATCTGAGATGATCATATGGGTTTTGTCCTTTATTCTATTGATGTGATACCTATTATGTTAAACCATCCTTGCATTCCAAGTGTGAGTCCCACTTGATCATGGTGTATTACCTTTTGATGTTTTGTTGAATTCGGTTTGCTAGCATTTTGTTGGGGATTTTTGCATTGATGTTTCTTGGGGATATTGACCTGTAGTTTCCTTTTTTGATGTTGTTGTATCCTTGACTGGTCAGGGCCTTGTAGAATGAGTTAAGGAGAATTCCCTTCTCTTGGATTTTTGGAATAGTTTGAAGAGGATTGGTATTAGTTCCTTTGTATACATTTGGTAGAATTCAGCATTGAATCTATCCAGTCCTAGGCTTTTCTTTGGTTGGGAGACATTTTATTACTGATTCAGTCTCATTACTCATTGTTGGTCTGTTCAGGGTTTCTGTTTCTTCCTGATTCAGTCTGGGTAGGTTGTATGTTTTTTGGAATTCATCAATTTTCTCTAGATTTTCCAATTTGTTAGCATTCATACTATTCTCTGCTGTCTTTCATATTTCTGTGGTATCAGTTGTAATGTCTCCTTTTTCAATTTTGATTTTGCTGATTTGGTTCTTACCTCTTTTTTTTGCCTTGTCTAGCTAGCAGTTCATCAATTTTGTTTACCTTTTGAAGAACCAATTTTTCATTTCATTGATTTTTTTTTTTTTTTTTGAGAGGGAGAGGGGGTCTCTGTCTAATCTTCATTATATCTTTTCTTCTGCTGATTTTGGGTTTGATTTGTTCTTGCTTTTCTAGTTCCTTGAGGTGCATCATTAGATTGTTTATTTGCAGTCTTTCTACTTTTTTGATGTAGATGTTTACTGCTATAAACTTTTTAGTGTTGTTTTTGCTGTATCACATAGGTTTTGGCATGTTGCGTTTCCATTTTCATTTGAAGAAATTTTTTTATATCCATCTTAATTTCTTCATTGGCACAGTGGTGGATTGTGTTATTAAAAATATATATATATTTTGAAGATGGAGTCTTGCTCTGTCACCCAGGCTGGAGTGCAGTAATGCGATCTCTTCTCGCTGCAACCTCTGCCTCCTGGGGTCCAGCAATTCTCCTGCCTCAGCCTCCTGAGTAGCTGGGACTATAGGCATGTACCACCACGCCTGGTTAATTTTTTTTATATTTTTAGAAGAGATGGGTTTCACCATGTTAGCCAGGCTGGTCTCAAACTCCTGACCTCAGGCAGTCCACCAGCCTCAGCCTCCCAAAGTGCTGGGGTTACAGGCGTGAGCCACCGCACCTGGTTATGTTATTTCTCTTCTCTTCTCTTCTCGTCTCGTCTCGTCTCGTCTCTCTTTTTTTTGAGACAGATACTCACTGTATTGCCAGGTTGTAGTGCAGTGGCTTGATCTCAGCTCATGGCAACCTCCACTTCCCAGGTTCAAGTGATTCTCCTGCCTCAGCCTCCCGAGTAGCTAGGACTACAGGCGCCCACCACCATGCCCAGCTAATTTTTGTATTTTTAGTAGAGACGGGATTTCACCATGTTGGCCAGGATGATCTCAATCTCTTGACCTTGTGATCCGCCCACCTCAGCTGCCCAAAGTGCTGGGATTACAGGCGTGAGCCACTGTGCCTGGCTATGTTATTTAATTTTTATGTATTTGTATAGTTTCCTAAGTTCCTCTTTGTGTTGATTTTTAATTTTATTCCATTGTAAATTGAGAAGATTCTTGATATGATTTTGATTTTTAAAGATTTGTTTTGTGTCCTGACATACGGTCTGTCCTGGAGAATGTTCCATATGCTGATGAGAGCAGTTGTTGGATAAAATGTTTTGTAAATGTCTGTTAGGTCCATTTGGTCTAAAGTCTAGTTGGAGTCCAGTGTTCGTTTTTTGATTTTCTGTGCCAGTGATCTATCTAATGTTGAGAGTGGGTTGTTGAAGTCTCTCACTATTATTGTATTGGAGTTTATCCCTCTCTTTAGGTTTAGTAATATTTGCTTTCTGAATCTGAATTTTCCAGTTTGGTGCATATATATTTAGAATTGTTATATCCTCTTGCTGGTTATCCCTTTGTCGTTATATAATGACCTAATCTTTTTTACAGTTTTTTTTTTCTTAAAGTCTCTTTTATCTGATGTAAGTATAGCTACTCCTGCTTACTTCCTGTGGTTTCCCTTTGCATAAAATATCTTTTTTCATACCTTTACTTTCCATCTGTATGCATCCTTACAGGTGAAGTGTGTTTTTTGTGGGCAATAAGTAGTTGGACCTTGTTTTTTAATTCATTCACCTAGTTGATATCTTGTAAGTGGAGAATTTAATCCATTACATTTAAGGTTATTATTGATATGTGAGGTTTTGTTTTTGTCCTATTGTTTTCTAGTTGTTTTGTATATTCTTTCTTTTCCTTTCTTTTTGTCGTTGTGGTTTTGTGGTTTTCTGTAGGGGTGGTTTGAGTCCTTTCTCTTTCTTCTTACTTTGTGTATTTGCTTTACTCCAGTGAGTTTTGTACTTTTGTATGTTTTCATGGTGGCAAATGTCATCCTTTTGCTTCCAGGTTTAGAATTCCCTTGAGCATTTCGTGTAGGGTGGTCTAATGGTGATGAATTTCCTCAGCTTTTGCTTGTCTGGAGAAGACTTTATTTCTCCTTCATTTATGAAGGATAATTTTGCTGTATGTAATATCCTTGGCTGAAAGTTTTTTTTTTTTCCTTTCAGCACTTTTGAATATATCATCCCCTTCTATGTTGACTGTAAGATTTCTGCTGAGAAATCTGTTAGTCTGATGGGGGGGTCTTTTATAGGTGACTGGATACCTTTCTCTTGTTTTTAGAATTCTTTGTCTTTGTCTTTAGACAACCTGAGTAAAATGTGCCGTAGAGAAGACCTTTTTGCATTGTTTTTAGGGATCTTAGAGCCTCCTCTATCTGGATGTCTGTATCTCTTGCTAGACCTGGGAAGTTCTTTTTTTTTGAGACAGAGTCTCGCTTTGTCACCCAGGCTGGAGTGCAGTGGCGCGATCTCCGCTCACTGCAACCTCAGCCTGCCAGGCTCAAGCAATTCTTCTGCCTCAGCCTTCCGAGTAGCTGGGATTACAGGTGTGCACCACTACCACCCGGCTAATTTTTGTGTTTTTAGTAGAGACAGGGTTTCACCATGTTGATCAGGCTGGTCTCGAACTTCTGACTTTGTGATCCGCCCGCCTCAGCCTCCCAAAGTGCTGGGATTACAGGTGTGAGCCATCGCACCCGGCCCAGACCTGGGAAGTTTTAATCTAGTATTTTGTTGAGTTGATTTTCCATATTATTGGTCACTGTGTTTTGACTGGGTTATTTCAAAAGACTGGCTTCAAGTTGTGAATTTCTTCTGCTTGATCTAGTCTATTGTTGAAACTTCTGAATACATTTTGGATTTCGATTGTTTTTTGTTTTTTTTTTTTTTTTTTTTTTTGATGGAGTGTTGCTCTGTTGCCCAGGCTAAAGTGACCCCAGTTTACTGCAGCCTCTGCCCCCTAGGTTCAAGTGATTCTCCTGCTTCAGCCTCCTAAGTAGCTGTGATTACAGGCAGGTACCACCACACCTGGCTGACTTTTGTATTTTTGTAGAGATGAGGTTTTGCCGTGTTGGCCAGGCTGATGTTGCAGTCCTGTACTCAAGTGATCTGCCAGCCTTGGCCTCCCAAAGTGCTGGGATTACAGGCATGAGCCACTGTGCCCAGCCTCTGTTTTGTTCTTTTTAAATTCTCTCTCTCTCTCTCTCTCTCTCTCTCTATATATATATATATATATATATATAATTATTACTGAATTACAGAATAAAAATAAATAATTAATTTATTATTCATATTATTCATGTCCTGAATAACCATTCTGATTTCTTTGTATTTTCAGAATTATTTTGTATCGCACATAGCTTCTTTAGTATTAAAATTTTGAATTATTTTTCCAATATTTTTAAAAACTTTTTAATGGTATGTGTTCCTACGGAATTATTGTGTGCCCTTTGGAGGTGTCTCTCTCTCGCTTTTTTTTTTTTTTTGGCTTTTTAATGTTTCCTGTATATGTTGATATCTGTGCATCTGATGTGATAATAGCTTCTCCCAATTTTTTTGAATTTGCTTTCATAGGGGAGAACATTTTATTGAAGATATATCTATGGTGTTGCTTGGGTAGGCACCGTAGTTGTGATTCTGGATGTGTGCAGTCATGTAATCTCTGGATGATTTATTTGGCTTAAACAGTATCAGCAGTGGCTATGATTTTTCTCAGTGGTTTAGGGTGCAATTATTAGTGGAGGCAGTGGTGAAGTTTTGCTGGGGACTAGGATGCCAAGTAGACCAGCCTTTGCACCTCAGTCGTGGACCAAGCATGCCTCACCTTGGGCCCAGGGTGGCATATGCTGGTACTGGTGTTAGTGGGTCCAGGTAGGCTGATTCTTGTGCCTCGAGGTGGAGGCCCATACTTCCTCAGATGCCAGTAGTGGTAGCAGTTGGCTCTGTAGGTTGGACGGTTCTCGGGTCTGCAGCCAGCCAGTGTGGTGTGCGAAGACGGTGGCAGTGGTGGGTCAACCCTCTGGATCCCAGGAAGAGTGCACTTGTATTGGTGGTGGCTACAGTGGACTGGGCAGGCCAGTCTCCAGACCTACAGATGGTACATGCAGATAGGTGCCAGCTGTGGCAGTAGCAGCAGGGTGGGTAGGCCTAACCTCAGATCCCCAGGACAAGTGTTCAGGTGCTAATGATGTTGGATTGCGCTGGGCAGTCCCCTGTACTCCAGACTTGTGTGCTCTGGCATGGGCTGAGGGTGGGGCAAAGCTGGGTTGGTGGGCTTGTCCTCAGGCCCCCTGATGGTATTTGCAGGTACCAGTCATGGTAGGCAGGGGCAGGGTGATCCCTAAGTCACCAGCAGAATGTTCAGGTAGCCGGGGCAGCATTGGTCACACCGTTGCCCTGTCACTGGAGAGCCCAGGGCCATGTTAGTGGAGGCAAGTGTAGGCCAGCAGATGGGGAACACTCATGCATCAGCCCTAGCAGTGGTTCCCCACATCTCAGCCCTGTGTGCAGTAGCCCACACTTTGCTCATTCACGCCTCCACCCTGGGAGCAGTAGCTGGTGTATCTCTTGGCCTTAGTCCTAGCGCTGCTGGGCCCTAGGACAGTGTGTAGCCTGTTGGGTACAAGACTCTTAAGATGGTGCTTTGCTGTTGCTGCTTAGGTCTTAGAACATGTATGGGATACAGCATAAGCATCCTCCCTGTGGCTGTGCTGTCAACACAATCTCCTCGCAGTTCCTTATGTTTATTTCAGAGCCTGAAAGGATCTAGGAGCTCTCCCATGGCTAGGATTGCAGAAGTCCATGTGGGAATGTTGACAGCTGAGGGTCTCTAACCTGTTCTTTCCCTGCATTAGGGAGCCTCTCTTGGCTCCTGGCCAAGCAGGCTGCCTTGCTTCCCTTTCCTTCCTTGTTTTAGGTATTGGTTGTTAGTTTTTTGTTGAATTCCAGTGTTTTCTCTTGGACGATCTATACAAATTGTGGTTACCTTCTAACTATTTTGGTTCTTAGTGGAAGAGACAAATACAAAATGCCTCTAGTCACCCATCTTGAAACCCCTCTCTCAATCCTATTTAATTCATAATAATGAATTCATAATAATGATGGGCACTGTTTGTCAGATGTTTACTATGTGGTAGACAGCATACTGTCTACCATGACTGGTGCCTGCACATACCATTAGGGGTCCTGAGGACAATATTAGTATATGCTTCGCATATGTAAGTTAATCCTTGCCCCAGCCCTGTGAAATTGTTGGTACCACCCTCACTTTATAGATGAGGTATATGAGGTTGTGTGAGGTTAAGTTATTTGCACGAGGGAGCAGGATTTGGACTTTTAACTATTTTCACACCATATTAACCTCTAGGAAAGAATAAGTCATTCAGTCTCTCGGGATGTGGGTTAGGGATAACTTACAGGCTTAATTACTTACTTAGTTAAATATTTCTGAAGACTATTCCATTCACAGTCTTTTTCCTGAATAAGCCACTGGATGGGTACTTACTTGACCTCCTAGGCAGTTTGAAAGTGGGAAATAGGAACTCAGGTTGATGAGCATTATTATTTCTGTCATTAGACAGGTATACTTCTGTCTTATTTACCAATCTTGTGTAATTGCATTGGCTTACTAATAAAAACTTAAGTCTAAACAATGTTCTTCTGGCGTCTACTCATACTGTATTCTTCTCCTGAGATCACTGTTTGTCTCCATCTTTTCACATCTAGTGGGCTGAAAATGCAGCATTTGAGAAGTCACTGCCATCTCTTTCGTCAGGCTCTCTTTCTTTGCTTCAGTGACACCACAGTCATGGTTTTCTTCTTATCTTACTGGTGTCAATTTTCTGTATGAACTCCTCTTCTAGGACCCATCCTTGAAATGTTGGAGAGCCTCAACATGTGGTCCCAGGCTGGCGTTTAAGAAAACTTCCATTCCTCCTGTTCCAGTTTTTACCATCTCAGTAAGGGCACTTTTAATCACTAGCCAGAAACCCATGACTCATTCATCTTCTACCCTGCTACCAAATCTAATTTGTCATCAAGTTTAGATGATTTTTTTTTTTTTTTTTTTTTGAGACGGAGTTTCGCTCTGTTGCCCAGGCTGGAGTGCAGTGGCGCGATCTCGACTCACTGCAAGCTCCGCCTCCCGGGTTCACGCCATTCTCCTGCCTCAGCCTCCCGTGTAGCTGGGACTACAGGCACGCGCCACCATGCCCGGCTAATTTTTGTATTTTTAGTAGAGACGGGGTTTCACCGTGTTAGCCAGGATGGTCTCGATCTCCTGACCTCGTGATCCGCCCGTCTCGGCCTCCCAAAGTGCTGGGATTACAGGCGTGAGCCACTGCGCCCGGCCAAGTTTAGATGATTCTAATTTCTAGATGCACTGCAAGTCCTTGTCCGTGTTCAGTACTACTACCGTCTTTGTCTGGAGGGACATAATTTTTAATCCAGATTGTGAAATAGCCTCCTAAAAAAAAATCTTTGTTTCCACTCATCCCCGTCAGTCCCTTTGCTACATAAGAGTCAGAGGGATGATCTTTTTAAAAAGTGAGTCATACTATTTGCCTTTGGTGTCTTCCTACTGATCTTAGCAAAAATTCAGAACACCTGTACATGGCTTACAAGGCCTTATGATCTGTTCCTTCCCCTCTCTCCAACTTTGTCTTTTACCAGCCTCTCCACAAGGCTTTAGCTGTATTACCTGTTTTTTCTTCTTTCAATATTTCTGGGTCTTTTGGACAAGTTTTTCTGTCTTACTCTTTGTCTAGTTAACACCTACCTAACCTTTAAGCCTTGTCTTAAATATTTTTTTAGACAGGTCTTTCTTGCTTCCTAGTATTTCACTCTTGTGGTACCTTTTTCTCTTCCATTATAGTATGTGTTGGAATTTATATTCATGTATTTGTTTTAATGTTTGCCTTGCTCCTTAAATTGTAAATTCCCAGAGAGCTAAAATCTTGTCTGTCTTGCTTGCTACATTATCCCAGCTCCTAGCCTCATTCCTCATACCTACTGAGTATTTGTTTGATGAAAGGAAGGAAGGAAGGAAGGGAAGAAAAGGAAAGGAAGGAATCAGTATGTCATTGCCACCCTCTGTACCGTTCTGCAGCTTTGTTTCTCCTCCCTATCCTGAACAGATGAATTTCAGTGTATTTTCCTAGAGCTCATGCATTGTAACATTTAGCTCTGTTTAATTCAATGAATGTCACCTTGATTTTAGTTAAAAACAGCATATGACTTAAGATGAAAATAGAGTGAAGTTAAATAGAAAGCAGATACAGAAGAATTTAAGGTGGATGTTGTACCAGTCCTACCTGAGGAGCAAGGAAGTTGAAGGGAATACATTATTTTCATTTTCAAAGAAAGATTTAGAATTTTAAGCTTTCCTGCCTTGATAGGAAAGGAACATTTTGCTCTGTTTTTTTTGTGTGTGTGTTTTTTTTTTACCAGTAAACTGAGTACCAGATATTGTTTCAAAGTGTGATTACTGGATTGCACATTTAGCTGCGTAATTTCGTATGTAAGTATACGTTGATGTAATATAAAAACAATTTAAGTTTTGAGATTGAAGGTCCTTAATCACCACGATTTTGCTTCTCAATATTATTCTTCCAAGATGTTTTACTGCATGTTGTGATGGTAATTGCAACTTTCAAAGTGTAGTAGAGACATTAGAGGACCTGGTAGTTACAACAGTGTACTTTCCTGACTTACAGATACATTTTTAATGAAAGCATTAACACCAAAATGGCCGTAGCTACCATTTATTAAAACTTACTCTGTGGTAGGCATTGCTAGAGCTTTTTTATATGGATATTCTCAAAATCTCACAAAAAGTCTTTAAGGTAGCCATTATCTTTGTTTTATAGATAAGAATAATATGGAGGTTCAGAAGGGTTAAGTAGTTTGATTAAGGGTCATGTAGGTGACAGATCCAGCATTTGAACCCAGTTTTGTCTAAGTCAAAAGCCTCTGCTGTTTCAATTTCAGCATGCTGCCTCCAGCTAACTTTTGTTTTCTAATTTTAGAAATTGGAGACTCCCTGTGTAGTACACTTTTCACCCCCAAAATAACTAATCAGCATTTTATCTGCTTTTTTTTTTTTTTTTCCTTTTTTTGAGATGGAGTCTTGCTCTGTCGCCCAGGCTGGAGTGCAGTGGTGTGATCTTGGCTTATTGCAACCTCCGCCTCTCAAGTGATTCTCCTGCCTCAGCCTCTCGAGTAACTGGGACTACAGGCATGCGCCGCCATGCCTGGCTAAGTTTTGTATTTTTAGTAGAGATGGGTTTCGCCATGTTGGCCAGGCTGGTCTCAAACTCCTGACCTCAGGTGATCCACCTGCCTCGGCCTTCCGAAGTGCTGGGATTACAGATGTGAGCCACCGCATCTGGCTGCAGTATTTTATTTTCTAAGATACTCTGAAAACACTGAATTCAGTAGAAACTCAATATTTGTTGAATTATCTATGGAGTAGCAACCTTTAAAAATGCATATCTTTTTCTCTGCTATGTATTATTTGGAATATAAAGTTTATAAATAATCACTGCATTAACATGCTGTCTCTTTTCTGGCCCTCTTAGCCAAACTTGTTTCTTTTTCTTCCTTTCCTTTCTTTTTCTTTTTTGGAGACGGTCTTGTTCTGTCACTGAGGCTGGAGTGCAGTGGCACAATCTCGGCTCAATCTCAACCTCCCAGGCTCAAGCAGTTCTCCCACCTCAGCCTCCCAAGTAGCTGGGACTACAGGCACACACCACCATGCTTGACACCACACCCAGCTAATTTTGCATTTTTGGTAGAGATAGGATTTCACCATGTTGCCCAGGCTGGTCCTGGGCTCAAAGAGATCTGCCCACCTTGGCCTCCCAAAGTGCTGGGATTACAAGCATGAGCCACTTGCACCAGGCCATTCCTTTGAAATTCTTAGAGCAGTTTATAAGATTCTCTATCTTAGTTTTCTAAGTTTGCCCTTTGTGATCTATTTTTGTTTGTTTACCCTTTAAATGGTAATGTTATTTAGGGTTCTGTCTTTGGTTCTCTTCTCTTGATCATGCTGAGAACTTTCCCTGGGTGATTCCATTTTTGTTCCTTGGCCTTGACCATTGTGTTCATATCAAGAGTTGTAAGTAAAATACTTATGGGGCCACATAGGTAACATAAATGAGTGACATGGTAAGGGATGATGGAGATGCTGATGGATTAAAGTCTCTATGCCCTGTTCAGAGCTCTGGTCAGATTGTTGCTCTTTTATAATATAGTATCCAGTGTTGGCAAATCTTCAGTTTTTCAAGAGATATTAGGCATCTAGAGTTCTTAATGGGAAATTTCTTATTTCTATAATAATTATGAGCAACTGGTTAAAATTTCAACCATAGTGCAGACCAATAGTAAGTATTTTTAGTTTGCAGGTTTACTTACTGTAACTTACCATGCTTCTCACTCCTAGATTTATGTCTTCAGATCTGAATTTCCTGCTGGGTTTTAGGCTTATCCCATTGTGTTCTATATGTAGGAGTTCTGTGTCCCACAGGCATCTCAAAGACCATGACCCTGAACCTCTTAATTTGTATTAGGAAGTGATTTCATTTATAGGATACCTGTGAGTTTGAATCATTATTTCACCACCTACTAGCTCACCAAAAAAGTTACTTTATTTCTTTAAAGTTCTGTTTGCTCATATGTGAAATGGGAGTAATATTTACCTCATTGAGTTCTTATACTAGCACAGTTACTTCCGTACAGTAACCAAACACTGCTTTCAGTTGCTGTTCCTGTTTCAGTGAATGGTATCACTACATGTACTTACTTATGCTTAAGAGTCATTGGTGACTCTACCCTTGTTTTTATTTTTCAGGTCTAATTAGTCACCAGGTTCTATTGGTCTAATAGAATTTTCAGGTCTAATTAGTCACCAAGTCCTTAGAATTTATCCTGCTCTACTGCATGTTTCTTCCTCAAACCGTCCTTCACCTCTGTACTGCAGCCCCTTTAGAAATTAGCTTGAGAGGCCAGATGTGGTGGCTCAAACCTGTAATCCCAGCACTTTGGGAGGCCGAGACGGGCAGATCACCTGAGGTCAGGAGTTTGAGACCAGCCTGGCCGACATGGTGAAACCCCATCTCTAGTAAAAATACAAAAATTAGCTGAGTGTGATGGCACGTGCCTGTAATCCCAGCTACTAGGGAGGCTGAGGCAGGAGAATCACTTGAACCCGCGGGTAGAGGTTACAGCGAGCCGAGATTGCACCACTGCACTCCAGCCTGGGCAACAGAGCAAGACTTCACCTCAAAAAAGAAACTAGCTTGAGGCTGGGCATGGTGGCTCATGCGTGTGATGCCAGCACTTTGGGAGGTTGAGGTGGGAGGACCACTTGAGCTCAGGAGTTTGAAATCAGCCTGTCAGCATAGTGAGACCCCATCTCTTAACCCACCGACCCCACAACCAACGCAAAAAAAAAAAAAAAAAGCCAGGTGTGGTGGCATTCGCCTGTGGTCCCAGCTACTTGGGAGGCTGAGGCAGGAGGGTCGCTTGGCCCAGGAGGTCAAGGCTGCAGTGAGCTATGATTGCACCACGGCACTCCAGCATAGGTGAGAGAGACTCTGTCTCAGAAAACAAACAAACAAAAGATAGAAAAGAAATTAGCTTGAAAAGCAACAACATCTCTTCCAGTAAGTTTTTTGGCTCACCACTTTTCTCACTCCAGGTCTGAATTAGATACCTCTTTTTCTGTGCTCCTAGCCTCCTGAGGAT
Source organism: Homo sapiens (assembly GCF_000001405.40). NCBI lineage: Eukaryota > Metazoa > Chordata > Mammalia > Primates > Hominidae > Homo > Homo sapiens. The sequence continues at coordinate 21,711,885 of NC_000010.11, forward strand.
GTCTCTGTCATAGTGCTCTCCACAACTGTTTGTAATGCCTTTTTTCTACGCAACTTCTTGAAGGCAAAGACTACCTATCTTGAATGGCTTTTTATCTCCAGGGCTTAGAATAATGCCTGGCAAATAATGAGTTCAGTGATGTTTGCAGAATGAATGCATTGGCTAAATATATCATTTTTCTGGAGAAATTGTAGATATAAAAAAGATCCCGACGCCTTAATTATAGCTGTAAGGCTTTTTAAAATGTCCCAGTTGTTTTGTTTTCCCTGTTTGAATAAGATTCTAGGTGCTTTAATTTATTATATAAGTCAATAACTTCATTTATTTATTTATTTATTTTTAAAGACAGAGTCTTGCTTTATTGCCAAGGCTGGAGTGCAGTGATACAATCACGGCATGGTTCACTACAACCTTGAACTTCCAGGCTCAAGTGATCCTCACACCTCAGTCCCCAAGGTAGCTGGGACTACAGGCATGTGCCACCATGCCTGGCTAATTTTTATTTTTTGTAGAGACAATATCTCCCTTTGTTGTCCAGGCTATGTTGATGTTTTTTTGGAACAAAGTAAATTGTATGTTGATACAAATTACTGATTATTGTTGTCCTCTAGGGCTACAGTTGCTAATTTATTTATTTATTTCTTTTTTCTGCAGCCCACTTAGGTTCATTCTTTCCTCCTGTTTCTGTACCTTGGTTTCAGGCTCTTTTTCCCCTCTTGCCCTCCCAAGAGCTCTGGTTTATAGCAAGTTTTCTCGGCCTCCACACTATTAACACTATGGGCCAGTTATTTCTTCTGGAGGCTGTCCTGTGCATTGTAAGATGTCTAGTAGCATCCCTGGCCTATACCCATTGGATGCCAGTAGCACCCTCCAGGCTTGATAACTAAAAATGTCTCCAGGTATTGTGAAATGTCCCTTGTGGGGCAAAATCACCCCTGGTTGAGAACGGCTGGTTTATAGATATTCCCATTTCTTTATCCTGAAAGCCTCTCCTTCTCTATGCTGAGCATGATTTTCTTTTTTTAAAAAATAAGCACTTTTAAAAAATTAACTTGTTTCCTGTTAACTTATGCTCATCCTCCCACCCTCTTTTCTAGAATGAATAGCTTCCACCATTTCCCACCTTATTTCTGGCTTTTATCCCCATGGTGCCTCTCAAAGTGTTTTCATCAAGTCTCCCATGATTTTCACCTCCTGTGTTCTCTGGAGTAAATGGAGCTGCCAACTCATAGCCCAGTTCATCATGTCTTAATCGTTCCTCCTCTCCTACCCCTGCAGCTGCCCCATACAGTCAGTCACAAAGTCCTGTCTGTGTTATCGCTGGAATGTCTCTAGAATCTACCAACATTCTTTATTCCCACACCTGTCTCCCACCAATGTCATCAGCTCCTCTTTTGGTCTCGGAATTTCAAGTTGGGCCTGTTCCATTTTAATTTCTACCTTGTCGGCTTTCTAGAACAAGGTCTCTTCCTACTTCAGACTTCCTCAGTGATGATTTCTGGGGCTTTAGCATTTGCCTTTTGGAAGGCCCATTAGGTGATTTTTATGGAACTCTAATTGCTTCATTCCTCTATTTAAGAAACGTTTTCTTGCTCTTAGAAACTCCTAAAATCCATGACATATTTTTTACAAAGCTCTTTCTGCTATCCCCTGCTTTTAACAAAAGCCTTTTTGCTAAATAAAAATGGTGTAGGTTCTTTTAGACAACTGCTTCATGAGAAGTCAGTGTTTATTTGTTTAGTTACTAGCACAATATTTTTTAAACAGCAACAATAAGATTTATAATTGGAGGAGGGATCCAGGAGGAAATGCAAGTTTACTGATTATGTGTGTCTGTGACAAATTTGACTGCTAAGTTATATTTAAATAACATTTGTTTTTTTGCAGGTATTTATAACAGCAATGATGTAGCAGTATCGTTTCCAAATGTAGTATCTGGCTCGGGATCTAGTACTCCTGTCTCCAGCTCTCACTTACCTCAGCAGTCTTCTGGGCATTTGCAACAAGTAGGAGCGCTCTCTCCCTCAGCTGTGTCATCTGCAGCCCCTGCTGTTGCTACAACTCAGGTAAGTTGTTACACTATCATGTGACAGGTAATAGGTGGGTTTCTCATTTTTAAAGTGAGTTTTGTTGGAGGAGAAACAAATGACATAGGGCCTTCTATAGGAATTTATGAAATACCTCAATTTGTATTAATGTATTAGTGAAAATGATAGGTATTTTTACATGGTATTCATGAGAGAGGATGGATGAGTGTATGGGCACCAACTAATTCTTTTTAATTTCTGGGTTTTAAATTTTGTCTGAATGATATAAAATATACTTTCAGGGGAGCTTTTATTCTTTCTTTAAAAAAGTAGGACCCACAAAATATGAGCAAGTTTTGGACTCTTGTGATTTTTAAAATTCCTTTTATAATTTTTAAAATTACACAAAAAATATATGAAATCTTTTTAAAGTTTTAAAAAAAACCGTGTAGGAGAATGTAGGTTAAAAGACCGAATGACCGCTTCAAGCACTACACATTTTTCCTCCTAGTGGGAGAGAACAGTGTTTGTAAATAATGATGAATATATAGGTTTTTCCATTTGTGTACCCCTTTTATCTGACTTCAGATTTGTAGTTTGATAGGTGACCTAGTCTATAGGATTTTTTTGTTTTTGTTTGAGACGGAGTCTCACTTTGTCACCCAGGCTGGAGTGCAGTGGTGTGATCTCAGCTCACTGCACCTCTGCCTCCTGGGTTCAAGCAATTCTCCTGCCTCAGCCTCCCGACTAGCTGAGATTACAGGCACACGCCACCATGCCTAGGTAATTTTTGTATTTTGAGTAGAGGCAAGGTTTTGCCGTGTTGGCCAGGCTGGTCTTCAACCCCTGACCTCAGGTAATCTGCCTGCCTTGGCCTCCCAAAGTGTTAGGATTACAGGCGTGAGCCACCAAGCACAGCCAAGATGTTTTAAAAGAGTCATATAAGAGAAATTGTAATCCTGTTTTATAAAGAGGACAGTGCAGGGGGAAAGCTGTACCCAATCCCCCTGTATTACACCCCCCTTCCCCAAAGATAATCATTTAAGATTTCCAAAGTATTTTTTTTATTTATTTGAAATTATGTATGATTTTATTTTCATTTCTCCAAAGCTCTAGTAGTCTTTTAATGGTCAAGAAAATGGTCACAGGGACAAATGTCTAATAATGAACAACTAGTTAAAATAGTTGTTTATAAGTTCCTGTCAACTTGAGCTTTATGGATGCGTGCATAATTTCCATTGCGTGTGTTGTTAGGATATATATACGCTTTTCCGGCAAGCACAATGTTAGGTTATTTTGATGCATTTGTGTGAATGGCACAGTGAGAGCAGTTGCTATTAAAATTACGTATTAGAATCAACCCCAGATAGTTCAGCACAGAAAAGCAATGGCATGATTAGTAGTATCGTCTTTGAAGATGAAAGTGAACTATTTGGTGAACCTCCCAACTTGATATAGAGGAGTTTGACTACTTTAGCAGAGTTTTTCTGTAGTTCATGTCACTAAAAGTGAGGTAGCCATAACAGGGGTTTGGGGTTAGAGAGGGTGAAAGGATAAATGAAAGAATAGCTCCTATAAATGGTTTTATCTCTTTTTAATTAAGTGCAACCATATGCTGTTGATAGTTTTATATCCTTGGACAAAGTCTCACATGAACATTTTCAATGTGCATTTCTCTTTTCTGTCTTTATAAAAGTCTGTTTAATTACCCTCTGGTTACTTCCCGGCTGAATTAAGTAAAAATCCCCATTTCTTCTCATTCATTATGTCTGTGAGCCAGGGGGTTGGCATTAGGGAAGTGGTAGAGAAGAGAAGTTTATAGCTAGAGGGAAAATTCCACTTGACATGTGACTCAACTGAAGAACAAAGAAATCATAGTTGTAAGTAACCCAGGATTCAGTTCAATTAAAATCTTTACTATTTATCCCCTCTCCATGTTTCAGAAAGATGGGTCTCTTACAAATGTGATCATCCAGTTAGATTTACATGCTGTGTACTGAGATACCTACATCTATGTTTCTGTTCAGCAGTAAATGCTTTCTGTCTTCAAGCTGAAGCTTATTTAGCCTGGCTTATCTGGTGCTGCTGTAGCAACCATCAGTCTCCAGGCAACTGAGGCACGTTGACCTCTCAGTTGAACTGAGTGCTGAACTACTTCAATTTAGCTGCCTGAGACAATAGTAATGGTGTTGAATGTGAAAAATGTGAAATTTTCTAGGCAATGTGCAAAGGAAAGGATACAGAAATATTTAGATAGAATTGATAGGACTCTTAAAATTGGGGATGCACTTAGCAATTGAATCATTTTTTACAAAACGACAAAGTTTATTCCTGTTTCACTCTCATATAGACCCTGTTTGTTTTCAAGTCTTACATTAGTTGTGTTTAGATAGTCACATCTAGTGTTTTATTTAGGGTTGCTCTAAGTAGTTGATTTTAGAGCAATGCAGTAAGATAAATGGGTGAATAAAAATTATCAATATTTAAAACGTAATTCTAGGCTGGGCGTGGTGGCTCATGCCTGTAATCCCAGCACTTTGGGAGGCCACGGTGGGTGGATCACCTGAGGTCAGGAGTTCAAGACCAGCCTGGCCAACATGGCGAAACCCTGTCTCTACTAAAAAATTCAAAAATTAGCTGGGTATGGTGGTTCAAGCCTGTAGTTCCAGCTACTCGGGAGGCTGAGGCAGGAGAATTGCTTGAACATGGGAAGTGGAGGCTGTAGTGAGCCGAGATCATGCCACTGCACTCCAGCTTGGGCCAACAGAGCCAGACTCTGTCTCCCCAAAAAAAAAAAAAAGTAATTCTAGAAGTCTTACCACAACTGTTAAGAAAACCATCATACTTGCAAGCAAAAACTTTAATAATAGTGATAGATGATGGAAATATTAAACTTGAATAACATTTTGTGCCCCCACACCCTTAACGAAAGTAGGAGTTTTTATTGATTGGATTGGTGTCAGCAGGATAAAATCCAGAGGTCATTTTTGCTTTTTGTGATATACATTTTAAGTAAATAGACCTCTACATTGCCTTATTTGGTATCTTAAGAACTGTTCCCTGGGCCGGGCGCAGTGGCTCACACCTGTAATCCCAGCACTTTGGGAGGCCGAGGCGGGTGGATCACCTGAGGTTAGGAGTTCGAGACCAGCCTCAACATGGAGAAACCCCATCTCTACTAAAAATACAAAATTAGCCGGGCGCGGTGGTGCATGCCTGTAATCCCAGCTACTCGGGAGGCTGAGGCAGGAGAATTGCTTGAACCTGGGAGGCAGAGGTTGCGGTGAGCCAAGATCACGCCATTGCGCTCCAGCCTGGGCAACAAGAGCGAAACTCCGTCTCAAAAAAAAAAAAAAAAAAAAAAAATTGTTCCCTGGAAAGTGGTCAAGGAGATAAGATTGGGAAGGGCTAGTAGAAGTTAAAAACTTAGAATAACTTGAAACTTGATTTGTGCTGGGAAAAGGAGATACTTGTAAAATTGGCGGGTGGGGGGTGGGGAGGGGAGTCTGATAGCAGCATACATTTTGGGGAAAAAACCTTTAAAAAACTGTTTGATTTTATATTCTTATATTCCTCCTCCTCCTCCTCCTCCTCCTCCTCCTCCACCACCTCCTCCTCCTCCTCCTCCTCCCTTCTTCTTTCTTCTTCTTTCTTCCTCTTCCTCTTCTTTCTTCCTCTTCCTCTTCTTTCTTCCTCTTCTTCCTCCTCTTCCTCCTCCTCCTCCTCCTTTTCCTCCTCCTCTTCCTCCTCCTCTTCCTCCTCCTCTTCCTCCTCCTCCTCCTCCTCCTCTTCCTCCTCCTCCTCTTCCTCCTCCTCCTCCTCCTCTTCCTCCTCCTCTTCCTCCTCCTCCTCCTCCGCTGCTGCTGCTGCTTCTTCTTCTTCTTCTTCTCCTTCTTCTTCTCCTTCTTCTCCTCCTTCTCCTCCTCCTTCTCCTCCTCCTTCTCCTCCTCCTTCTCCTCCTCCTTCTCCTCCTCCTTCTCCTCCTCCTCCTCCTCCTCCTTCTCCTTCTCCTTCTTCTTCTCCTTCTTTTCTTCTTTCTTCTTCTTTCTTCTTCTTTCTTCTTTTTGAGACTACAGGTGCCCGCCACCACGCCTGGCTAATTTTTGTATTTTTGATAGAGATGGAGTTTCACCATGTTGGTCAGGCTGGTCTCGAACTCCAGACTTCAGGTGATCTGCCCACCTTGGCCTCCCAAAGTGCTGGGATTACAGGTGTGGGCCACTGCGCCCGGCCTCTATTTTATATTCTTAAGTGTTAAACCCTTTTTTTTTTCCCCCTTTCAACAGACTAGTTTTTAGAGTAATGGCTCTTTCACAAATAATTGATAGGAAGCCTGCTTTACTACATACTAGTATATTAGTAATAGAGTAGTTTCTTAACATTGCGGGAAGAGCGGACTCCTGTCCATGTGACTGTTAATCATGGATCAGGGTAGAGGTATAAATTAGTTTCTGTAGGAGTGTCATTAATTTTTCATTTTGCCTTTCAAATCCTGCTGTTTCCTAGTTCTGCAGTCATTCTGTACTGTCTTTGGGAGAATGCAGGTGCTTTTTTTTTGGTTTGAAGGATGATTTCTTTAGTAGAAGAACTTAAGACTGAATGCAATGAAACATAATTGCATTCCGTTACATCCTACTTTCTGAGTTTTGCGTTTGAAATACAATCTTCATGTGATAATCATGGCTTCTTGTCTATCCCATGTTACTGTTAAACAAAATGATGTAGACTTAACATTTAAAGTAAAATAAACTTCCAAGGTTTATTTATGTGATATTTAGGAAATGCAGATATTTCGTGTTTTTGTTGTTGTTTGTTTGTTTGTTTTTTTGAGACGGAGTCTCACTCTGTTGCCGAGGCTAGAGTGCAATGGCACGATCTCGGCTCACTGCAAACTCTGCCCCTGCCAGGTTCAAGTGATTCTCCTGCCTCAGCCTCCTGAGTACCTGGGACTACACACGTGCACCACCACGCCTGGCTAATTTTTGTGTTTTTGGTAGAGATGGGGTTTCACCATGTTGGCCAGGCTGGTCTCGAACTCCTGACCTCATGATCCACCCACCTTGGCCTCCCAAAGTGCTGGGATTGCAGGCGTGAGCCACCTCGCCTGGGCATATTTCTGTATTTTAAACATACAATTTAGTGACTAGAGTTTTGCAGATTTCTGTGACACTTTCATCTCAATTAGCTTCGAATATTTTGTTTTCCAATATGATTATGTATGTGTGTGTTTATGTAGGGGAAGTTGTCTAAGATGTAGTCTCCGATTTCTTTTCAGATGATGTCTAATAAGGACACTTTAATTCTGCTTGAGAAAATGGTTTCGTTTCTCAGGCAGATTTAACTGACTTCTGGGGTGATATTTATGTTTATACTTAATTAGTCAGAATGTAAATTTCTTCTGATTTCAATAATATAATGACTTATAATTTTAAGGGAATTACCTTTCTGAGGAAAATCAGTTTTCATAACCTTGGTAACATCTCTTGTTACCAGATGATGAAAAGGTTCAGTCACAGTCACATATCTGTAAGTCTGGAATTAAGACATGATTCCTTAGCCTGCTCTCTTATTACTAATTGTTACTGTTAAAATGAATTTCCCAATTATGTACTTCTTATGCTAAGAGGTATCTCCTTGGAAAACGTTGTTAGTAATTTTACTGTGTTCATTTGTGTGATGCAATGCAGAAGAGAGAAATTTGAGTCAGCAAAAGTCCTGGGTTCCAGGAGTTTTGCTACTCACTTGTATAACCTTGGGCAGGTCTTTTAATTTTTGTGAGCCTCAATGTTTCCATATGTAAAATGGGAATACTTTAAGTACCTGTTCTACCTGCTATACAGATACTTTATGAGGTTCAAATGCAGACCATAAAATACTTTAGAATTCATGGTTATTGACTTCAACTGTTACTCTTCAGCCTAATTACCAGTGAGAAATTGTACAGGAACACTTCCTGTATTGGAAATAGTATTAACAATTTCTGTTAAAACTCATATAATTCATGCTAACATAGATAAATGAATTTTAGCCAGTATATATATTCAGCTGTGGATTAAGGTCTTTCCCAGTTCCAAAATTATTTCAATAGCTGCCTTTGTCCTACAGTAATTTTTTCCCAGAAAGGTAAGAGCTATATTGATAAGATATTAACCAGTTAAGAAACCTACTTAGAATTTGTTGGTTAATCTATACAGTCCTGTTGTCCGATCATGAGTGTTCAGTGATGGTTTAACTACACTTCATTCCCTCCTGCTACTTTATGGAAACTCAATTGTGGGGCATTTTGGCATTAGCCTAAACAATGGTTTTGAATACGTTAAGCTCCTAACAATTAGGGAGCAGTTTGGAGCATTGAATAATGTGGAATGATGCAATTGAACCTGACAGCTTCAACAGTCAGCCTACTCATGGGACCTGAAAGTTGTTCACACTTGGTTTCACCTCTCATCACATGCTGAGTATTGAAGCCTTACTGGCGGTAGCTGACACAGAAATGGGTCTGCTATCAGAATATGTTCTTAGTAAATATAAAGTTTGAATTGATCTGGAGAATATGTGAACCTTTCAATTGTTCCCTAATCCATGTCTAATGTTCATTCATGTTTTTGCTGGAAACTTTTCTAATCAAATATATTGTGTTCCCAAATTCAAACAATAATATAAATTGGATCTAGAAACATTCAAGTCCTTACATTCTATGTGCAGCATTGCTATATTATCAAATACATAGTTTAAAACATTACTGCATAATGAGGCATTTATGCTATTTAAGTTTTCTTAGGGAAATAGGTTTTAATCTTTGAAATATAGCCACAGTTCAGAATATAATTGGTAAGTTGTATTTTCTAATAATTTTAATGGAAAAATAGAAACCACAATAGCTTGTGAAAATAATTTTTAAAGTTAAGCTAAAATATGAGCGCTTACCATGTGTCAAGCATTTTTTAAGCCCTTTGCATATATTAACTCAATTCTCACAGTGTTCCTATGAGGTAGATACTGTTGTTATCCTCATTTTCCAGATGGAAATTGAGGACAGAGAGGTTTAATAATTTACCCAAAGTGAGATAGCTTGGCTTATGATATATATGGTGATAATAAAATGTTTTTCCTCCTGAAAGTATATACGAATTAGGAATTTAAAAAGTAAATACTGAATTTAGTGAGCCTGAATATTTTTGGAAGATTGCATTTTTAATCATGTGTCAGGGCTGAAAAGCTTGAAGCAGCTAGTTTAGAGCTTTTTTGAATCACTTGACTTTAATGTTTATTGACAGGTTAATTGTGCATTAAAAAAAATGCTTGCTATATATAACCTGTTCCTGTATGATTGAAGTATGAAGTTTCAGATCTATCTCTAGATGATACATTGCTGTTAATACAGTGCTTTCCAAAGGTGAAATATTTTCATCGGTATTAGTCTTTCGAACCTAATTTTTCTTATTATTCTGCGCTTATTAACATTAGGCAGGAAAAAAATCTACCAAAACAGTGTCCACTTTTAAGTTTCACATTCAGTTAATTGAGGACACTTGAACCTTTTCCCCCACGCAGTCGACTCCTTTAGCATGAGCCAAGTTCCTAGGAATTTGACAGTTACTACTTTATAAACAAGCTCTTTTAAAACATCTCTGTGGTCATAGGCAGATATTTGAAAATATAAGAGGTAAACTCTTAATAACAGGAGAAATTATAAGCTGAAATATATTTTTATCTTAATATTTTAATATGGTATGCCAGTCTACTTAGGAAATACTAAGTTTCTTTTATTTGTTTTGAGTTTGAATACTGCCTTGGTAGAGACTTGCAGACGTTTAATATATTAAGTTATTCTAAATTTGCTAAGGATATTCTTTAACTCAGACACCTGAACATATATTGTTTAAAAGTGACTTAAGCTTAGTTCAATAATTATTCAATTTATTCTTAATCTACTGGTCTTTCAGTCTATCTTGTAAAATAATTACACTTCTCTTAATGAGGTTTTTACTAGAGTGTTACAATAAATGTTAGATAACATCTTGAGCAGAAGTGATTTTTATCAGTTATTGGTCTTGGGAAAGGGGAAGGATTCCTCTTTAAGATATTATATGAAGGATGTATACATCCATATATGTATATATAATCCTATATATTCTTATATATATTATCCTTACATAAAGAGGAATCTTTCAAATATATATATAAACTTAAGTTTGTTATGGCAGTTTTCTTAATTTGAAATAATTTTCGATATATAGAAAAGTTACAAGGACAGTACAGAGAGTTAGATATATCATGGATATCCTTCACTCAGCCTCCCCTAGTGTTAACTTATATTCTTACAGTACCAGCAGATCCAAGGAGAGTGTCTATTCACAATAGCCGTTCTCCTTACCTGGGCAGGTTAAGATTGAAATGTCATATAATAGGTACTTCTTTTCCAAAAAGAATTTCTAGTCTTTGTACCAGATCTTCTGAAACAGTCTTCTGGTATATTAGTAATTTGCTTTCAATGCACTTTTCAAAATCCGTTTCCAAAGTATGCTGTAGAGAAGTATGTGTATGTTAATGTTTCCTTTATTTCTTATTCCAGTTTTTTTTAATACAAAAGCTTTCATGCCCTTGATGCTTCATAACCCTTATTTCTTTGGGTTAACATGGACTTTCTTCCTTTCCCCTGAATCTTAATGCTTTTGCTTATTAATGGCAGCAAAGGTTTTTGAGTCTATGAAACGCCAGACACTGTGTGTGCTCTCTTCAGTAAGCCGTCTTCCTCTTCTGCATCTTCAGTGCTAATAAGCTGTGGGATCTTTCCACTAAAAGGTGGGGGTTTCTTGGCTTGGAGGTACCCAGTCTTTCCGAAAGACTCATCAAGGGTCCCAGTATTAACTGTTCCAAACATCAGTTAAGAAATGTAGGCTAAGCAGTGACAGTCATTTGTGTAGTCTTTGGTATCTCATCTTACCAACCTTAAAATGATGACGTTCATGATTTCAGTTTCCCAGCAGAAATTAATATGGAATGTAGTAGATGTTTTTATACACCAAAATGACTCTATCTGGTAAAATTAATAACTTTTAATTTCTCTTTTGAAAGTCTCTTGTTTAGATAAATGCCTTTACTAGAAAAACAACTACCACATTAATTTTAGCTAACCCGTTTGGGAAATTGGTCATTTCCAATAATACTTTCATTTATTGTATCAACTTTTGCCAGCCATCTTTTAAAAATAGATACTTTCCTTCTTTAGCATACGCTAAAGATACTTTATCTTTTTTTGATGATCATCATTATGCAAATTAGTTGTTGTGCCATACTCCTTTCTATTTTGATCTTTAGTATATATAGATCTAATAGATAGGGAAACTAAGATAATTCAGAGACTAGATCAAGAAAATGCCACCCCTCTGAAATTTGAAGCTAATAAGGATAAATATTAATATAAAGCCCTTGGCAGAAGGAACCCTTCCTAAAAAAGAGTATATTTCTAGTTCTAGTGAGAGTTGGATCTTTGGATTCTTATCTAAGGCAAGTGATGAGACTGATAATTGAAAGCAAAAAGGTATTCCAAGTGATATATTGATATGTCACATAGATGACTGCATGAACGAGAGTCAAAAGGCTGGGAGTGTTTCCTTGCTTTGGAAGTGCTAAGGCATCTAGAAGTACACTTTATAAAGTTAATAATAAACTAAAATGAGAATGCTATCCTCAGTGTCTTCTTGGAGGACCACCGTATCCGCATTCTGTACTGTGTTTTCTCTGTTGGTCCTATTTTTCTCTGCCCTGTCCTGTGGTCAGCTGTTACTTCTTGGTGTCAACAGACTGTCTCGAGATAAGACTGTTTCTTCCTCCTTCTAATTAATTTTCCATTTCTAATCTATTAAATGTGTAGTGGATCTTTTTTAGAATTGTATCTACAGTAAGAGTAAATTGGCTCTACAAAAGCTATTTTTAAGTATTAGGATCTGAGACGTCAACAGATGGGACTGGTAATATCTGTTTTTTCTGTTGAATTGTTTGTATTTTTCTTATTCTATATTGTTTTATTAATAGCTAAGATTCCCAAAGAATTGACTTCTGGAGAGAGAAAAAAATCTTAACTGTATCTCTGTTTATGAATTGTGTGTTTTATGTGCCCTCTACTACTAAATACATGGTAAGTGAACAGCACGATCTTCATGTTGAAGTTATAACTTACCTTTTCCCGAGGGACAGTTGATTGTTAAACAGGACTGAAGAGTACCAACTTACTGACTTTGTCTGCATATTTTTAATAAGAGGAAAAACAAAACCCAGAAATTGACAGATTTAATTTACACATTAAAGTGTGAACTATAAAATACACGCTTTGAGATAATAGAAAGCAAGGATGGTACATCCCAGAAACTGTTTCCGTGAACCATAAACGCACATTTTCATGCTTTGTAAGTGGGCTGAAGGCCAAGATGCAATGTCATGATGTGAGTCTGTCCAGAAATACAGCTTCTTCTCTGTGTTATTTTGCTTACAACTACTGTGTTGTCTTAGTCTCTTGTGTGCAGTTATACATATCCAAATGTCCCCCATCTTTTGTTCTTGTTATTCAGCTTCTTTACGATAGAAGTGCTTTAGTTCTTTGCCGATATTTTCAAGAGTTTTGTTCTGAAATAACTGCAATGATTTTAGTTTATAAAAGCTTCAGTTTGATTTCATTCATGAAAAAGAAGAACAATTCTACTTTAACATTTGTGGTTCTGTTAAATCTGAGAATTATTTCAGGCCACTGAGAGTCTTCTGTGAGTAACAGCATTTTGTATACAAGAGATTTGCCTCCAAAATGTCAAATTTTAAGGTCATAATATTCTTGGAAAGTGGGAGAGAGCATGCACATCAAAGAAAGCATTTTTATTACAGTGGATTACGCAATACTTTGGCCAGCCTCCTTAGCTTCATCTGTTTAAGGGTTCATTTTCGCTTGTTTGGCACAGGTCCCAGTGAGGCCTTCAGAATTGTGGTTAGCAACATGAATGAATTACAAACTTTGGACGAGCTCTTCAGTTAGTAGAGCTGGCTTGCTGCCAAAAAGACAGTGCCTTATATGGGGTCAGGGCAAAGCTGTGATTCGTTGAGTCCTGCATTGTATAGAAAACATACTTGGGATGCCTGTTTGCTTTCTTTTAAAATAAAAACAAAACAAAACAGAAAAAGCAGCAGGCTTCCAAGTCTATCAAAATAGGAAGTAACAAAATAGTGTGCAGGTTTTACTAATGACAGAGTTAAGCAATGGAAATACAGCTCCCTGTAGCTAAAATACTAGAAGTAAAAGTTGGACTTTTGACCTCCTTAGCCAGCTTGTGATATGAGAGATTGAAGCATTTGGTTAGATACCTGTTGTCTTCCTGCTTTTATGTTTCAGATGGCTTAATAAGATTAATTAGTCTCATGTCCACATGGTTGCTGTGCCACTGGGGTTTGGTATCAGCTAGATATGTTGAAAATTAAAAGCAGGAATAGTTACCTTCCAACGTGCCAGTTCTTCTTTTTTAAAAATTTGTAGTTATGGCCAGGCGCGGTGGCTCACGCCTATAATCCCAGCTCTTTGGGAGGCCGAGGCGGGTGGATCACCTGAGGTCAGGAGTTTGAGACTAACCTGGCCAACATGGTGAAACTCCGTCTGTACTAAAAATACAAAAAATTTAGCTGGGCGTGGTGGCGGGCGCCTCCTGTAATCCCAGCCACTGGGAAGTCTGAGGCAGAATTGCTTGAACCCTAGAGGCGGAGGTTGCAGTGAGCCGAGAACGCGCCATTGCACTCCAGCCTGGGTAAGAGTGAAACTCTTTCTCAAAAAAAAAAAAAAAAAAATTGTAGTTACGTAACTTTTTTTTTTTTTTTTGAGACGGAGTCTCGCTCTGTCGCCCAGGCTGGAGTGCAGTGGCGTGATCTCCTCTCACTGCAAGCTCCACCTCCTGGGTTCACGCCATTCTCCTGCCTCAGCCTCCCGAGTAGCTGGGACTACAGGCGCCCGCCACCATGCACGGCTAATTTTTTGTATTTTTAGTAGAGACGGGGGTTTCACCATGTTACCCAGGATGGTCTCGATCTCCTGATCTCGTGATCTGCCCACGTCAGCCTCCCAAAGTGCTGGGATTACAGGCGTGAGCCACCGCGCCCGGCCTAGTTATGTAACTTTTAAAAAATTGACATGTTGAATGGTAAAACAAGTAAGAACGAAATTTGCTTTTCAGAAGGTCACAAATTTTGCTTATATTCTTAGGTTGGAGAATATAATTACTAGATCTATTAGAAGGGAAAACTTTTAATATATTTTCACATATAATTCATTTATCATTGTAATTTTTTCCATTTAGGCAAATACTCTATCTGGATCTTCTCTCAGTCAGGCACCATCTCATATGTATGGCAATAGATCAAATTCATCAATGGCAGCTCTTATAGCTCAGTCTGAAAACAATCAAACAGGTAAGTTTTCAAGAATTACTAACTCTAAAACCCTACTCTCACCTACTTTAATTTTTTTCCCCTTTTGGTTCATTTTATTTGAAAACATGCAGGGATGTGGTTAGTAGAGGATTTGTACTTTAAAAAAATATTCACAGTTGGAAAATGTTAAATATTTCAGGTGCTGGTTATGTTAACTAGCTTGATTTTATTATTCCACATTACATTCATATATCATAACATCAATTTGTACTCCAAATTTATATAATTACAAACTGTCAATTTACAATAAAAAAGAATCACAGTTGGAAGTAAATAGTATGCTGTGCTGCAAAATAGCAATGTCCTTTTTTTTTTTTTTTTTTTTTTTTTATTGTCTGAAATGGAAATGTTTCAACAGAGCCATCAGCAAGCAGGAATGCAGCAGTGTCTCCTGTGACTTTTGTGATTGATGTGTTCAGTTCTCAGTTCTATGCAATGAAAGTAACATAACACTGGGCTTTTCTGTGAATAGCCTAAACCTTTATTTGCATAATTCATGAAATTGTATTACACAAACTTGGTTAAAAAAATCCTGTTAGAGAATTTCTGCAGTGTTTAGTAATCCTGTGAATGTTCACCAGTTGACGTTTTGTCGCATTTGTCTCTTGTACTGTCTTAATGAGCCACTGGATTTGCTTTGTTTCATTGCATCCTTAAGGATTGGTTGACATGTCCAAGTAGTCATGCCTGTTTGGGGGAAGGGAATGGATTTAGCAGTTCACCAAGAATGGATCAGTCTGTCTTTACCGTTTAAGGGTCAGAGGTTACCTGACTCAGAATAAGGGGAGGACAACCTTGAAAGAGGCCAGATAAGGTGATTTTTATAAGGAACTAACTGCAGGGGAAATACAAGTTACTTTCCAAGCAGAGATATATGATATTACCTAAGGAATATTTTGAAAAGTTAATTTTTTTCTTTAAAATTCAGGATTCTGTATTCCTACTTGTTTTTGTCAATTTGGAAATTTAGTGTTTTATGTAATTTTATTCTTGGTGTAAGGCTCTAGTGTCTAACACCATAATTTTAGTCTTGGTGTGCAGCTCTATGTAAATGTGTTTTATGGCTTGTCTTGGGATGCAAAGTGTTAAAAAATACAAAGCATACGGATTTGCTGTGATAAGCATACAGATTAGCTGTCCACAGCTGTGATTCATTACTTTAACCGTAGAAATTAAAAGTGGCTGAGGGGAGGGTACAGCAAATGCAAACCACGCTTCTGTGCTGTAAAATTGAAAGGAATGAAAGAACAGAACATAATCCATGGCCTTCTACACCCACAAAAACGTGTAGGGACAACGCCTTACATGCCACAGTTCAGCAATTCTGAACTAGCAACATGCTAGATCTTCTATTTTCGTGGGAACTGCAAAGATAGTGGTAAAGGTTTAATGTATGTTTTAGGAAAAATCAGGGCAAGAGTTTAAAACCTCTTATCTAGTGAGAGTCACTTTATCAGCTCTGAAATATTTACACTACAGATCAAGATCTTGGAGACAATAGCCGCAACCTAGTTGGCAGAGGAAGCTCACCCCGAGGAAGTCTCTCGCCACGGTAAGCGCTATTTACACTGCAAAGTATAGGCAAAGGAAACGTTTGAGATTTGGAAACTTTCTTATCTCATATCAGTAGAGTGTACATTTGTGAGGCTATAAAAGCATTCTACAGATAAGAAGCATGTCTAGACAAGAAAAATGATTCTAAATTAATTTAAATATTAATTTAAACACCATTAGATTTCTAAGTAAAACAAATCCCTTTCCTTTGGTTTCCAATCAGTTCGAACTCTCTTGTATTTATTACCTGTATACTGATTTGAGTAATTCTTTTTGATCATAAAATAGTTTTAAGATCTCTTAAAGTTGTAGACCCAAGACTTTCAAGTTTGGGTTCCAGTTTTAGCTCTGTTCTGTGTAGCACTTAATCCCTTAGTCTCTAGTTCCTAATTCAGTAAAGTCGTGTGGTAGATCACTAAACTCCTACTAGTTCTTAAATTGTTTGAATCAGTTATAGCAAATGTATTACAAGTTTTTTGAAATCATTTTATGACAGTATTCAGGTACCATTTATTAAAATCTAATTAATATATTTGGGGTTATCAAACTGCATATTCCTTCTGTTCTAAATGGGGAGAATGTGGTATGAGATACTGTGTCTGCTTGTAGGGGAGAATGGAACTTTGGTGATAGCTATCTCCTTATTAATTTTATTTCCCTTCTGTGCGTTCTCTTTGTTTTCTCCATGTTCTCTAATTTAGGAACCCTCCCTCAAGCATGGTGTTAGACTGGGTGACAATGGAGAGTAAGAGAAAAGCCCATTCTAGGGTCTTTCTTCCAAGAATGGGAGAAACGTGATTAAAAATGAAAACTTTGGTCAGGCGTGGTGGCTCATGTCTATAATCCCAGCGCTTTGGGAGGCCAAGTTTGGAGGATTGCTTGAGGCCTGGAGTTCAAGACCAGCCTGGGCAACATGCCAAGACTCCATGTCTACAATTTTTTTTTTTTTTTTTTCCAAAATGAACTTTTTCATGTGATGACAGATCATGAATAACAGTATTGCTGATATATTTGGGGAATGTCTGTTAAGGAACATCTTCTTTATCCTAAAGATTAGTTCAGTAACCACTAATTTCATTTTCTAATGGTACATCTAGTGATGCCTTTTTTTCTGTATAATTCCTGGGTGAACTAAAAGTAGTATTGTTTTCCCTGATTGAACTCTGCAGAAAATCAAATATCCATTCTTTGGAAACCAGGAATCTGAAGAACAATGATAACATGATCTGACTAGTCTGTGATTTTATGCTGTGATTAATTCTATGTTGTTTTTCTTTTCAAAGAAGAAAGTTAATGTTTGCTCAGTGTTTAGTGGAAGAAGCATTTCTCTGTTGCCCTTTTAAACTTAAAATATTACAAGCTACCGAGAATTATTAAGAAAGTGCTATTTTGCTTAATATAGTTTTTCCTTTTCATTAGTTAAATGGGACTTAACAAATGGTACTAAATTATTTTTAGCATATTATTTCCAACTTTATATTACTCTTTAGAAATCAGCCTGAGATGTAACAGCCTAAATTATCCTGGTATAGTGTACTATTTGCAGAGGGATGGCCAACTGTATGTGGCCCATAATGTTTACATATGGAATAAAAACCCCATTTGTTTAACATCTTACGAAAATTTTGCAGAGACGCATATTAAGGCAGTGTCAAGAACACTAGTGGGTTGTTAGAAGACCTGAGTTGTATAGCCCAGCTCTTGTCACCTCACCAGCAGTGTGTCTTTGGACAAGTCACTAAAACTCCGTCCTGTTTCCTCATTTGAAAATGGAGCCAATAAACCAGGTTTTGACTTCTCACTAGGTTGTTGTGGAGATCATATGAGATATATACAAACGCATTGGAAATTCTAAAGCTCTTTAAATGTATTATGTTAGAATGATAGCTGGAGACCGGAAATGGCCACACTTATTTAAACCAAAAAGTGTAGAGAACATTACATGTTCATCTTAATACAAGTGCTGTTTGTTTTAGAAGGGTTATCATTTGAAGTATAGATCTAAGACATTTTAGAAATATTCATGTAAAAGGATCAAAAATTGCTTTGGGGGCTGGGCACGGTGGCTCATGCCTATAATCCCAGCAGTTAGATAGAGAGGCCTGGGCGGGAGGAACACTTCAGCCCAGGAGTTGGAGACTAAGCTGGGCAACATGGTGAAACTCCGTCTCCCCTGCCCAACCTCCCCCACCGCCGCCTCCCCGCCCAAAAAAAAGCTGTGCGTGGTAGTGTGTGCTCTTGTGGTCCCAGCTGCTCAGGAGGCTTGAGGTGGGAGGATTGCTTGAACCCAGGACCCAGGAAGTCAAGACTGTAGTGAGCCATCATTGCACCACAGCACTCTAGCATGGCTGACGAAGTGAGACCCTATCTCCAAAAATGAAAAAAAAAAAAAAAAAAAATTGCTTTGATCTTATTTCTTAATTGTGAAAATACTTGAAAATGAGTAATTTTTAATTTATAACAAAAGGCTGCTTTAAGATTCTTAAAAATTTCTTTTTAGTGACATTTGAGATTTTAGTTGGTTGTAAATTCAAATACCTTTTACAGTATTATACTTTTTCAGGTTATTATGATGGCAAATATATCAAAGCAGAATGGTGAAACCCTTTTCTGGGAAATTATTTTTAAGTCTAATTTTGTCTTTCCCTCTTTTGTCTTATAATGCCATACCAAGTTATTTTACAGCCTATTTCAGAGATTGTTGGTGGTGTGTTTATATTTTCTAGTGGTTTTTAATTATCTATGATGGCTAGCTATTTCCTTGATTCTATAATATTGGGAGGAAGAATGATAATTACTCAATTTTAGGGTAGATTATGGTTTTCTAAATCCAGGAACCTGATACTTCTGGCATAGGCAGCCTGGTGTTATAAAACTCATACAGGAGAAAAGGGGTCAGCTTAAGGTAAGAAACTGTACTCTCTTAAAAGCATTCCCCTTCTTTTTAACTTGAGAATTGTTTTCAACAGATCCCCTGTAAGCAGCTTACAGATTCGCTATGATCAACCAGGCAACAGCAGTTTGGAAAATCTGCCTCCAGTAGCAGCCAGCATAGAACAGCTTTTGGAGAGGCAGTGGAGTGAAGGACAGCAATTTTTACTAGAACAGGGTACTCCTAGTGACAGTAAGTATTCATTTTCTTATATGTGAATCAAGACAGATGGGCAGATGGACAAACAGGCAGATGGATGCAGAAGTCACTTTTCATCCAGAGTAGTAATGGGATTATGATATACATTTTATATAATACAGTGAGAGAAAGTATAAGGTGAAGTGGTTTAATAGAAGAGATTCTATAGTGTTACTGCTTGGACTTGAATCCTGTCTTTACCTGTTATTAATAGTATGATCTTGGGCATGTTTTTTAAAGTTCTTTAATCTCCTATTTTTACAATTGGGAGTAATAATGCACCCATATCAGAGGGTTATTGTGAGGATTAAATGACATGAAAAATGTAAGGACCACTGCCTGGCTCATACATAGCATTGTCTCGGTGCTTACCATGATTATACATATTGGTACTTTGTGTCTCCACTGTACTTTGTTCTTATCAATCAGTTTACTAAAATACATGAGCACTGTCTTCTCTTACCCCAATTGTTAGAAGAAAACTTGCTCACCTCTGGAAAACTTACTTTAAAAAATACAAATAGTCAAGTATGGCCGGCTAGCTTCTTCATTTTATAATTTGGAGGAAGAATAATAATTATTGAATTAAATCTATAATTAGTATATATTATGCTTATCATCTATTGGATTATAGAGCATGTACTATATATCTGTGTTTCAGTATCTTCACCATTTCAAGTATTAGGGCCGTGGGTGTAAAATGCAGAGTTAAAATAGGTGGTGGTTAGCTGGAGATGTGGCCTTGTCTTAATTTTAGGGAAAAATAGGTGGTTTTCATCATTTTCGAGTATAAACTTTTGCTGCCTCATTTTATTGAAACATTTTGCTTATTGTTGGCTAGCTAAGTGCCATAAATTGGTATTTTATGAATGGTACCCTGACAAAAAATGCTAATTAATTGTGAGGAAATTCATGCCAGGCTAATCCTTTAAACACGATAGCTGGAGGATAGGTTTAGCTGAGTCTTATTGCATCTCATTTGGGCCCACTAAGGTTTCTTTGTGGGATCTTGGAGGGGAGGGATAAAAGTTAAATCCATGGGAAACGGCCAGATGTGTCTGTACCAGAGGAGTTGTATCTTCTAAAGGCCCTGAGGTCATGTTAAACAAATACAACTTTTTAGTATGTGACGGACACTTCAAAAATCTTAACGGCAACACTCTGTGTTGTTAGCTGGGAGGTCCAAGTTGTGGAAGGAATTGAAGTACTTGAGGTGATGGGGCCAGACTGAAAGTCAGCCTGTTTACAGGGGATGCGCCTTTCTCCAGGACTGGAGAGGTGGCTGGGCGCACACATAGCGCTCCCTGCTGGGTGACCTGCAGAGCAACATGCTGAGCAGCTGGGATTAGGGGCTTCCTGCCAGGCGTCTGATGGCAGCACTTCGTTTAAACCGGACAACAAACAAAAACATGTGCTCATTATTTTGGTAGAGGGTATTGGTGCGATCCTTAACCATTCTGTATATGACTTCAATGCAAAATAGTGACAGGCACTTGAATTTTTAATAGGCTTTTATTTTGATGAAAATAAAATGTCATTACTTTTCATTGAGAATGGAAAATTACCTGAAGCTGGTGTGTGTTTTTTGGTATGTGGCAACAAAGTTTCCAGAAGGTACATCCAGGAACACTTTGCCTTTGTGCTTATAAAAATACAAACATAGATAGGCAATTTATATCCATAAACAAATTTAGGAACAAAACTTTATCATTTAGAAACACTTTACAGAATTTCTACTGTTCTATTTTAACTTATTTCTAAGGTTACCGGCACTGCGTAAAATACTTAGTCTTATGTGTGTACTTGTCATTATTAAAAACTATCCAAATGTGTGGTAGTTTTAGGAATGCTGAAGTCATTACACCAACTTCAAGTTGAAAACCGAAGATTAGAGGAACAAATTAAAAACTTGACTGCCAAAAAGGAACGGCTTCAGTTATTGAATGCACAGCTTTCAGTGCCTTTTCCAACAATAACAGCAAATCCTAGTCCGTCTCATCAAATACACACATTTTCAGCACAGACTGGTAAGTGTGAAAATATTTATTTTGTATCTAAGGAAAATAGGCTTTCAGTTTTATTTGTATTATAAGTGAGTAATAATTGGTCACCAGTTATATGAAGATGTAGAAAAGGAACTATAGGTTGTTTTTGAAGGGCATAAAGAATCCTGTTAAGTGATCAACTTGAATTTAACTTTCTTAGTCCATAATATAATGGTAAAATTTACTTAAATGTCTAATGATCTCGTTATTGATTTAAAGCGATGGTATTCAATATAGATTTTTTTTTCTTATTTAAATCAGTCTTAGGAATAGCAAGACTAGATATTTAAGTGGTTTTGATACGGGCTTCAGCATAAGCTTTTTAATAAGCCTTTAATCTTACACATAATGTAATTTAATAGGGTAAATAGGTTTCTTTTTGTCTTTTATTATTCTAGCTCCTACTACTGATTCCTTGAACAGCAGTAAGAGCCCTCATATAGGAAACAGCTTTTTACCTGATAATTCTCTTCCTGTATTAAATCAGGTAATTTTTGTATGGTTATTTTCATCTATGTTGATTTACTTGTGAATAATAGTATATTAAATGGTTTAAAATTATTTTAAACAGTTTTGCAGTGTTCTTTAAACTTAGTTTCTCTTCTTTCTTACGCTGGGACTTAATGTCCAGTGGACTTAGTTTCTCTTCTTTCTTACGCTAGGACTTAACCTCCAGTGGACAAAGTACCAGCAGCTCATCAGCTCTTTCTACCCCACCTCCTGCTGGGCAGAGTCCGGCTCAACAAGGCTCAGGAGTGAGTGGAGTTCAGCAGGTCAATGGCGTGACAGTGGGGGCACTAGCTAGTGGAATGCAGCCTGTAACTTCCACCATTCCTGCCGTGTCTGCAGTGGGTGGAATAATTGGAGCTTTGCCAGGTAACCAACTGGCAATTAATGGCATTGTAGGAGCTTTAAATGGGGTTATGCAGACTCCTGTCACAATGTCCCAGAACCCTACCCCTCTCACCCACACAACCGTACCACCTAATGCAACACATCCAATGCCAGCTACACTGACTAACAGGTAAGAAACTTAAGTATGTTTTGGGTTTTTTAGTATAACAGAGTACCGGTGTTGTCTATGCCTTAGATTGGGGCTTTCAATGTGTTCCTTTGTAGATACACCTTAAGAAGTCTGCCAAAAATTTTAAGTATATTATACAGAGTACATTTATTTTTGAAACTTAAGTAATTTAGATTAAAATTAAGTTACTTTTAGTAACAGCATTATGTTCTGTGCTGAAAATTAGTCTTAATCTGTGATGTCTGTTTTTAAATACTAGTTTTTCTTATTTCTTTGTATACTGTATCATAAATTCTGAAGAAAGATATCGTAGTGGAGATAACATGAATATTAGTTTCCTAAAATTTATGTAATATTTTTAATGTTCTAATCAAAGATTTTGATATAGGATAAAGGTCATTTATCTGAATTCCCAGGAAGTGAGACTCACTGGTTTCATTGTACTGGAACTGCATTTGAATGTTTGTTCAAAACTAGGGGACTAAAGCTATGTTGTTATTAAGCATACTTTTGGGGGAATAAATACTTTTAAATGGATTTGCAGTGGGTACTAGAAAGCTATTTCCTGTAGCTCTCTTCCTTGGTGTTTAGTTTTACCATTGGGACCATTAGAAAAGGATAGGTCAAATCAGTGGTATGTTTGGATTCTTTGTTTCAAATATGTGTTTACTTAGTGTGAGTTAAATTATCCTTGAATAATTAAAGATAAATTATTACATACGCTTGTTAGAAACACATGTAAATTTCTATTCCATAAAATGAGTTAGGGCCTATTTGTTTTATAATAAAAACATTTCTTGACAATGTGAATTCTTGTTTAGCTGTACACATGGATGTATATAAACATACATATATATAGAAATTGTACATAACTGTTTTCAGAGTGTTTGGATTCAGAATTGTACTTAAGTTATTAAACATCAAATTGAAAAGTTGTCTTTCATTTTTAGACTTCTAAAAATGCATTAGAGGTGTGTAGTAAAAAGTAAGAATTGTAATCATTTTTCAGTGCCTCAGGACTAGGATTACTTTCTGACCAGCAACGACAAATACTTATTCATCAACAGCAGTTTCAGCAGTTGTTAAATTCTCAACAGCTCACACCAGTAAGTTCTTTCTTTTGATAATATCTTATTAGGAGCATGTGTTCTAAGCTGTAATATTCACTGTGGGTACAGATTTCTCCTTTGTGAAATAACATTATTGAATGCATAATCAAAAAAGTTTTTCTTGCCATGTGGTACAGGCTGTGATACCTGCAGTGATGTCACATTCATTCCTG
Organism: Homo sapiens; assembly: GCF_000001405.40. NCBI lineage: Eukaryota > Metazoa > Chordata > Mammalia > Primates > Hominidae > Homo > Homo sapiens. The sequence goes on from NC_000010.11 coordinate 21,735,412, forward strand.
AACTTAAAAGTGACAGGGCACGTGGCATGGTGCTGCCATAGGCTCTGGTAACACAGTGCTGAGATGTGGTGCGTGTTTTCCCGGAGCTTCATTTTGATACGGGAGATGGATGGACACGATGCACGCTTTTTGGTTGTGATAAATACTGAGAAGAACAAAGAAGTGGAATAAGTGGGGAAGAGCATAGGGAACCGAGGACCATTTTAGATAGGATGGCCCCGCCTCTGCAAGGGGGGTGACTTTTGAGCACAGACCGATGTGAGAGTTCAGGGAGTGTGCCTTTGTGACTTGAGGGAACGCAGAGAGAAAGCACGTTGGAGGTAAAGGGGCAGCTGCTGTCAAAGGTCTGGACGTACTTGTGTTCGGAAGAGAAGTCAGCAGCCATGTGGTCAGAGGGTGGGAGAGGTCAGAGCCAAGGGGGTGGTCTTAGATGATCGCATACAGCCTTTCTTGGCTGTGGCAAGAAATTTGGATTTTATCTTAAGTATGAATGGAAAGCCACTGGCGAGTTTTTAAAAATCTATTACGGAGGATTTCAAGTGTACCAAAAGTAGAGTGGAGAGCACCCTGAAGACCTATGTACGCCTCATTCCATTCTCTCACCCAGTGCTAATAATCTTAGTTTTGTTTATCTCATTTCATTCTCCATTTTTTTCAGGATTAAGAATTGGAAGGTTTTGAACAGAATAGTGAAATAATGATTTACATTTTAAAGGATTAGTTTTGCTGCTATATGGAGAATAGTCTGTGTGTGTTATAGGGTGTGGGGGAGTGAAGACAGAGGCAAAAGTGGAAAAAGGGAGTGATCCAGGCAGGAGACGTAGGTGTTAAAATAGTATGGGCTACGTATTGAAAACTGCCTGGAATTGTGGTATATATATGTATATTTTTGAGAGGGAGTTTTGCTCTGTCGCCCAGGCTGGAGTGCAGTGGCACAATCTGGGCTCCTTGCAACCTCCATCTCCTGGGCTCAAGTGATCCTCCTGCCTCAGCCTCCCGAGTAGCTGGGACTACAGGCATGTCCCACCATGCCTGGCTAATTTTGTATTTTTTGTAGAGACAGGGTTTCACCATGTTGCCCAGGCTGGTCTTGAACTCCTGACCTCAAGTGATCTGCCCTTAGCCTTCCAAAGTGCTGGAATTACAGGTGTGAGCCACTGTGCCCAGCCAAGATGTTTTGAAGACAGAACCAACAAGACTTGTTTGCTGGACATACAAGAGAAAGAAGAATTCTGAATGGTTGGTTAGTGACTTTTACTGAGATGTGGGAGAACAGAACCCAACCAATTTTGGAGAGAAAAATAGGTGTCATGGACACACTAAGCTTGAAATCTCTTTAGATGTACAAGTCAAATGGAGATAAGGCAGTTGCACAGTAGGTGTCTGGAGTCCCAGGCAGAGATGCAGTTAGTTAGAAATCTGGGGTTAGTGCTGCACAGGTGATGAGAGCCATCAGATTTGATGCGGACTCCTAGAGCATGAAGACTGAGTCCTGGACACCCTAGAAAAGGAGAATAAGCCAGTAAAGAAAGGCTATTGAGAAACTGTGGCCAGTGAGCCAAGAGAAGGACAGTGTGGCATCTTAGGGGCAAGGTGAAGGAAATGTTTCCAGAAAGGGAGGAGTCAACTGTGTAAAATGCTTCTGTGGTAGGGTAAGAAAGAATTGACCAACCGGGCGTGCTGGTGCATGCCTGTGGTTCCAGTTAATTGGGAGGCTGAGGTGGGAGGATCACTGGAGCCCAGGAGGTTGAGGGTGCAGTGACACCTGCACCTGACAGGGACTGTTTCTTTCTTAAAGGTTGTCTAGAGGCTTTTTACAGTTTGGGTGTGATGAAAGTAAAAACCTCATTAAATGGTTCAAAAGGAAATGGGAGGGAGAGGAAGTAAAGATAGCATATGGGCACCTCAAGACATGTCACTTTGGAAAGCAGAGGAAGGGGAAGCAGGAGGCAGATGTGGTGGGCACACGGGGCAGTTTCGACTCATTTTGAATGTGACAGCGTGTGTGTATGTTGATGGGACATTGCTGGGATAGGAGAGAAGAAAGGTGCTAGCAGAGGAGGAGATGAGAACGGTATTTCACTGCCCCAGCAAGGCAGGCAGAGCAACTGGAGGTGGGTTTTATGTGGAGGGTTGAAGCAATCCCACTTTCAGTGCTTCTGATTTTCTTAATTAGAAGTAAAGTGATCAGCAGAGGGAAGGAGATGGGTGTTAACGGTTAGATAAGAGGGGAGATGGGAAATAGAGAACTTGTAGAAGGGGAGAAAGTATGGACCGAGACCCAAGTGGGATTGTGGCTCAGGTGCAGGGCAGGCCTGGCCCTGTGGACAGTCGTGGGGCTTCCTCCAGACCCATTTCCCTAGCACTCTTCATTCAGTTGGGCTGCTTGGAGAATGCATTGCTTAATTAACATAGAAATTACAAAGGCTGACATCCTTTCTAAGTATATTTATGTACTATTTTGCTGCAGTCAAAAATATATTGAAAATACTTTTGATTCTGGATCATTTTCAGTCTGTTTTTAGAGTGGTGTTAAAGGCACACTGCATGTAAGTGTATATAAATTCTTAAATGCTGGCCGGGCGTGGTGGCTCATGCCTGTAATCCCAGCACTTTGGGAGACGGAGGTGGGCGGATCACGAGGTCAGGAGTTCGGGACAAGCCTGACCAACGTGGTGAAACCCCGTCTCTACTAAAAATACAAAAATTAGCCGGGTGTGGTGGCGCGTGTGTATAATCTCAGCTACTCAGGAGGCTGAGGCAGGAGAATCGCTTGAACCAGGAGGTGTAGGTTGCAGTGAGCCGAGAGCACACCACCGCACTCCAGCCTGGACAACTAGAGCGAGACTCGGTCTCAAAAAAAAAAAATCTTAAATGCTGACACTAAGATGGGATCTTGTTTTTTCTTACCAGTTGCCTCATCTTAATATGAGCACTAAAACTCCATTTATTTGGGTGTCTTCCTATTAATCAAGATTTTACTCTAATAATAGCATGTGTAGCTGTCTCATTTCCAGAACATGGTTAAGGAATTTTCAGCACAAATTATTGCTTGGAGACCATGAGGACTAAAGGACTGTACTTTTTCCTTCATCTGCCAATGTCGTGGGCTAAAGTTTGTTCATTTACAGGGATCAAACTTAACGTAGGTGAGGATTTTTTGGAAGCCTCCGCACAGCTTCCGCTCGACACTCTTGCTTGACTCTGCTTCCCCCAGATGACTTGCATGTTTGCTAAATCCAGTGGTCCCTTCTCATTCTTCATCTTAACGTCACCTGGCAACGGCATTAGACAGAGTTGATCGCTTTTCCTCCTCCTTGAAACATTTCCTCCTCTTAGCTTCCAGGATACCACATCATCTTGGTGTCTTACTACCTAACTGGTCATTCCTTTTTAGCATCCTTTCCTGGGTCCTCCTCTTCAGCCTGAGAGTGCCCAAGGTGGAATTCAGTGATCTCTCATCACTGTCTGTAAATAGCATCTCTGTGCTGATACTTACATCTCCAGCCAGACCTCTCTCTGGAGCTTCAAGCTCCTGTAATGCAGCTGCTCACTCAGTAGCTCCGCTGGCATATCTTAAAAGACATTTCAAACATAACGTGTCCAGAACCGAACAGCTGATCTTCCTGCACAACCCCGCCCCACCCATCGTTTTCCTCACCTCAGCTGATGGCAGCTCCATCCTCACTCTGACACCCCACATTGACTCCATCCTGAAATCAGACTGTGCCACTTCTCAAAACCTTCCCGTTTTACCATGAATACAAGCCAAGGTGGCCATGCCTTGCCACTGCAAGCTCTGTGTTCTCCTCACTTCCTCCTGGCTCCCTCCACCCTTCCCGGGTCCTTGCTGCCACTGGATCCTGCTGGGCCTGCTCCTCTGGAGGCCTTTGGCACTGCCTGGAAATCCTCACCTGCCCCCATATCCACCCAGCGAATTCCCTCTTCTCCTCCAAATCTTCATCCAGATGTTAACTTCCCAATGAAAACTGCCCTGGGTAATCTGCTTAAAATTACAACCTGACCATTAAACCCTACTCCCTCCAGACTTTCTCATACACAGTTGTGTTTCCCTTGACGCAGAGCAGTAATCACATTCTAACGTTTTCATTTATTTCCCTTTCCCTGCTCAATGTGTTTCAAGCACCAAAAGCAGTGCCTGGCACCTAGTAAGCACTCAGGAAATCTATAAATATACGCTGCATGGAGTATATGCTTGCTGTAGAGTGGTAACTGCATCAAGAAAGCACCCTAATGACAGGCAGAAACGGGAACTTTAAGGTTGTTTTAAGTTTGGAAAGGGTTTGACCACGCATGATGCATTCAAATGTCCACCTTGATTTCTCTTAAGCTGCTGCACTTCCTGATTGATCATCACGGATAACCTAATAGAGCTCTCCTATGTGTGTCCTGTTTTGAAAATAAGCTGTTTGCTGAAGATACTGACATTTTATAGTAGATGGTTATTATCTAGTGCAGCATATTTTTCTAGATGAGATACTTGTTTTCTTTCTTTGCAAATATCTAATATTAAAGGAAAGAAAACATAAGGCAGCTCATCTGACTGCTGAATTCCGTGCTTGGGAACTCATTTTCTCTCACATGTTTTTTGCCTAAGGAACAACATCAAGCCTTTTTGTATCAGTTAATGCAACATCACCACCAGCAGCACCACCAACCTGAACTTCAGCAGCTGCAGATCCCTGGACCAACACAAATACCCATAAACAACCTTCTTGCAGGTACACAGGCACCCCCACTTCACACAGCTACCACCAACCCATTTCTCACCATCCATGGAGATAATGCAAGTCAGAAAGTAGCAGTAAGTATATTTTCCTTACTACATCTAATGAAACAAGAACTGTATTGATTAATCGGAGATGATCATTTTCCAGCCTGGTTTTGTTCCCCTGATCATTTCTTCTTAAAACCAGTTGCTTTTAGCAGATGGATATTATAGGCAAAGGATCTAAGCCAATTTATACGTCCCCTAAGTATATCAGTTTGAATTTGCACATTAGGTTTGAAGGCTGTTTTGTAATTCAGCAATTTTCAAGATGACAAAGTTAGCAAGTCATATGGGACAATCAAATCAAAAGACAATAGTTGGTGCTTTCTGAGAAGCTTTGTTTATAGAACCAGTCTATATATCTTGGAAATATTTTTATTTTACTCCAAAGTGCTTTTTACACATTAAGTATATTTATTACCAAGATGAATATATACATTTTAGGGCACACAATCCAATAATTCTACCAGATTAGAGGGAGTAAATCACAGTCACATCTGTAATGGAATTCAAATTTTTAGTTATTAATTTCATGTAAGTGATGGCATCGTACCCTTTCAATGTGAAAGTTAAATTAAAAATGGATGCAGGAACAGTATTCTACACATACAGTAGAACCCATTTTAAGGCCGTTTCGATTAATTCTCCCCTTCAATTAGGTCTACTTTACTGGAGTATAAATGTTTCCCCTAAATTCCAGTTCAGGGCAGAACCCTGTTAGAGGAAGGCTATGGGGATGTAGAATGGAGACTGGACATCAGGAAAAGGAAGAAGGGAGGGACTGAGGTGGGAGACTTGGCAAATGAGTGTTCAAAGTTGCAGTGTTTGCTGTTTCCCGTTACTTTGAAAGTTTTGTTTACTGTGCTTTTAGTCTTCAGAAACTTTAGTTTGTACTTAGTAACGAGAATTATTCAAAATAGAGGATTGTTTTTCATGAACTCTTCAGTGCTTTCTGTCTGCCCTCTTGTCTCGCCTACTTCCTGTCATCACACACCGCATTACCTCTCCAGTGTTCTGCTGACATGGACAGTTTTCAGTGATTCTGTATTGAGTTCTTTGGTAGTATTTTTTCCCCCCCAGTGTTTCACCAAGTGTTTTTCTTGTGTTAAGAAATGCACTAATTACAAACTTTTCCTAGGTTATACAATATGAAATGTATTTAATGGAAAATCACAGTAATTTAATGAGCTAATAGAGTGCTCATAATAGAGAACACAGTGCTGGGAGGTGCTGTTTGCTTAGTACCCTGCTATGTGCCAGGTGTCCTTGCAAGATACAGTGACATTTGTGATTTCAGTCTTTAATAATAGGCTGTAACTCCATTTTTTTTATAGATTAGTAAAAGGAAACGCAAAGAAAGCCCAAGGACAAATAGCAAATGTGGAATCACAGCCGATGACTTTCTTAGCCCATAAAAATTTCATTCTCTACAGTACCATGTTACTTCTGTGGAAAAGTTGATTTTGGAAGATGAATTCTGCATTCATTCTTTACAAGTTCTGTCCCTCAGATGGGCCCACCTCTTTGGTCTTTTTATACTGTTGAATTTAATGTTTTTAAAGTATTTACTAGTAAATTCATGTCTATATATTACGTTGCAAGTAGCCTTGCCAACTTGCAAGAAAAAAGGGAGTAACTTTCTATACCACATTTTATCTCAGTCACAGTTTCAAATTCGGAGAATATTATCAAAAGTTGATTTAGCTAACGCATCTGCTCTTTTGTTTACCTGCAGAGACTTAGTGATAAAACTGGGCCTGTAGCTCAAGAGAAAAGTTGACACCTGAGAAACATCTAGAAATTGCCTATCCTGCTGTTCTAGCACTTCATCTGGCTGCCTTTGCAGTCCTTTTACTACAGCTATGAAGAAACGCAACAAGAAACTCAATGCACAACAAAGGATTAATTGCTGCAAGGACATTCTTGTAAGGCTTTGATTAGTTTTCTTGTTGCTTTGTTGCACTGAAATGGAATTCCCATGCCCCTACCCCTTACCCCAGTTTTTTGAACATGGAAAGAAAATTTAATAACTTTTTAAAGTGACATAATTTACATGCAATATGTTTATCAACTCAAGAATTTAATATAGTTGGTACACAACTAGTTTTGTTTATAAATTGGAGATGCAAATAGCAAAACTAAATACTTGCTCCATTTACAAACTACTTGATTTTATTGTACAAGTTGAAATATGCTCTTTTGTTTGGGTTACAGTATGCTTGCTCTAAGTCAAATTCCAAGGAACTAATTTCTTCTCCTGGAGTTGCATTGATTCAGTATTACAAATATATAGCACATCACCTGGGACTTGGCAATCTTTGTTAAAAAAAAATTTCCTTTCTAATGGGATTTGGCCAATTTTGGTAATGAAGTTAGGATGGTAATGTCTGCATCTGCTAAAGGTAATTTTCTTTTGAGAATTGCTTTCTTTAGTGTTAAGACCTACTCATATTTTGAAGAAATCTTGAGTTAAGTGAGTTCTGAGGCTGCTGGGGGAACCAGATCAATTCAAAGCTAAATACTTCTTTCAGAAAGGGGCCACTGTGGAAAGTGCTGGTGGGGTTTGCCCTTGATCAAGTGCCTCCATTGTGCTGCAAGGGCTGTAGACAGCAGGGTGGGACAGTCAGTCCTCCGAGCAGCAGGAATCATCCCGTCACCTGCAGCCTTCCCATGCTTCCGCCTTTATTCAGAACTTTCTGTGCCACTGTAGATAGCTCAGGCAAAACTATTACCTGGGTATTTATCCACTAATGAGTCACAAGAAAAGGAGTGGATTTGGTAAGAATAGAGATTTGTTTTATTTAAACCACTTCCCATTACTGACCATTAAAAGCTCACCACTAGAGTTCCTGAAACAGGTGAAACCTGTATGACAGCCCTTCCACTTTGGGGAGCCACGCTTTTGATGTGACAGTACCGCAGAGTGATTCCCCCACTGAGGATGTCATCATCAAACTCTTCTTTGGTGTGTGAATTATTAGTGGAAAAGACCCAGCTGTAATTAGACCTCCACTGTGTACTTAGCTGGAAGAACATGTTAATTCTGCAATATGTTTCTTGGTTAAACATTGCACAGTTCTTACCTCATTTCTGTAAATAAAGTTTTGTGAATCTGTTTTGTATTGTGACAAATTCATAAGATAACATTGATATTTTGATTTGTAATATTTCTAATTGGTAGATTTAATTGAAAAGTAAAATTAATTTATTTTTATATGTTCAGGGGAATTTTAAAGTCAAATCTTTTGTAGATAATTTAAAAAATCAGTGTGGTTTATTTTACTTATTTAACCCACTGGTTGTTATTCTGTAACAGTTTGTATAAATGGTAAATTTTGAATGTGTTGTTATTTTACCTAGATGTAAAATTCCACATGTATTAAAATGTACAAAATGTTTTGTTAATAAAATTTAATAATGTTTATAACTCCGTGCCATTCTCATTTGGAGAGGATGGAGGGGGTGCACCCATGTTGCTTCCTCAGGGAGTCTTGGCCTGTGTTTTGTGTTTGGAGCACTGGTATATTGCCCCGGAGTTAATGGAAACTCTCATGAGCAAATGCTATACGATGTGCAAAGCATTCTGTAAAGCACTGTGCGGTACAAACCCACCTCGGGCTCAGAGATCTTGGATCATCCTCAGATGAGACGGAGAGAGAAGAGGGAAACAGCCTTGGTGGAGATAAAAGGAAAACAAAGTCCTTTTAGATGAGATAATTAGAGCCCGTTGATAAAGCAGTACTCACACTTGGTAGAGAGAGATTCTTCTTCTTTATACAGTTAGCTTTAACTAGAGGCATATCCATGAAAGAGAAGCCCAATCTACTTAGTGGTCTTGGGGTCTTGGTAAGCATCAGAATCACCTGTGGTGCTTTTCAAAAATATAAATGCTCAGACTTTTTATCCCAGACTTAATTGAATCAGAACATACTGATCTGTGTCAAGTGCTCCTGGTAATTAAGAGGCACATGAACAAGAAAAACTGGTCCTAGGCTATAAACTTTATTAAGGAGTGAGTTTTGGGTTCCTGGAGAGATTTTTTTTATGCACATGAAAAATAATTACGACTCTAGAAAGTCGTCTCTTCTCCCAAGGCGAAGGATTACCTTCCCTCTAGAATGACAGGTGACTCATCCATCAACTCCTGCGAGTTTAATTCCTCAACATGTGTCCTTTGCCTTAGCTGCATGTTTGTAAGTGTCCGCTTCTGTAGCTCTCTGGCTTCCTGGAGGCTCCGGGACGTCGACCTCGTCATCCTGGGTTGCTGCCCTGCAGGGCCCTGGCAGCTGCTGGTTCACATGTGCGCCTTGTGCTCTGGGAAGGGCACTGAAGAGCTGCTGCCCTGCTAGTGGCCCTGAGCCTTGAAGAAGGTCTACACTGGCTGGTTGCCGTCTGCACTTCTGTACTTTAGTCCTGTGGATGTGCAGTCCGTGTTGTGGGTCAAGATCAAGCACTGGGCCAAGACAGAAAAGCCAAGTCGCTGTCTTACGCTGCCTACCAAGCAGAAGGGAACGATGATCCCATAATCCTCCCAACAGGCAGGAGAGGCCCTTGGAATTGCAAGGGAGGTACCACCTTACAATGAAATGTAATTTTGCTTTCATAAGTGCGTTATGTACCTAGGTTTTAAAAGAAATGGTCTCACTCTGTCGCACAGGCTGGAGTGCGGTGGGGAGATCATGGCTCACTGCAGCCTCAAACTCCTGGGCTCAAGCAATCCTCCTGCCTCAGCCTCCTGAGTAGCTGGTACTACAGTCAGGAGCCAACGTGCCTGGCTGTCTGGGTCATGTCCTTCTGAGTAGAAATCTCAGTGAGACAAATACTGTTCATCTTAGTTTTACTTATTGAAAATAAAACACATCAATGATACCATCTTTTCATATAAACTAGTCCTTTCAAAATGAAATAGGGGCAAACTTTTAAAATTTGGGAGTCATTTTTAAAATAATTTTTACTTTGATAAAATTCATGTCAATTGTTTTTCCATTCCCCAATCTGTTATTTGCAACAAAGGAAATGTCTTTTTCACACCACTTACTGATTTTTGCAATTCAGTCCAGATTTATGTGAAAATGTAAGTTTCGTTTGACCGTGACTTAGGTCACAGTTCAAGTTTGGCAGGTCTCTAAGGGACAGATTCCCCACTGAGGTAAATGAATGGGGGCAACTCATCTCCCTTCCAACTGTCTCCAACATGTCTCAGCCTCAGATCCCTGGCTGCATCAAGGTCTGGAGGCCTACAGTCACATGGTTGTGGAGCAGACAAAGTGCCTATTTTCCAAGTTTGTGATCCACATCCACCTCAGGGCACTGGTGACACTTTTAGGTGTTAGAATTAACCATTTAATAAAAATTATCATGACTACTTTTTAAGAAATTTGAACCAGAACAAAAGGCCTTTTTTTTTTTTTTTTTTTTTTGAGACTGAGTCTCACTGTCACCCAGGCTAGAGTGCAATGGCGCAATCTCAGCTCACGGCAACGTCCGCTTTCTGGGTTTAAGCAATTCTCCTGCCTCAGCCTCCCGAGTAGCTGGGATTACAGGCGCACACCACCACGCCTGGGTAATTTTTGTATTTTTAGTAGCGATGGGGTTTCACCATGTTGGCAGGCTGGTCTTGCCTCCTGACCTTAGGTGATCTGCCCGCCTCGGCCTCCCAAAGTGCTGGGATTACAGGTGTGATCCACTGCGCCCGGCCTCCTTTCATTTTTTTATAAAATGATACATCTACAATTTTAATATTTTCTCTTTTCCTACCTGGTTGAATATACAAAGTTATGGCCTGCTTTTGCCACTTAAAGTGACAGGAAAGATCTTTGAAATCAAATTTTGTGTTTATTAAACTAATCATTTTTTAGGCCAGTTAGGCATGGCTGTCACAGCAGGAGCTGTGTAAATGATGTTCCCTTGTCTTTTAGGGGAAGGGGATCTCGGGGGATTAGGGGAGTAGGGGCAGCATAAAGGGCAGGGTTGGAGAGGACTACGCTAGTCACAAGGGATCAGGTGGGCACAGGAAATGAGGCTAGAAGAGGGCTGTGGGTTTGCAAGAAAGAGATGATTGGTGCTGTGCTGGAGTGTGGTTTCTGTAGTCCTGTGGCCACAAAAGGAAGACTGTAAATGCGCATTAAGGCAGCAAGCAGCGTGGATAGTGCAGTGAGGTGCCCTCTCTACAAAACAAAGTTAGCCAGGCATGGGGTATACACCTGTAGTCCGAGCTATTCAGGAGGCCTAGGTGGGAGGATCATGTAAGCCCAAGAGGTCATGGCGGCAGTGATCATGTCACCACACTCCAGCCAGGGTGACAGAGTGAGACCTCTTCTCTTAAAAAAAAAAGGGGGGGGGGCTAGCAACTGGTCGGGCATGATTACTCACACCTGTAATCCCAGCACTTTGGGAGGCTGAGGTGGGTGGATCACCTGAGGTCGGGAGTTCGAGGCCAGTCTGACCAACATGGAGAAACCCCGTCTCTACTAAAAATACAAAATTAGGTGTGGTGGCACATGCCTGTAATCCCAGCTACTCGGGAGGCTGAGGCAGGAGAATCACTTGAATCTAGGAAGTGAAGGTTGTGGTGAGCTGAGATTCTGCCATTGCACTCCAGCCTGGGCAACAAGAACGAAACTCCATCTCAAAAAAAGGCGGGGTGGGGGGATTGGCTAGCAAGGTGCAGAGTGGGTGAATTCGGGAAAGGCAGATGGGAGAAGGGAGAAGGTGGGTATCAGGAGACAAGTGTGTTATTTCTAGATCTGGGTCCAAATATTCCAGATGAGCTCACTGCCTCTTCTCTGGCCTGCTTTTTGCTGCACACTCCCAAATTCCATGAGGTTGAATTTTCAGGTTTTGTTCACAACTGTTGGTTTACTTCAGGTACAACCAGAGCTAGGCCTTTGGTTGGTGAGGACTCCAGCGCCCCACCCTCCAGGTGAGCCACCAGTGTGGCCACCACCCTTGTCTACTTTCAATGGGAGAGCCATGTCCTCCGAGTGTGGACAGTTGGCAGAGGGTGTTCCCAAGGATGCTGAGCTAGGCATCATGTCAAGCCCTTCACCTGCTTTGCCTCACCTCCGCTTCACACAACTCTGTGAGGGCTGTTTTGTCTCCCCCATTTTGCAAATTAGGAAGTTGAGTACCTTAGGAAGATACAGTCACATAGCTGCCAAAATGTGAATTGGTGCAATTAAGAACAAGAATGATCTGAGGCAGGTAAAGTGGCAGCACCCCTTGACGCTCTTAAAGCCCCTCCCGACTCAGAGTTCCTAAGGAGTGGCGGAGGCTGGGATGCCTCTTCAAGATTGAGGCCTCTCGGGGTGTGGGCTCGGCCCATCCATCCAGCACTGGCTCCCAGCACAATTCCACCCATTGCTGTGCACCCCAGCAAAACCCAGCCATGCTGTTCTTGAACATACCATGTCCCTGACATCCCTGTGCCTTTCCCAGGCATCACTGGTAACTAGAATCATAAAGGCCTGGACATGGCTATGGCTGGAGTTTGAGCTGTCCCTGGCTCTGCATTCATTCATAGTCTTTCCAAGGGGTGTAGGGGTGTGCGAGCCTTTGCCTGGGTGCAGACTGGAAAGGAACTAAGGAAGAAACCAGAGACCCCTCGGTGGACCTGTGCATTGAACTGGTTTGGGGAATTCAGGTGAGATTATGTGAGACGACTGGAGAAGACAGACAAGTTGGAATCCCCCGCAAAAAAGCTAGGGAGGCTTCAACCTCCTGGAGGCTTTTAGGGAAAAGGAATTCACCTTTTCTAAGGCCCTAGCTCCAGGCGAGCTGCTTTCTCCAACTCCCTGGGAGGGATTCTTACCCTCCAGCTTATTGGAGAGGAGACCACACAGGCAGGTTGCCATACCTCTGCTCTGGCTCTTTTGGACATGAGGGAAGCACCATAGCTCCCTGAATAGAGTGGAGGATTCTGCCGGGGTTTAGAGCAAAGGGCTCTGGAACCACCAAGCTGACCCTCACCAGACCCCTACAGAGGGGGGCAGTTGAAGTCACTGGGGTGGGAGAAGGGTGAAGACAAGGAAGAAGACTGCAGACTTTGGGGACACCAAGACTAACAAAGCAAAAGATGAAACATCTGGACAGGAATCTGAGGAGCCGCCAGGGGAACTCTTGGTTTGATTTACATCCATTTCACTCCAGAATGTGAGGCTGTAGAAAGCTGGAAGATGTCATATACCACCTTCAGGATTAAAGGGGTAAGGTCAAGCCTGAAATCACCTTTTGGACATGGTACTTAGGTATTTGGTGACATGAACAGGAGCAGCTTTGGTGGCGGGAAGAGAGGTACAGGAGTCAGATGACAAGGGGCTAAAAGGTAGGAGGCAGTGTCTAAGGCTCCCAACGTGTGCCCTTAAATACTTGATTGTACAATGAGGTTGTATCAAACCAGTGTCAGTTCACCTTGCTTTAACAAAGTGCCATAATCTGGCCGGGTGTGGAGGCTCACGTCTGTAATCCCAGGACTTTGGGAGTCCAAGGCAGGAGGTTCACTGGAGGTCAGGAGTTGGAGGCTGCAGCTATGATCACTCCACTGCACTCCAGCCTGGGTAAGACCAGGACCCTGTCTCAATGACATAATTTTTTAAAAAATGCTGTAGTCTGGGTGGCTTATATACAACAAATATATTTCTCCCCGTCAGTGAGGCTCTGTTCCAGAGGCAGAAGGCCAACTCACTCGGAAGGGGGCAACTCTGCTCTCTGGCCTCCCATTCATGGGGGCTCCACCCTCCTGATCTAATTATCTCCAAAGGCCCCACCTTCTGATCCCATCTCCTTCGAGGTTGGGGTTTCGACACATGACCTTGCTGAGGGGAGACAGATATTCAGTCCATTGCAACCAGTGAAAAAAGAAGTTACCTCATGGTTTGCAGCAAACTCAACGGCATCTTCATTTTGGTAGTACCTTCCAAAGTTTAAAATTAAAGCATGAAATTCAATTTGTGCTGATCAGGTTTGTTTTCCTTCAAACTCTGATGACTGCATCTGGGGTTTCTCACTTGGCTCCCGTAACAAGCAGATGGATGAATTAGGGGATTCCATCTTGGTAGCACTGCCACCTTGCTGGTTCCCCAGGGCTCCTCCAGAGCAGGCAAGGTCGGGTGCTCTCTGCAGCTAAGTTGCCCGCGTACATTGAATTGCTGAACAAAACAGGGTCCCATTTGCTTTGCAGGCTCTTAGCCTCATGCAGTGGTTCTTCCTGGCTGGCCAGTAGAATCACCTGGACATCAGCACCTTCATGCGGTGATTCTCTACCCAGGACCCATTATTTCCCCGCCCCTCCCCCAAGACAGGGTCTCACTCTGTCACCCAGGCTAGATGGCAGTGGTGCAATCATAGCTCTGTGCAACCTCAAACTTCTGGGCTCAAGCGATCCTCCCACCCCAGTCTCCTGAGTAGCTGGGACTACAGGCATGTGCCAGCGTGTCTGGCTGAGTTTTTTATTTATTTATTTTTTTAGAGACAGGGTCTCATGTTGCCCAGGCTGCTCTCAAACAATCCTGCCTTGGCCTCCCAAAGCGCTGGGATTACAGGTGTGAGCCAGTGCACCTGGCCTGCAACCAATTTTTAAATTCTAGTTTTTAACAGAACAGGACAGACATAATTGTAGCCAAAGAACAAATTTCCAATAGTGATTGTTTTAAGCCAAGCCTCTTAAAAAGGGAAAATAGCTGTGGTCAAATATGTCAAGATATCTACTGTTTAACTGCAGTGATATCTAACTTTGTGAAACCAAGATTGGAACCAAAATGACAGTATAAGCAATGAGACATTTTATCTTACATTTCACAAGGTATTTCTTTTTGAGTAATAACAAAAGCAAACATGACCGAGATGGCTCACTTTCCTTTATGACTGAGGCCACAGTAAATCATACAGCGACCCTACTGTTGCCCCCAAAATCTGTCAATTTCATTTTGTAAACGGTATACTTTTTAAACTGTATGACCCACAGATGAAGTTTATTGCAGTAAACTCACGTAATAATCCAGGAAATACTGACCCGAGGACGCTCTTGGTTTGGGGCCATTCCTGACAAGGCTGTGAGGGCAAGAGGCCCCCACTGTAAGCGACCCTGGCCTGGCTCCCACCCCACGTCTCAAACTCAGGAGTGAGGTTACAAAGGGAGTCCCCCGACTAGAGGGAAACACTATGCGTGTTTCAGCCCAATATTTGGAAGTCGGATTTGTTTTAGAAAATACCAACATCTGTTTTTACCAAATGACTAACCTTGTCTAGTTGCAGTCACGCAAGCCGCACGCCAAAGTCTCGCCTCTCCTCAGCCTCCACAGCCAACTCCTGGTCTTAAAGGCCTGAGCCCAGGTGCTGGTCCGTGGCTGGGAGCGGGAGGCCTGCAGCACAGGTGCCGGTGCACGTAGTTGCAGAAGATCCTGCCAGGCTGGGCACTGACTCAGGTGTCTCTGGAGCTCAGCCATTCTCTGAGGCAGGTGGGTCTTCACGAGGGCTGGGGCGGGACCAGGACTCACCCCTACCCTGGGGCTTTCTAAACCAAAGCAAGACAATGGAAATCTCCGCACTATCCTTCCTCTCTGGGGAGTTCAGCGCCCCTCTGAAAATCTGCAGGCATTTGGGATGGGCCACCTGTTAGCAATGCCCCATAAGACAGGAAGGCCGCATTACGTAGCACCCAGGCTGGGTGTCCTGGGCCCCAGGGAACACATGGCCTCCCTGTATGCACAGAACATGATTTAAACCGTGCCATTTAAACTTCAGGAACAAGCCTAACTGCCAAAATAAACAACAACAACAACAACAACAACAACAAATACCCTAGAAAATTAAGTTGGGATGAAATATTTGATAGAGCTTTAGTTCTCTACTTGGAGAGGAGTTTGGGGGAGTGTGACTGGCATATATCAAGAAGAAGCCCTGCAGCAAGAGGCATTTTTTAAAGTGTCTGAAAACATTGACAGTGGGAAGCTTATTATAAGAGGTCTTATTCTAAAACTGCAAAGGCAATTTGAGAATACTCCAGTGGAAGACTAAACCCACAGTCTGCAACACTCAGGGTGTTTGCCAAGCACGTGTGGACCAATTGAAAACAAACTCCTAGGCAGTTCCCAAAGCAAATTCTGCAGATGAATCGGATGATTTGGTGAAAATCTAAGTAAGCTGGTCCACTGATGAAAAACCTCCTTCCTTGCATGCGCGTCCGTGTGAAGAGCCCACTAAACAGGCTTTGTGTGAGCAATAAAGCTTTTAATCACCTGGGTGCAGGCGGGCTGAGTCAGCGAAGGGAGATAAGGGAGATAAGGGTGGGGCCGTTTTATAGGATTTAGGTAGGTAAAGGAAAATTACAGTCAAAGGGGATTGTTCTCTGGCGGGCTGGAGTGGGGGTTGCAAGGTGCTCAGTGGGGGAGCTTTTTGAGCCAGGATGAACCAGGAAAAGGACTTTCACAAGATAATGTCATCAGTTAAGGCTGGGCAGGGCATTTTCACTTCTTTTGTGATTCTTCAGTTACTTCAGGCCACCTGGGCGTATACGTCCAAGTCACAGAGGATGCGATGGCTTGGCTTGGGCTCAGAGGCCTGACACTTCCCACCCCAACTTTTCCTAATAAGGCATTCTAAGGCCGTGCACGGGGAGCTCTTGCACACCTGGGGAAGAACGTGGCTTGGCTGCACATCCCAAACATTCCTGACCCTCTGTGGGCGGGGGGGGGGGGGGGGGCGGGGGCAGAACCCCCATTAAGGATAAGTAAGACAACAGGTGAGTGTGCTTCGAAAACTGGCGCTATAAATGGTTTGAAGAAATAGTAGCACTGAGATTTCTGCCCCAGTGGGGAGAGAGAATTTAAACCACTAAAGGATAAGAGACTCGGGTATCCAGGAGGATGAGGGCAGTGCCCCCTCGCCTGGTGTCATGCCTGGGAGTATACCCTGCTGCTCTGCGCTCTGCGGGGCTGAGTGGGGTGGGGGCTGCAGATAGCCTCCCTCCCTCCACTCCTCCCCCAGCCGCTCCCGTGCCCTCCTGCAGCCCTCAGAACCACAGCCCTCTCCATGGCCTTGGTCCCTGATCCTTCCCCATAGTCTTCACCTACGATTCAGACGTGGGTCTTCCGATCCAAACTCTGCCCTTAAACCACACCTGAGGAAGAAAAGGAGACCAGGCTGAGGTCAGCCCTAGGGAAGAAACGTCCCTACTCAGTGGCAAGAGGAGGAGCACAAGATGGGGGCAGAGCCGAGAGGGGCCCCGAGTGTGAAGGGCTTTCCGAGAGCAGCTCGCTGCCCCTCAGATATTAGCACCTGCATTCTGTGGACAGGAAATGAGCCCCAGAGAGGGGCTAATATCACTTGCCCAGGCCCCAGGTCATCAGCAGCAGAGCTGCTGCCTGAGGTCCAGTCTAAGGTTCTCCTGTGCACCACATGGGCCCTCCTGGGGCCGTGTCAGGAGAAATGTCACCGTACAGGCTGTGAGCCTTTTTGGGTGAGAGGCCCTTGGGGCACGCAGTGAAAGATGTGGACCCTCTCCCCAGAAACGTACACACCCAAGATAGAATGATTTTGCAAGCCCTTTGCAGGGTCCCCGGGAGTGCACGGAGTGACCCAGGCCCCTAGGCCCCGGGCTGGGATTCTCGCCCCCACGGGCAGGAGATGGAAGGAGTTTGACTCTGGCCCATCAGCGCTGCTGTGGCCATCGCCACGCAGAGACGATGGTGACAGGAAGCCAGGCTGTCAGAAATAATATTGTTTCTGCCAAGCCAGGCACTGCGTTAGAAAGACTTCACACAGATTATCTCACTTTATCATCCTAACAACCTAAGCGGCAGCTGCCATTATTCTCTATTTTCCCAGATGAGGAACTGAGGCATAGTAGTAAAACAACACACCTGATGTCACCCAGCTTCGCGGACAGTGGGAGAGCCAGCGCCCCCCAGCTCCAGTCAGGTCTCACTCCCTGCAACACGAGCAAATGGACATGGCCATGGGGGCGAGGACTGGGGGGCCTGCCGAGGAGCTGGAGCCATGGGGTCCCCAGAAGTAGAGGCCTAGAGGCAGCACCGGTACCCACTGCACCTCAGGGCTGCTCGGTGACCGCTCTCAGGGCAGCCCTGGGCTGTTCTCAAGATCAACTTCACCCTCAGGAGACTAAGTTATGCCCAGCTGAGGATGTTCACAAGGACACACTGCAGGCCCTAGAGGCAATACCCCTGGAGAGGCTCCAGGCCCACGGAGGACGTGGCGGGCCGGTGAGCAGCCCAGGGCCCTGGGCCCAGGGTGGACTGGGGTTTGCCCTCCCACCTGGGACATTCCAGGTTCACGTTTTCTCAGGTCTCATTTAACAAGGAAAAAATAGTACACACAGCACTCATGTCCCACAGACAACTTCTTTTCTTCCCTCAAAAAGGGAAAACCAGCCTGGGCCACAGAGCCAGACCCATCTCTACAAAAAAACAGAAAAAATTTGCCAGGTGTTGGTGGTGCACGCCTGTGGTCCCAGCTGCTTGGGGGGCTGAGGCAGGCGGATTGCTTGAGCCTGTTAGTTTGAGGCTGCAGTGAGACATGATTGTGCCACTGCTCTCCAGCCTGGGCAACCAAGCGAGACTGTCTCTTAAAAAAAAAAAAACAAAAAAAGCGTAAACTGAAGAGGAAAGGGAGAAAGTGGTTGGGTTGGTTCTCATGAGCAAGACGGCAAGAACAGAAAAGCAAGCACGGGCTACCTGTGGCGGCTGGGCACGGCATGGGGAGGCCTCCTCAGTGGGCAGGGTGAGGTGGCTTGGGAGGACACGGGTCTGGGAGTGGGAGAGGAGAAGGGGCACGGTGGGGCTGTCACGTGGCTGGTGGATGTGCCACGTCCCCACATGCATTCAGCACATTCCCTCTCGAGGATCCTCGCTCTCCTGCTGTGACCCGGGGTGGCAGCTGTCATCTGTCTGTGTACAGAGCTGTGCTCTGAGAGCTGGGAGCCCACACGAGTCCTGCCCAGCCTCTGACCCTGGCCTCCCCCGCAAAACCCCCCACCCCATCCTACTTCAACTGACTCCTTGGCCTCCAGAGCCCCCCGAGGGGATACCATGGGCAGCAGGCCTTTCCTGGCAGGCAGAGACAGGCAGCAGAAAACCACACTAGCACCTCACTCTCTCAAGGCAGCTGGAGAAGATGAGGACAGGGTGAGTTGAGGGGTTCCAGCAACTCAATTTCCTAAAGCACCTCTGGACCCCCCACGGGCCTCTCCCGCAGAAAGCCCAGGAAACTTATAACTGGGCTCTGGGGTGTGTGTGAGAGGAACCCAATTCAGGGTGCTGTAAGTGAAAAGGATGACTTAATGGCAGAACGCTCACAGAGTGTCCTGTGTTGTGTAACAGGCCTGAGGCTGGGCTCAGAGACCAGAGGGGCCCCCAGCCTGGCATATGGCCAGGACGATCCTCCCCTCTCCCTGTCCCTCTCCAGGAACCGGCTTCCTTCTCAGATGTGTCACTCACATGTAGCCACTGTGACTGCACAGCAGTCACCTCATGGCCCCCCAGCTGGAGGACAGAGTTCTGGGGAAGACTCGGATTCCCGTGACTAGCCTGGCTTTGGGTTGTTACAGGAAGACAGTGAGCACCACTGGAGCCAGATGACTGTGCCTGTCCCCTGTCCCCACCTGGCCAGACAGGCACCACTTCCCTGTCCCTGCTGGCTGAGGCTGATGGAAGCTGCTGCTCCCTGACTCAGGCAGTTCTGTGCAAACCAGACCGTGGAGACGGTGGCTGGTACAGGCTGAGCATCCCTAACCCCAAATCCAAGATCCGAAATGCTCTCAAGATCCAAATTTTTGGAGTGCCAACGTGACGCCACCAGTGGAAAATTTCACACCTGACGCCTCTGCTTTCCAATGGTTCAGCAAATAAACTTTGTTTCTTGCACAAAATTATTAAAAATATTGCATAAAATTACCTTCAGGTTGTGTGCATACAGTATATGTCAAACATAATGGACGTCTGTAATCCCAGCACTTTGGGAGGCCAAGGCGGGAGGATCACTTGAGATCAGGAGTTCGAGACCAGCCTGGGTAACATGACAAAACCCCATCTCTACTAAAAATACAAAAATTAGCTGGGTGTGGTGGCACGTGCCTGTAATTCCAGCTACTCAGGAGACCGAGGCAGGAGAATCGCTTGAACCTGGGAGGCGGAGGTTGCAGTCTACCGAGATCGTACCACTGCACTCCAGCCTGGATGACAGAGCGAGACTCTGTCTCCAAAAACAAACAAACAAACAACAAAGAACGTGGTGTTTAGATTTGGGTCCCATCCCTGAGCCAACTTATTATGTATATGTAAATATTCCAAAATCAGAAAAAAAATATGCGAAATCTGAAACTTGTCTCAAAAATTTTGGAAGAGGGCTTGCAATGTGCTGTTTTTTCACTTTTCCGCTGCTCTTTTTGGGATGAGGGAGTTGGGTATGAGGTGTAAGTTCCCTACGTCTGCTCGGCCTGAGACCTGAGGCAGCCTCTGTCACCTCCTGTCAGGGAAAGGGCTGGGGACTTACCTGGTTCCACGTCCTCTGTATAGAAAGAAGCTTGCACTGCAGAGTGGGGATCTCTGCCACCCAAACTTTCCTCCAGGAAACTGTACCCTCACTTTACTCCTTAGGGAATATGACGTCTTTAAGATATTTTATCAAATCACGTCCCTTAACTGTGTTCTGGTTATCTTCATGATTTTCAAGTTTAGGCAAGCTGTGTTCATCACACTATTTCCACGCCCTGAGCAAATGACAGAAGATTTAAAAGGAGCGCTCAGCTGACAGTGACAGTTCAAACATAGCATGAAAGACTTCGACAGAAAGTAATAGTATAAAATAGTGATTTTTAACTTAGGTATGAAAAAACGGTCCCAATTTCATCATTTCCTGAAAACGGTCCTGCATGTTCTCTGGAAATTCTATCAGGTGGGAACACATTTCTATCAAGCAGCTCAAACTTAGAGTGTATTACCTTATGTCCTCCTTCACCTAGACTGTTTTTTTTCCCTAGATATATTTAACTAATTAAGATAATCTCACATTGTTCTTAGCCAGCCAGCTGGATACCAACCTGGTTTTCTTCCTCCCCAAGCAATTGATCTTGCTATTCAACCCCCAATAAAGACACGAACTGCTGTGTTCTTTGGTCGTGGTTTTAGAGAAACATTAAATTTGAATTCTTACACATTAGTTTGTTCACATGTTCCTTCAAAACCACATATTTTTGCCTGATCATTAGAAAGCACTATTTGTTTATTCCCTAAGAAAGTACACTTTGAAGTGATGAGAAATAAAATAATCTGCAACATACCCAAATCCTTTTTCCCCCAGCACAGTATTTGTTTAAACAGTATAGCACAACACTCATCTTTTATTTATTTATTATTTTTTTTTACTAAGGCACATGACGTAGAAATATTGAGGTACAAAATGCAAATTTCTGCATAAGATTTTTAAGATATTCATTTTGGAAAATGAAGGTGAACATCATCTCCCAGAATATTCAGCTTTTAGCTTGTTTTTTCTTTTGGACCAGTTCAACCAGCAACTTGTACCTAGCGATACAGTCTTCCTGTAGGAAGAAAAAAAGAGAGGTGAGAACAGTCACTTGCACAAGTCAGTGTGGTCATCATGTGGCCGGTCTGCTGGCTTCTGCTCATGAAGAGCCTCACGTCCAGTCCCTCTGCCCAGAGTTCCCGGGATGTCCTGGAGTCCAGTCGCTCACAAGGCAGACCGGTCTGGGCAGTGCGAGAAGGGCTCCTGCAAGCCCAGCCCAAAGGGAAGGTGCTTGGCGTGGAGTGAGGGGCTGGGGCGGCCGTTTGTGAGGCGTACTAGCATCATAATCGGGTCTTTCAGCCTGCTAACTCTTATTTTCATGTTAACACTTCACTCTTTTATCACAACATGCTACTTTAAAGAAATCAAAAACCCTGGGGCCAGGTAGCCTATTAGTCTTCTTCCGTGGGTCTGGCTTTCCCTAGGCGCTGCTAAGACCTTTCCCGTGGGGAGCCAGCCCCCAGGACACTGGCAGAACTTGTGCTGGAATACTCATTCCTGCTCCTCCTGGCCCCACCTCCATCCCACCCTACAGGCTGCAGAGCCGCCCACTTCAGACCTCAGCTGGCCACAGCTGTCACACCCTGGGCTGGAGCTCAGGACCAAAGCAGAGGTGGGGTGATGGTGGGGAGAGGCCTCATTATTCTCACATTGATCACAGGAACTTTCCAGAATCTATTCTGTTTCTGTTCCAAAAATAATGACCCTGTGGTTCTGTAGCTTTTGCTGACTAAGGGTCCAGTGCAAAGTGACTTTATCAGCTGCCTGGGACAGAGAAAGGATGTTTACTCTCCTAGGATTTTAGCTTAGTGGTGTTATGAGAGTCTCTTCTCAGGGTTTTTTTTCTGCATCCCCAAAGATTACTTGCCTAAGGTCTTTAAAGATATCAGTCTTTCCTTAGTAGCTATGCTGTCCCTAACAACATACTGCCAAAACCAGATGTGGCCAGACCCAGCACTTAACCCCAGAAGGACAGTGTGCTCGGAGCTCTGAGCTGAGCCGTGCACGGCAGCCAGGCCCAGGCTCCGGGACAGCAGGAAGCTCAGCCCTGCCTCGCTCTCAAGTCAAGGCTTGAGGGGAACACCCGCAGGCTGAAGAAGCCCTGCTCATTGCTGGTTGAAAACCGGAAGGTTTCCAGCCCCCCAGGTATGAGTTTCTGGGTGTTCTATCCTTAGGAATCCAAGCTCCAGCCCCTTCGTTTATAAGCCAGTGTGGACTCATCACACATGAAGACGTCTGCCTGTGTCCTGACAGATGCTAGAGAAATTCGGGTAGAATAGTTACTTCTGCAAACCAGTCGGAGAGGCTGGGAGAATCTGCGCTTCTCAAATATATCAACAGCTAACCGTTTATTTTTCTCCCCAGGAACTCTCAACTTTAATCATTTTAAAGTAGGTGGAGAAAACTACACCTGTACACTCAGGGACATGCATGGCCATGAGCTGGATTTTCCAACATAGAATTTCAATTAAAAAAAATAAGAATGTAAATGAGCATGAGTGTGCCCAGAGGCGACTGAGGGAGGCACAGACAGCGGAAGAGATCGGGGCTTTTGATTCTCACTGTTCCTGGTTCCTCGACTAACAATCTAGCTACAGGGAAAGAAGCCTCAAGAGACACTGTGTTAGGATCACACCCTGGGGCTCTCTGCAGCGCCTCATGGCCAGATCACAGGAAAGAGGCCGCCCAAGCCCGGTGGGTGGGCTCTCCACAGGGCACTCCCGCCCCCTCCTCCCATCTGAGGACCATCTCAGAAATATCTGAGCAGGCACCAAGAGCTACCAGCAGGGAGAAAGGCCAACTACAAACGGCCACGGCCGTGGAAAGTAAGCCGAACCCTAGCTGTCGCCTGGCACTGACCACATACGGAGATGGCCTCAGGGCCTCTGGACAGCCACCAGGTGTACCTGCTGAGTCCAAAGTTATTCACATGGCAGAATCGAAGATGATCACGGTAATACCATCTATACCAGCTATCCCTTTGGTCAAAGATTTGCTACACAGCCAATGGGCCTTGTGATTTATGAACCCTCAGCCTGGTTCAAAGGAGCTTTCCATCCTGACCCTTCCCAGCTGCTGCATTTCACGGTGAGGCAGCGCCGGCTGAGCCTCCCATGTGCCCTTAAAACCTAGCCGGAGTGGGCGAGTTCTCAAAAAGGCAGGCAGGTGCTGTGGGTGAAGTTTCTATAAGCAGCTGCCCTGTGGGATGATGAAACTTAGAATCTTGAGCTCATCTACACACATGAACCACCTGAATGCACAGATTCACACGCTCTAGGGAGAAATATACTGGAAGATAAATGGGAAAGAAGAAATCACGGGGCAGGTGTCAGTAGATAGGAATGAGGGAAGAAGCTGCAGGCAGACAAGCTGTGGCTCCTCTGGTGGGATTCTAACACCTGTGCAGAGGCCTCTTTCCCCATCACTCACCTTGCTCTTGGACGGGACACATCTGGCTATTTTGTCCCAGCGGTCAGAGGATCCCCTTGGGTACTGCTGCAACGCCAGTTCCAGAAGTTTCTGTTGATTTTGAGTCCACGGCTCCTCTGCAGACCGAGCTCTCTCTTTTCTCAGGCTCTCCTCGTCGCTGGACTCGTTTTGTTCTGCTATGTCAAAGTCCTTCTGCCGCTTGGCTCTGGACTTCTCCTCTGGCTCCGGCTTCGCTGTAGCCTCCAGCAGCCTGGCTGGCTTCCGCCTCCGAGGCCGGGCATCAGTGGCCCCGGTCTCCTGCTCACCGGAGTCTCCCTCCTGCTCCTCCTCCGCTGCCACCCCCTCTGCGTCCTCTCGCTGGGTGATCATGTCATCGGGCAAGGTGGTGGCCGTTTTGATGGGCCTGGAATTCTGAACTGTCGATTTGAGTTCGGAGAGTCTAACCATTCCTAGGAAAGAGGGTGTGCCACACAGAGGTGAAGGGCAAGGTGAATTAAGGAGACGGTGAGAACAGCAGCTGCCGGGCACAGAGCAGGCAGCGCACTAGGCATTTTGCATGCATGGTTTAATTTCATTTCCACACTACTCTATTCTAGAAAGATAGGGATCATTACCCTAATGTTACAGATGAGAAAAAGAAGACTCAGAAAGCACTAGAGTGGGATTTGAACCCACTTCTGTCTGATTCCAAGCCTTTGTCCCTTTCTCTACTCTGAGGAATAATGGGTATATAAAGAATCAGATTGTGAACAAGAATGCAAACATCTCTTTGAGAGGGAATAACCTGCTACTCAGTATAAGAAAGGATTCACTGGCTCCACTGGAAAGACAAAAATCAACTGGTCAAACCTTAAAACTGTGCTGCCTCTGGAAGGCAAGTGTATGAGTAAATTATACACTTACAAATAGTAGCTACAGTAAGAATTTTTAAACATGGAAAAGAAACATTTTATTAAAAAGTTTATTAGCTGGGCCTGGTGGTATACACCTGTATTCCTAGCTACTAGGGAGGCTAAGGAGGGAGGACTGCTTGAGCCCAGGAGTTTGAGGCTGCAGTCAGCTATGATCACGCCACTGTGCTTCAGCCCGGGCAACAGAATGAGATCTTGTCTCTAAAAGTAATAATAATTAATAACAAAAGCTTTAAACCTTTTAATAGGACAGAATAGATGACAGAGCACTGATATCCTCAATACAGTAGCAGTTACAACTCATTAAGATAAAAGGACAAAGAACACAGCTCACAAAGGAAGAACTACAGTAGCTGATGAGTATCAGAGAACTAAAACAAAGAATCACTACTTTTCAATTATTAAATTGGCAAAGATTAGAAAGTATGACAATACCCAGTGCTGGCAAAATGCAGGGAAATAGGTACATTTGGACACGGGGCGTGGGAGCAGAAACTGGCCCAGCCCAGAGCTGTCCAATGAAACATGCTGTGATACAATTATATAAACCACTTGGTGTAGTACTGAGGAATTAAGTTTTTAACTTTATTTAATTCTAATTAATTTAAACTTTAATATAAATAGCTACATGTGGCAAGTGGCTACCATATTAGACAGCACAGGTCTAGCCTTTTTAAAGAACAATTTGTCAAATGGAGGTGAACCTTAAGAATGTATTTACTTGTGACTCTGTAATTTTACTTAGAGGAGGTTCTCCTATGGAAATAATTACAGATGTATATACAAATTTAGCTACAAAGAGGCAGTATTTTAGGCCAGGTGCAGTGTGGCTCAAGCGTGTAATTCCAGGACTTTGGGAGGCCAAGGCAAGGTGGATCACTTGAGGCCAGGAGTTCCAGACCAGCTTGGGCAACATGGCAAAACCCCGTCTCTACTAAAAATACAAAAAATTAGCTGGGCATGGTGGCGCATGCCTGTCATCCCAACTACTTGGGTGGCTGAGGCATGAAAATCGCTTGAACCCAGGAGGCAGAGGCTGCAGTGAGCCAAGACTGTGCCACTGCACTCCAGCCTGGGAAACAAAGTCTTGCTCTGTCTCAAAACAACAACAAAAAAGGGGGCAATATTTTATTTCCTTTTCTACAGTAATGTTTCCTCTTTATAGTAGGCTTTTATTTAATAAAAAACAAAATCCCAGCTGTACACGGTGGCTCACGCCTGTAATCCCAACACTTTGGGAGGCCAAGGCAGGGGGGATCCCCTGAGGTCAGGAGTTCGAGACCAGCCTGGCCAACATGGTGAAACCCTGTCTCTACAAAAATGCAAAAATTAGCCGGGTGTGGTGGCACGTGCCTGTAATTCCAGCTACTCAGGAGGCCGAGGCAGGAGAATCGCTTGAACCTGGGAGGCAGAGGTTGCAGTGTACTGAGATCGTACCACAGCCTGGGCGACAGAGTGAGACTCCGTCTAAAAAAAAAAAAAAAAAATCTAGATATAATTTTTAAAAATATAAAAACTACAAAAAGGAATACAATGAAAAGTGGCTTAGTCTGCATTCCTGGTCTGCTCTGTAAGAGGCAAAAATGAGTTGGAGTGTGAGTGTGTGAACGTCTAGAAACAGTGTCACACACCCTATGTAGCTGCATTAGCCTTCTCCTTTCTTACGTTAATGGCAACAAACTCCCTGGAGGTTATTCTGTATTAGCTCACTAAAGTTCCAGGTCCTAGTCTTTTGTTACTACTAACAAGTGGCATTTCATAATCATTATCTCCTCCATATTTTTTATTATGAACCCCATCAATAAAACATCTTTGAAAACACAATTTTTTTTTATTTTTATTTTTTGAGATGGAGTCTCACTCTTTCACCAGGCTGGAGTGAAGGGGCGCGATTTTGCCTCCCTGCAACCTCTGCCTCCTGGGTTCAAGTGATTCTCCTGCCTCAGCCTCTCGAGTAGCTGGGACTACAGGCGTCAGCCTCTCGAGGAGCTGGGACTACAGGCACGCGCCACCATGCCCAGCTAATTTTTGTATTTATAGAACAGACGAGGTTTCACCATGTTGGCCAGGATGGTCTCAATCTCTTGACCTCGTGATCTGAGTGCCTCAGCCTCCCAAAGTGTTGGGATTACAGGCATGAGCCACCACGCCCAGCCGAAAATGCAATTCTAATATATGTATATTTACTTATTCAATTATATCCACCACAATCTAAAAACATCATTAAGTGACATGAAACATTCTAATGAAAATATTAATATTAAAAACAATGAGATTGAAAAATTGCTTAATACTGGATAAAATACTCAATTAAAGGTCTGGCTCCAAATTTGCTTTATTTTGGCACCTAACTTTGAATGGCCATCCTAGTTGGAAAAGATGACCCAAAAGGATACATCTATCCACATGTAGCGTCCTGCTGGCCAAGTTTACCATGCTCTGGTATTCATTGTGCAATACAAATTATGAAAACATTTTCATAAAAATCTTCCCCAAGCCAATCATTTGTTCTTGCAAACTAAATAGAAAGTGTTACTTATTTATCTGAGATGGGGCTCTTGCTCTGTCACCCAGGCTGGAGTGCAGTGGTGTGATCATAGCTCACTGCAGCCTCCAACTTCTGGGCTCAAGTGATCCTCCCACCTCAGCCTCCTGGGCAGCTGGGACTACAGGCCTACACCATCACGCCTGGCTGTATTTTTAACAAATGAGTTCACTTTGTTTGAAAGATTTACAGGTTAAAATTCTATTTTCAACATTTTTAAATCCGTAAAAATAAGAGTTTTTATAGGTCACATTGTTTTGGCCATAGAATAACACATAACAAAGAAAATACTTTCAAACATCGACTTTGTTTTTTTTGTTTTTTGAGCCAGTCTCGCTCTGTTGCCCAGGCTGGAAGTTCAGTGGCATGATCTCGGCTCACTGCAACCTCTGCCTCCCGGGTTCAAGTGATTCTCCTGCCTCAGCTTCCCGAGTAGCTGAGACCACAGGCATGGGCCACAACACCCAACTAATTTTTGTAGTTTTAGTAGAGACCGGGTTTCACTATGTTGGCCAGGCTGGTCTCGAACTCCTGACCTCAGGTGATCCGCCCATCTTGGCCTCCCAAAGTGTCAGGATTACAGGCGTGAGGCACCGTGCCCAGCCAAGCATCTACTTTCAAACGTCCTTTCTACAGCATAAATATCTTTCAAAACACTTTCACATTCATTGTTAAAAATCCATCTTTATTTTGTAAAAACATTTTAATATAATAAAATGATTAAAGATATTAGTCTTCAGCGAGTATGCTGCTATTAACATAAGAAAGAGGGAGGCAAATACAGACAGTCTGTGCAAGACTAGTTATACTTCTAGACGTGTACGCCCTCACACTCCAATTCATTATTCCCTCTGTGGAAGGGGGCCAGGAACCCAGACTCAGACACTTTTCATTGCATTCCCTTTTGTACTGTTTTAATTTTTTAAGTGTGTGCAGGTTGTTTTTTTTTTTTTTTTTTAGACCCTACGCCAAGAATTTATTTATTTATTTGGTAAAAGAAAAGTATAAAATTGAGGATCTTTAAATTCAAAAACTTTTAAAAGTACTTTGTCAAAATACTAGGAAGCCTCTGTGTAATAGGAAATATTCCCATGGTTGCCTTCCACCTTATAAAAAGATGTCACTGAAACTCTGGGGTTATCTATACATTCACTCAACTGGGTATCTTGTTGCAATATCTTGAGAGTGAAAGAACATGGGATGATGCCAAGTGACGAGGCCACCATCAGCCTGTGAGTGCTGTGGAAATCCCATTTTTCCCTTGGGAAACGTTGGTGCCCTATGTACGTAACACATAAGCTCTGCTAATGGGCACAGTGAGGGTGCTGGCATAAGTCGGAATATCAAAGATGAGAAAGTTTAATTCCTCTCTCACTGCCTTAAGATAAAAACAAAGATCAACAGAAATTCAAATACGGTCTTCTTATATTCCAAAGAATCATCCTGTCTACCTCACTTTGGAGACCACAACTTCAGAACAATAAAAAAAAAATGGAAACAAACAAAATGTCCAACAATAGAAACTTGTTAAATAAACTATGGGGCAGACATCTATACTATGGACTACTATGGAGCCATTAAGAAGATGATACAGACATATGAGTGTACGGAGTGAAAAAATGTAAAACAGTATTGCGGTACAGTCCCATTCTTGTAAAAATATTATATGCACATATGTGCATCAGAAAAGTCTGAAGAAATATCTCTCTCAAAATAACAACAATTGGTAGGTTACATGTGATTGTTATTTTCTTCCTTTTGTTTATCTGTATTTTTTTGAGTTTCTATTAGCGAACATTTCTTTCCATGCTCACTAAAGCAACTCTCTTAAGAAACAGCCAAATACCTCCATCTGGGTGTGTTCTTATCTGTAGAAGGTCATTTTCCCCTGTGCTAGCCTATTAAGCCAGCTGTGTTTTCTAAACCATCCATTTCAAACACTTTGAAAGGTATCCAAAATCTTAGGAAACAATTTTAGAATTTCTAATAATACTTCAGAAGCACAGCTTTATGGCTTAAATGGATCACACTGCTTACGGATTCTTTGTTAATTTGTGAACATAATCAGAAGAAATACTTTTATTTCAAAATTCTTTGGCTTCTTAAAGGCTATTAAAAAACAAAATAAAACACATAATTTAATGAATATATTTGTGACAAAGACCTTATGGTGCTTTTAGAGAGTCACAGGATGTTTGGATGTGGCCAAATATCACATCGGATTTGCCTCTTTTCCTCTCTGTCCTGATGCTGGATCTGCTCTCTGCTCAAAGCTGCTTCTGGTGCCTTCTCTCAGCCACAGGTGTTGCCTCAGAGATGCACTTAAATATTCAACTCCACATTTCCTGTTTTCTTCATACTTCTGACCCCCCTCCACCAAGCTCCAGGAAGATCTACGTCAGTTCCTTACTCTGAGCTGCGCTGCCTTTTCAATGGTATGATTTTGGAGAATGTCTTGAAGTAGGCTTCTGTCATATAACATCCCATTGCCCCGTCTCTGCCTCCATGCCCACAGAAATAACTTCATTGGCAGAAAAAGAAATCCAGAAATTTCCTCTTGCTAAAGCCTGGAGAACTCCAAGTTGAATTCTTTTAAAAAAATTTTTTTTTACGTTTATTTTTCAGAAATGGGGGGTCTCACTATGTTGCCCAGGCTGGTTTTGAACTCCTGGGCTCAAGTGATCCTCCCGCCTCGGCCTCTAGAGTAGTTGAAACTATAGCTGTGCCACCACGCCCGGCTGGGGTGGCTTTTTGAGATCTCTGGGTTTGCTAATTGTTGGCTTGTTCATCTGCATTACTCTCCCTGGGACCTGTATTTGAGTTAGGTTGCAAAGTTTCTGAAGCATGTTCTTATTTCCTGGTTCTAAGCAAAGAATATGGAGACTCTAACAAAATTCCAGTTAATCTTGGAGGAAATTGATTTTAAGAAACATAAATGGGGCTGAGCACGGTGGCTCACGCCTGTAATCCCAGCAATTTGGGAGGCCGAGGTGAGAGGATCAAGAGGTCAGGAGTTCAAGACCAGCCTAGCCAAGATGGTGAAACCAGGTCTCTACTAAAAATACAAAAATCTGTCAGGTGCAGTGGCGGGCGCCCGTAATCCCAGCTACTCGGGGGCTGAGGCAGGAGAATCACTTGAACCTGGGAGGCAGAGGTTGCAGTGAGCCGAGATTGCGCCACTGCACGCTAGCCTGGGCAACAGAGCAAGACTCCGTCTCAAAAAAAAGGAAACATAAATGCCTGGGAAAGCTGTTAGCCATTTATCCCAAAGGGCAGCTCTGCAAGTGCGGCAGTGACAGGGGTGGACAGTGCAGGGAAACAGTGTGCACATAGCATTTGCGTGGTGTGCAGATGGGCTTTCTCCTGTGTTCCCCGTCCCCACAAATTAAACTATAGAAGACGATCTGTATACTTATTTAACCTTATTAATTAAATACATCTTCTCGGCACCAGTATGTGCAGGGCTGGACTGGCTTGCTGGTGCCCGTATTTCAACCCTTTTTGGAGATATGACCAGATTTAGAGTTCATTAGGCAAAACTTCTAGACCCTTGTATTTAAAGAAGTTATTATAAAAAGGGATTAATTTAGAAGAAACCACTTTAGATTAATGAGATAGAGGAAGTATGAACTCACCTGGGGAGCAGGTCACTGAATCCTTCAGTTGCTTGGCTTTGGTTGTCACCTGTTTCAAAACATAAAAGCAAAAATCTTACTTTCCATGTACCTACTATATGCTGAGTGAAACGATTCCATGTAAGCTCCATGTGAATGAACACAGTTCATTGGATCTTAGGCCTGAAAGACCCTCAGTCGTCTGTCGCATCCATTAATGTAATTAACAAGAAAACTGAAGCCCAGAGAGATTAAATGGATAGCTCCAAAACACCCATCCACTCAGCAGCAGCTTCAGGACAAGAACTCACATCCCTAGACTCCTTCTAGTTCAATGACAGTTCCGTTATACGAGGCTGCCTCTTTTCATTTTTATTTTTTTTTAATACTTTAAGTTCTAGGGTACATATGCACAACGGGGGCTGCCTCTTAAAAGATACTACTTTCAAGGCCGGGCATGGTGGCTCATGCCTGCAATCCTAGCACTTTGGGAGGCCAAGGTGGGTGGATCACTTGAGGTCAGGAGTTCAAGACCAGCCTGTCCAACATGGGGAAACCCCGTTTCTATGAAAATACAAAAAGTAGCTGGGCAAGGCGGTGGTTGCCTGTAATCCCAGCTACTCGGGAGGCTGAGGCAGGAGAATCGCTTGAACCCAGGAGGCGGAGGTTGCAGTAAGCTGACATTGCACCACTGCACTCCAGCCTGGGCATCGGAGTGAGACCCTGCCTAAAAAAAAAAAAAAAAAAAAAAGATACTACTTTCATTATGCAAACAGGTCATTTTTTAAACCTAGAATTTCCAGAAATGGAATATCTTTCTTCACTGGAGAATATTCTACCACTGAGTATTGCAATCAGTGGGGAAAATGACATTTATGCTAATAGTGTTATAAGATAAAAGTCCTTCCTTTCTGCAACCTGGAAGGGAACCCTAAGAGCATCTGAGATTGACATTGGAGGAAGAATCTGTTGATGGAGTGGGGCAGCTGCACCCAAGAACCATGATACCTTTACACATATGAGTGTGGATCCACAGAAAGAATTTGGTCTGGTGGTAATTTTTTTTCTTTATATAAATGGTATCATATTTCACGTCTTATTCTATAGCTTGCTCTTTCTTCATTTAACAATGTCTTTGAGATCTACATACAGAATTGCCTTATTTTTCTTTTATCTTCTCTTTCTCTGTCAACTTATTTTGTTTGTTTGTTTGTTTTTAAAGATATGTTGCTATGTTGCAGTCTTGCTATGTGGCCCAGAATGGCCTGTAACTCCTAGGCTCAAATGATCCTCCCACCTCAGCCTCCTGAGTAGCTGGGACTACAGGCATGAGCCACTGCACTTGGCTTTCTTTTTTAAAATTGAGATAAAATTTACAGAGTGTAATGTGCAGACTTTAAATGTGCAATTTGATGAGTTTTGACCAAAAATCTCTGCCTATGTAACCAACATCACAATCAAATTACAGAATATTGACCAGGCACAGTCGCTCATGCCTGTAATCCCAGCACTCTGGGAGGCCGAGGCAGCCAGATCACTTGAGGTCAGGAGTTCGAGACCAGCCTGGTCAATATAGCAAAACCTGTCTCTACTAAAAATACAAAAATTATCCAGGCACGGTGGCACACGCCTGTAATCCCAGCTATTTGGGAGGCTGAGGCAGCAGAACTGCTTGAACCCAGGAGGTAGAGGTTGCAGTGAGCTGAGATTACGTCACTGCACTCCAGCCTGGGCAACAGAGCCAGACTCCATCTTAAAAAAAAAAAAATTACAGAACATTCCTATTACTCCAGAAAGTTCCCTTGTGCCCTTCATGCAATCTCTATCCTGCCACAGACAACCACTGTTCAGACTTCTATTGTATATTTTTAAGAAATATGGGGTTAAAGTTATTAATTTTTTTCAAATGAATAGTTAATTGCCCTAATGCACTTATCTAACAAGCCATCCTTTCCATTTATTTAAAATATGAATTTCATTAAAGTTATGTTTGGCTGTAAACATGTGCTATTATATTTTTCTATATTTCTCTATCCCATTAATCCATGTATATTCTCGAACCAACACTTCATGGCTTTAATGAAATTTGAAAGTAAAATGTCAGAAAGCATGATCATTAAGAGCCGAGAGTCAGGCAGATCTGCTCTTCAGTCTTGGTTCCACCTCTCAGCTGGGTAACAGACAGCAATTTTCCATCCTTCTCTGTTTCATATATTACCCTCTGTAATGTGTGGATACCACTACCATTTGCCTCTTACGGATGTTTTCAGTTTGAAACAAACCCTTAGCATGATACCTGGCAGACAGTAAAGGCTCAGTAAATATTACCTGTTATAATTGAAATAGATCATTTGTTTTCCATTCATACAAAGAGCAGAATTAGAACATTTAAAGCTGCTTGGAAACACTTTTCAATTTTGTTCCCTACCTTCCACTCTCTCTACAGATGACCTTGCTTCCTATTTAATGTAAACAAACTGAAGTTATCCAACATGAGCTTCCTTGACTTCTGAATTTCCCAGCTCAAAAATTTGATTGCCCCACCATATATCCATTCCTTCTTTTATCCTAATTCAAAGAAATAAATGCATTCCTTCCCCTTGAGGCTAAATCTGCCCCTTGAATCCTCACAGAACTATGCTCCATCAATTACTTGCTTTCATCTTCAACTTCCCCTGTCCATGAGATGCATCCCATAAATCTTCAAACTTAGCTCAAGTAGTCTACTCTAAATCTTCCCTTGACCTTATCTTTTCTATTCCACTTGGCATTCATGAGAATATGTCCTAGTTTTCCTTCTTTCTCTGAATGTTCCTCCACTGGCCTCTCCTATATACTCCTGCCTCTTGTTCCCTAATAGAAGTGTTCCTCAACATTCTACCCTTGCCATTCATGTTCTTTCCACTTTCTACTCTGGTATCTCATCCCAGCTATTCGATAATACTTTAGAAAAGAAATGATTAACCTAGGTCTCTGGCCCTGACTTCTACCTTGGAATGCCAGTCTCATAGAAACTGACCACGCAACAATGGATCCTCAGATCTGAAAAGGACTTCACCTACGTAACATTAAGCTTACTATGCAATAGGCACTGTTCTAAATAAATTGTGTGTGTGCACATATTCCTCACAGTAGCAATATGAGGTAGGCATAGAATGGTTATCCTGATTTTACAGAATCTGAGGCCCAGGGAGAATAAATAATATATCCAAGTTAAACAGTTAGTGAGAAGCTAAAACAAGCAGGGATCTAAAATTTTTGCTCTCTATCACTATAACATAACCACCTTTTAAATCCAAATCTTTCATTTTATAGAAGAAGAAACAAGCCAAGTGCTCTTTCTGCTGTACTACATGGCTTCACTTTCTAACTGCCATTAAATCTCTCAGAGGTCTCCTAGTTCCTAAAACTAACCAAACCAAAAACTAAACTCATCAGTTTTTCTTTTCTTTTCTTTTCTTTTGAGACAGAGTTTCTGTTCTTGTTGTCCAGGCTGGAGTGCAATGGAGCGATTCCAGCTCACTACAACCTCTGCCTCCCAGGTTCAAGCAATTCTCCTGCCTCAGCCTCCTGAGTAGCTGGGATTACAGGCATGAGCCACCACGCCAGGCTAATTTTGTATTTTTAGTAGAGATGGGGTTTCTCCATGTTGGTCAGGCTGGTCTTGAACTCCCAGCCTCAGGTGATCCACCCACCTCGGCCTCCCAAAGTGCTGGGATTACAGGCGTGAGCCACTGCGCCCGGCCTAAACTCATCAGTTTTTCCAATAAAACAACTTCTCTGCTTTTCCTCCATTGCTTAATAGTTTTATCATCCAAGTCACTTAGGCTCAAAATCTAACGAGTCCATTTTTGGATTTTTTCTCTCCTTCCCCAACGAGTTGCTTCACAGTTCAATTCCATTTGTTCCCTTCTCTCTCAGACCTCCACCACCTGCACTAGTCCTTCATTCTCACTTGACCAAACTAATATAACACTTTCTAACAGGTCCCTAACTTAATAGTTAATAATTAATGACTGATGCTGAGCATTTTTTCATGTGTTTATTGGACATCTGTGTATCTTCCTTGGAGGAATATCTATTCATATCCTGTATCCATTGCTTATGTGGGTCATTTAACTTTTTATTATTGAGTTGTAAGATTATTTTTTTCTTCTTTTTTTTTTTTTTTTTTTTGAGATGGAGTCTAGCTCTGTCGCCCAGGCTGGAGTGCAGTGGCACGATCTCGACTCACTGCAGCCTCCGCCTCCAAGGTTCAAGTGATTCTCCCACCTCAGCCTCACAAGTAACTGGGACTACAGGCATGTGCCAAGATGCCCGGCTAATTTTTTGTATTTTTAGTAGAGATGGGGTTTCACCGTGTTGGTCAGGCTGGTCTCAAACTCCTGACCTGAGGTGATCCGCCCGCCTCGGCCTCCCAAAGTGCTGGGAGTACAGGCGTAAGCCACCATGCCTGGCCAGAGTTGTAAGATTCTTGATGTGCTCTGGGTACATATACTTTTATCAGACATAAGATGTGCAAATAAGTTCTCCCATTCTTTGGGTTGCTTTTTCACTTTCTTGATGGTGTCCTTTGACTCACAAAAGTTTTTAATTTTGCTGAGGTCCAATTTATCTATTTTTTTTAATTTTGAAGCTTTTGGTTGCTTGTGCCTTTGGTGTCATATCTAAGAATCCTCTGCCAAATCTAAGGTCAGGAAGACTTAAGAGTTCCAAATTAAATTAGACTTTAATTTCTTTCAACAATGTTATATAGTTTTCAAAGTTAAAGTTTTTCACTTCTTTTAATTTATTCCTGAGTATTTTATTCTTTTTGATGCAATTATGAATGTCATTAATTTCATTTTCAAGTTGTTCATTGTAAATGTATAAAAAATAAAACTGATTTTTGTAATATTGCTATGTATCCTGCAACCTTGCTAAACTCATTTATTAGTTCCAATGTTTTTTTTAGTGCATTTCTCAAGATTTTCTATATATAAAATCATGCCATCTGCAAATAGATAATTTTACTTCTTTTTTTCCATCTTATTTCTTTTTCTTGCCTAAATGCCCTGGCTAAGACTTCAATACAATGCTGAATAGAAGAAGCAAGAGCAGACATCCTTGTTTTGTTCTTGATCTTAGCAGGAAAGCATTCTTTCACCAGTAAACATGGTGTTGTGGGTTTTTAGTATGGTCTTTTATCTGGTTGAGATACTTCTTTTTTATTCCTAGTCTGCTGAGTGTTTTTATAGTGCAAGGGTGTTGGGTTTTGTCAAACACTTTTTTTTTTTTGAGACGCAGTCTCGCTCTGTTGCCCAGGCTGCAGTGCAATGGCACGATCTCGGCTGACTGCAACCTCTGCCTCTGGGTTCAAGTGATTCTCCTGCCTCAGCCTCCCGAGTAGCTGGGATTACAGGTGCGTGCCACCACACCTGGCTATATTTTGTATTTTTAGTAGAGATAGGGTTTCACCACATTGGCCAGGCTGATCTTGAACTGCTGACCTCAGGTGATCAGCCTGCCCTGGCCTCCCAAAGCGTTGGTATTACAGGTGGGAGCCACTGAGTCCGGCTCAAACACTTCTCTTGAGATGATCGTGTGATACTGCTTTTTATTCTATTGACATGAGGTATTTACATTAATTGATCTTGAGATGTTTAACCAACCTTGTGTTCCATGGTTAAATGCCACTTGATCATGGTAATAAATGTTTTTTGTTTGTTTGTTTGTTTTTAGATAAATCTTCACCCAGGCTGAAGTACAGTGGTGTGATCAAAGCTCACTGCATCCTTCAATTCCTGGACTCAAGGGATTCCCCCTGCTTAGCCTCCTGAGGAGCTGCAACTACAGTTGCACACCACCATGCCCAGCTTCATGGTGATAATTCTTTTTATAAGTTGCCGAATTCAGTTTGGTGGTATTTTTTGAGATTTTTTTCATCCATATTTATAAAAACATTGGTCTGTAGTTTTCTTGTGATGTCTTTGGTTTTGCATCAAGGTAATACTGCCATCATAAAATGAGATGAGAAATATTCACCCCTCTTCTTTTTTTTTTTTTTTTTTTTTTGAGAGCACTGGAATTTTTTAAATGTTTGGTAGAATTCAGTGGTGAAACTATCTGGACTTGGACTTTTCATTATGTATAGGTTTTTGATAACTAATTCAACCTTTTTACTAATTATAAGTCTATCTATTAAAATGGTCTGTTTCTGATTTAGTTTTAGCAGTTTGTGTCTTTCCAGGAATTTATTCATTTCACTTCTATTAGAAAAATAGCCATCTAATTTCTTGACATACATTTATTCACGATTGTATTCCTTTATAATCCTTTTTATTTATATAAGATTGGCAGTAATGTCCTTTTTTTTGACCCTAGAAATTTGAGTCCTTTCTCTTTTTTTCTTGGTTAATTACTTACTTAAATGCATGTTAATTTTCTTGATATTTTCCAAGAATCAGCTTTTGGTTTCACTGATTTTCTCTATTTCTTTATTGTTCTCTATTTCTTCCATTTCTGCTTGTAATAGTCCGCTCTCACATGGCTATAAAGAAATGCCTGAGATTGGGTAATTTATAAAGAAAAGATACTGAATTGGCTCATGGTTTCACAAGCTGTACAGGAAGCGTGGCAGCATCTGCTTGGCTTCTGGGGAAGCCTCAGGAAACTTACAATCACGGCAGAAGGCAAACTAGGAGGCAGCACTTCACATGCCAGAGCAGGAGGAACAGAGAGCGAGGGGGAAATGGTGCATACTTTTAAACAACCAGATCTTGTGAGACCTCTGTCCCGAGAACAGCACCAAAGGGGGAAATCCAACCCCATGATCCAATCACCTCCCACAAGGACCCACCTCCGACACTGGGGATTACAGTTTAATATAGAATTGGTGGAGACACAGATCCAAACCATATCACTGCCCTGCTTTTTGTTATTTTCTTTTTTCTGTGTGCTTTAGGTATAGTTTGTTCTCTTTCTAGTGTCTTAAGGTGGAAAGGTTAATGATTTGAGATCTTTCTTCTTTATTACATAGGCATTTATAGCTACAAATTTCCCTCTAAGAAGTGTGCTAGCTGCATTCCTTGAGTCTTGGTACATCATGTCTTATTTTCATTCATCTCTGATAATATTCCAATTTCCCTCATTATTTCTTCCATGATCCACTGATTATTTAGGAGTGTGTTAATTCCCAAACATCTGTTGATTTGCCCAGATTTTTTTTTCCTGATATTGATTTCTAATTTCATTCTACTGGAATTAAAGAACATACTGTGTATTATTTCTATCCTTTTAAACTTATTGACGTTTGTTGATGTCCTAGCATATAGTCTATCCTGGACAATGTTCCATGTGTAAAGAAAAACGTATATTCTATTGTTAGATGGCGTGTTTTAGAAATATGTTAGGTGAAAGGGAGGTATTGAAATTTCCAACCATTATTGTTTAACTGTCCATCTCTTCCTTCAATTCTGTCAGTTTTTGCATTATGTATTTTGGTGTTCTGTTATCAGGAGCACACATATTTATAATTGTTATATCTTCCTGAAATGGCCTTTTTATAAATGTCCCTCTTTATTAATTTTTTTTTTTTTTTTGCTATAAAGATTACTAGAGGACACATAAAGATGTATAAAGGGCCGGGCGCGGTGGCTCACGCCTGTAATCCCAGCACTTTGGGAGGCCGAGGCGGGCGGATCACGAGGTCAGGAGATCGAGACCATCCCGGCTAAAACGGTGAAACCCCGTCTCTACTAAAAATACAAAAAATTAGCCGGGCGTAGTGGCGGGCGCCTGTAGTCCCAGCTACTTGGGAGGCTGAGGCAGGAGAATGGCGTGAACCCGGGAGGCGGAGCTTGCAGTGAGCCGAGATCCCGCCACTGCACTCCAGCCTGGGCGACAGAGCGAGACTCCGTCTCAAAAAAAAAAAAAAAAAAAGATGTATAAAGATACAGAATATATTGCATTTTACCTAAATAATAAATCAAGCACAGTAGTATAATTCTAAGAAAAGCTTACGGTTTATCTTGTAGAATTTAAATTTTTCTCTGCTTCCTGCCTGGATCCATAAGTTGTGACATATATGATCACACAAAGAATTCATATAAACTTTTCATTTGAGGTCAACTGGCAAAGTCACAAATACACGTGACCTCAGAATCTCATAACCTGAGATTCATATAACTCTCTAACATCTTAAAGTCATGCTACAGCCTTTCATACACATTGTTTTTTCATCTTATATGAAAAACTAACATATTAAACGTATTAATATATTTTCTCCTCTCTGTCACCTAGACTGGAGCGCAGTGGCGCAATCTCGGCTCACTACAAGCTCCGCCTCCTGGGTTCATGCCATTCTCCTGCCTCAGCTTCCTGAATAGCTGGGACTAAAGGCGCCCACCACCATGCCCAGCTAATTTTTGTTGTATTTTTTAGTAGAGACAGGGTTTCACCATGTTAGCCAGGATGGTCTCGATCTCCTGACCTCGTGATCCGCCTGCCTCAGTCTCCCAAAGTGCTGGGATTACAGGCATGAGCCACCGCGCCCGGCCTAAACATATTAATATATTTTCTTACAGACAAATAGATTCCTAACATCAGAATCCTGCCCAGTAAACAAATTCCAATGGCACATGGGGATGAATTACCTTAGAGAATCATTCACCTAGCACTGATATTCTAGTATTAGAACATAGCCTTTACTGACTTAAGGTTTCCTGATACATTGTCAAGAACAAACTTCCTGTTTCTACAGAGTCAAGGACTCAGTTTGAGAATAGTTAAGAGTCGCCTTATGCTGGTAGTAGATTCTGAATACAGCATCTATCACAATTTAGCTTATCCATCACACATAATCTGAGTCCTTCAGATCATTATTGTCAAATAATGGAAACGATGTGATGTCGCTATTGTCATTTTGCAGCCATACCTTTTTTTTTCTCACTTAAAAGGCAACTTACAACTTACAACAGGTTCGTTAGATAGCAGCAAAGCACAGTCGATTTTCCAATTCTGTGTGGTCCAATGATAATATTCAAGTTACTATGCAAACTCTACATCTCCTGCTGTCATAAGACAGTTTCATAAAAACGTTAACTGCAAATGGCTTTTTTTTTTTTTTTTTTTTTTTTTAGAATTTCCCTTCTCACTAGATTTTGTCTTGGGAAGAGCCATATCCATGGCAGATGATGGCAAAATATTTTTGTTTGTGGGCAGGTTTGGCATCCTCAAATGATCATTTATGATTCTAGGTAGATAAAGAAGTTTCCTAATAAGTAGTGGTCTAATATAAAGCTCAATGCCTAGGGTGACTCAGTAAGATAGTAAGTCACTTTGGGGAAGTAAATTCATCTTTCCATGACCACGGTCATCACCAGATTGATGTCTCTCCTTTAGATCTGAATGACTTTCAGTAAAGTGGGTACCAATTTACTCTCAAAATGTTTAGTGTTTATTTTCTCAAATAGTACATAATACATTTTTCAGCTAGTCATTCTATTTTTATATCATGTGCAGTTTCAGAAGATATAGGACTTTTTTGTAGCCTCGTCTTGGGAGAAGACATTTATTCCTATATAGGTTTCACACAGATGAGGCCTCCCTCTTCTTCTTTGGTATCTGAGGAACTAATATTGTGGGCTACTGGCTTGGGTGGGCTTTTGGACAGTCCAATGTGTATTAATAAATAGTCACATGGATTGTAACTGTGGTGGAATATGTTTCACCACATTGTGATTCCAAGCAGAAAACACTTTCTAACTCCTCTTCCTAATGCCCAAATTTATCTTTAGAATGCTTATGCAATTGGGGACCTATGATGTAAGTTTGTGATTTATGATAGGTAAGGGTAGAGTGAATGAAAAAAAACTAAAATAGGTTGCATTCCCTCTACTAAAAACACTGTAGGTTGCATTCCCTCTAGTAAAAACACTGATGAAATTAACAGAAAATTAAATCAGCAAAATGAAAACTATAGTTCACAGGCCAGAGCTAGGATCAGTCAACAGTTACATGGTTACATATTTCTGTTCAACGTAAAGAAGAATTTTCCAACTTTCTGAGCTATATAAAGTATATGTTCATATTTCTGGCACCTTCAGGTAACTCATAAAATAAGTACTTAATCTGGAAAATAACCTTAAGTCATATTTTTCAAATTCTGGCTGTCAGTGATATTTTAAGTATTACTCTAGTAACAAAAATTATGTAACTGTGAAGTTCATTATTTTCATTTGTTAAATTTACTCTTGGTCAACTTTCCACTTGAATTTAGCCCTCATTACAAGTAAGAACTACTACAGCGTTCAAATACAAGGCATGTTCTGTTACCTGAACATTAAATAAACCACTTTGAAAAATTATTTTTTTCTCCTCTCCCTTCTCCTCCTAAATAAGCCACCTGAAAAAATGTTTCCAACTGGTAGAAAGCAGTGGTGCTCATTCTTGTTATTTCTCTAATGTCTTTAAACTTTTCTGTGGATTATCTGTCTAGATAGAAAAATATGAGATGATAATAATGTTCATCTTAACTTTTAAAAGCGAAGGTCTTTGATTAACTGATTACCTCTATAAGCAATGCGGATAGCTATTTCCTGGGAGAAAACACTTATGCAAAAAGACAATTGTGTAGTCTTGTAGATACTGTTACTCTACCAGTGAACACCGTAACAACATAACACATATTCACCATATTATTCTCTTTTTAATGGTTTCCCCAAATTTTAACACAAGGAGGCAATTTTAAATTGCATTAACATGTAATAGCTCAGGTATCACCATTCTATTGACTTGCTGCATTCTTAACTATACATAATAAGGTGCTATGTACAAATCAGAGTAATAAAATAAATGCTTACTAGGCAGTATGATAACATCACCAGACCACAGACTATGAGCTAAACCAGTTCTTTAATGAATATCATTAATAGTATTCAAAGTGTATGTGATTATAACTGGTAAATTAGATACAGGGTTTAAAGTAGACACCATTCTTTAGGTAAGATATAGGGCTCTGATGAGTAAGTACAAATTACAAATTCAGTATACTAGTAACATAGAACACCTAATAGGATCCAAAGACTATATAAGAATCTTAAATAGGAGATATAGAAAGAAAAGGTTTCCTGTAATCTGCAAATATACTTTGCCTTAATGAATCACTAAAGAAGATGAAAAAGTGTTCCATTAGAGCATAATGAGTCCTTGGATATTTCTGTGGTTCAAATATTCAAAAGGGTACCTGTGAGAGCCACTGCTTGCAGAATCACTTAGGAGCATAGCCACATAAACTGGCCAGTGTCTCAGGACATGAAACACCTTGCTCTCAAATTTATCCTCCTTTAGCCCAGCACCTCAGGAAACCAAGTGATTTCACTTTGAAGATATTATCAGATCAAGGTATGACAAAGAACAGTGCTGCCACATATGCAGGGTTTGAAATCATGTTTTTGCTAAACCAAAAGGGCAACATAGCCTAAGAAAGAGTCAGAATAGTCTCGAGTTCTAGGCCTGGACTGACATTAACTAGTTTTTGGGCCTACTTTATCTCTTTTTAAAACTCACATCTGTAACAAAAGTGATAATGTGATTTACAATTGCATAATGGTTCACTCATATTAACAAAACATTTTCATAAGACTGTCACATTTCATCCCCAACTACCTTGTAAAATTGATATCACAGGCTGGGCATGGTGGCTCATGCCTGTAATCCCAATAGTTTGGGAGTCCAAGGCGGGTGGATCACCTGAGGTCAGGAGTTCAAGACCAGCCTGGCCAACATGGTGAAACCACACCTCTATTAAAAAATACAAAAATTAGCTGGGTGTGGTAGCGCACACTTGTAGTCCCAGCTACTTGAGAGGCTGAAGCATGAGAATCGCTTGAACCCAGGAGGCAGAGGTTGCAGTGAGCCAAGATGGCACCACACCACTGCACTCCAGCCTGGGCGACAGAGTGAGACTTCATCTCAAAAAAGAAAAAAAAATGCTGATATTACAGATGAGAAAACTGACTGAAGCTCAGAGCAATATGAGGACCTGCAAAGTCATATACTGGAGTCAGAACACCTAAGGCAGGTTTCCTTTTAAATACTGTTTTCTTCCCACTTTACATCTCTGCCCATAAAAC
Source organism: Homo sapiens (assembly GCF_000001405.40). Lineage (NCBI taxonomy): Eukaryota > Metazoa > Chordata > Mammalia > Primates > Hominidae > Homo > Homo sapiens. The sequence goes on from NC_000010.11 coordinate 21,778,353, forward strand.
AAAAGGATTGCATTCATGATTTCCTTTTAGTTCAAATATCGTGTGGGTCACTGGATGTCACATTACTAATGAAATATCCCAAATACCAAAGATTTATTAAGTATTGACTTAGTACATTACTGTACTGAGAATGTTAGTTTGTATATGCAAGGTATTATCCTATCCATTTCAAGGGGCTTACAATTGGGCTATTTACTTGCATATTCATTCAAGAGACTGCAGATTAATTAGAACTGTACTTACAAGAAAAAAAAATTGGGGAGTGTTCCAAGATGGCTGAATAGGAACAGCTCTAGTCTACAGCTCCCAGTGTGAGCGACGGAGAAGACGGGTGATTTCTGCATTTCCAATTGAGATACCAGGTTCATCTCACTGGGGCTTGTCAGACAGTGGGTGCAGGACAGTGGGTGCAGCCCACCAAGCGTGAGCCGAAGCAGGGCGAGGCATTGCCTCTCCCAGGAAGTGCAAAGGGTCAGGGAATTCCCTTTCCTAGCCAAGGGAAGCTGTGAAAGACGGCACCTGGAAAATTGGGTCACTCCCACCCTAACACTGCGCTTTTCCAACCGTCTTAGCAAACGGCACACCAGGAGATTATATTCCACACCTGGCTTGGACGGTCCCACGCCCATGGAGCCTCGCTCATCGCTAGCACAGCGGTCTGAGATCGAACTGCAAGATGGCAGCGAGGCTGGGGGAGGGGCGCCTGCCATTGCTGAGGCTTGAGTAGGTAAACAAAGCGGCCAGGAAGCTCGAACTGGGTTGAGCCCACTGCAGCTCAAGGAGGCCTGCCTGCCTCTGTAGACTCCACCTCTGGGGACACGGCACAGACAAACAAAAGACAGCAATAACCTCTGCAGACTTAAATGTCCCTGTGTGACAGCTTTGAAGAGAGTAGTGGTTCTCCCAGAACGGAGTTTGAGATATGAAAACAGACAGACTGCCTCCTCAAGTGAGTCCCTGACCCCCGAGTAGCCTGTCTGGGAGGCACCTCCCAGTAGGGGCCAACTGACACCTCACACGGCCACATACCCCTCTGAGACAAAACTTCCAGAGGAACGATCAGGCAGCAACATTTGCTGTTCTGCAATATCCGCTGTTCTGCAGCCTCTGCTGGTGATACCCAGGCAAACAGGGTCTGGAGTGGACCTCCAGCAAACTCCAGCAGATGTGCAGCTGAGGGTCCTGACTGTTAAAAGGAAAATTAACAAACAGAAAGGACATCCACACCAAAACCCCATCTGTACGTCACCATCATCAAAGACCAAAGGTAGATAAAACCACAAAGATGGGGAGAAACCAGAGCACAAAAGCTGAGAATTCTAAAAATCTGAGCGCCTCTCCTCCTCCAAAGGAACACAGCTCCTTGCCAGCAATGGAACAAAGCTGGATGGAGAATGACTTTGATGAGTTGAGAGAAGAAGGCTTCAGACGATCAAACTTCTCCAAGCTAAAGGAGGATGTTCGAACCCATCGCAAAGAAGCTAAAAACCTTGAAAAAAGATTAGACGAATGGCTAACTAGAATAACCAGTGTAGAGAAGACCTTCAATGACCTGATGGAGCTGAAAACCATGGCAAGAGAACTACGTGATGCATGCACAAGTTTCAGTAGCCGATTGGATCAACCAGAAGAAAGGGTATCAGTGATGGAAGATCAAATGAACGAAATGAAGTGAGAAGATAAGTTTAGAGAAAAAAGAGTAAAAAGAAATGAACAAAGCCTCCAAGAAATATGGGACTATGTGAAAAGACCAAATTTACGTCTGATTGGTGTACCTGAAAGTGACGGGGACAATGGAACCAAGTTGGAAAACACTCTTCAGGATTTTATCCAGGAGAACTTCCCCAACCTAGCAAGGCAGGCCAACATTCAAATTCAGGAAATACAGAGAACACCACAAAGATACTCCTTGAGAAGAGCAACTCCAAGACACATAATTGTCAGATTCACCAAAGTTGAAATGAAGGAAAAAATGTTAAGGGCAACCAGAGAGAAAGGTTGGGTTACCCACAAAGGGAAGCCCATCAGACTAACAGCTGATCTCTTGGCAGAAACTCTACAAGCCAGAAGACAGTGGGGGCCAATATTCAACATTCTTAAAGAAAAGAATTTTCAACCCAGAATTTCATAGCCAGCCAAACTAAGCTTCATAAGTGAAGGAGAAATAAAATCCTTTACAGACAAGCAAATGCTGAGAGATTTTGTCACCACCAGGCCTGCCCTAAATGAGCTCCTGAAGGAAGCACGAAATATGGAAAGGAACAACTGGTACCAGCCACTGCAAAAACATGCCAAACTGTAAAGACCATTGATGCTAGGAAGAAACTGCATCAACTAACGAGCAAAATAACCAACTAACATCATAATGACAGGATCAGATTCACACATAACAATATTAACCTTAAATGTAAATGGGCTAAATGCTCCAATTAAAAGACACAGACTGGCAAATTGGATAAAGAGTCAAGACCCATCAGTGTGCTGTATTCAGGAGACCCATCTCATGTGCAGAGACACACACAGGCTCAAAATAAAGAGATGGAGGAAGATCTACCAAGCAAATGGAAAACAAAAAAGAAAAGCAGGGGTTGCAATCCTAGTCTCTGATAAAACAGACTTTAAACCAACAAAGATCAAAAGAGACAAGGCCATTATGTAATGGTAAAGGGATCAATTCAACAAGAAGAGCTAACTATCCTAAATATATATGCACCCTATTCAGGAGCACCCAGATTCATAAAGCAAGTACTTAGAGACATACAAAGAGACTTAGACTGACACACAATAGTAATGGGAGACTTTAACACCCCACTGTCAACATTAGACAGATCAAAGAGACAGAAAGTTAACAAGGATATCCAGAAATTGAACTCAGCTTTGCACCAAGCGGACCTAATAGACATCAACAGAACTCTCCACCCCAAATCATATACATTCTTCTCAGCAACACATCGCACTTATTCCAAAATTGACCACACAGTTGGAAGTAAAGCACTCCTCAGCAAATGTAAAAGAACAGAAATTATAACAAACTGTCTCTCAGACCACAGTGCAATCAAACTAGAACTCAGGATTAAGAAACTCACTCGCCGGGCGCGGTGGCTCACGCCTGTAATCCCAGCACTTTGGGAGGCAGAGGCGGGCAGATCACGAGGTCAGGAGATCAAGACCATCCTGGCTAACACGGTGAAACCCCGTCTCTACTAAAAATACAAAACATTAGCCGGGCGTGGTGGTGGGTGCCTGTAGTCCCAGCTACTCAGGAGGCTGAGGCAGGAGAATGGCGTGAACCTGGGAGGCGGAGCTTGCAGTGAGCCGAGATCGTGCCACTGCACTCCAGCCTGGGTGACAGAGTGCGACTGTCTCAAAAAAAAAAAAAAAAAAAAGAAACTCACTCAAAACCGCTCAACTACATGGAAACTGAACAACCTGCTCCTGAATGACTACTGGGTACATAACGAAATGAAGGCAGAAATAAGTATGTTCTTTGAAACCAATGAGAACAAAGACACAACATACCAGAATCTCTGGGACACATTTAAAGCAGTGAGTAGAGGGAAATTTATAGCACTAAATGCCCACCAGAGAAAGCAGGAAAGATCTAAAATTGACACCCTACCACTGCAAAACACTAGAGAAGCAAGAGCGAACACATTCAGAAGCTAGCAGAAGGCAAGAAATAACTAAGATCAGAGCAGAACTGAAGGAGATAGAGACACAAAAAATCCTTCAAAAAAATCAATGAATCCAGAAGCTGGTTTTTTGAAAAGATCAACAAAATTGATAGACCGCTAGCAAGACTAATAAAGAAGAAAAGAGAGATCAAATAGATGCAATAAAAAATGATAAAGGGGATATCACCACTGATCCCAGAGAAATACTAACTACCATCAGAGAATACTATAAACACCGCTATGCAAATAAACTAGAAAATCTAGAAGAAATGGATAAATTCCTGGACACATAAACCCTCCCAAGACTAAACCAGGAAGAAGTCGAATCTCTGAATAGACCAATAACAGGCTCTGAAATTGAGGCAATAATTAATAGCCTACCAACCAAAAAAAGTCCAGGACCAGATGGATTCACAGCCGAATTCTACCAGAGGTACAAGGAGGAGCTGGTACCACTCCTTCTGAAACAGAAGGAATCCATTCCAATCAACAGAAAAAGAGGGATTCCTCCCTAACTCATTTTATGAGGCCAGCATCATCCTGATACCAAAGCCTGGCAGAGACACAACAAAAAAAGAGAATTTTAGACCAATATCCCTGATGAACATCGATGCAAAAATCCTCAACAAGATACTGGCAAACCGAATCCAGCAGCACATCAAAAAGCTTATCCACCATGATCAAGTGGGCTTCATCCCTGGGATGCAAGGCTGGTTGAACATATGCAAATCAATAAACGTAATCCATCATATAAACAGAACCAAAGACAAAAACCACATGATTATCTCAATAGATGCAGAAAGGCCTTTGACAAAATTCAACAACCCTTCATGCTAAAAACTCTCAATAAATTAGGTGTTGATGGAACGTATGTCAAAATAGTAAGAGCTATTTATGACAAACCCACAGCCAATATCACATTGAATTGACAAAAACTGGAAGCATTCCCTTTGAAAACTGGCACAAGACAGGGATGCCCTCTTTCACCACTCCTATTCAACACAGTGTTGGAAGTTCTGGCCAGGGCAATCAGGCAGGAGAAAGAAATAAAGGGTATTCAGTGAGGAAAAGAGGAAGTCAAACTGTCCCTGTTTGTAGATGACATGATTGTATATTTAGAAAACCCCATCATCTCAGCCCAAAATCTCCTTAAACTGATAAGCAACTTCAGCAAAGTCTCAGGATACAAAATCAATGTGCAAAAATCACAAGCATTCTTATACACCAATAACAGACAAACACAGAGCCAAATCATGAGTGAACACCCATTCACAATTGCTTCAAAGAGAATAAAATACCTAGGAATCCAACTTACAAGGGATGTGAAGGACCTCTTCAAGGAGAACTACAAACTACTGCTCAGCAAAATAAAAGAGGACACAAACAAATGAAAGAACATTCCATGCTCATGGATAGGAAGAATCAATATCGTGACAATGGCCATACTACCCAAGGTAATTTGTAGATTCAATGCCATCCCCATCAAGCTACCAATGACTTTCTTCACAGAATTGGAAAAAACTACTTTAAAGTTCATATGGAACCAAAAAAGAGCCCACACTGCCAAGTCAATCCTAAGCAAAAAGAACAAAGCTGGAGGCATCACACTACCTGACTTCAAACTATACTACAAGGCTACAGTAACCAAAACAGCATGGTACTGATACCAAAACAGAGATACAGACCAATGGAACAGAACAGAGCCCTCAGAAATAACACCACACATCTACAACCATCTGATCTTTGACAAACCTGACAAAAACAAGAAATGGGGAAAGGATTCCCTATTTAATAAATGGTGCTGGGAAAACTGGCTAGCCATATGTAGAAAGCTGAAACTGGATCCCTTCCTTACACCTTATACAAACATTAATTCAAGGTGGATTAAAGACTTAAATGTTAGACCTAAAACCATAAAAACCCTAGAAGAAAACCTAGGCAATACCATTCAGGACACAGGCATGGGCAAGGACTTTATATCTAAAACACCAAAAGCAATGGCAACAAAAGCCAAAATTGACAAATGGGATCTAAATAAGCTAAACAGCTTCTGCACAGCAAAAGAAACTACTGTCAGTGAACAGGCAACCTACAAAATGGGAGAAAATTTTTGCAATCTACCCATCTGACAAAGGGCTAATATCTAGAATCTACAAAGAACTTAAACAAATTTACAAGAAAAAATCAAACAACCCCATCAAAAAGTGGGCGAAGGATATGAACAGACACTTCTCAAAAGAAGACACTTATGCAGCCAACAGATGCAAGAAAAAATGCTCATCATCACTGGCCATCAGAGAAATGCAAATCAAAACCACAATGAAATGCCATCTTAGACCAGTTAGAATGGCAATCATTAAAAAGTCAGGAAACAATAGGTGCTGGAGAGGATGTGGAGAAATAGGAACACTTTTACACTGTTGGTGGACTGTAAACTAGATCAACCATTGTGGAAGTCAGTGTGGTGATTCCTCAAGGATCTAGAACTAGAAATACCATTTGACCCAGCCATCACATTACTGGGTATGTACCCAAAGGATTATAAATCATGCTGCTATAAAGACACATGCACACGTATGTTTATTGTGGCACTATTCACAATAGTAAAGACTTGAAACCAACCCAAATGTCCATCAATGATAGACTGGATCAAGAAAATGTGGCACATATACACAATGGAATACTATGTAGTCATAAAAAAGGATGAGTTCATGTCCTTTGTAGGGACATGGATAAAGCTGGAAACCATCATTCCGAGCAAACTATCGCAAGGACAGAAAACCAAACACTGCATGTTCTCACACATAGGTGGGAACTGAACAATGAGAACACTTGGACACAGGAAGGGGAACATCACACACCGGGGCCTGTCATGGGGTGGGGGGCAGGGGGAAGGGATAGCATTAGGAGATATACCTAATATAAATGACAAGTTAATGGGTGCAGCACACCAACATGGCACATGGACACATATGTAACAAACCTGCATGTTGTGCACATGTACCCTAGAACTTAAAATATAATAATAAAAGAAAAAAGAAAAAAAATCAGCTTCTTGCTTTAAAAAAGTCTTATTTATAAATCAATAGTGGCCAAAGCAAGGAAACAGCAATCCAAACAGCTTTGTGCACTGGCAGTTTGAGGGTCTGGCCTCACCTCTCAAGAAAGAGGCCAATTCTATCCTCTTAAGCTGCATTACTGCCAATTTCCCATTGTGTGGAGGCAGTCAGGATGCAAAGCCTTTGTACTTCAATTTCCCCAGTGTGCATCAGATGTATCTGCCAGTGATATTGCCACTCTACTAATTTGCAAGGATTGAAAGAATCCAGCAGGCTTGGTAGATATCTCGTTCCTCTCTCTCAACTATTGCCTTTGCTCCTCTTCAAGGTGTGTCCTCTGTGGAAGAAGAAAACTGAAGGAGGATATTCTCTGGTCCAAGGCCTGCAAGTAGTTGTTACTCCTTTACCAGAACATTTGAATTAGCTTTCCATGTCCTTTGACAGGGGAGAGTAGGCAGTCGAAAATATAACAAAATTCTAGAGATGGCTCTAGAATTCCTTTGAAAAATAAAACTGTCTTTGTTGAAGGGATAGTCTGGCAAGTGTTCCAAGTGGAAGTTGAATGCTCTCCCTGCCCTCCTGGGCCTACATGGCAACTGCCACCTGGACATCAGAGGAAAAGGCAAAGTACTCTGTTGAACACAGGAAAGAACCCAGGTTGAGGGTTAATCTGGAAGAGAGAAAGTGACAGGAAATGGAAGGCAGAGAAGATGAAAAAAGATGGAAAAGGAGGAGGGGAAGGGAGAAAAGCAACTGGAAATTGTACGACTAAGAAGGGCACTGGACCACAGTGATATCTATAACTAGTATGTAATGTATGGATTTTAAATTGTTTGTTATAGAGCGTTCCTCCATTTCCCCTATAAGATCACTAGGAATGTTGATCACTGTATATACTTCAGGCTCCATTTAACGTAGATCCACTCCTGCTCATTAATGCTTTTGGACGAGTAGATTCTTTTTGAGAAATTCACTGTCGTATAGTACAAAGGGGACACACTAGGATACAGGCGCGTGAGGCAAGAAGAGTGCACACCTTGGGAATTAACACACATAATGGGAAGATTTTTAGATGTTCACGGACTATAGAGTTGTTGTTGGTCTTAGCCCATTGGTTCTAGATCTCCAAGAGGCAGAGAGGTCCATCTGACACCTGAGTTACAATATGATAAAGATAAGGGAAAAGAGTAATTCCAGATCATACATTAAGAAGAATTAAGAATTTACTATGTAAATTCAGGTATTTAATCTAACATTTGGGTGCCTTCAGATTTCCCACCCATAACAATCTCTTGAAAATTCATTTCAGATCTAATGTTGAGGTTTTGATTTTAAAATGGGAATATATATATATATATATATATATATATATATATATAGAGAGAGAGAGAGAGAGAGAGAGAGAGAGAGAGAGAGATGGAGTCTCACTCTGTCACCCAGGCTGGAGTACAGTGGCTCACTGTGATCTTGGCTCACTGCAGCCTCTGCCTCCTGGGTTCAAGTGATTCTAATGCCTCAGCCTCCCGCGTAGCAGGCGTGCGCCACCACACCGGCTAATTTTGGTATTTTTAGTAGAGACAGAGTTTCACCATTTGGCCAGCCTGGTCTCGAACTCCTGATCTCAGGAGATCCACCTCGGCCTCCCAAAGCACTGGGATTATAGGCATGAGCCACTGTGCCTGGACTAAAACGGGAATTTCTATCGATCCAATTACCATCTATCCCTACCTGATATTGCTGTTAATGTTATTTTCTGGGTACTAATGAAAATTATAATCTTGTTTGTTGTATAGCTACTCATTGAGCTGTTTTACATATTTATATTTTACAATAAAGGAGGGAGTATGTAATAAATAATATTAACAACCTTATGCCAATTTATTTCAAGATTTAGTTTAATGGGATATATTCCTAGAAAAATCTAATGTTCTAAAATTTACTCAGAGAGAAACAGAGTCTTGGCTGGGTGTGGTAGTTCACGCCTGTAATTCCAGCACTTTGGGAGGCTCAGGTGGGCAGAACACCTGAGGTCAGGAGTTTGAGACCAGCCTAGCCAACATGGTGAAACCTTGTTTCTACTAAAAGTACAAAAATTAGCCGGGCATGGTGGCAGGCGCTTGTAGTCCCAGCTACTCAGGAAGCTGAGGCAGGAGAATTGCTTGAACCCAGGAGGTAGAGGTTGCAGTGAGCAGAGATCATGCCATTGCACTCCAGCCTGGGCAACAGAGTGAGATTCCGTCACAAAAAAAGAAAAAAGGAGGAGGAGGAGGAAGGAGGGGAAGGAGAGGAAGAGAAAAAAGAAGAAAGAAGAAAAGAAGGAAGAGGAGGAGGAGGAGAAGGAGAAGAAGAAATAGAGTTATTTGGGGAGGTGATATCAGCAAGATGGCTGACTAGAGACCCGTAGTGCTCATCCCTTCCACAAAGACAGCCAAAAACAATGAATAAACCACTACATTTTAACAGAAATAACCAAAGGAGAGTGCTGGAGCATGTCAAAGAAGTAACAGCAACCCTGGTGAGTGCAGAAACTCAGGATAGCCACATCATGAAAAGAAGGAAATGCCAGGCCTCTGCCACTCCATCCCCCAGCCAGGATCAGCTGGGAACCAGGTGGCCACTTCTGTCTTTGATGAAAAGGTAGGCAAGAGGATCCCAGCAGCCCCCACCAACACCTTAGACACCTACAGGCCTCACCACTGGGGTCACCTGCAGTCCTCACAGGCACTAAGCCCAGCTGAGGGAGCTGCCAAGAAGCTGCACAGCTTTGCTCCCCCAGAGGAGTAGCCAATACTGTGTTCCTCCCGCTGTGGCCTGCATGGCCACCATGCCACACCATCTTGTAACTGGAACTAATGCTGGAGTAGTCTTGCTCTGGGGGCTAGTAGTCATGGTATCCCTTCATCCCTGAGGCTACCCCACCATCAGAGCACCTCTGCTCAGTGGTCTGACATCCACAAGTGGCTCAGCTGTGAGCACCTTTCCCTGTGGAACCAAGCAGTGGTGGAACTTCCATCCTCCACCTCCCATTGCCTTGGGCTGGAGCTTAAGCACCATTTCTCCCTCCAGAGGAAAGGGTGCTTTGACAGAACAGCTCCATTTACCTCTGTCAGCTGCGGCTGTGCTCTGCCCCTACAAGCCTGAGCTGGAACTGTGCACTGCCTCCGCTGGAAAGAGGGCTTTGCTGGAGCCCTGCATCCATGGTCCCTGGGCTGCCTGGGCAGTCACACCCCTTTAGGCCAGAGCTATAGCAGCACATTGCCCCCTGGGGAACTCATGCCTTGGCTGAGCTGAGAAGCTGTGCATCCCAGGGCTAAGCTTATGTACTACCCTTTGTCTCAGGGAAACAAAGCAGTGGCTAAGCTCAGACACCCTACCCTACAGGCCAAACAACTCCAGTACCCTGCTTCTCTGGAGCTGGACCAGCACCCTATGGTCTGGGCTGTTAAGACACCTCCCTGTTTGTGGAGTAGTGTTATCACTCTGCCATTTTCTGCCCCTCATGGCCCAAACGACAGCCATGTTCGGCCATTCTGGGCTACTTGCTGCCACTGCACTTGGACTCACAGAGACTGAGATACTGCTGAGCCCTACCATCCCAGATTGTAGAGTTACCACTACATGGTGCCTCACATCCAGCGTCCTGAGTTGTCACTGAGCCCTACTGGTTCAAGCTCCTGAATCAAAGCCATATCCTGGCCTAGGCTCAAACCTCCAGAGCACACCTTCTTCCCTGGAGTCAGGCCAGAGCTGTGAACTGCTCCCCAGGGGTAGCATCACAGCTACAACCTGACCTCCTGGACATGAGCTGCTAGAAGGTGCCTCAGAGTCACAGATCCCAGCACTAAGAGCAACCTACATCCAACCCTGCCACAGAGAGCAAGCTTGCACCCCAAGACCCTGGTGCCAGAATAAGGTTCATAAGACCCTGAGCTTAGGACTCCAGCCCCACAGCTGCTCTGAGCACCCGCACCTGGAATTTAGCCACTGTGGCAGCTGCTTGTAGGCCATGCCAGATCTGACAGCAAGAGGGATCCCCTTGGCTAGGTTTCCCCACCGTGGGGAAGTTGAGAAAAGGACTCCAAAAGCCCCTACAACCAAAGAATTAACAACCTATGCTGCTGCTGCCACAACCACGAATGTCTACAACCTAGGCCACTGAGGCAGTCACATTTATTACTAATGTTGAATATAGATGAAAAAGCTGCACAGAGACTATACCACTGCACCTACCTGGAAAGAGTTACCATCCACTTCCCAACTGGCACTGTAAGACCCAACTGCAGGTGAAAGTCTTTCTCTATGTATGAAAGCCACTCTAGAAAGTTTGGAAGAGGCTATTGTTTCACAGACATCAATACAGGGACACAAGAAATATGAAAATCAAGGAAATATGACATCACAAGAGGAACACGACTCTTCAATAACAAACCCTAATGACAAGGAAATCCACAAGTTGCCAGTATAGAAATTAATGAACTTAAGGAAACTCACCAAGATATAAGAATGTACAGATAGATAATTCAACAAAACTAGGAAAAAAAATCATGATATAAATTAGAAATTCAACGGAGATAAATATCATGAAAAAGAATCAAATAGAAATCCTGCAGCTGAACAATTCAATGAATAAAATAAAAAATACAGCCAGGTGCAGTGGCTCACGCCTATAATCCCAGCACTTTGGGAGACCAAGGTGGGTGGATCACATGAAGCCAGGAGTTCAAGAGCAGCCTGGCCAACATGGTGAAACCTGGTCTCTACTAAAAGTACAAAAATTAGCCAGGCAGGGTGGTGCACGCCTGTAATCCCAGCTACTAGAGAGGCTGAAGCATGAGAATTGCTTGAATCCAGGAGGTGGAGGTTGCAGTGAGCCAAGACTAAGCCACTACACTCCAGCCTGGGCAACACAGCAAGGCTCTGTCTTTAAAAAAAAAAAAAAAAAAAAAAAAAAAGAAACAGCTTAAGTAGCAGACTTGATCTAACAGAAGAAAAAAAAATCTCTGAGTTTGAACACAGGTCATTGGAAATTACCCAGTTAGAGAAAGAAAGAAAAAAAGCAAAAAATCAAAAAAGTAAAAAAAAAAAGCTTACAAGACTTATGAGACACCATTAAGTGAACAAGTGTTCATATTATGGAAGTTCCAGAAGGAGAAGACATGGAAAAAGGCATAAAAAACCTATTTAATCAAAGAATAGTTGAAAACTTCCCAAATCTGGGGCATCCAGAGACCCCCAAATAGATTCAACTCAAAAAGATCCTCCCAGAGGCACATTATGATCAAATTTTCAAAGGCAAAGACGAAGAGAAAATTCTAAAAATGGCAAGAGAAAAATGTCAAGTTACATTTAAGAGGATTCCCATTAGATTTCTCCAGAGAAACCTTGCAAGCTACAAAAGAATGAAACAATGTATTCAATAAATTGCCAAAAAAAAAAAAGCCACCAAAGAATACTGTACCCAGCAAAACTATCTTTCAGAAATGAGAAAGAAAATCTTTCCCAGACAAGCAAAAACTAAGAGAATTCATCACCACTACATTGGCCTTACAAGAAATGCTCAAGGAAGTCCTGCATCTGGCAGCAAAAAGATGATAATCACCATCATGAAAACACTCAAAAGTATAAAATTCACTGTTATAGCAAATACACAAAGCAGAAAAAGGATCAAATCTTAATATTACAGAAAACCACCAAACCACAATGACATGAGAGGAAGAAAGGAAAAAAAGATACCTAAAACAACAAGAAAACAATGAACAAAATGACAGGAGTAAGTCCTCATTTATCAATAATAACCTTGAATATGAACAGATTAAATTCTTCACTTAAAAGATATAGACTGGCAAAATAAAATTTTTAAAAATATGAGTCAACTATACTATATGCTACGTATAAGAAATTCACTTCACTTATAAAGACACATACAGACTGAAAGTAGAGGAAGAAAAAAGATACTCCATGCAAAAGGAAAACAAAAGTGAGAAGACATAGCTATATTTATATCATATAAAACAGACTTTAAGTGAAAAGCTGCAAAAAGAGACAAAAAAGGTCATTATATGATGATAAAAGGATCAATTCAGCAAGATGTGAATATATATGCACAGTTGTGAATATATATGCACCCAACATTGGAGAAACCAGATACATAAAAGCAAATATTATTAGATCTAAAGGGAGAGATAGACTCCAATACAACAACAGTTGGGAACTTTGACACCCCACACTCAGCAGTGGACAGATCATTCAGACAGGAAATCAACAACAAGAAAACACTGAATTTGAATTGCATCTTAGACCAAATGGAACTAACAGACATTTACAGAACACTTCATCCAACAGCTACAGAATACACATTCTTCTCATCAGCTCATGGAACATTCTCCAGGACAGACCACATGTTACGCCACAAAACAAGTCTCAACAAATTTTTAAAAAGTAGAAATCATATCAAGTATCCTCTCTGACCACAGTGAAACAAAACTAGAAATCAATACCAAGGGAACTTTCAAAACCATACAAATATATGAAAATTAAATGTGCTCCTGAACGACCAATTGGTCAATAAAAAAATTTAAAAGAAAATTAAAAACATTCTTGAAACAAACGAAATTAAAAACACAACAAATCAAAATCTACTGAATACAGAAAAAGCAATATTAGAGGCAAGATTATAGCCATAAACAAGGAGAAAGATTTCAAATAAATAACCTAATGATGCATTTCAAGGACTAGAAAAGCAAGAAACCAAACCCAAAGTTAGCAGAAAGAAAGGAATAATAGAGTTCAGAGTAGAAATAAAATTGAAACTGAAAAAACCATACCAAAGATCAATGAAACAAAAAGTTGATTTTTTGAAAAGATCAACAAAATTGATAAACCGTTAGCTTAGCGTAACCAAAAGAAATGAAAAACATGGATAGTTCACCCATCATTAAAGAAATGAAATCTGTGGTCAAAAAAAAATCTTCTTTGGAGAGAATATCAGCCACACTTTTATTATTCAAGCACTTTCAGAGCACAACCGCTGATGTGAATGAAATGAATAAATCCCTAGAAATTACTAAAATTTAATCAAGAAGAAATAGAAAATCTGAATAGACCCGTAATAACTTAAAAACAAATGAATTAGTAACTAAAAGTCTTCCCATAAAGAAAAGCCAAGGCCTAGCTGGCTTCACTGGTGAATTCTATCAGATACTCAAAGAAGATATAATAACAATTGTTCACAAACTTTCAGAAATTAGGGGAGGAAGGAACACTTTCTATTTATTCTATGAGGCTAGCATTACCCTGATATCAAAGCCAGACAAAGACATCACAAGGAAACTATAGACCATTCGCTCTCATGAACAAAGAAACAAAAATCCATAATTACTAGCTAACCTTGACCGGGTGTGGTGGCTTATGCCTGGAATCCCAGCACTTTGGGAGGCTGAGGTGGGCGGATCACTTGAGGTCAGGAGTTTCTGACCATCCTGGCCAACATGGTGAAACCCTGTCTCTACTGAAAATACAAAAAAGTTAGCCAGGCATAGTGGCAGGCGCCTGGAATCCCTGCTGCTCTGGAGGCTCAGGCAGGAGAATTGCTTGAACCCGGGAGGCAGAGGTTGCAGTGAGCTGAGATCGTGCCACTGCTCTCCAGCCTGGGTGACAGAGTGAGACAACACCTCAAAAAAAAAAAAAAAAAAATTAGCTAACCAAATCCAGCACCATATAAAATGTATATACAACATGATCAAGTGGGAATGTAAGGTTGGTTTAACATCCAAAGATCAATTTATATACTATGCCATATTAATAAAACACAGGATAAAAATCATGTGATCATCTCAATAGATGAAGCAAAATCATGTGACAAAATCCAATGTCTATTCATGATAAAAATGCTCAAGCTAGAAATAGAAGGGAAGTTCCTTAGATAAAAAGCTTCTATGAGCCTGGGCACGGTGGCTCATGCCTATAATCCCAGCATTTTGGGAGGCCAAGGAGGGCAGATCATCCGAGGTCAGGAGTTCAAGACCAGTCTGGCCAACGTGGTGAAACCCTGTATCTACTAAAAATAGAAAAATTAGCTGGGCGTGGTGGTGAATGCCTGTAATCCCAGCTACTTGGGAAGCTGAGGCAGGAGAATCACTTGAACCCGGGAAGTGGAGGTTGCAGTGAGCTGAGATTGTGCCATTGCTCTCCAGCCTGGGCAACTGGGCGCTCCATCTCAGGGGTTGGGGGGCCGGGAAAGAAAAGCATCTATGAAAAACCTACAGCTAAAATAATACTTAATGGTGAAAGACTGAATGTCTTCCCTCCATGATCAGGAACAAGGCAAGTATGCCTGCACTCACCACTTCTGTATAATATTGTACTAGATGTTTTAGCCAGTGCAACAAGATATTAAGTAAATAAATGGACTGAAGGCATCCAGATTGGAAAGGAAGAATAAAAACTTTTTATCCACAGAACTATTAAACTATCAATGTTAGTTAAGTCCACAGGCTCCAAAACCCAGTATATAAAAATCCACTGTATTCCTACATACCAGCAATGGACAATTTGAAAGTGTAATTAAGAAAACAATTCTGGCTGGGCGCAGTGGCTCACATCTGTAATCCCAACACTTTGAGAGGTCAAGGCAGGAGGATCTCTTGACCTCAGGAATTCAAGACCAGCCTGGGGGGAACATAGTGAGGCCCTGTCTTTACAAATAAAAAATTAAAACATTAGCTGGGCAGTGGTGGTCCATCCCTGTAGTCCCAGCTACTGGGAAGGCTGAAGTGGGCAGATTGCTTGAGCCTAGGAGGTCGAGGCTATAGTGAGCAGTGGTCACACCACTGCATTCCAACCTGGGCAACAGAGTGAGACTCTGTCAGAAAATAAATAAAAATGTAAATAAATAAATAAAACAATTCTGGCAGGGCAAGGTGGCTCACGCCTGTAATCCCAACACTTTGGGAGGCTGAGGCGGGAGGATCGCTTGAGGTCAGGAGTTTGAGACCAGCCTTGGCAACATAGTGAGATTCCATCTTCACACAAAAAAACTAGTTGGGTGTGGTAGTATGCACTTGTATTCCCAGCTATTTGAGAG
The DNA here is from genome assembly GCF_000001405.40 of Homo sapiens. Lineage (NCBI taxonomy): Eukaryota > Metazoa > Chordata > Mammalia > Primates > Hominidae > Homo > Homo sapiens. The sequence continues at coordinate 21,794,168 of NC_000010.11, forward strand.
GCTGAGGTGGAAGGATTCCTTCAGCCAAGGAGTTCAAAGTTTCAGTTATCTATGATCATGCCATTGCACTCCTGGGCAACAGAGTAAGTTCCTATCTTCAAAAAAAAAAAAAAAAAAAGAGAGAGAGAGAGAGAAAAGAAAATGGTTCTTCTCTATAAGCTGAAAAAAATAATACATTTAATAAAAGAAGAACCAGATTTGCATATTGAAAACACTGTAGACAGAACTTGTAAAAGCTCTAAATGAATGAAAGACATTTCATGTTCATGAATTTGAACATTCAAAATTGTTAAGATGGCAGTTCTCTCCAAATTGATCTATAGAGTCAATGCAAATGAACATCCATGAGCAAAAAAAATGAACTTGACCCTTAAATCTCACATTAAACACAAAAAATCAACTCAAAATGGATCTTAGACTTAAATGTAATATCTAAAACTATAAAACTTCTAAGAAAATGTAGGAGAAATTCTTTGCTATCCTGGGTTAGGAAAAGTTCTTAGGTATAACACTAAAAAGCATAATCTATAAAAGAAAAAAATTGATGAACTGGACTTTACTAAAAGTAAACTTTTGTACTTCATATGACACCATTAAAAAAAACAAAAAGACAAACCACACAGTGGGAGAACATATTTGCAAATCATATATTTGATGAAAGACTTGAGTCCATAATATACAGGTTGAGTATTCCTTCTCCAAAATGCTTGTGACCAAAAGTGTTTCAGATTTCAGATTTATTTGCATTTTGTAATATCTGTATTCCATTTACCAGCTGAGCATTCTGAATCTGAAAATCTGAAATCTGAAATGTTCCAATAAGTATTTCCTTTGAGTGTCATCTTGGTGGTCAAAAAGTTTTGGAATTTTGAGCATTTCAAATTTCAGGTTTTCAGATTTGGGATGTCTAACCTATATATAAAGAACTCTTATGACAGGAAAAACAACCAAATTAAAATATGGGCAAAAATTATGAATAGATATTTCACTAAATAAGACGTAGGAATGGCTAATAAGTACTATACAGATTAATGTTCATGGCAGTATTATTCTAACAGCACCAAAGTGGAAATAAGACAAATGACCAATTAGTATAGAATAAATAAAATGCAGTATTTATGCACACAAATATTGAGCAATATGAAGAAATGAACTGCTGATACATGCTACAACACGGATGAACTTCAAATACCTTTCGCCAAGTGAAAGCAGCCATATGTGAAAGACTAAATACTGTTAAGATTCCATTTAAATGTAATTTCCTGAAAAGAAAATAGATCAGTGTAGCCTGAGAGAACAGGAGAAGACTAAATACTGTTAAGATTCCATTTAAATGTAATATCCTGAAAAGAAAATAGATCAGTGTAGCCTGAGAGAACAGGAGTGGGAAATGATTGCTAATGGGATTGAGGGAACACTTCGGGTGATGAAAATGTCTAAAACTGGATTGTGGCGATTTCACAACTCTACAAATTTACTAAAATAACATGAGATTTACTCTCTTAAATCAGGTATACAGTACAATACTGTTAACTATATGCACAACATCCTACAGCAGACCTCTAGAACTTACTCATCCATATTACCAAAACTTTATATCCATTGAACAACAACTCTCTATTTCTCCCTCCCTTCAGCTCCTGGCAACCACCATTCTATTTTTTGCTTCTGTGAATCTGGTTATTTTAGATAACTCATAAAAATGGAATCATGTAGTATCTGTCCTTATAGGAGAAGATTATTTCACTTAGCATAATGTTCTCAGGGGTTCATCCATGTTGTCACATATGGTGGGATTTCCGCTTTTTTTTTTTTTTTTTGAGACAGAGTCTCACTCTGTTGCCCAGGCTGGAGTGTAGTGGCATGATCTTGGCTCACTGCAACCGCCACCTCCTGGGTTCAAGCGATTCTCCTGCCTCAGCCTCCCGAGTAGCTAGGATTACAGGCATGCACCACCATACCCAGCTAATTTTTGTATTTTTAGTAGAGACGGGGTTTCACCATGTTGGCCAGGCTGGTCTCAAACTCCTGAGCTCAGGTGATCTGCCCGCCTCAGCCTCCCAAAGTGCTAGGATTACAGGTGTGAGCCACCTCACCCGGCCATTCCTTCTTTTTCATGAATGAATAATATTCTATTATATGTACATCCCACATCTTCTCTAGCCATCCATCCATCAATGGACATTTAGGCTGTTTCCATGTCTTGGCTACTGTGCATAATGGTGCAATGAACGGGGAAGTGCAGATACCTCTTTGAGATCTTGATTTCACTTCTTTTGGATATACATCTAGAAGTTTTTCTAGAATTGCTAGGTCATATAATTCTATTTTTAACTTTTGTAGGAATCTTCATACTGTTTTCTGTAACAACTGTACCATTTCACATTCCCAGCAACAGTGTACAAGGGTTCCAATTTCTCTAAATCACTGCCAACACTTCTTTTTGTTTTGTTTTTGTTTTTTTGATGATGGCTGTCCTAAGAGGTGTGAAGTATCTTATTGTCATTTTGATTTCTATTTCCCTAATGATTAGAGATGTTGAGCACCTTTTCATATACCTGTTGGCCATTTCTATGTCATCTTTGTAGAAATGTCTTTTGAAGTCCTTTGCCCACTTAAATATGAGGTTATTTTTTTGCTCTTGAGTTGTAGGAGTTCCTTACATATTTTGGACATTAACACCTTATCAGATAAATGGTTTGCAAATATTTTCTCCCAGTGCATGGTTTGTCTCTTCACTCTGTTAATTGTTTTCTTTGCTGTACAGAAGCTTTTTAGTTTGATATAGTCCCACTTCTTTATTTTTCATTTTGTTGCTTGTGTTTTTGGTGTTATAATCCAATAAATCACTGTGAAGACCAATGTCATGAGGCTTTCTCCTATATTTTCTTCTAGGCATTTTATGGCTTCAGGTCTTACAGTTAAGACTTTAATCCATTAAAAAAATTTTTTTTTTGCATGGTGTAAGTAAGGGTCCAGTTTCATTCTTTTGCATGTGGACATTAAGTTTTCCAAGCACCATTTTGGTGAAAAGACCTTTCTTTCCCCATATGTATTCTTGGTACCCTTTTGAAGATTAGTTGACTGTATATGTGTGGGTTTATTTCTGGGTTCTCTTTCCTGTTCCCTTGGTCTATGTGTCTGTCTTTATGCTAGTACCATACTGCTTTAATTACTATAACTTTCTAATATATGTTGAAATCAGGAAATGTGGTATCTCCAGTTTTATTCTTCTTTCTCAAGGTTGTTCTAGATATTGGGGGTCCTTTGTAATTCCATATACACTTCAGGATTGGTTTTTCTAGTTCTGTAAATCAATAATTTTTTTAAACAAAAAAATTTTAAAACAAATGAGTGCTATGGTTTGAATGTGTCTTCCAAAGTTCATTTGTTGGAAACCTAATCCCCAATGCAAAAGTGTTGAGAGGTGGGACCTTTAAGAAGCAATTAGCTCAGGAGGCCTCTGTCCTCATGAATGGGTTAATGACCTTATGGCGGGAGTGGGTTATTGCAGGAGTGAGTTCCTGATAAAAGGATGAGTTCAGCTCCCTTCCTTTCTTTTTCCCTTGTATGTTGTGTGCTCTCTTGTCCTTCTGTGTTCTACAGTGGGATGACGCAGCAAGAAGGCCCTTGCCAGACGTGGGCCCCTTGACTTCTCAGCCTCCAGAATTGTAAGAAATACATCTTAGTTCTTCATAAATTATCCACTCTCAGGTAGTCTGTTACACCAGCACAGAACAAACTCAGATAATGAGGTAGGCCTATATATACTGTCATGAAAAAAATTCAAAGACAAATGTTTTGTTTCTTCACATTTTAAAAAGTCGCTTTTAAAAATCAAGGTCATGCATGTACATAGCTTTTTAACAAAAGCAGTACACAAGGTCTTATGACAGAAAACAATGCACCTTACACACACAGGCAATCATTTCCGCTCACAGTTCTTCTGAAGGTTACAAGGTTACAAGTATACATTGCTAATTAACGTGCCTTTGTATACCACATCCTGCATCTAATCTCTTTCCCACCTCTACCAACAACCTCTAGTCCAAAACCACCATTGTGTTCTGAAAGGACAACTGAAATAGCCTCTTACCTGGCCTTCCTTCCTGCTTTCAAACTTCCCCACCAAACAGTCAGAACAATGCTTTTAGATCACTGCACTCCTTTACTCAGAATCTTCCAGTGCTTTCCCATCTCGCTCAGGGTAAAATCCAAAATTTCCACCTTGGCCAAAAAGGGCCAATATGGCCTGGTCTTCCACTACTTCTCAGACTCATTTCCTGTTATCTCCTTCTCCTACTCATGCCTTAGCCATATGGACCTCCTTGTTGGGCCTTGCAAACCCCAGACATGCTCTTGCCTCCAGGACTTTGTAGGTGCTATTTCCTCTGCCAGCAATGCTCCTTCTCAGACAACCTTGCTCCTTCACTTGCTTTGTACCTCTGCTCAAATACTACCTCTCCGAGAACACTTTCCTCAGAACCCTATTTTAAAATGCAGCTCCATCAGTCTCTATCTGCTTACCCTGCTTTATTTTTCTTCATGTTACTTGTCACTACCCAAGAATTTTCTTTCATTGCATGCATCTGGGTTCTTTCTAGCCTGTTTCTCCACAGCTCCTTAGGGCAACTATCTTTGCTTGCGTGGTTGCAACTTAGTTGCAGGCATATTAGTATTCTAGCTCAGTGGGAGGGAAAAATAAATAAGGGCTCATATGAACACACATTACTTTATGTTCTCCTGAAAAGAAATTAGTGATACAGCCATATCAGAGTTTGGGAGGCTTGGGAATGCAATGTCATTGTGCACATATGTGCCTGACCAACAATCTACTGCTAGAGAAGAAGGAGAGAACTTACTTTGGTGAACAACATGCCACAGTCCTCCACAATGTGTGGATTTTAAAAACTGAAAAATAATCTGTAAAACATATAAAATGTTTAAAATATAAAAAACCATCATGTAAGATATTACATAATTATGACCTGGTAAATATTATTCACCACTGAAACAAGTGCTCTTTCTACCAATCTACTCTGTAGTATAATTAAATTTAAACTATGTCTTTTTACGTGTGGTTTCCATGTTCTTTGTGGAATTTCTGGTTGCTTTTTACTGTTTTTTGTTGTTGTTGTTTTTTTGTTTTGAGACAGGGGCTCACTCTATCACCCAGGCTGGAGTGCAGTGGCATGAACATGACTCATTGCAACCTCGATCTCCTGGGCTCAAGTGATCCTCCTGACTCAGCCTCCCAAATAGCTGGCACACAGGTGTGTGCAACCACACCTGGCTAATTTTTCTTTCCTTTTCTTGTAAAGATGAAGGTTTCCCTATGTCGCCCAGGCTGGTCGCAAACTTCTGGTCCCAGGTGATCCTCCTGTCCCAGCCTATCAAAGTGCTGGGATTACAGGCATTAGTTGCTGCACTTTGCCTTTTTTTTCTTTTCCACATTTTTACATAGGCATTTTTCCAAGTTCTCAGCCATACTATCTATTCTATGAAACCTCCCTCCCTCCCAGGGTCCCTATCATGCCGTCCTTAGTTCTCCTGATTCACCATTTCTTGGATCCCATGTTGTCCTCTTCGATTTATTCCTTTTGTTGCTGGAGTACAACCTCAGGAAAATTTCTAGGAAAGGGTACGAGTTCTCACCCCACGTATTTACCATCACACTTGGTCAGTTCTAGATTCAGAACCATTTCCCCTGAGCACTGTGAAGGCACTGTTCCCTCATCCCACAGAATCTAGTGTTGCTGAGGGACCTGTGTCATTCCAATTTCCTTTACTTTGGAGACATCTTATCCATAGAAAGTTTAAAGATCTGTGTATGCTCAGTGTTCATAAATATCCCCAAGACCTTTTCCATGTCTCCTCCTTGATTTTGAGAGACTCTTACAAAGTTGTTTCAGGTGTCCCCAAATCCTGAAAACTTAACTGTATTATTTACTGAACAATGATCTTGCCCCTGTTTTCTCTGTCCCACACTAGAACCCCTCATCAGACGTGGACCCCTTGTACCAAGTCTCTGTGTTTTCTTTTGCAAGTAACAAAGATCAATACTATAACACTTTTCACTTCATGGGCAATGGTGAAAAATGTAGTGTTTGGTTTTTATGAGAGTATGAGGAAGTGACCTCTCATATACCACTAGTGGGAATGTGTATTGTTATAACCTCTCTGCAGGCCAATTTCAGAGCCCTCAGAGGCTCTAAAAACATTCATATTCTTGAACTAAGCAGCTTCTAGGAATGCAATCTCTAGTTCTAGGCACACAAGCTAATAAAATAGATATGAGTGAAAAGACAATTTTTTAAAACACCATGTCCATCTCAATGAAATAGCAAAAAAAGGAAGCAATTTAAATGTCAACCGATAGGATATTCTTTAATGATATCATGGCAGCATGGGCTATCGTGTAACTCTTTAGAAAAATGATGTGGATCTTATTTATTGCCATGAAAGATGCTCATGTTCTAGAGCTATGTGAAAAGGACAGAAAGTAGATTAATCCTATTAAAATTATACATATCCATACATATACAGAGAAACGCTAAAGTCTCTAGAATGATATACAACGTTTATACATTGTTTATACAATGTTACACAGAAATGTTCACAGAGATCTCTTTAAAATTATGGTTGATTAGAAAAAAATTTAGCTTAAGTGTATTCTTTGATGTTTTCTTTTTGCTATGAACATAGAGTTTTATCAAAAAAGAGTTAATGATATAAATCTCTAGACAAATTTAAAGTATTTTCCATACAAACATCAGTAAAGCAGAATTAACCAGAGGTAAAAACATATAAGTATGGAATCAAAATATGTGATCTTGTCCCAGTTCTACTAACAACTGTGTCACCTTGAACAAATATCTTAACAGCAGTTTACTCAGCTGTAAAATAGGGAAAAATAATGGTTGCCTATCTACTTCACTGTGTCATTATGAAAAAACAAATAAAAGTATATTTAAATGTTTTGAAAAGCGTAAAATACTACAAAAATGAATAATGGAATAATCAATATTATCACCAAAGCAATTGAAAATATAAATGTTGGTTTGCTACAGAATGGGAGAAAATATTTGCATCTGACAAAGGTCTAATATCCAGCATCTATAAGGAGCTTAAATAATCCCATGAAAAAGTGGGCAAAGGACATGAAGAGACACTTTTCAAAAGAAGACATACATGCAGCCAACAAGGATATGAAAAAAAGCTCAATCACTGATCATTAGAGAAATGCAAATCAAAACCATAATGAGATACCATCTCACACCAGTCAGAATGGCTATTACCAAAAAGTCAAAAAATAACAAATGCTGGCAAGGTTGCAGAGAAAAGGAAATGATTATACACTGTAGGTAGGAGTGTAAATTAGTTCAACCATTGTGGAAAGCAGTATGGCGATTCCTCAAAGAGCTAAAAGCAGAACTACCCTTTCTTTGACTCAGCAATCCTATTACTGGACATATACCCAGAGGAATGTAAATCATTCTACCATAAAGACACATGCACGTGAATGTTCACAGCAGCACTATTCACAACAGCAAAGGGATGGAATCAACCGAAATCCCATTAATGATAGATAGTATAAAGAAAATGTGATTATATATACACCACGGAATACTATGCAGCCACAAAAAAGAATGAGCTCATGTCTTTTGTGGGAACATAAATGGAGCTGGAGAGGGTACTATCCTTAGCAAACTAACGCAGGAATAAAAAACCAAATACCACATGTTCTCACTTGTAAGCGGGAGCTAAATGATGAGAACTCATGAACACAAAGAAGGAAACAACAGACACTGGGGCCTGGAGGGTGGGAGGAGGGAGAGGAGCAGAAAAAATAACTATTGGGTAGTAGGCTTAATACCTGGGTGATGAAATAATCTGTACAACCAGCCCCTGTGACACGAGTTTACCTGTATAACAAACCTGCACATGTTTTCTAAAATTTAAATATCTTTAAAAGTTGTAAGGTTGAGAGGGTAAGAGAAGGAAGGGAGAGGAGTATGAGATGTGGCTCAGACCAAGAGAACTACTGTAGCAGGAAACTGGTACAGCGGCAGTGAGGACGAAGGCAGAAAAACCAAAAGGACAGTCCTTATCATGTTTATAATTTTGTGTAGGGCTGGCCTGACTCTAAAAGTAATAACAATATATTTGCCAAGATAATAACTATATATTTAGTTCACTGATAAACCATAATGCTTATTTTCCATGGAACAGTCCACTTACGTGTTTTTGAAACCAGCATAATAACAATATATAAATTTCCCCCAATAGGAATCTCCTTGCAGTTGAGCTATACAAATGAATTGGGAATTTTATGATTTTCCTTCCTCCTCTTCACTTGCATAATGGGCTACATATATAACTACACACCCCTTACCTCACACTATGGCACTAAGCTAATTATAAAAGCCTGTTTAAATCTAGCCACCTGTCTTTTGTTTTGCTGCCTACCTGGGCCTTTTCCAAAGAGGCAGAAAAATCTCCTATCAGTCTGTTATCACAACCAGAATGCAAGAGATTAGTGACCAGGGAGAGAAGCAGAATCAGTTTACATCCTTTCAGGCAAAAGAATAGTATTACTTCACAAGCAAGAAATCTGGGGCCCCCTGACCTTAATTTAGGAAACCTGCAGTTAATCATCATGTTAAAGTTGGTTTTACATGCGAGACAGTTTTTGTTTCCGCTGTTATTTTTACAATTTGAGTGTCCTTTGTGATTACCAAAATTATTTGCTGAAAGGCATATATCAACATTTAAAATATTTAATCCATAATAAAGTAGGCCTTACAGATTAGGTATATCTGAATTAAAATATACTCGGTGTCAATTTTTTAAAAAGCTTAAAAAAATATTGCTTGTGTTTATCCAGAGTACAATTTAGCAATCTAACTCTGCTAATTATGACAATTAATATACTTAATTTCTTTCTTAATTGAGGAATAAAAAGGTTTTTAACTGTAATCCGACAACCCAAATAAAGAATCACATAAATCCCACCACTGGCACACACTCACCTCTCTCCCAAAAGGTCAATTGTTTCTTGAAGGAAAGAGAACTAAGCCTGAAGCTACAAATTTGGCAAGGAAACCCGGTCAAAGAACAGCTGTGCAAAGCCAGGGAGAACTAGGCAGGTGATCAGGTCAGTATGCAGAGGTTCTGATGACACTCAATTGAACCTGGCTACTTTTTCATAATCGAATACTTAATGAAAACAAATCTAATTAACACCATAAGCCAAAAGGAGGCACAAGTGGTCTTTTTAAAGTGTGGTTAACTTTCACTTAACATTATACTAGAGAAACAATACTAGCTGAACCATTTTAGCTGTTTCAATGTAATTTACAAGTCATCCCTGTGAGTTACTGATTCTACAGACACCTGTTCTCTTTTACAGAGTGATTTTCTGTGTGTGTGTGTGTGTGTGTGTGTGTGTGTGTGTATGTATGTGTGTGTGTGTGTGGACATATGCATGTGTTGGGGGACAGGAGAGTTATTGAAATGAATAGTCCAGCCATGGAGATGATGCTTACAGAATGAAAATGCAGTGTGGGTCTATATATATATTGACATAGAAGAAAAGTTATAATGGCATTTTTTTGTACAACAAAAGTTTAGATTTATTACATATTTATTTCCAAGGTACCTTTGTTATTATGAAAACAGAACTAATACTTGGCCAAAAAAAAAAAAAACCCAAAAAACAAAAAAAAAATCACTTCACAATGTCAGGTTTTCCACTTCCATGATAAAGGGAAAAAATATCTATTGCAGACACGGAATCATTCTGCCTTGGGTAAGTCTAGGGAGGAAAAAAAGGAGACATATGGGATGAATTTGCAAAAGTTTAAAAAGATGCTTTTGACAGCACCAAGACTACTCTAGTAAATTAAGTATATACTAGGATCTATGAGGCTTTGTTGGTTATATCCTGTGTATTCTTGGCATTTAAAAAATTTTCATCTTTCTCCTCTTAAAAATACAGATAAAAATTTACCAGGTTTTAATGACAACAAATTAAAATATTGCTTTACTCAGTTTCCTATCTGCCTTTAGCATCAAATGTAGAGCCTTATAGAAATATTATCTTAGAAGTTAAATGTGGTGCAGTCTTCAAAGGAGATAATACATTAGTATTACTATTATTTTTCATTAAGCAATTGAACTAAAAGTTTAGGGCCTTTTTAAACCAATGTTTTATAACTTTAAAAAATTATTTTAGTTTCTTTTGATAATCACTGTATTAATAGCAGCTATGTAATTAGTAGGTCATAGTACTTAAAACATCAAAAACCATGGAATGTCTTTAATTTGGTCAGATATTTACTGATATGTCATTATTAACCTATCTTTTACAAACAACCTTAAAACCGAGATAATAAAACACACCATCCAGTAACATGTTTAGCTGAAGAAAAGTTATCCTTATGGTTCTTTTCTAGTAACTCAAGATAACTAGTCTACTCATGAAACACAGCAAAAAAAAAAAAAAAAAGTTACAAAATACTTCAGCTATTTTCCCCTATGATCAAACTTCAACTCTGAAGCAAAAATATTGCTAAACGTCTTATAAAAATCCAGATTGTAGTCTTTTAAATGACCTATACAGTAGTAACAATATTCATATATATAATTTAAAATTCTCAAAGCAGGTCCATTGCAAAAACAAAACAAAACAATACAAAACTTGACAGTACAGGTCAAGTATACCTAATCCAAAAGTCTGAAATTGCTCAAAAATCTGCAACTTGAGCGCCAACGTGACGGATTAGAGATGCGCAACTGTAATAATTTCTGTACGTTTCTTTCTAAACTAAAAAGTGGAAGTTTATTATTGAAAGTAACTTACAGCATTTATAAGCTCCTTTTGGTAGCCATGTTCAGTAATCATTTTGCAGGTTTTAAAAAACTATCAGTACTATAAAAGGCCTAAAGGTATACTAACAGAATGGAAGGGGAAATTTAAATCTTTGCTTTCAGTAACCCTCTAAGTATTTTTGGATCTATAGGATTTATTTAAAGTAAATTTAGTAAAGCATATTTACTATCCCTCATGAAAATATCAATTTGATAAAAATAATATTTTTTCTCAATTTCAATTAAACATTTACTGTGTATTTAGTATATTACACATCAGGCACTGTGCTAGGTGCTTTCTAAAAAATTTTCTGCTCTAAATTTCCTCAATAAAAGCATCTAAAGCATTAAGTCAAAACCTTTCCAAGTAAGTAATTTATCTTTTAAATGTTACGTATGGACACACACACACACACACACACACACACACACACACAGTTTCTTCTGGTTAAACTACTTATCAAACGAACTGTTGCTATCATCCTTGAAACAAAAAGGCCAACACCATTTGCATTATGGGTATATTGCTCATTTAATTAATCAGAACCACCTGTCTAAATAGCAATCGCAATCTGTACTTCAATGTTAAAAAGATCCAGCTGAAATACAACCCTCCTAATTCTGATCAGTTTGAGAACTATTTTTTCCACAGTTAAAGGGGTCACTATAAACATAAAAACTGGCATTGTTTTCCTTTGATTAGGTTACAGTAGCTTAAGTCTCTAAACACTAGAATTCCTCACACAGCTGTTAACTGTGGACCAGGGGACTGGCTCACATCTGCTTCTCACTTATTGCATTAATGGTTCACTTTCAGGTCCTAAAAGGATTGTTGTATCCCCTCCCCAAAGATACTGTGGAACCCATCTATGTCTGCCTTCTACATAGCTGACTTGTTCTGGTTTCTCTCTCTATACAATGCAAATCTCAGTGAACTCACATCTGTCACAGATCGACCCAATTCGTGGGCAATCTTTTCCCATCGACCTGGAGTCCCTCCTGGGAACTTAACCATACTTCTTGTCAGTTGGCTGAGGTCCTCTTCTGTCCATTCAGGTGCCTGCAAAACATTAAAGAAAATAAAAAAAGATAATTGGGAGAAAATAAAAAGATAATTGGAAGAATAAAAAAAGATAATTGAGAGATAATTGCTGTGAAGCAAATTATTGGCAATATGCTTTCTGTAAAAAACAATACTAAATTGTATCTAATAGTTTCAATAAAGATTTGAGCTGCATATTTAACACTGGAATGCAAAGCTCTAGAAGCCTATTTCATTTCCTACGTATACTAACTAAGAAAGCATAAATATTGCAAAACCAGGTTTTGCAGACATTTTTTAAAAAAGACCATTCAGCTTTGAATTAAAATGAGAAACCATTCTCAAAGCTTATGAAATGCATCCTTGCTATAAAATGCAGTGCTGCTCATAAATGCCTCACATAAAGTTACTATTAAAGGGCTCTCTCTTTTTTTTTTTAAACACACACTTTAAAGAAAGCAAAAATAAAAATAAAAAACTTACAAGTATAAATGAAATGTGAACAAGTAAATATACTGGTCTGAAATCAGAACTGCAATGACACTTTATGATCATTCTATGTAACGATATTCAATTTTAAAATAATATTTTTTCAAGAAGTTTAGCTTGTCAAATGTCACTCTTTTTTTTTTTTAAACTTCGGAACAGAAATAAAATTAGAAACTCTTGTGGCCAAGACTCAAACCATCAAGTCCATGTAAAGCAGCATTTCATTTTATTTTGACCATTTCATTTTGGTCAACTTTTAGCTTTGACTAAATGATTAAACTAAATTTAAAAATACCTTAGAGATTATAAACACGCATATGCAAAAAGTCTAACAGCAAGCATATTCTCTGCATTTTTCTCAGCACTAGCAGTAGTCAAACCCCAAAGTGAGCACAGAGAAATAAATTATTATCAAACAACAAATAACCACGTTACAATTATTTCACATTACACTTTAGTACTGAACTATTCTCCACCAGAGGCAATAAAGCACTCTGGTATTAAACAATACTCCAGTAGCCAGCATAGAGACTGAGGAAGCCTACCTTATTTTCCTTTAATTAAAATGAAAGAATAAAGAAAAAGAAAGAGGGAAAGAAGGAAACCTTTGAGGCAAATACCTTTTCTAATCACCATTTCCGATAATGAACAGGCATACATCAGGCAGTTTGCATTACAGAACCATCAGCACAGAACAACAGTCAGAGGTGAGTGACCCCAGGGACTATCTCCACAGCTACAGCAAAGCTTCTCCCTGACACTAATCCTCCCTGTCATTCTCCCACTGTGCTCTAACCACACTGACATCCGCCTGCCTCACTGCAAGCTTAACGGGGCCCTTCCTGACTTTTTACTGTCTCCCCCAATCAATGGTTCAAGCGTGCTCTTTTCACCATGTCCAAATGGCAGCTTCACTCATAATCAAAGTGCATTGCCCCTGTTAAAGGGCTTTCCGAAAGGCTCTCCCATTTGCATTCATTTGCAAAGCAAACTACTTTTATTCACTTTGTTCTGCTATCAAGAATGTTCGCTGAAGCAGATAAATTGGCATAAATACAACCTGCCACTTAAGAGTCAGTAAATAATAGCCAATAGTAGGGAGGATTTTATCAATCATTCTATTTTGTATCCACTAAGAGCTGAAAGCCTCAAACATATTCATCAGTACAGCCTCTACAATACATGCATAAATTCACTTATATAAAAAGGTAGCCCACATTGGGTCTGGTCGGAATTTCTTTGATATTTAATGAATATCAGAAATCCAATTCTTCATATCAGATGACTTAAAAATTTACACGGAGGGTTTTTTCTTTCTCCTTGTCTTTATTTAAGGAAAAAAGAATTATTCTTATTCAGCTACAATTTAGAGAAATATAATTGGATTTTCAACAAAATCATAGTTTTATTGCTAAAAAGCTTTAATAAGTAGACCAATCGGTTTCAGAAATGCAAAAGACTTAAGTTTTAGGCAGAATTTAAATAAGCTTACAGTAAAAGATCATGTCATGAAGAGCTTGAAGTTGATCATTGCATAAAGATATATACTGATCAAACCATACAGTATGTACGAAATCACACTAAATCAAATTACCTAATTTCTATGTTATTTTAACATTTTTGGAGCAAAAAAATTGTCTACAATGTCTAAAATATAAATCATTGTTTCAGGTAGTAAACTAAGTCTTTAAAATAATTTCTATTTTTAACAGATCAACTTCCCAAATACTCTGCATACATAAACATTGACATTAAAAACAAATCTGATTTTAATTAGATTAATGAGTGTGTAAAAGCATAGTAGTTTTCTGAAAAATAAAAATTTTATATAAAGTATTTGGATTGAATTCCTGAAAAATCACCTACTGCTATGACAGTCTTAAGTTTCATAGTTATTTTATGGCCATAATTTTTATTATTAATATTTTTAAAGAGGCTCGATAGTGACTAGGGCCATAATCTGAAATCTGAGAGAACCCTTTTAGCAATGCATTATTCTCCCTCCTACAGCTGTAAGGCACTTTGGTGAATGTGTAATTCCTCGGCAATAGTTAGTTGTGTCTTTAGAAGCAACAGAGCCTCCTGTGATCCAGCTACTACAGCAGCCATGAGGGTGGCCATGGTGTGAATGTACTCTCCCTCTTCTAATCTGGAGCCAACTGTAGCTGTGAAAGTCAAATGAATGCATAAGCATACTGCTTTGCCACTTAAAACCATGTGTGTCCAATCTTACCGAAACACCGGGCCAAATATTCATCTCTACAGTAAAGTAATGGAAGATACCACATGGTGTGGAGACAGCTGTTGTGACTATACAAGCACTCCAATTTTGCATCAGAAAAGCCCATTCTGGGAATAAATCTCCATACTGAATACAAAATAAAAAGTTTTCAAATTATTAAATATTGTAATGTAATGACCTCAAAATATAGCAACCAAAGTAAGAACTGATATGAAAACTTAAATTATATTCCCAAATCATGTACCTTTGGGATGGATTTTTGCCATAAAACCCACTATGTTCAAAGATTTGGTGTCTCTGAAAATCCTCTATATTCTTGGGGTAGGGCTGTATTTTTAAAGTAATCTATATGGACTTTTCCTCTCACAGCTTTGGACTATAAAATGTTAATTAGAAAGCATCATATAATTTATTTGGCACTAAAAATTATGGCCAAATTAAAAAAAATTTTTAATGTACTTGTTTATTGTATTTTTATACTTTAATGACAAAAGGCTCATTTCTATCTAATAAATAGATACTGAAACTCTCTAATGAGCAATACTTCTATTGAAATGACCTATTAATAATAATTATTTATATAAATACAGAAGCTAAAATTTTGGATTCAACTATTTTTATTAGATTCAGCTCAACTCATAAATTCTCAGAAATTTTATCCAAGAAAATAACATTCTTACATCGCATTGCCCAGTTAATATATAACACATTATTATACATAATAATATAACATATTATTAGATATACATAACACATTAGATATACATAACACATTATTAGATATATATACACATATTAGATGTATATATCTAATATGTATTAGATGGGATGGGATGAGATTGGATGTCTAATAATCTAATTATCTCTTACCCTCAAGTTCTATAAACACTTTTAGTGCATTTAATTTAGTGCACAGTTTTCAGCTATATAATTTTCCTTTCCTATTTAAAAATGGAGGCATGCCCTTGACAAATATATATAAATACATGGTATAAAAACAACAACAAAATTAAAAACTAAATAACCTCAAATGTCTTTTTACTCTTAGGAAGAGAAATTCTTTTTTGAGGCCTATCTTCCTGACTTGCAGTTGGCTGCCTTCTTGCTCAGTCTTCACATGGCCTTTCATGTGTGTGTGTATGTGTGTGGCGGGGTGGGGGGAATGGGGGAGTCTGTTGTCTCTCTTCCTCTTCTTTTAAGAATACCAATACTATCGATTTAGGGCCCCACCCTTCCGACTTCATTAGCCTTAATTATCTCCTTACAGGCCCTAGCTTTAAATACAGTCACATTGGGAGTTAGGGCTTCAACATGTGAATTTGGGGGCACACAATTCCGTTCAGAATAGGCAGGACACAAAAAAACAAAAACTAAAACAGAAGTCCACAATTTGGCCCAACTGGTTTTTCAAAATTCACTGAATTTATACAATACATAGATAAAAGGGCAGGAATTGGCTTTTGTCCCTCTATGACACTGGCTCTGAATTAACATCTACTGAAATATACCAATTGGCAAACCTTTGTGCCCTTAATCAATATTGGCGATCCTCCTAAATTTAAACAAGGGTCCCCCTATAATCTTAGGGGAGTTATTGAACATAATATAAAGGACAAGTATGCATGCCTCGCCCTAACCACAGGAATTCTGTCTTGCCTTAATTCCCTATGGTCATCACACCCATTGTTCTAAAATATCCCATAGTGGTCATGGACACTCTGACCCAAAGAGTCATGAATTAATTTTAAGTCTTTGGCACTAACAAATTGCCTTTTTAAAATGGACCCCATGGACGTACTGCTTCCCCATGAAAACAGTTAATACAGCCAGATGTAAATTAAAACAGGGCCTTTAATGATTAAAACCCACTATACAAGACCTATTTAGAAAAGGGGTGATTATCCCCACTGCCTGTCCATTTAACAGCCCAATTTGACCAGCTTTTCCACTTGGGAGGAATGTATGGTGCCTCCTGGTGGATTACTTCAACCTCAATGCTGTGGACTTCACTAAGGACCCATACCCAATATAACTGAAATTACTGACTTCATCTAACCAGCAACTGGTAAATATTTTGGTATTATAGATTTGGTGAATATGTTTTGTTCAGTGCCTATTTCAACACTCTTGACTGCAGTTTGCCTCCAAAGGGACCCAATACAGTTTTACCCAGCTACCACGGGGTACTTTAAACAGCCTCACTGTAACATACAATCTTCGAGGGCAAGATTGAAACTGCACCCTACTTTCCCCAGGAATGCAGGTATGACATCACACTGATGACCTCCTCCGCTGAGGAGATTCCTTTGATACACTCACTCGGGACATACAAATGAAAGGAGCTCACGGGGTGACCCACCGCCTTACACACAGAGCAAGGCCTTGGTTGTATTTCTGAACATTATTGGGTAAACTGAAGGCAACTCCATCCATGACACTGTCAAGAAACAGCTATTGACTCTCATAGCACCCACAGTTTCTTTTAGGCTCTTTTGGGTTCTGGAGGAAACATACTTCTCATTACAAATTGTATTAAGCCCATATATGTTGTTACTTGCGAAATGACTCACCTTGAATGGGGCCCCTTTTAAGCAAAGGTTCTGGAATCTGTCCAAATTGCAAAACAACTGACACCCCTGCGTGTCTCCCACAGACTCCTTAACTGCAGAGGATTTAGCAGTCTCCTATCAGTGTGAGAGTTGTGTGCAAGTAATGACTTGAAATGGTAAAACCACAAATATTTGGATTTTGCCAAAATTAAACTTTTAGTCTTTTAAAGAAACTATTTTTAAAAATGAAAAGGAAGACCACAAACTAGCAGCAAATATTCTCAACACATATCAGAAGAAAGATCTGTATCCCAATCTGTCTATCCATTCTCCTATTAATGGATATTTGGGTTGCTGCTAGCTTTCATTCATAAGGCTAGTTTATGAATGAATAGAGCTGCTATGGATATTGTGTAAAACTCTCTCAGTGGTCATGTTTTAATTTCTCACATATAAATACAGAGGGGTGGAATTGCTAAGGTCATTGGGAAAACGTACGTCTAACTTCGTAAGAAACTACAGGAGTATTTTTCCAAAGAGGTGCTATTTTACAGTCTACCCAGCAATGCATGAGCATTCTTGTTGTTCCACATCCTTACCAACACTTGACATGGTCAGTTGTTTTAATTTTGACCATTCTGGTGGGACTGAAATATATCTTACTGTGGTAATAATTTGCATTTCCCAGATGACAAATGATTTTTTTTTTTTTTTTGAGATGGAGTCTCACCCTATTGCCCAGGCTAGAGTGCAACAGTGCAATCTTGGCTCACTGCAACCTCTGCCTCCCAAATTCAAACAAGTCTCCTGCCTCAGCCTCCCGAGTAACTGGGATTACAGGTGCCCGCCACCACGCCCAGCTAATTTTTGTATTTTTGGTAGAGACGGGGTTTCACCATGTTGACCAGGCTGGTCTTGAACTCCTGACCTCGTGATCTGCCTGCCTCAGCCTCCCAAAGTGCTGGGATTACAGGTGTGAGCCACTGCGCCCAGCCAGACAAATGATCTTGAATATCTTCACATGTGCTTACTGGCCAAGTGAATGCTTTCTTGAAGTACGTGTTCATGTCTTTTGACCATTTGTTAATTGGTTGTCTTCTTATTAGTTTTAAGATTTTTTTATATTTTGTAGATACTAGATCTTTGTCAGATATAAGTATTACCAAATATTTTCTTCTGGTCTATAATCTATATTTTCTTTTTTAATAGATTTTTTCCTTTTTAGAGACAGAGCCTTGCTCTGTTGCCCAGGCTGGAGCACAGTGGCACAATAAGGCTCAATGCAGCCTTGAAATCCTGGGCTCAAGTGATCCTCCCGCCTTGGCCTCCGCAGACATGAGCCACCACTCCTGGACCTTATATTTTCATTTAAAATTCTTTAACTTTTACTTTGAAATAGCTTTAGGTTTATAGAAAGTTTTAGAAAATAGTACAGAGTTCCCATATACTCTTTATTCAGCAAACTATGGTGTTAACTATACAGCCATTGTGATAACAAGTCAGCCTCCAAGGTGTTCCTCAGTGATTCCCACTTCCTAGTATTAATGCCCTTGTGCAGTCTCCTTCCACAGTGGCTAGGGCTGACATGTAAAACCAATAGGATACTGTGGAAGGGATAGGGTGTGTTTTCCAAGGATAAATGATAAAAGACATATACACACACATACACACACACACACACACACACACACATATATATACATATATACATATATATACATATATACACACACACATATATATATATATATATATACAGCTTCTGCCTTGCTCTTTCTTGGGTTACTTGTCTCTCTCTCTCTCTCTCTCTCTCCCTCTCTCTCTCTCTCTCTCTCTCTCTCTCTCTCTCTCTCTCTCTCTATATATATATATATATATATATACACATACAGCTTCTGCCTTGCTCTTTCTTGGGTTACTTGTCTCTAGGGGAAGCCAACTGCCAAACAGTGAGGCCGCTCAAGCGGCCCAATGGATAGGCAGTAATAGGAAAGGACATTGTCTCCCTCAAGGTCAAAGGGCAAACAGTCTTTTTTTTTTTTTTTGAGACGGAGTCTCACTCTGTCGCCCAGGCTGGAGTGTGGAGTGCAGTAGCGCAATTTCAGCTCACTGCAAGCTCTGCCTCCCGGGTTCACACCATTCTCCTGCCTCAGCCTCCCGAGTAGCTGGGACTACAGGCGCCCACCATCACGCCCAGCTAATTTTTTTTGTATTTTTAGTAGAGATGGTGTTTCACCGTGTTAGCCAGGATGGTCTCGATCTCCTGACCACCTGCCTTGGCCTCCCAAAGTGCTGGGATTACAGGCGTGAGCCACTGCGCCCAGCCAGGGCAAACATTCTTATTGTCCAGTATAGTGAAGATATTGCCTCCTCAGAGGAATGGGTAGCCATGTTTATTGCCTGTTGTAAAAAATTTGAGTTACCTAAGTTCAGGATTCCCCATCTGTAATACACCGCACTGGTTGTTTAGGAGTCAGTTGGCCCTCTTACTCTGTGGGAACTAAGCTCAGAGAACAAGCAGAAAAATGCTGATACTCTAGCTACTGCTGCTGCTGTGAGTAATAAACTGCCCTTTGTCTCTGACCCAGGAGTCTCATGTCTTCTACCAGCATTCATGAAACTGTAGCAGGCTACCTTATTTGCTCACAAGTAAGGTAAAATCTCAAACTCTTTACAGTTTTTGACAGTTTTGGTGATGAGGATGGGATTCTCACAGACTCTTCCTCTTTCTGAATGAGGGCCTTGTAGAGATTTGCAGAAGTTACTGGGCACCTACAGCGAACATGCTAATTAAGTTATATTGTCGGTTGGGCAGCAAATGTCACTTCCTTTTACTGTCTATTAATAAGGAAGAATTGTGGAAGTGGCTGCATGCTGAATACCAGGAAATAGGTTCAAACACAGCTGCTATAAAGGCATCCTTATTGTTCCTAAATCTCTTCCAGGTTAGGGGACTTCCTTGCCATCCTGTTTGGTCAGCCTCAGGTCTGTACCACTGTAACAAGTACTAAGTAACAGTACTAAGATTCATTTTGTGTAGCCATAAAGTCTACTCCCTTTCAGAAAACAATTAGAGATACACACTCATAATGAGCATGAAAAGAGAAATTCATGAGCACAAACCAGGCCAATCATTAGAACAATGGCTGGTTCACTTGGGAGATAAGGGGGCAGGGTGTGTAATGCTTCTTAGGGAAGAATGGGATCAGGTGGGTTGTCTTACAGTACAACCTCTTCTGTAGTCTATTATGCCAACCTTAAATCCATTTGGAAATGACAGCAAAATGTCTCAAAGTGGGTCCTGGGTGCTTTCATCCTTTCAGGGAGATCTCGCAGAGAAAGATACACTCTTGTATTATAGGAAACCAAGGACGACGACTTGAAGAGTATTCAGGCTCTTACTGCCCTGGATTGGATTTATTAATAGAATGCTAAATCCAGTGAAAGTGGAACAAAAGTAACCTCACAGAAAATGAGAAAGTAACTCAAAGAAATGTACGTAAATCTATGCAGTCAGCCCTGCCACTCTGGAAAACTCCTCTAGCCCTTATGTTGAAATTTAGGATTTAAGAGATTTTATCTCAGTAATGGGAAAGCAGATGCTCTGGATTAAGGTAGACTCACCAAAGGTCACACTGCTAGCTTGAGTCAGGCAGAGGGGCAAACTCCACGACCTCAGCTAGAAAGCACTGTGGCTAGGGCACTGTGTCAAAGAGCTCTCAAGATTGAAACAGATGGCGCCAGACATGAGGACCTTCTTGCCATCTCATATAAATCATGGGTAGCCAAAAACATTAAGCCACAAGCCACAGTACTGTGCTGCTCAGAACTAAAAACAATGTTAAGCCTTGTTTAATGGCATGGAGCCACTATAGCTCCCTGACTATTTGAACTGATCCATGACACCATCCTACCATGGTAGTAGAAGTCATTCAGGTAAGCCTGAACTCTCTGCCGGGGGTTGTTCTTGATGATCAAACTGCAATAGATGTCCTCCTTGTGGGCCAAGGTGGAATCTGTACAATCGCTAATGCATCCTGTTACACCTGAGGTTTGGGGAGCTGGCAGAAACATACTGATATTCTGATAACTGCTATTGCTATCAGTAATAAACTGTCCTCTATCTCTGACACAGGAGTTTTAAGTTTTCTACCAGCAGTATCTATGAAACTAGGGAAGGCTTAGTCCATATATAGCATGAAACAAACTTCACACTTGTTGGCAATATATGCCTTTTCATTTCCTTAATGGTGTCTTTTGAAGAGCAGAAGCTTTTCATTTTCATAAAGTTCAATGTATCTATTTCTCTATTTTTTTATGGTTAGTGATTAGAGTATCCTAAGAAATCTTTGCCTATCTCAAGGATGAGGCAGAGGTCAAGGTTCATTTTCTTTTTTTTTTTGAGACGGAGTTTCCCTCTGTTGCACAGGCTGGAGGGCAGTGGTGTGAACTTGGCGCACTACAACCTCTGCCTCCCAGGTTCAAGCGATTCTCCTGCCTCAGCCTCCCGAGTAGCTGGGATCACAGGCCCGCCACCACGTCTGGCTAATTTTTGTATTTTTAGTAGAGATGGGGTTTCACCATGTTGGCCAGGCTGGTCTCGAACTCCTGACCTCAAGTGATCCGCCTGTATCGGCCTCCCAAAGTGCTGGGATTACAGGCATGAGCCACCGCGCCCAGCCTTCAAGTTTCATTTTCTATTATATGGATATCCAGTTGTTCCAATACCCTATCCTAGATGGGCACCTGTAATCCCAGCACTTTGGTGGGCTGAGGCGGGGGGATCACCTGAGGTCAGGAGTTTGAGACCAGCCTGGCCAACATGGTGAAACCCTGTCTCTACTAAAAACACAAAAATTAGGCAGACGTGAGCCTGTAATCCCAGCTACTTGGGTGACTGAGGCAGGAGAATTGCTGGAACCAAAGAGGAGGAGGTTGTAATGAGCCAAGATCGTGCCACTGCGCTCCAGCCTGGCCGACAGAGCAAGACTTCTAGAAAGAAAGAAATGACTATCCTTTTTCCTTTTGGATTGCCTTGACACTACTGTCAAAAATCAATTGACCAGCTGGGTGCAGTGGCTCATGCCTGTGATCCCAGCACTTTGGGAGGCCATGGCAAGAGATTCACTTGAGCACAGGAGCTCGAGACCAGCCTGGGCAGCAAAGAGACACTGTCTCTCTCTCTTTTTTTTTTTTTTTTTTGAGACGGAGACTCGCTCTGTCACCCAGGCTGGAGTGCAGTGGTGCGATCTCCGCTCACTGAAAGCTCCGCCTCCCGGGTTCACGCCATTCTCCTGCCTCAGGCTCCCGAGTAGCTGGAACTACAGGCGCCACCCACCATGACCAGCTAATTTTTTGTATTTTTAGTAGAGACGGGGTTTCACCGTGTTAACAAGGATGGTCTCGATCTCCTGACCTCGTGATCCACCCGCCTTGGCCTCCCAAAGTGCTGGGATTACAGGCATAAGCCACCACGCCCGGCCGAGACTCTGTCTCTTAAAAAAAAAAAAATGCCGGGCGCGGTGGCTCACGCCTGTAACCCCAGCACTTTGGGAGGCCGAGGTGGGTGGATCACAAGGTCAGGAGATCAAGACCATCCTGGCTAACACAGTGAAACCCCGTCTCTACTAAAAATACAAAAAAAAAAAATTAGCCGGGCGTGGTGGCGGGTGCCTGTAGTCCCAGCTACTCAGGAGGCTGAGGCAGGAGAATGGCCTGAACCCGGGAGGTGGAGCTTGCAGTGAGCTGAGATCGCGCCACTGCACTCCAGCATGGGCTACAGAGCGAGATTCCGTCTCAAAAAAAAAAAAAAAAAAAAAAAATCAATAGACTATGTGTACATCTGTTTGAGGACCTTCTTTCAGCACCTACTTTTCTTACCTGTAAGAAAAACATGGTGATATGCTAAAATTTGTTTAAGATGCTCATCACAGCAGTTTTTGTAATAAAGTTATTTTAAATTACACATAAATGTTTACATTTATTTAAATCTTTGTCCTTAAATATACTACGAACACTCTGACCACATGAGAAAGTCCTATCATGACTTGTAGTCCTTGTATTTTTTTTCCCCTCATTTTTTATTTTTAGCTTCATGTTTCCAGTGCTCTATAAAAGTTACGTTCTGTCTTGCTGGTCCTGAAACAATAACACTATCATCAACTTTAAGATTAGGAAACCAGCAAAAAAAGATGTAATGATTTTCTTAAGACCTCCTAGGAAGTTCATACAAGAGCCAAATTAAAATTCAAAGCTCTTAATGAAAAAAAATGTATTCTGCAAAAAAATTTAAGAATAAATGTTGCAGGAAGTCAGGAACCCCAAACAGAGGGACTGGCTGAACCCATGGCAGAAGAACGTGGATTGTGAAGATTTCATGGACATTTATTAGTTCCCCAAATTAATACTTTTATAATTTCTTATGCCTGTCTTTACGGCAATCTCTGAACATAAATTGTGAAGATTTCATGGACACTTATCACTTCCCCAATCAATACCCTTGTGATTTTCTATGCCTGTCTTTAATCTCTTAACCCCGTCATTTTCGTAAGCTGAGGAGGATGTATGTCACCTCAGGACCATGTGATGATTGCGTTAACTGCACAAATTGTTTGTAGAGCATGTGTATTTGAACAATATGAAATCTGGGCACCTTGAAAAAAGAACAGGATAACAGCAATGTTCAGGGAACAAGAGAGATAACCTTAAACTCTGACCGCTGGTGAGCCGGGCGGAACAGAGCCATATTTCTCTTCTTTCAAAAGCAAATGGGAGAAATATTGCTGAATTCTTTTTCTCAGCAAGGAACGTCCCTGAGAAAGAGAATGTGTCCCTGTGGGCCTCTAAAATGGCCCCCTTAGGTGCAGCTGTCTTTTATGGTCTAGCTGTAGGGATGAAATAAGCCCCAGTCTCCCATAGCGCTCCCAGGCTTATCAGGACAAGGAAATTCCCGCCTAATAAATTTTTGGTCAGACCAGTTGTCTGCTCTCAAACCCTGTCTCCTAATAAGATGTTATCAATGACAAAGCATGCCGAAACTTCATTAGCAATTTTAATTTTGCCCCAGTCCTGTGGTCCTGTGATCTCGCCCTGCCTCCATTTGCCTTGTGATATTCTATTACCTTGTGAAGCACATGACCTCTGTGACCCACACCCTTTTCGTATGCTCCCTCCCCTTTTGAAAATCACTAATAAAAATTTGCTGGTTTTGCAGCTTGTGGGGCATCACGGAAACTGCCGACATGTGATGTCTCCCCTGGACACCCAGCTTTACACTTTGTACTCTGTCCCTTTATTTCTCAACCTGGCCGACGCTTAGGAAAAATAGAAAAGAACCTACATGACTATCAGGGGCAGGTTCCCCGATAAAGAAAGAAATGAGTAAGACCCAACTTTTGCCATACTATTCAAAAAGATTCAAAATGATTTATTTTGAAAATGAGCACTGCTAAATCTATGCTAGAAAATCTCTGTGCAGTCATTATTTACTTATTTTCTGCTGTTTTTTAAATACTGAAAGGTAGAAAAAAGTCTTACATAAGATTATATTACAATTCACTGTCTGAAACCTTGTTTTTAGAAAAATGCAGAAGAGTAAATTGAAGGAAACCAAAGTTAGATGCATCACTATTATACTACTTGGGATAAAGCAAAATCGTATTTAAGGACTAACATGACACTAATAGAAAGACTTTACAATGTGACACTAGCTTTAAGACCTGATGAAAAGCAATAAAAGTTTGGTTTTAAAAAAGGTTTGGGCCAGGCGCGGTGGCTCATGCCTGTTAATACCAGCATCTTGGGAGGCCAAGGCAGGTGATCACGAGGTCAAGAGATCAAGACCACCCTGGCTAACATGGTGAAACCCCATCTCTACTAAAAATACAAAAATTAGCTGGGCATGGTGGCGTGCATCTGTAGTCCCAGCTACCTGGGAAGCTGAGGCAGGAAAATCACCTGAACCCAGGAGGCAGAGGTTGCAGTGAGCCGAGATCACGCCACTGCACTCCATCCTGGGTGACAAAAGGGAAACTCCGTCTCAAAAAAAAAAAGTTTTGGAGGACATGCAGTAGTCTACTAGCTTGTTGGTCACGCTTTGAAATTCAAAATTTTAAAATGTATTGCTTTACCACTGATATAATTTAAATTATAGAAGCTTAGAATCACAGAACATGTGAGGTGGCCTTTAGAAGTTATTTAATCTCTTAATTTGGGGCATGGTCACATTTTGTGCATTTGATATTGATTTTTAAAATTTTTTTATTGAGATCTAATTAGCATACCATAGGCCAGGCACAGTGGCTCACACCTGTAATCCCAGCACTTTGGGAGGCTGAGGCGGGTAGATCACCTGAGGTCAGGAGTTCAAGACCAGCCTGGCCAACATGGTGAAACACCATCTCTACCAAAAATACAAAAATTAGCAGGGCATGGTGGCACATGCTTGTAATCCCAGCTACTCTGGAGGCTGAGGCAAGAGAATCGCTTGAGCCCAGGAGGCAGAGGTTGTAGCGAGCTGAGATCACGCCACTGCACTCCAGCCTGGGCAATGGAGCAAGACTCTGTCTCAAATAAAACAAACAAAAAAAGAAATTAACTAGCACACCATAAATTCACCTATTTAAAGTGTATAATTCAATGCTTTTTAGTATATTCATAAAGTCATGCACAATTTTGAAGCATTTTCATCATTCTGAATAGATACTTCTTATCCTTTAGCAGTCACCTTTAATTTGTCCTAACTGCTTCAGTCCCTAGGCAACCACTAATTTACTTTCTGTCTCTATAGATTTCCCTATTCTGGGCATTTCATAAAAATGGAATCATATAATATGTAGTCTTTTACTTAGCATAATGTTTTCAAGGTCCATGTAGTAGCATATATCAGTACTTCATTTCTTTTTACTGCTGAAAAATATTCTATGTCTGGGGGGGATATGCCACATTTTGTCTGTGTTATCCATCTGATGGACATTTGGGTTGTTTCTACTTTTTGATTATTAAAAATAATGCTGCTATAAACAAACCTGCAGGTTTCTATGTAGACGTATGTTTTATCTCTCTTGGGTATACACCTGGGAAAACTTTCAAACTGTGTTTTTCCTCCACTTTCACACAAACACAAAAACAATAAATACAAAAGGCTTCTGTGACCCACAACATGTGGGGATTTCTCTTAACAGCAAGCAAGCAATCAATTCTACAGAAGACACCACCTGGGTGTCTGCCAATTCAATTCTGACCCTATCTACCTGGAGACAGTGTCAGATCCCACAGGACTCTGGGCCCAGTCCCCAGGAGTTCCCCCCAGACCCTCCAACCCGATGGAAGCCTGGGCCTCCAGAACTTCTGACCAACTGGTTTCAAGTTGGGGTTCCCATGACCCCCTCTTTGGGTTCAAATAACTTGATGGAGTGGCTCACACAACCCAGGGAAATATGTTTTACTGGTTTACTTAAAAGATATTACAAAAGATACAGGTGAAAAGACGTTTAGAGTGAGGGATGGGTGAAGGGGTGCAGAGCTTCCATATCATTTCTGGGCACGCCACCCTCCAGGAACCTCCACACGTTCAGCTATCCTGAAGCCCTCTGAACCCTGTCCTTGTGGGTTTTTATGGAGGCCTCATTATGTAGGCAAGATTGACAATCATGCAAAAATGGGATTAGATAAAAAGATCTTATACTAATAGACTGAGTAGGGAAACCCAGCCAGGCCTGTCTGTTCAGAATCTTCTTGGTCTCTCTGTGCAGCATTCCTTCCTCCAGAGTATGGGGCAAAACCTTCTCTGGAATGACGGTCTTATGACCCACTATCAGACTGAGTCCTGCTTTGGGCAGGTGAAAGGAGGGCAGGAGGTCAGAGAGAGAGAGATTCTGTTTCCTCAGGCCTGCTCTTGCCTTCAATATTGTAACAAAGGAATGTAACAACATCTATGTGAGTTATGAGCCAGGAATTGTAGAAAAAAATGCAATATATACAGTGGTATATAGTTTTACTAAAATTACATTATATTATGATGGCTTCTTTATATAACTGTTTTTCTCTATAGATTATAATCTCCTAAAGTTTGGGGACTATGCCTCTTGCTTATATATTCTCAATGCCTGAAACACATTATAAAGTCAATGAATGACTGTCGAATGAGTATTTTGAGGAAAAATAGAAGAACCCATGAGAAAATCGATGGGAAGCCTACCAGGCCACTTTGGAGGTAGGAAAATAAAATTCTAGATATATTAATAGACATGTATTACTCACATACAAGTGAGAAATGACAATAATTATATATTTCTCCTAGGATTCATGATACTCAAAATGAACATTTCTTGCTTTAAAGTTAGAAGTCCACCAAACAGACATTTTTATGTCTCAAGGGACATTTTAATTTATAGATTTATAGCTCTTAAAATTAAATATGACCTCAAGGGAACAAGTATTCTGTCTTCAGGCAGAACATTTTCTGTTATTAACCTATTCAGGAAAAAAAAAAAAACAACTGAGACTAAAATAAATTAAAAGGATTGAAAAAATGTATAAGGACATATCACCGGTAAATGGTATAGTGGAACTTAGAAACCTGCAGTGTTCTTTCCACTATATTCTACTATGGCGCATCCAGTATTTATCAAAGGTCATATTATTCAACAGAATGGTACCTGACTCTTAGTATAGTAACCGAAATCATATATGTATACTGGAATCTAATTACCATTTTGAAAGCATGAAGGGTAACATTTTTAGTTATGTTTAGTTTTGTTATATTCTCTTAGAACAGACTCATTTCAATAACTGGAGACAACTGGCAGGGCACAGTGGCTCACACCCATAATCCCAGGAGGCTTAGGCAGGTGGATCACTTGAGGTCAGGAGTTCGCGACCAGCCTGGCCAACATGGTGAAACCCCATCTCTACTAAAAACACAAAAATTAGCCAGGCATGGTGGTGCACACCTGTAATCCCAGCTACACAGGAGGCTGAGGCAGAAGAATCACTTGAACCCAGGAGGCGGAGGTTGCAGTGAGCTGAGATCGCGCCACTGCACTCCTGCCTGGGTGACACAGCGAGACTCCGACTCAAATAAATAAATAAATAAATAAATGAATAATAAAATAAATAAATAAATAAATACATGGAGACGATCTAGTCTTATGCTCTGTTTTTAAGAAAGAAAAAACTGAGACCTACAAAACTTGAAAAAATTTTCTTAAGTTCACAAGGTAATCAAAGACAGGGCTAGAGTAAGACCTTAACAATTTTAGCCCAATAATCCACTGTCAGTTTTTTGGGTTAGAAATACAAGTGTTAAATTGTCACTGACAATGAACATACATATATATTGTATCATAGTTATGTGATGATAAACATATCAAGCCAAATTGCTGAAGTGGGATACCTCTGAATAGTTCCATAAAATTAAGGTAGGATTATAATTTTAGGTGTCAGAACAGTCATGACAAGGCTTGAAAATTCTAAAGATCAGGATAAGTGATTTTTATCCTGGAAAATAATTTCCTTTACAGTTTTGTTATATTATCTAGTAGCAAAGTCCTAGACATAAACCAGGTGCACAGAAAATATTAATACATGTTAAATTGAAAAAACTACCACGGTCGGTAGTTTCAAATATTAGTCACTAACAAGAGAAGGTCTGTGTAATTTACAGAAAAGGGATAAGAATGCAGGCAGGGAAAACATAATAAAGAGGAGTAATTTGTAAATCATGACAATTTTAAAAACAAGTGTTATTTAGGTCTTTATTAATCTCTGCCACTTCAAAGAGACTTGAACTGAAGTCTGCAAAATCACAAGCGAAATCTATTAGAGGAGCTTTTTAGGAGAAAACTAAAACTTAGATGAATTATGAGCTTAAGAGCTGCTTTTTGGTAAAGGCAGTAAATAACCAGATCTCCTTATGACCAGTGGTATACATCTGTAAGATGGTTCCTAGGATGGGATAAGGAAAGTGATGTCAAAAGTATAAAAACCAGTCTCACACATGGATCAAACCACAGCATGACACCATTGATGATGCTCATATATGTGTGCCCACCCATTTAACTACATTTTTACATAGGGTAGTTTAGTGTTTTTTCCTAACTTAACATTTAGTCCGATTTTTCTATCACTGATGAGTATTTTCCTTAATCTCAATAAAAAGTTATTGTCATATTTTCTTCCTTCAATAAAAAGTTATTGTCATATTTTCTTCCTTCCGTATTCATTCTATGTCTTAAAATTTCTGGCTTCTGATATGCTTTTTACTTACATATAAACCAAGGGTGTCCAATCTTTTGGCTTCCCTGGGCCACAGTGGAAGAAGAGTTGTCTTGGGTCAGACATAAAATACACTAATGCTAACAATAGCTGACCAGCTTAAAAAAAAAAAAAAAGCAGAAAAATCCCACAATGTTTGAAGAAAGTTTATGAGTTTGTGTTGGGCCACGTTCAAAGCTGTCCTGGGCCGCATCCAGTCTGTGGGCATCATGGGTTGGACAAGCTTAATATAAACTATATCAGTCTATATAGTTCTTTTAATTTGAATAATAAAAAAATAAAGTGCACTGTTACTCTTTCATGTGTTTCAATACATGAGAATAAAAACTAGATACAATAAATGTATCAACAGGTAAAAACATATGGACAAATTCCTTGAGTATCTTAGCATACACTGCCTGACACATAGCAGGCTTACAATAATTATGTTGAATGAATGACTGGTTGATTAGCAGAATGAATGACAGAAAGAAACAGGAAGATTCTAGGCATTCTGAGAGGGGCAGGAATTTACCACTAAACAGTTCTTCTGGCATGTAACCATACAGACTAAATTCACTTGCTCTTCTGAAGGAATACTAAAGCTTCCATTCAATAACAGTAGCAGTATTAAGAGCGGCTGTCATACCCCACACCAAAAACTAGGCTAGGCAAGAAGAGTATATTATCTGAGAGAGGGATTTCAGACAGAGTTTGTTCTCAATACTAAATGCACTTCAAGTGTGAGAGTTCTATAAACGTTATTTACAGGTATACAAACATGCGGTGAATAACAGAGACTACTAGTGTCTCGAAACAGGAAAAGTTTGGCAACACAGGATGGTGGAAATACATTTGAGTACACGAAGTAAGGCTGTATAAGTTGAAGACATATATTAAGGTCCTAGAAAATAACAGTATTTAACAAATGTCAGCCCTGTGTTACTGAACTGCTAAACAGTCCTCTGGAGAGAGATGGACGGTGATGGAAGTCTTATCTGTTTTCTACAGCCTGGGCAAACCACACTGCTCCCATCCAGCCCCCACTTCCTACCCAGTTCACAAGGCTGTCACAAACCTGCCCTTATTCTTTTATTTTTAATTGTGGTAAATCATACATAACATAAAATTTGACATTTTAACTATTTTATTTTTATTTATTACTATTATTTTTGAGATGGTGTTTCGCTCTTATTGCCCAGGCTGGAGTGCAGTGGTGCAATCTCAGCTCACTGCAACCTCTGCTTCCTGGATTCAAGTGATTCTCCTGCCTCAGGCATTCCGAGTAGCTGGGATTATAGGTGCCCACCACCATGCCTGGCTAATTTTTTGTATTTTTAGTAGAGACGGGGTTTCATCACCTTGGTCAGATTGGTCTCGAATTCCTGACCTCAGGTGGATCCACCTGCCTTGGCCTCCCAAAATGCAGGGAATACAGGTGTAAGCTGCCACGCCCGGCCAACTATTTTAAAGTATACAATTTTAAGTGCACCATTCAGTGGCATTAAGTACATTCATATTGTTGTACAAGCCATCACCACTGTCCATCTCTAGAACCTTCTCATCATCCCAAACTGAAACTCTATACTTATTAAACAATAACCCCCTGTCTCTAGTCTCTGGAAAACACATATTTGCATTGTGTCTCTACAGATTTACTTATTCTGGATATTTCATAAACATGGAATTATATCATGTGGCCCTTTGCTTCTGACTTCTTTCAGTGTTCATCCCCAGTGTAGCATCTACCAGTCTTTTTTTTAACAAATGAATAACGTTCCGTTGTATGTATATAGCATAGTTAGTCAATCTAGTGATGAACATCTGGGCTCCTTCCACCTCTTGGCTACTGTGAATGGTGCTGCTCTGAACATGGCTGTAAGTGTTATTTGTTTAGCATCTGTTTTCAGTTCCTTTGAGTGTACACCTATGAGCGGAATTGCTGGGTCATATGGTAACTCTATGTTTAACTTTTTAAGAAACCACCAACCTATTTTAAAAAGCAGCTGAGACATTTTACATTCTCACTAGCAATGTATGAGGATTCAATTTTCTCCATGCCTTCACATTTCTTTTTTTCTGTTGTTATTGTTATAGCAATTCTAGTGGGTTTGCAGTGCTATCTTATGTGGTTTTGATTTTCATTTCCCCAATGATTGGTGATGTTGAATACCTTTTCATGTGACTACTGAACATGAGTAAATCTTCTCTGGAGAAATGTCTACTAAAATCCTTTGCTCATCTTTGAACTGAGTTATGTTGTTGTTATTGAGTTGGACTTCTTTATATATTGTGGTTATTAATCCCCTTATCAGATAGATGATAGAAAACATATCGACCAGCTGCAGTGTGGCTCATGCCTGTAATCCCAACACTTTGGGATGCCTAGGCAGGCAGATCGCCAGAGGTCAGGAGTTTGAGATCAGCCTGGCCAACATGGCAAAACCCTGTCTCTACTAAAAAGTACAAAAATTAGCCAGGCGTGGTGGCAGGAACCTGTAGTCCCAGCTCCTCGGTAGGCTGAGGCAGGAGAATGGCTTGAACCTGGGAGGCAGAGGTTTCAGTGAGCTGAGATCGTGCCATTGCACTCCAGCCTGGGCAACAAGAATGAGACTTTGTCCAAAAAAAAAAAAGAAGAAGAGGAGACGAAAATATATCACATATGCAAATATTTTCTCCCATTCTGTGGGGTGCATTTTTACTCTCTCTCTCTTTTTATTTTAGAGATAGAGTCTCACTATGTTGCCCAGGCTGGTCTTGAACTCCTGGGCTCAAGCAATCTTCCTGCCTCAGCCTCCTGAATTGTTAGGATTATAGGCATGAGCCACTGTACCTGGCCCATTTTCAGTCTCTTCATGGTATCCTTTGATATACAAAAGTTTTTAATTTTGATGAAATCTAAGTTATCTATCTTTCTTTTGTTGCCCAAGCTTTTGCTGTCATATACACGAAAACTTGCCAATTGCAATGTCAAGAAGCTTTCCTTCTATGTTTTCTTCTACTAGTTTTATAATTTTAGCTCTTACATTTATATCTTTGACCCATTTTTGTAAATTTTTCTATATACTATAACGTAATAGTCCAATTTCACTCTTTTGTAAGAGGATATTCAGTTTTCCCACCACCATTTGTGGAAAAGACTGTCTTCTCCACACTGAATGATCTTGGTAGCCTTGTTGAACATGTTTGACCATATATGCAAGGATTTATATCTAGGCTTTCTATTCTATTTTATTGGTCTACATATCTGTCTGTATGTCAGTACCACACCATTTTGAGTATTGTAGCTTTGTAGTAAGTTGCAAAAATCAGGAAGTATGAGTTCTCCAACTCTGTTCTTGTTCAAGTTTTTTTTTTTTTCCTTTTGGATCCCTTGAGATTCAATTTTGATGGGGACTGCACCGAATATGATTGCCCTGGGTAGTATTGTCATTTTAATAACATTAAGTCTTCCAATCCATGAACATAAGACGGTTTTCCATTTATTTAAGTTTTCTTTAATTTCTTTCAGCAATGTTTGGACGTTTTCAGTGTTACTTCATTCATTTCTATGATGAAGTAACTTCAAAGTCACTTTGTCCAGTTACTACCACTTGCTTACTGGAGGTCAGTTTCCTCCCTCCCCAGTGTCTGCCTTGGGGTTATATAATTTGTATCATGCTATCCACTCTTTTCCCATTGGACATTAGGTTTCCAAGATTTACCCATATTGATACATATAGTTTTAGTTTTAGTTTCATTCATTTTAACTGCAAGGTAGTATTCCACTGTGTCTTCATTTCCTAGGGCTGCCATAAAAAAATACCACAAATTAAGTGGTTTAAAATAACAGAAATTTATGCTGTTACAGTTCAGGAGGTTAGAAGTCAGAAATCAAGGTTTTGGCAGGGTTAGTTCCTTTTGGAGGCTCTGAGGGAGAATCTGTTCCACAACTCTCTCCTCGTCAGCAATCCTTGGTGTTCTGCGGCTTGCAGCTGCATTACTCCAACCTCTGCTGCGTCATCATATGGCCTTTTTCCTTGTGGATGCTTCTGTGTGACTTCTCTTTTTAGAAAGATACCAGTTGTTGCATTTAGGGCCCATTCTAATCTAGCATGACCTAATCTTAACTAAGACCCTATTCCCAAATAATATCATATTCTGAAGTTCTAAGTGGACATGGATTTGTTTGGGATACTATTCAACCCACTATACATTGATGACTACATATAATTTATTCATCATTATTCTCCTTTTGGACTCTTAGGTTGTTTAAAATTTTTCACTACTAGCATGCTGCAATGAACATCTTTTAAATAATTCTTTGCTTATATGTGTGTTTCTCTAGTGAATGCATTTAGAGGTGGAATTTCTGACAGGATATGGGCATCTTCAACTTTACAATTAGATATTGTCAAATTACTCTCCAAAGGAATTTTATTAATTTACTTCCCCATCAGCGTCAATGAGAGAACCTCTTTTTCCTCCATATAATTGCCAACATCTAATTTTGACTTTGCCAGATGTATACTTTGTTATTACTGCAAAACAAACAACTGAAAATCTCAGTGTATAAAACAATAAGCAATGTATTTATCATATGAGATGGCTGATCTAGGCTGGGGTCTGCTAGAGTAGTGCAGCCAGATCACTTATATCCCATGTGCCCAGCTAGGCACTATTATGATACTCATTTAACAGATCAGAAACTTAGAATCAAAAAATAAGGCAACTTTCCTAATGTCTAATAGCAAATGAGTAACCATTTACAAGCCAGATATCCAGATAATGTTGAATAAAAGGAAATTAAGGTATTATTTTCATGTTCATGATTTTTAAGTGAATGCTTCAAATATTTTACAAGTTAATGTACAGAGTTTCACCTATTGGCAGCGGGGTGTACTGGATGTTGAATTCTGTTGAATACATACTTGATTATGACAGACTTAAAGTCTTAAGATCAAAAAATTTAAACATATGATAGAAGTAGAACCAATAACATAATAAATCCTCATGTACCCATCACCCAGCTTCAACGATTATTAATTCATAATCAATCTTGTTCCATGGCTATCACCATCTACTTCCTCCCTCCATATTACTTTAAAGCAAATCTAAAACATTAGAAAATAACTTTTTGAAACTCAGTAACATTTTTGGAAGGATTTTTGTAACTAAGTTCATATGCAATACTGACCTACACTTTTTCTTTTTCATGATACACATATTTAATTTTGAAATTATAATTTACATTTGCCTCATAAAAGAACTTCAGGAATTTTTTCTCTATATATATCAGAATAATCCATATAAGGCAGGTTATCTGCTCCTTGAAAGTGTGGTAATTGTGTATATTTTCTTGCCATGTATAAAGCTGGGGTTGTTGTTTGATGCATAAAGATTATTAGGGTCAGTCCTCTTATTTTTTCCATCCCTTTACTTTCTTTTCTTTTTGAGATGGAGCTTTGCTATGTTCCAGGCCTGGAGTGCAGTGAGGTGATCTTGGCTCACTGCAACCTCTGCCTCCTGGGTGCAAGCGATTCTCCTGCCACAGCCTCCCAAGTAGCTGGAACTACAGGAATGAGTCACCATGCCCAGCTGATTTTTTTGTTGTTGTTCGTTTTTGTTTTTTTTTTTGAGATGGAGTCTCGCTTTGTCGCCCAGGCTGGAGTGCAGTGGCGTGATCTTGGCTCACTGCAGCTCCGCCTCCCGGGTTCACACCATTCTCCTGCCTCAGCCTCCCGGGTAGGCGGGACTACAGGCGCCCACCACTATGCCCGGCTAATTTCTTTTTGTATTTTTAGTAGAGATGGGGTTTCACTGTGTTAGCCAGAATGGTCTTGATTTCCTGACCTCATGATCCGCCCACCTCGGCCTCCCAAAGTGCTGGGATTACAGGCATGAGCCAATGCGCCCAGCAATTTTTTTGTATTTTTACTAGAGACGGGATTAAACCATGTTGGCCAGGCTGGTCTTGAACTCCTGACCTCAGGTGATCCACCTGCCTCGGCCTCCCCAAGTGCTGGGATTACAGGCGTGAGCCACTGGGCTGGGCCCATCCCTTTACTTTCAACCTTTCAGTGACATTATGCTTTAAATGTCTCTCCTGTAAATAACATATGGCTGGATTTCATTCTTTTAATTTGACAATATTTGTTATTTAACTGGTAATTATAGCCTATTTTCATTTATTGTGATTGAAATATTTGGATTTATTCCTTATCTTAATTTATGCCATTTACCATGTGCTTTCTTTTATTCTTTCTCTTTTCATATGTTCTTTCAGACTGGTAAAGTTTTCTTGCTCATGATCCTCTCTCAATTGGCTTGGAAGTTCTACATTCTAGCTACAGTAATGAATATCCAATATTTTTTAAACAATCACTAACAAATCTAAAGTAAATCCATATCTATCCCCCTCCCATTAAATACAAGAATCCTAAAATGTTTCTGATTTTTTTCTCCCATCTTCTAAGTGTTGCTGTCATGTATTTTAGTTTTAGTTTGTTTTACCTTGCTCTAAACTAGTCACCATTATTACAATACTTGCTTTTACAGTCAATGCTTTAGATTTATCAACATGATTTCCCTGTTTTGTCACAACTTTTTCTCACTACCCTCTCTTTTTTTCTACATTCAATTTTCTTCTTGCTGAAGCACATCCTTAAGTAGACTTCATGGTAAGGGTCCATGAGTGGCAAACTGCTAGGCCTTAGTTTGTTTGAAAATATCTTTATTTTATTCCTACTTTCAACTAATACTTTAACAATACATAAAATGCTAAGTTGACAATGATTTCCCTCAGCACTTTGAGGATATTTTCCTACTTTCTTCTGATATTTTTTGTTGCAGATGAGAAGGTAATTGGTAGTATAACTGGCGTTCCTTTGTTTTCTCTCTGTGGTTAGTTTTAAGATTTTCTATTTGCTTTAATGTTCAACAGTTTCTCCTTGATTTGTTTAGAGGTAGACTGTTTTTATTCATCCTGTTCAGTATACTATGTACTACTCAAATACAAAGATTTCTCTTTCTTACCAATTCTGAAAAATCTGTCTTTTTAAAAAATTATAATACTGCATTTCTCATTCTTTCTTTCTGAAATGTATTAAACATTCTATCTTTAGTGTCTCTTAACTATTCCTATATTTTCCATCCTTATCTGTTGGTTCTACATTCTGGATGATTTGACCAGATCATCTTCTAACTCATGAATTCTCATTTTAGAAGTTCAATTCAAACATTTTTTAAAATGGTTTAACCAAAAACAAAAAACTCAGTGAACATTTCATTTCTAAAAGTTCTTTTTTTCATATCCTGTCATGTTCTTTCACTATGGTTTTATTCCTACTTTTATCTCTTTAATCATTATAGAAATGCTGAGTTTTGTGGTCTCTTTCAGATTGGTTTTCTTATCTCTTATTCTTGTAATGCCAATTTTCTTCTTTGTTGCATCTGCTGACTACCCTCAAAGTTTATGAGTTTTAATAGTGGGCACATCTTTACTGGGTGGGGTAGTGGGGGTGGTCTTTGTTTTTCCTTCTGTGACAGTTCCAAAAACCCTGTTTGGGGTAAGCCTAAAGAATAGTTTTTGCTCTGGCCTCTGTCAGGTGCCCAGAGATTTCAATGGTTCTAGAACACAGGATTTTCTCATTCTCCTTTCACAGAAGGGTAGCCCTTTGAGAGCAGGCTAGAGGCTCAGTTCCAGCTGCCTCTGGACTCAAAGGCACAATTTCTGCCCCAAGTGGGTATTAAAACCCCAGGCACTAACACTTATATTCTGTGGTGTCAGTTTCTGCTAATACTCTGGTTTTGAGCTATTGTTACTGGTACCAAAACTAGATTTACTTTTCATTCTTTTAATCTATACTATGATTACTTTTGTTGTTACTGTTGTTGTTCTTAATACTTAATCTGGCCGGGTGCAGTGGCTTGCGCCTGTAATCCCAGCACTTTGGGAGGCTGAGATGGGTGGATCACGAGGTCAGGAGATAGAGACCATCCTGGCTAACATGGTGAAACCCCATCTCTACTCAAAATTCAAAATATTAGCCAGGCATGGTGGCAGGCGCCTGTAGTCCCAGCTACTCAGGAGGCTGAGGCAGGAGAATGGCGTGAACCTAGGAGGTGGAGCTTGTAGTGAGCTGAGATCGCACCACTGCACTCCAGCCTGGGCGACAGAGCGAGACTCCATCTCAAAAAAAAAAAAAAAAAAATGCTTAATCCTTTCTTGGAACGGTCATTCATATCAGCTCAGTCTGTTAGGTGGCCAGAAATCTCCCAAGGAAGCCTTCTCAAGGATTGATACATTTACTCTTATGTCTATAACATAATATCCGCTTTAGGTAGATATATATATAAAACTTAGGTGGATACCATAGTCATCCTGTGATTTCCAGGTGCAATGAAGAAAATTTAGAATTGACATAGGATATAAGAAAATGATCTGAAGTAGAACAAGCAATGACAGAAAACGAAGGAAAATAAAAATCTAAGGAAAAAGAATAACATAGCATATATAAGGCATAAAAATACATGTAAATTCTCACAGTCTAGATTTCATAACTGCTGACGTTTTGCCATATTTGTTTTATCTCCTGCAACATTCCACTTTTTCATGTCCTATTTTAAGTCACAGTAATCTTCTCATTCTCCTTACTTTGGGAATATTCCTTTTCTGGTTCTGATTCCTCAATTTCTCTCCTAGATGTTTTTCTTCTATGTGCTTCCCTGGTTTTAGCCATCAAATGTATGTCAAGGTCCCCAGTAGTTACATCTCTAGTTCTGATTTCTTAAATTCTACATTAACAACTATCTGCTGAATGTTTCCTGATGTATGTCCCATTTGCATCATAAACTTAGCACATACCAAACTGATTACATATCATTCTCTCTGCCAAACTATCACCTCCTAACCATGCCCCATATTTTTTTAATGGTAACTGTCTCTTCCAATCACCAAGTAGGCATTTTTACTTCTTCCTCCTCCTTATTGCATTATCCAATCAACTGATTTCTTGAATCCTGAACATTCAAGATTTGTCCAGTCTCTCCCCTGGTCTCTATTTCTGTTAGCTACTTCACTCAGGAATTTATTATCTCTTACTAAGACTATTGCAAAAATCTTCTAATGGGTCCTTCTCTTCCCTTTGATCTTATATACTTTTGCAGTGAAATATTTCTAATATGTGGACAACATCACTTCACCTTCTGTATGATTTAAACACTCTAACCTCTCATTCAAGATCTATGATTTGGCTGCGACCTACTTTTACAAACATATTTTCTCTTTATCATTTCAAGAATCCTTTGACCCAGCTAAACTAAATTACTCACTGTTCCTGATGATATGCTCTGAGTAGTTCTGTCTCAAGAGTGATTTATTCCTTAGTTTCTGGAATGTTTTCCCCACCCCACTTCTAAATCTTTCATAAAAATTTTTGGTTTTTTCCTAGGTGGAAGTAATCTTGCCATCTGCTAAACTGCAATAGTACTTTAAACCTCTCACAAAGTACACCTCAAAATATGCTTATTTAGCTCTTTGTCTGACCTTTTCAACTACATGATATAGTGACAGTGGTTAAGAGCATGAGTTCTGGCTGGGCGCAGTGGCTCAGGCCTCTAATCCCAGCACTTTGGGAGGCTGAGGCAGGTGGATCACAAGGTCAGGAGTTTGAGACCAGCCTGGCCAACACAGTGAAACCCCATCTCTACTAAAAATACAAAAAATCAGCTGGGCATGGTGACGGGCGCCTGTAATCCCAGCTATTTGGGAGACTGAGGCAGGCGAATCAATTGAACCTAGGAGGCGGAGGTTGCAGTGAGCCGAGATGGTGCCATTGCACTCCAGCTGAGGCAACAGTGTGAGACTCTGACACAAAAAATAAAATAAAAATAAATAAATTTAAAAAAGCATGAATTCTGAAACCAGTGAAGTGGGTGTGAATCACGGCTATGTCATGTATTAGCTAAGCAGTGTGGGAGAATTTACCTTGCCTCTCAGTTTTCTCCTGTGTAAAATGAAGAAAATAATAGCATCTACCAAATGGAGTTGCTGTGAGAATCAAATAAGTTAATACACATGAAGTGCGCAGAACAGTACCAGGCACACAGTAGCCACTTAATAAATGTTAGCTAATATTCAGGACAAAATTCAGTATGTCTTATTTATCACTGTACCACCCACTCACACTCTTCCACCAGCAGATAGATGGCAACTGTTTTTTATTAAAAAAATTACCACCAACAAAATACTATATAATGTAAAGCATTATACAACCAAATACAAGATTAAGTGGCACAGAAATGTGCTACTAGAAATCAGACAGGGGAAAGATCACTGTAGGGTAAGTTTGTAAAAAAAAATACTTTATGAAAGAGGGGTTCCCCAGGCCAGGTGCGGTGGCTCACACCTGTAATCACAGCACTTTGGGAGGCTGAGGTGGGCGGACCACGAGGTCAGGAGATCGAGACCATCCTGGGTAACACGGTGAAACCCCATCTCTACTAAAAATACAAAAAATTAACCGGGCACGGTGGCGGGCGCCTGTAGTCCCAGCTACTCGGGAGGCTGAGGCAGGACAATGGCGTCAACCTGGGAGGTGGAGCTTGCAGTGAGCTGAGATCGTGCCACTGCACTCCAGCCTGGGCGACAGAGCAAGACTCCATCTCAAAAAAAAATAAGAAAGAAAGAAAGAGGGGCTCCCCAGTGAAACGTTGTTTAAAAGACCTAATGTGGACTAAGGAGAGGAGCCAAGATGGCCGAATGGGAACAGCTCTGGTCTACAGCTACCAGCGTGAGCAACGCAGAAGATGGGTGATTTCTGCATTTTCAACTGAGGTACCGGGTTCATCTCACTGGGGAGTACCAGACAGTAGGTGCAGGACAGTAGGTGCAGCGCACCGTACGCGAGCCGAAGCAGGGCGAGGCATCGCCTCACCCTGGAAGCCCAAGGGGTCAGGGAATTCCCTTTCCTAGTCAAAGAAAGCAGTGACAGACGGCACCTGGAAAATCGGGTCACTCCCACCCTAATACTGCACTTTTCCAACGGACTTAAAAAACGGCACACCAGGAGATTATATCCCGCACCTGGTTCAGAGGGTCCTAAGCCCATGGAGTCTCGCTCATTGCTAGCACAGCAGTCTGAGATCAAACTGCAAGGTGGCAGCGAGGCTGGGGGAGGGGCACCCGCCATTGCCAAGTTAGTTGTTTGATTAGGTAAACAAAGCAGCCAGGAAGCTCGAACAGGGTGGAGCCCACCACAGCTCAAGGACGCCTGCCTACCTCTGTAGGCTCCACCTCTGGGGACAGGGCATAGACAAACAAAAAGACAGCAGTAACCTCTGCAGACTTAAATGTCCCACTCTGACACCTTTGAAGAGAGTAGTGGTTCTCCCAGCACGCAGCTTGAGATCTGAGAATGGGCAGACTGCCTCCTCAAGTGGGTCCCTGATCCCCGAGAAGCCTGTCTGGGAGGCACCCCCCAGTAGGGGCGGAATGACACCTCACACAGCCGGGTACTCCTCTGAGACAAAACTTCCAGAGGAACGATCAGACAGCAGCGTCTGGGGTTCACCAATATCCGCTGTTCTGCAGCCACCGCTGCTGATACCCAGGCAAACAGGGTCTGGAGTGGACCTCCAGCAAACTCCAACAGACCTGCAGCTGAGGGTCCTGTCTGTTAGAAGGAAAACTAACAAACAGAAAGGACATCCACACCAAAAACCCATCTGTACGTCACCATCATGAAAGACCAAAGGTAGATAAAACCACAAAGATGGGAAAAAAACAGAGCAGAAAAACTGGAAACTTTAAAAATCAGAGCACCTCTCCTCCTCCAAAGGAATGCAGCTCCTCACCAGCAAGGGAACAAAGCTGGATGGAGAATGACTTTGATGAGTTGAGAGAAGAAGGCTTCAGACGATCAAACTACTCCGAGCTAAAGGAGGAAATTCGAACCAACGGCAAAGAAGTTAAAAGCTTTGAAAAAAATTAGACGAATGGATAACTAGAATAACCAATGCAGTGAAGTCCTTAAAGGACCTGATGGAGCTGAAAACCAACACACGAGAGCTACGTGACGAATGCAGAAGCCTCAGTAGCCGATGCGATCAACTGGAAGAAAGGGTATCAGAGATGGAAGACGAACTGAATGAAATGAAGCGAGAAGAGAAGTTTACATAAAAAAGAATGAAAAGAAACGAACAAAGCCTCCAAGAAATATGGGACCATGTGAAAAGACCAAGTCTACGTCTGATTGGCGTACCTGAAAGTGACAGGGAGAATGGAACCAAGTTGGAAAACACTCTGCAGGATACTGTCCAGGAGAACTTCCCCAATCTAGCAAGGCAGGCCACCATTCAAATTCAGGAAATACAGAGAACACCACAAAGATACTCCTTGAGAAGACCAACTCCAAGACACATAATTGTCACATTCACCAAAGTTGAAATGAAGGAAAAAATGTTAAGGGCAGCCAGAGAGAAAGGTCGGGTTACCCACAAAGGGAAGCCCATCAGACTAACAGCGGATCTCTCGGCAGAAACTCTACAAGCCAGAAGACAGCGGGGGCCAATATTCGACATTCTTAAAGAAAAGAATTTTTAACCCAGAATTTCATATCCAGCCAAACTAAGCTTCATAAGTGAAGGAGAAATAAAATCCTTTACAGACAAGCAAATGCTGAGAGATTTTGTCACCACCAGGCCTGCCCTAAAAGAACTCCTGAAGGCAGCACTAAACATGGAAAGGAACAACCAGTACCAGCCACTGCAAAAAACATGCCAAACTGTAAAGACCATCAAGGCTAGGAAGAAACTGCATCAACTAACGAGCAACATAACCAGCTAACATCATAATGACAGGATCTAATTCACACATAAAAATATTAACCTGAAATGTAAATAGGCTAAATGCTCCAATTAAGAGACACAGACTGGCAAATTGGATAAAGAGTCAAGACCCATCAGTGTGCTGTATTCAGGAAACCCATCTCACGTTCAGAGACACACATAGGCTCAAAATAATGGGATGGAGGAAGATCTACCAAGCAAATGGAAAACAAAAAAAGGCAGGGGTTGCAATCCTAGTCTCTGATAAAACAGACTTTAAACCAACAAAGATCAAAAGAGACAAAGAAGGCCATTACATAATGGTAAAGGGATCAATTCAACAAGAAGAGCTAACTATCCTAAATATATATGCACCCGATACAGGAGCACCCAGATTCATAAAGCAAGTCCTGAGTGACCTACAAAGAGACTTAGACTCCCACACAATAATAATGGGAGAGCTCCCTCTCCCTCTCCCTCTCCGTCTCTCCACGGTCTTCCTCTCCCTCTCTCTCCACGGTCTCCCTCTGATGCCGAGCCGAAGCTAGACTGTACTGCTGCCATCTCGGCTCACTGCAACCTCCCTGCCTGATTCTCCTGCCTCAGCCTGCCGAGTGCCTGGGATTGCAGGCGTGCGCCGCCACGCCTGACTGGTATTCGTATTTTTTTGGTGGAGATGGGGTTTCGCTGTGTTGGCCAGGCTGGTCTCCAGCTCCTAACCGCGAGTGATCTGCCAGCCTCGGCCTCCCGAGGTGCCGGGATTGCAGACGGAGTCTCGTTCACTCAGTGCTCAATGTTGCCCAGGCTGGAGTGCAGTGGCGTGATCTCGGCTCGCTACACCCTCCACCTCCCAGCCGCCTGCCTTGGCCTCCCAAAGTGCTGAGATTGCAGCCTCTGCCCGGCCGCCACCCCGTCTGAGAAGTGAGAAGCGTCTCTGCCTGGCCGCCCATCGTCTGGGATGTGAGGAGCCCCTCTGTCCGGCTGCCCAGTCTGGGAAGTGAAGAGCGCCTCTTCCCGGCCGCCATCCCGTCTAGGAAGTGAGGAGCGTCTCTGCCCGGCCGCCCATCGTCTGAGATGTGGGGAGCGCCTCTGCCCCACTGCCCCGTCTGGGATGTGAGGTGCGCCTCTGCCTGGCCGCGACCCCATATGGGAGGTGAGGAGCCTCTCTGCCCGGCCGCCCCATCTGAGAAGTGAGGAGCCCCTCCGCCCGGCAGCCACCCTGTCTAGGAAGTGAGGAGCCCCTCCGCCCGGCAGCCGCCCCGTCTGGGAAGTGAGGAGCCCCTCTGCCTGGCAGCCGCCCCGTCCGGGAAGTGAGGAGCCCCTCTGCCCGGCAGCCGCCTGGTCCAGGAGGGAGGTAGGGGGCAGCCCCCGCCCGGCCAGCCGCCCCGTCCGGGAGGGAGGTGGGGGGCAGCCCCCGCCTGGCCAGCCGCCCCGTCCGGGAGGGAGGTGGGGGGCAGCCCC
This sequence comes from Homo sapiens, assembly GCF_000001405.40. Classification (NCBI taxonomy): domain Eukaryota; kingdom Metazoa; phylum Chordata; class Mammalia; order Primates; family Hominidae; genus Homo; species Homo sapiens. The sequence continues at coordinate 21,837,885 of NC_000010.11, forward strand.
CGCCCGGCCAGCCGCCCCGTCCGGGAGGGAGGTGGCGGGCAGCCCCCGCCCGGCCAGCCGCCCCGGCCGGGAGGGAGGTGGGGGGCAGTCCCCGCCCGGCCAGCCGCCCCGGCTGGGAGGTGGGGGGCGTCTCCGCCCAGCCGCTGCCCCGTCCGGGAGGTGGGGGGCGCCTCTGCCTGGCCGCCCCTTCTGGGAAGTGAGGAGCCCCTCTGCCCGGCCGCCACCCCGTCTGGGAGGTGTACCCAACAGCTCATTGAGAACGGGCCAAGATGACGATGGCGGTTTTGTCGAATAGAAAAGGGGGAAATGTGGGGAAAAGATAGAGAAATCAGATTGTTGCTGTGTCTGTGTAGAAAGAAGTAGACATAGGAGACTCCATTTTGTTCTGTACTAAGAAAAATTCTTCTGCCTTGGGATGCTGTTAATCTATAACCTTACCCCCAACCCCGTGCTCTCTGAAACATGTGCTGTGTCCACTCAGGGTTAAATGGATTAAGGGCGGTGCAAGATGTGCTTTGTTAAACAGATGCTTGAAGGCAGCATGCTCCTTAAGAGTCATCACCACTCCGTAATCTCAAGTACCCAGGGACACAAACACTGCAGAAGGCTGCAGGGTCCTCTGCCTAGGAAAACCAGAGACCCTTGTTCACTTGTTTATCTGCTGACCTTCCCTCCACTATTGTCCTATGACCCTGCCAAATCCCCCTCCATGAGAAACACCCAAGAATGATCAATAAATACTAAAAAAGAAAAAAAAATAATAATGGGAGACTTTAGCACCCCACTGTCAACATTAGACAGATCAACGAGACAGAAAGTTAACAAGGATACCCAGGAATTGAACTCAGCTCTTCAACAAGCAGACCTAACAGACATCTACAGAACTCTCCACCCCAAATCAACAGAATATACATTCTTTTCAGCACCACAACACACCTACTCCAAAACTGACCACACAGTTGGAAGTAAAGCACTCTTCAGCAAATGTAAAAGAAAAGAAATTATAACAAACTGTCTCTCAGACCACAGTGCAATCAAACTAGAACTCGGGATTAAGAAACTCACTCAAAACCGCTCAACTACATGGAAACTGAACAACCTGCTCCTGAATGACTACTGGGTAAATAAAGAAAGGAAGGCAGAAATAAAGGTGTTCTTTGAAACCAATGAGAACAAAGACTCAACATACCAGAATCTCTGGGACACATTCAAAGCAGTGTGTAGAGGGAAATTTCTAGCACTAAATGTCCACAAGAGAAAGCAGGAAAGATCTAAAATTGACACCCTAACATCACAATTAAAAGAACTAGAAAAGCAAGAGCAAACACATTCAAAAGCTAACAGAAGGCAAGAAATAGCTAAGATCAGAGCAGAACTGAAGGAAATAGAGACACAAAAAATCCTTTAAAAAATTAATGAATCCAGGAGCTGGTTTGTTGAAAAGATCAGCAAAATTGATAGACCACTAACAAGACTAATTAAGAAGAAAAGACAGAAGAATCAAATAGATGCAATAAAAAATGATAAAGGGGATATCACCACTGATCCCACAGAAATACAAACTACCATCAGAGAATACTATAAACACCTCTACGCAAATAAACTAGAAAATCTAGAAGAAATGGATAAATTCCTTGACACCTACATCCTCCCAAGACTAAACCAGGAAGAAGTCGAATCTCTGAATAGACCAATAACAGGCTCTGAAATTGAGGCAATAATCAATAGCTTACCAACCAAAAAAAGCCCAGGACTAGATGGATTCACAGCCGAATTCTACCAGAGGTACAAGGAGGAGCTGGTACCATTCCTTCTGAAACTATTCCAATCAATAGAAAAAGAGGGAATCCTCCCTAACTCATTTTATGAGGCCAGCATCATCCTGATACCAAAGCCTGGCAGAGACACAACAAAAAAAGAGAATTTTAGACCAATATCCTTGATGAACATCGATGCAAAAATCCTCAGTAACATACTGGCAAACCAAATCCAGCAGCACATCAAAAAGCTTATCCACCATGATTAAGTGGGCTTCATCCCTGGGATGCAAGGCTGGTTCAACATACGCAAATCAATAAATGTAATCCAACATATAAACAGAACCAAAGACAAAAACCACATGATTATCTCAATAGATGCAGAAAAGGCCTTTGACAAAATTCAACAACGCTTCATGCTAAAAACTCTCAATAAATTAGGTATTGATGGGACGCATCTCAAAATAATAAGAGCTATCTATGACAAACTCACAGCCAATATCATACCGAATGGGCAAAAACTGGAAGCATTCCCTTTGAAAACTGGCACAAGACAGGGATGCCCTCTCTCACCACTCCTAGTCAACATAGTGCTGGAAGCTCTGGCCAGGGCAATCAGGCAGGAGAAGGAAATAAAGGGTATTCAGTTAGGAAAAGAGGAAGTCAAATTGTCCCTGTTTGCAGACGACATGATTGTATATCTAGAAAACCCCATCGTCTCGGCCCAAAATCTCCTCAAGCTGATAAGCAACTTCAGCAAAGTCTCAGGATACAAAATCAATGTACAAAAATCACAAGCATTCTTATACACCAATAACAGACAAACACAGAGCCAAATCATGAGTGAAATCCCATTCACAATTGCTTCAAAGAGAATAAAATACCTAGGAATCCAACTTACAAGGGATGTGAAGGACTTCTTCAAGGAGAACTACAAACCACTGCTCAACGAAATAAAAGAGGATACAAACAAATGGAACAACATTCCATGCTCATGGGTAGGAAGAATCAATATCGTGAAAATGGCCATACTGCCCAAGGTAATTTATAGATTCAGTGCCATCCCCATCAAGCTACCAATGACTTTCTTCACAGAACTGGAAAAAAACTACTTTAAAGTTCGTATGGAACCAAAAAAGAGCCTGCATCGCCAAGTCAATCCTAAGCCAAAGAACAAAGCTGGAGGCATCACACTACCTGACTTCAAACTATACTACAAGGTTACAGTAACCAAAACAGCATGGTACTGGTACCAAAACAGAGATATAGACCAAAGGAGCAGAACAGAGCCCTCAGAAATAATGCCGCATATCTACAACTATCTGATCTTTGACAAACCTGACAAAAACAAGCAATGGGGAAAGGACTCCCTATTTAACAAATGGTGCTGGGAAAACTGGCTAGCCATATGTAGAAAGCTGAAACTGGATCCCTTCCTTACACCTTATACAAACATTAATTCAAGATGGATTAAAGATTTAAATGTTAGACCTAAAACCATAAAAACCCTAGAAGAAAACCTAGGCAATACCATTCAGGACATAGGCATGGGCAGGGACTTCATGTCTAAAACAACCAAAAGCAATGGCAACAAAAGGCAAAATTGACAAATGGATCTAATTAAACCTAAGAGCTTCTGCACAGCAAAAGAAACTACCATCAGTGAACAGGCAGCCTACAGAATGGGAGAAAATTTTTGCAACCTACTCATCTGACAAAGAGCTAATATCCAGAATCTACAATGAACTCAAACAAATTTACAAGAAAAAAACAAACAACCCCCATCAACAAGTGGGCGAAGGATATGAACAGACACTTCTCAAAAGAAGATATTTATGCAGCCAAAAAACACATGAAAAAATGCTCACCATCACTGGCCATCAGAGAAATGCAAATCAAAACCACAATGAGATACCATCTCACACCAGTTAGAATGGCGATCATTAAAAAGTCAGGAAACAACAGGTGCTGGAGAGGATGTGGAGTAATAGGAACATTTTTACACTGTTGGTGGGACTGTAAACTAGTTCAACCATTGTGGAAGTCAGTGTGGCGATTCCTCAGGGATCTAGAACTAGAAATACCATTTGACCCAGCCATCCCATTACTGGGTATATACCCAAAGGATTATAAACCATGCTGCTATAAAGACACACGTATGTTTATAGCGGCACTGTTCACAATAGCAAAGACTTGGAACCAACCTAAATATCCAACAATGATAGACTGGATGAAGAAAATGTGGCATATATACACCATGGAATACTATGCAGCCATAAAAAATGATGAGTTCATGTCCTTTGTAGGGACATGGATGAAACTGGAAACCATCATTCTCAGCAAAGTATTGCAAGGACAAAAAACCAAACAACGCATGTTCTCACTCATAGGTGGGAACTGAACAATGAGAACACATGGACACAGGAAGGGGAACATCACACACCTGGGACTGTTGTGGGGTGGGGGGAGGGGGGAGGGACAGTATTAGGAGATATACCTAATGCTAAATGATGAGTTAATGGGTGCAGCACACCAACATGGCACATGTATACATATGTAACGAAACTGCATGTTGTGCACATGTACCCTAAAACTTAAAGTATAATAAGAATTAAAAAAAAAAAACCTCATGTGAGAGAAGCAAATAGGATGAACTGACAGGATAATAGCGAAGAAAGTATTAGCAGGCATGAGATAATAAGAGATTGGACTAGGATGGTAGCACTGAGGGATTTCCAAGGAAGAGATGAAAACACAGAGAGGTAGGGCCAGGATAAACTGGACTTGTAAAACAAGAAGTTTTTTAAAAAGCGTATATAATTCTGAGTCTATGGTATTGTCAGAATAAGTTACAAGTACAGATATGAGAAAGTTGGGAGAATTAAGTTCAGTTTTACCTATGTTGAATTTCAGGTACACTGAACGCCATCTTATGGCAAGGTCCTGTAGATAGCTATAAAGAATAGGCAAGAGGTTTTAAAGATGTAAATTGAGAAGTCCTCAGGATAGAATGAAATGAAATGAGGCACAAATGAACTGGCAGGAGTAAATATGGAGGATGAACAGAGGATGACGGAGTACAGTTTGTGAGAAAATTCCACCTCTGCCTTCCCATAATTAAGGATGGTCTCTAATAAAATTAATAGTCTAATTATCAAAAACTATCAATGAATGTTCTGATAAGGGATATACATAATCTCAAAAATTAGGAACAGTAAAATCTACTATCTCTCTAGTGATAATATAAACTTCATGAGAGCAGGGGTCATTATGTTCTCAAATGTATCCCCTGTGCTTAGTTCAGTACCTTATACATAGTAGTCAACAGATTTCTTATTAGTTGAATAAATAAAAAGCAGCGAAAAGTATGCTTGTGGATGAAAAGAGTATCGATATTGAATACCTAGGATGGTGTGCATATATTAAGCAAAAAGCCAGCATCAGAGGTATAAAATCCTTGAAAACAAATATTATTTGGAATTGAGGAAAAATGTCTCATGAATTGAAATTTAAGTTGGAATTAGAGGAAGTATGTATGATTATTGGAATAAGCTTAATTCTATTTTTCGTCACATACATGTATATATTAGTAAAATGATCCAAAACATTTATTTAGCTAACTTTGTAATCTCTGTGAAGTCCCAGCTTTTAGGTAAAGAGCTAATTTTTAAATTCAAATCAAAGAATGCAGTGCTGACTTCTAATAATCAAAATCCCAGATTTAATTAGTACATTTACTTAGAGGTTTCCCTTTTTTTTTTTTTTTTTTTGAGACAGAGTCTCACTCTGTCGCCCAGGCTGGAGTGCAGTGGCACAATCTCAGCTCACTGTAACCTCTGCCTACTGGGTTCAAGTGATTATCCTGCCTCAGCCTCCCAAGTGGCTGGGAGTACAGGCACGTGCCACCATGCCCAGCTAATTTTTTGTATTTTTAGTAGAGACCAGGTTTTACCGTGTTAGCCAGGATGGTCTCAATCTCCTGACCTCGTGATCCACTGCCTCAGCCTCCCAAAGTGCTGGGATAACAGGCGTGAGCCACTGTGCCTGGCCTACTTAGAGATTTTCTTAATGACCTCAAAATTCAGAAATGATTTTACAATCTTTTTTTTTTTTTTTAAGAGGAAGTCTCACTCTGTCATCCAGGCTGAAGTGCAGTGGTGTGATCTCAGCTCCCTGCCACCTCAGGCTCCTGGGTTCATGCAATTCTTGTGCCTCAGTGATATGGTTTGGCTGTGTCCTCACACAAATCTCACCTTGAATTGTAATAATCCCCACCTGTCAAGGGCAGGGTGAGGTGGAGATAACTGAATCACAGGGGGAGTTTCCCCCATACTGTTCTCATGGTAGTGAGTAAGTCTTACAAGATCTGATGGTTTTATAAATGGGAGTTCCTCAGCACAAGCTCTCTTGCCTGCTGCCATGTAAGATGTGTCTTTGCTTCTCTTTTGCCTTCCACCATGATTATGAGACCTCCCCAGCCAAGTGGAACTGTAAGTCAATTAAACCTCTTTCCTTTATAAATTATCCATTCTCGATTATGTCTTTATTAGCAGCATGAAAATGGACCAATATACTCAGTCTCCCGAGTAGCTGGGATTACAGCTGTGCGCCACCACACCTGGCTAATTTTTTTTTTTTGTATTTTTAGTACAGGTTGGGTTTCACAACGTTGCCCAGGCTGGTCTCGAATCCTGGCCTCAAGTGATCCACCCACCTCAGGCTCCCAAAATGTTGGGATTACAGGCATGAGCCACTGTGCCTGGCCCAATCTTACTGTCATTGGACAGTACTTCATCTGTGCAGTCTTGAGTTATGTAAGGAGACATGAATATTAAGATTTTTAGAAGTACATAGAGAATAATGGCAAGCTAAAAAGTTTCGGGCAGAGACACACCAGTAAAGAGACTATACTGCAATTAAAAACTATTATTCAACTTTGCATTTTTGATCCTATTAATCATTTTGAAACATATGTTGATTTTCAACTCAGTTTGTTTAGTTTACTAATACATCCACAATAGTCTACCCCACCACCACCCCATTAGAATAGGTATTAAAGATACTATCATTTAAGAGGAAAAATGGCTGTTTTTTTAAAAAAATAGATTTTTGGCTGTGCACAGTGACTCACGCCTGCAATCCCAACACTTTGGGAGGCCAAGGTGGGAGGATCAATTGAACGTGAGCTCAATACCAGCCTTGGCAACATAAGAGACCCTGTCTCTGCAAAAAAATTTTAAAAATTAGGCATGGTGGTGCCTACCTGTAGCCCAAGCTACCCAGGAGGCTGGAGCAGGAGGACTGCTTGTGCACAGGAGGTGCCACTGCTTGGCTGCAGTGAGCCTAGATCATGCCAATGCACTCCAGCCTGGGTGACAGAGTATGAGACTCTGTCTCAAAAAATTTATATGTGTACACACAGATTTTTAAATTTCCCTACGGTGGAGAGATTGTCTGGGTTTGGTAGTTACGTAGCTATAACCGTAAAAGCCTTCCTAGATAATACACTGTATTTTGGGGGCTTCTGTTTGTCCTTTCAAGTAGCACTAGTGACAAGATGATAAACTGCAAATTTGTTTGTCTCGTGTGCCATTGCATAGATTCTGATCTTCCATCAAGCAAGCTGGAGGGGAAAAAAAGTCACTTTTAAGTAGTTAATAAATGGTACACTAAAATTCCTAACTATGTCTGCATAAACTACATAAAAATTAGAACTTTTTTTTTTTTTTTTGAGACTGGGTCTTGTTCTGTTGCCCAGGCTGGAGCACAGTGGTGTGATCTCGGCTCACTGCAACCTCCGCCTCCAGGGTTCAACCTATTCTCCTGCCTTAGCCTCCCGAGTAGCTGGGACTATAGGTGTGTGCCACCATGCCCGGCTAATGTTTGTATTTTTAATAGAGACAGGGTTTCACCATGTTGGCCAGGCTGGTCTCGAAATCTTGACCTCGGCCTCCCAAAGTGCTGGGATTACAGACATGAGCCACTGTGCCCTGCCTAGGACATTAATTTTTAAACTGGGCTCTAAAACTAACTGGTGGCACTTAGAAGTATAAAGTATTAATTCAATTATTTTTTTATTGTGAAATGCTCCAAGGCAATTGTTTTAATGCAGAAAATAATTATTAAAAAAACACTCTGGTAATCTGATAGTAAGATAATCAAGCATGTACATAAAATATACAACAATATGAAAAGGTAAATATATTCTTGGTAATATGCCCCCAGGAAGAAGTACATTAAATGAGTCTATATTAAATTTTACCTATTTGAATTAAGAAACTTTTGAAAAAAGAACCATTTCAGCTTCAGATTTCCTTAACCACCTCTAGATTAAATTGTAATTGCTAAGTAGAATATCCATAGTTGAACCAAATTTAGTTATGAAAGATCTATAATGCAACAGCCATGATCCAATTAAAGGTAGACTGGTATAATGATTAAAAGTACTGGGGTCAAATAAACCTCCTCATGTTAACGCATCAGTAAATGGGAAATAATAATAATGTTATCTCACATAGTTGATGTAAGGCTTAATTGAGGTAGTTTGCGTACAATGTCTGTGAACTGAAGGAGTTCAAGCACAATGCCTGTCATGTAATAAATAATAAACAAACATTAACCGCTATTACTATCATCCTCTTTTAATTCTGAAGGTAGATACCTGCTACTTTATTGGAACTCCCTTAGAAAACAATTTTGGGCTCTGCCAAAAATCATTTAATATGGCAAAAAAAAACCAAAGGTTTAAAGTTTCCTCAATATGGTTGACCAGGTATCTGGACCATCCCTGTGGCTAAATGCATCTGTGGATAAGGTGTTACTATGTTTAAAGAAATAAAAGACCAGCATGAAAATATCCACATATGCAGAGGTATTAGAAAAATATAAATATTTACCAAAAGGATTTGATAAAGTACCAAGTAGAGCCTCTACCATTAAAACTTTTTAAAATTGAAATATAATATTCAGCAGATAGGTATAAAAGCAAATTAAATATATATGTTACAAAGAGTATTAGCGAGATGGAAGACAGAAAATTTAAAAGCCAGCCAAAATGAGGTTAGGATTAAACACTATATCCCAAGTATCAAAGTGTTTTACATTAACAGATTTAATCTTCCCAACAACCTACTATTATCTCCATTTTACAACACAAAATAATGAAACTGGTGTTGTCTCGTTTGTATTTCAAAAATAAACATTTCCATATCAAAGATGAAAGACAAATGGATAATGACTTTTTTTTTTTTTTTTTAAACTCCGTTTTCAGTTCTGGCTTAGATAGGAGAGGTGATAACTAAGAATCCTGCTTGAAGGTGTCAAGGACAAATAGATAGGAAGCTTCTATGATAAAGAGATAAACATTTTTCACATAATACAGTTACTAGAAATAAATATGTATTACTCCTAGGTCCCTTCCCCTTTTCTAGCTGTTTAGCTCTTATTCCTCAATGTTCAGCTCAAGTGTAATTTCTTTTCCCTTAGGTGTCACTTTGCATCTATGCATTATTTTACTTTTACATTCATAGTGTGTTATAAGCATTGTCACTTCCAAACTGTGTGCCTCTAGGAAAGAACCAGCAAAGTAGTCATAAAAATGTCACACAGTTAGGATTCAGCAATTTTTGTGACTCCAAAATATCATTTACTTTCTCCCAATTTTCTTCTTTTAAAATTGATATATAATAATTGGACATATTTATGGGGCACATGTGATATTTTGATGCATGCATACATATATTAAATCAGGGTAATTAGGATATCCATCACTTGAAAAATTTATCATTTCTTTGGGTTGGGAATATTCCAAATCTTATCTTCTAGCTGTTTTGAAATATACAACAAATTACTGTTAACTATGGTCACTCTACCATGCCATCAAACACTAGAACTTATTCTTTCTAACTGTATTTTTGCAACCGCTAACCAGCCTCTCTTCATCATCCCTCCCTCCTACCTTTGTCAGCCTCTAGTAACTATCATTCTACTTTCTACCTCTGTGAGATCAAGTTTTTCAGCTGTCACATATGAGTGAGAACTTACAATAGTTATCTTCTTGTGCATGGCTTATTAAAATTAACATAACGTCCTCTAGTTCCATCTATGTTGCTGCTACTAACAGAATTTCATTCTTTTTTCATGGTTGAATGATATTCCATTGAGTGTGTGTCCATATATATATGGACAAACACACCATTTTCTTTATCCATTCATATCCTAATGGACACTTAGGTTGATTTTGTTATCTTGGCTATTGTGAATAGTGGTGCAACAAAAATGGGCATGCAGGTATCACTTTGATACCCTGGTTTCCTTTCTTTTGGATACATACCCAGCAAATGGATTGCTAAATCGGATGGTAGATCTATTTGTAGTTTCTTGAAGAATGTCCATACTGTTTTCCATAGCAGTTATACTCACTTTCTCACCAACAGTGAACTATTAGTGTTTCCCTTTCTCTACATCCTTGCCAACACTTGTTGTTTTGTCTTTTTGATAACAGTCACTTTAACTGGGGTCAGATTATATCTCATTTTGGTTTTGATTTGCATTTCCCTGATGATTAGTGATACTAAGCATTTATTTTCATATACTTGTTGGCCATTTCTATGCCTTCTTTCGAAAAATGTCTATTAAGATCATTTGCTCATTTTAAAATCAGATTATTTGCTATTGAGTTGAGTTTCTTATATATTCTAGTTATTAATCCCTTGTCAGATGAATAGTTTGCAAATATTTTCCTCCATTCCATAGGCTGTCTCTTTGTTGCTTCCTTTGTTGTGCAGAACATTTTTAGCTTGTTGCAATCCTTTTTGTCTATTTTTGCTTTTGTATTCTGTGCTTTTGAGGTCTTACCCCTAAAAAAATCTTTGCCCAGACCAATGTCCTGAAGTATTTCCCCAATATAACCCCACTTTCAATATGGATAGAACATCTAGAAAGAAGATAAATAGGGAACCAGAGGATTTGAATAACATTATAAACCAAATAGATCTAACAGACATCTACAGAACAATCCATCCAATAACAGCAGAATACACATTCTTCTCCAGTGCACATGGAACATTCTCCAGGATAAAACATGTATCAAGCCACAAAACAAGTGTCAATAAATTTTAAATTGCTCAAATCACACAAAGTATCTTCTGTAATCACAAGAAATGAAGATAGAAATCAGCAACAGAAGAAAAACGAGAAAACTCAAAGCATGTGGATATTAAAACACTCTTAACCAATGAGTACAAGAAAAATCAAAAGGGAAATTTGAAAACACTCAGAAACAAATTAAAATAATAATAAAGCATACCAAAATGTATGAATACAGTGAAAGCAGTGTTTGAAGGTAATCTTATAATAGTAAATGCCAGCCAGGCACAGTGGCTCAAGCCTGTAATCCCAGTACTTTGGGAGGCTGAGGCAGGTGGATCACCTGATGTCAGGAGTTCAAGACCAATCTGGCCAACATGACAAAACCCTGTTTCTACTAAAAATACAAAAAAAATTAGCCAGGCATGGTGGCACGCACCTGTAATCCCAGCTACTCAGGAGGCTGAGGCAAGAGAATCATTTGAACCCAGAAGTCAGAGGTTGCAGTGAGCCGAGATCGTGCCACTGCACTCCAGGCTGGGTGACAGAGTGGGACTCCGCCTCAAAAAAAAAAAAAAAAAAAAAAAAAAAGTAAATGCCTACACTGATAAGAAGTATTTCAAATTAATAATTTAGACTTTATTCCTGAAGGAAGTAGAAAAAGGAGATCAGAGACCAAAGCTAGCAAAAGGAAGGAAATAATAAAAATGAAATAGAGAACAGATAAATAATAGAATCAATGAAACAAAATGTCATTTTTTTAAAAAGACAAAACTGACAAGCCAATACTGACAGGGGGAAAAAAAGAGGGGAGATGCAAATAACTCAGTCCTTTTCAAAATCTTAAAAAATCTGAAGAGAAGGGAACATTTGCTAACACATTTTATGATGCCAGTATTACACTGATTTCCAAGTCTGACAAAGACAGCATGAGAAAAGAAACTATAGACCAATATTGTTTATAGATATTGATACAAAAATCATCAAAAAAATATTAGCAACCCAAATCGAAAAGTGTATGAAAACAATTATACACTAAGATGAAGTGAGGTTTATCCCAGGAATGCAAGGTTGGTTCAACATGAGAAAATCATTCAATGTAATACATCACATTAATAGATAAAAGGGAAAAAAAAACCACACATGATCATCTCAATTGATGCAGAAAAACATTTGACAAAATTCAACACCCTTTCCTAATTAAAACACCCAATAAAGTAGGAATAGAAGGAAACTACCTCAACATAATAGAGGTCATTTGTGGAGAAACCATAGCTAACATCATACTCAATGGTAAAAGACTAAAAACTTTCCCGTTGAGATCAGGAACAAGATAAGGATGCCCACTTTAGCCACTTCTGTTTAAACATAGTACTGGAAGTTCTAGCCAGGGCAACTGTGTAAGAAAGAGAAATAATGGACATCTGAATTGGAAGGAAAAAGTAAAATTATCTCCGTTCACAGATATCATCTGATATGTAGAAAACTCTGAAGACCCTACAAAAAAAACTAGTAGAATTAACAAATTCAGTAACATTATAGGTACAAAAATCAATACATAAAACGCAGTTGGGTTTCTAGACACTAACAATGGACAATATAAACAAGAAAACTAAGAAAACAATTCCATTTACAACAGCATGAAACAGAATAAAATACTTAGGAATAAATTTAACTAAGGAGGTGAAGGACTTGTATACAGAAAATTACAAAACACTGCTGAAAGAGATTAAAGGAGACAGAAATAAATGGAACGACATCCCATGTTCATGTATTGGAATACTTAATATTTAAATTTTCTTTTCTTTTTTTTTTTTTTTACTTAGTGCTTCCTAGCACAAGGGAGACAATATTGTTAAGATGTGACTACTATGCACATCTATGCACATCAATGCAATACCCAACAAAATCCCAATGACATGTTTTGCAGAAACAAAAAATTCCATGCTAAAATTAATTAAAATCTCAAGGAACCCTAAATAGCCAAAATGAACTTGGAAAAAGAACAAAGGCTGGAGAATTCACACTTCCTGATTTGAAATTTTACTACAAAGCTATTGTAATCAAAATATTGTGGTACTGGCATGAAGACAGACACATAGAACAAGAGAAAAGAATAGAGAGGCCAGAAATAAACCTTGCATATATGATCAAATGGTTTTTGACACAGGTGACAAGTCCATTTAATGGAGATAGAAACAGTCTCTTCAACAAATAGTCCTGAGACTATACATACAGAATGAAGCAGGACCCATAACTCACACCACAAATAAAAATTAATGCAAAATGAATCAACAACCTAAATATAATAAGAAAAACCATAAAATTCATAGAAGAAAGCATAGGGGTAAAATTCACGCTCTTGGATTTGACAATGCATTCTTAGTCCAAACAACAAAAATAGAAGTCAATCAATTGGACTTCATCAAAATTAAAAACTTTTGTGCATGAAAGAACATTATTATGAAAATGAAAAAACTCCTACAGGATGAGAGAAAATATTTACAATTCGTATATCTGATAAGCACCTAGTATGCAGAATTATAACAAACTCAACAACAAAAAGACAACCCAATTCAAAAAAGGGCATTTATTCAAAGAAGCTACACAACAAATGGCCAAAAAACATGTGAAAAGATTCTCAACATCATTACTCACTAGGGGAATGCAAATCAAAACCAAAGTGAGATAGTGAGATATCACTGCACACCCTAGGGTGGCTATAACAATCACAACCACAACAAAAGTGAAAAATAACAAGTGAAGGTGAGAATATGGAGAAAATGGAATCCTCGTATATTGCTAGTGAGAATGTAAAATGGTTCGGCTGCAGTGGAAAACAGGTTGATGGTACATCAAAAAGTTAAACATAAAATTACCATCATCACCTAGCAATTCCAATCAGGTATATACCCAAAGCAATTGAAAACATAAACTCAAATAACCATACACACATTTGTAGCACCATCATTTACAATACGTAAAAGGTAGAAACAGCCCAAACATTTATCAATGGATGAATGGATAAACAAATTGTAAGATACGGCCGGGCGCAGTGGTTCATGCCTGTAATCCCAGCACTTTGGGAGGCCGAGACGGGTGGATCACTAGGGCAGGAGATCGATACCATCCTGGCTAACACAGTGAAACCCCATCTCTACTAAAAATACAAAAAATTAGCTGGCCTGGTGGCGGGCGCCTGTAGTCCCAGCTACTCGGAAGGCTGAGGCAGGAGAATGGTGTGAACCCGGGAGGCGGAGCTTGCAGTGAGCCGAGATCACGCCGCTGCACTCCAGCCTGAGCGACAGAGTGAGACTCTGTCTCAAAAAAAATAAAAAATAAAAAAAATAAAAAATTGTGAGATACACACACACACACACACACACACACACACACACACACACACGGAATATTATTCAGCCATAAAAAGATTGATACTAGCTACAAAGTGGATGACCATCAAAATATGCTAAGAGAAAGGAGGCAGAAACAAAAGGTCACATACTGTATGAGTTCCTTTAAATGAAATATTCAGAACAGGTAAATTCATAGAGACAAAATGCAGACTGGTGGTTGTCACGGGCTGGTGGAGGTGGGCAATGAGAAGCAATTGCTCAATGGGTACAGTTTCCTTTTGAGGTGATATCATGTTTTGGAGCTAGACAGAGGTGGTGGTTGGACAACACTGTGAATGTCCTAAATGCTACTGAATTGTTCATTTTAAAAGGTTAATTTTATGTTATATGGATTTCACCTCAATTTTTAAAAACTCTTATAGCAACAATAAAATCATACCTCATTGTGAGATCCACCAGAAAAGCTAAAATGAAAAAAGACATACAATATCAAGTGTTGTCAGGGTGTGGAGCAACAGAAATCCTCATGAACTAACTGGTGGATGTATAAATTGGTTACAATTACTTGGGAAGACTGGCAACATTTACCAGACGTAAACCATATGCATACCAAGCATAATGCTTGGTTAGGTGCTCAATAAATATTTATTGATTGAACTAACGAAGTACCCACTTTTTTTTTTTTTAGGTACTATGCTAAGAAACAGGACATAAATGAAAAGATATGGTTTGCTCTCCTAATAAAGATACACACACAAATGATTATAATATGCTTATATTGTGGAGGGTGGATATTGTAGTGGTTTTGGAGTCAGATCATTTGAGTTCTGACTCCACCATTTACTAGTTAGCTATGATTTTCAGCAAGTCTGAATTTTATTTCTGCATCAATTATAAAATATCTTTCCTTTCCACTCTCACTCCACAGTTTCAGTCTACTGCTGCTACTTTCACCTTTACAAAACAGAGCATGTCAATACCCCATTCCTTCCAGCTAAAAATCCAAAGATTCCCTACTACATAAAATAATCTAAACTTCTTATCTTGGCATTCAAAAACTTCTACATTTTGTTACCTACCTTTCTTTCCAGCTTTATCTCATATTCTACTCCTGCCATGTTCCAGAAGTCATTCTGGCCTGCTATATCTTATTTGGAATATACTGTTGAAATGTCTTGGCTTTGTGTCTTTGCGCCACATGTGTTTCTTCCAAGAATTCACTCTCTGTACTTTGAGTATTGTTAGTTCATGAGAAAGTGAGTCTTTCATGGTACTATATATTGATAAAGGGTCTTTTGCATTTAATTTTACTTAACATGTAGATTAACCCTGGGAGAGAGTAAACTGACCACGTTTATGGAAGTAGTCTGATACACACTAAAAATGAATAAAAATTAGCATTCAGGAGCACACTTTGGCCTCCCTGACCTTTTATTTCGGTAAAAAAAGTTATTTCCTCAATACTAACCATATTGTTGTACCAGAATATCTCTACTTAAAAACTGTCACTGACAGCCTGGCCAACATGGTGAAACCCTGTCTCTCCTAAAAATATAAAAATTAGCTGGGCGTGGTGGTGCACACCTGTAATCCTAGCTCATCAGGAGGCTGAGGCAGGAGAATTGCTTGAACCCAGGAGGCAGTGGTTGCAGTAAGCCGAGATTGCACACTCCAGCCTGGGCGACAGAATGAGACTCCATCTCAAAAAAAAAAAAAAAAAAAAAAAAAAAAAGACTATCACTGGGGAAACTGCTTTTCTGGTTCATCCATTTGAATCTAATCCAGTGTCAAAACTTATCAAGTTAGCTCTGCCACCCCTGTTATTCCTAGTTGTGAATATGGGAAGATACTCCCAGAAGTTTAAAATGACGGAAATAAGATTGTCCTTTGAAAGATCAACACATAAAGGATAAGAACATGTAATAGACATTGAGTGATTAAGTGAAACAAATTAGTGGCATCAGTCTAATTCACCAACTCAATTTAATTACATTTACCCTATAGACACTACAGTGGATACAAAGATAAAAAGGCCATGAACTCAACCATCAGGTTGTTTATAGTAGAAGAGAAGAGAAATATAAGTCACCAGGTAATTATAATATAAGAATTATATCTCAATTCTTCCTAAAAGGTAGTTATTTATATTAATAAGGCTGGATGCAGGGAAAACAACATAAAATACAAAAACTAAATCCTATACTATACAATATGGTGAAAAAACCTTACATTATAAAAGGACTATCAGATACAAATGTGGATCTTTAAAAAAAAAAAAAAAAAAAACTGTTTCTCCATAGGTATAGTTGTATTTTAAATATTATCAAACTTTTACTTTTGGAAAGCATTTAATACACTATAACTTGTCTTTTCTATAATTTCCTTACCTCTACAAAAATAAAATCTAATTAATTTAAGTATCTGTTTTACATAATGTCATATTCCTAAGACAGAAGTGGTGCATTTAGAGATACAGGAAAAAAAACAAACAAACAGGAAGTAGTATTCACCTAATCAGTAATGTGATGTCTGATTGGAAGAAGTAGCATATCAGTTGTTAGGAAGTGAAAAGCATTCTCAGATTTCAAAGCAACATAGATGTGATAAGATTCAAGGCAGAAGAGAGCAGGTGGTATGACAGCAGCCATTAATTATAAGATACACTTATAATTAGGTTTAACAAAAGACCTACTTTAAAGACTTAATTATCAATATTATCTTGGCGTTTTAAAAATTGATTGTAAACTGTTTTTATTGTAGAAAATTTCTAAGAAAATAAATTTATAACTAAAAAATTAAAGTCAAATGGCCATCACAAGAGAATGGTTGTAAAGTTTCTCAGCCATCTGTGAAATACAGTCTTCGATATTACGAAACTAAAGATAACATTAGAGAGTATTAGTAAGTGAATGAGACATGCTGATAAAAATCTACTTTAACCATAGTTCCATTAATTCTTCTAGAAAATCATCTAGTTAAGATCTGACTTTTTTTGTATTGCATTGTTAAAAAGTTCTACCTCTAATAGAATCTTAAAAAATATAGGCATTTAATCAATACTGACGGAGTTAAAATAGGATTTTAATAAAGCAAGAATACAAAACACATAAACAGTGAATAAACAGCCCATTTTTTTGAGCTCTCAAATCACTGGCCCTTTTCTGTCACGATGATCAAAAGAACTCTGAAGTGTATTTTTAATAGTGCCATATAATAATTCATTCATTAGGGTGTCTTTTCTTTCATCCATTCTGCAACAGTTAGAGACAAGGTTTAGAGAAAGTTATTCTTTTTATCTTGATACTTTACTTATGTGATAAATATCTTTAATTCAAAAGGCCAAATCAATAACATATATGATTTTCTAATAGGCAAAGCTCAGATTTTTGAAAAAAATAAAACTGTTTTAGACAATGTATGTGATAAAAAACAATTTTTATTAAAGAGTAAACTAATGAATGGTGAAAATATTCAGTAGCAAGTTGATATTATCAATGATGAATACAAATAGGTGACTGCTAGGGTAACAGATTGAGACTTACCACTGGAGACTTCAGCTGTTATCAAACTAATTACATTTAGAAGCTTAAAAAAGAAAACTCTGTTCTTAACAATAAAACCGTTTAGGTAGCTGAAGATCTAGCAAAAAGAGTCTCACCAACACTTCAACGTAATCAGTGCTCCGCCACCCCCACCCCTACCCCACCGCCACCCTGCCCGCCTTTTTTTTGGTTGTGTTGTTAAGACATAGGGAAGATGTTCATTTTGATAGGTTTCAAGTCATTTTGCTAGGCAAGTTAACAGGAAGCAACGAGATTAAGGGACTACAGAATAATATAACAGATGACTTCATAAGACAGACAGAATAACCTGACGAAAAGCAGAAAATAGGTTGGTGTTTATTCCTCTAAATATTCTCTAGATACAGCAAAATAATCTACATAACTATTTATAATGAACAATATTAGAGATAGTTACAGAGACTGAGGGATGGTTGAATTAGACTTAGAGTGGGAATTTTATACATTCTCCTGAAGGTAGATATTATCTCTAAAGGGTTTTGTTTTGAAAGGTAAAGAAACCAAATTTTCCCAAGGAACAGTAGTATGCTGAAGTCTACTCATACCAGCTCATGACTGCAACTACTATTTTCAGAAATTCTATAAGCCAGTTAAATATATGCATCATTAAAAATTAAATTATGTAAACATAATTAAATTATACAAAAAAGTAATAATGACTCAAAATTCATCACTTCCTATTTTACTACATTTTATTATTGTGTATGTCTTTGAGGATATTTACATCTATTGTTGTGTATGTCTTTGAGGATATTTATATCTATTGTAGCTGCATGGTGGAAATACTATATAATGGTAATCTACTACTATGCATCTACTTCCAATTCCACTTTCGGTGTTTCACGTTGATAGCTTGAAATCAGCCACGGTGGGAGAAATTAACACCATTAAAACTGGCAACTGTCACAAATCAAGGCTTTTTTTCCTCCTAAGAACCAATTAAAAAAAATTTACCAACACACTCATGGTATATTCTAGAATTTTGATAAAGAGGGCTGGTTTAAAATTGGTTACACTGCAAGATAGTTGGAAAACTACCCTTTAAAAAAATCACTAATGACACATAGAAAAAAAAATTTTTTTTTTTTGAGACAGAGTCTCACTCTTCTCACCCAGGCTGGAGTGCAATGGCGCTATCTCGGCTCACTGCCACCTCTGCCTCCGGAGTTCAAGCGATTCTCCTGCCTCAGCCTCCGAGTAGCTGGGACCACAGGTGCGCACCACCACACCTGGCTAATTTTTGTATTTTTAGTAGAGATGGGGTTTCACCATGCAGATCAGGCTGGTCTCGAACTCCTGATCTCAGGTGATCCACCCACCTTGGCCTCCCAAAGTGCTAGGATTACAGGCACATGCCACCATGTCCAGCCGAAAAATATTATCTTAAATGGTACTAGATTATAAAGTGGATCAATTCTGGAATACTCCATAATACAATTAACAACTATCCTTATTAATAAAGAAGGATATGCCATTTATCTTTAACTGACTGCTATGACTTTGATGGCTTAATTTTGGTTTGGGGGCCATTTTACTTGGAAATGAAGAGGGTTTGGCATAAGAGTAGAGTAAGAACCATTAAAAGTCCTTGTTGAATACTTTTCAGGACCATACTCTTAGTGCTAACCCTTTTAAACAGGAACAGAAAACTCTTCCAAAACCACTAAATTTTTGTGTATATAGATAAATGTGAAACTAAGCAGGGAAGACATGTTTCTTGGAATTTTAGGGCTTTTCCAAGGTTCTACACCTCATGGAGTGAGGAAGAAGCTGAGATGACAAGACTTTAGCCTCCCTCATTTTGGCATTAACCAGAGAAATTTTTTGTATCATTCTTTAATATACTGGGGTTCTATGTAAAATGTCATTAGAAAAAAAGTGTTCCTTTGTAGGAAGATAGGAAGAAAAAAAGGGAGAGAGAGAAGAAGGAAATCAGCATGTTAGGGAATATTAGGGGATGTGTGTATATGTATCCATACCATCAGTATTTATAAAAGGTATGTTTGTTGGTGAAACCCCGTCTCTATTAAAAATACAAAAATTATCTGGGCATGGTGGTACATGCCTGTAGTCCCAGCTACTCGGGAGGCTGAGGCAGGAAAACTGCTTGTACCTGGGAGGTGGAGATTGCAGTGAGCTGAGATTGTGCCACTGCACTCCAGCCTGGCAACAGAGCAAGGCTCCGTCTCAAAAAAACAAACAAACAAACAAAAAAAAAAACCGGGTATGTTTGTGTGCGTTCTGGGAGAAACAACTTTGGGTAAACTGGGTCTATTTGTGTAAAAAAGATGAATGTCAACAAACATTAGTGCAATTCTTACTGAATTATATTTGTTGTCTATTATACATATATAACCACAGCTATCTAATTAAAAGTATTGGTATTTGAGATTATCCTAAATTATAATTTAAAATTCAGAGATATATAACCTAGGTTTTAAAGGGAACACAAAAACAATTTTGGATCTTCACACAGTTATATGCATTAAAAATTTTTTTATGTGTTACATCATTCGTAAAGTAAGGGCAACATTATCTCTCAAAACAAAAAGAAACAGAACAGGCATTTTATAGCAATGAATAAAATAAAAAGTCTCTGAGAAAGTAAATTTTTATACAGTAAAAAACACTGCTAGTTGGGATACTGCCTTCTCAAGAATATAACCAAGTATCTTTCAAACTAAACAAGTTTTCTATTTTGAAAAGGAAAAATAAATAATAAGTGCATTGATTTAAACGACCAGAATGCCATTTACTTTAAAAGACCTTTCTTTTTACCTGGAGCAAGCAAATCAATCAAATAGTAAAGAGGAAAGTGCAATAATAACCGTAAGACAAGGTTTCATGGAAGAAAATACTGGCTGTATAGAAGATCTGTGTTTTCACAGACTTTGTTTTCTTTGAGGTCTTCCAACCCAATACTAACCAGGTCCAGCTAGTTTAGCTTATGAAATCTGACAAGGGCACAGCCCATGGCAATAAGGATGCAGGATAGTGATTTTATTTCTTATTTAATTCATTGCAGCCCTAGGGAGAGAGATAACGAGAACAGGAATGAAATCCAGGTCTCCTACATAAAACACTGCAGAACATTACCACTAGGTCACCAGGGAGGAAAAGGAAGAAAATATTTTATTTTAAAAGAGTTTATTTGTTATAATATTTATGGTGGAAAATTATTTGTTTTGGCTTACCTGATGAAATCAGAACTTTACTCCCATTACTCACAAATTTGAATGATTGTTTCCACAAAATATTGTTTGATATCTGCTTACTAGATTTAAAATATTTAACTACATTGTTTTGGAAATTGTAAAAAAAGTATATCACCAACTTAACTCATAAAATGTCAGGCAGTTAAAAATCATCAGTTATAATTTTTAAAATTTCATCTAATCCTCCCACTACTTGGATATTTGTCATATTTCATTTATTCCTATCAAGTGTTGTAGGCACTGTCACTGATGAAAGCCCTGGCAAATTCTGGAGAATTTACCTACGTTTGACTCTTCCAAGAACTTAAGAAGGTTAAGAAGTTCCTTCTTAAGGGAATAGCTTAATGCCTAACTTACTAATGCCGATTGAGCCATGAAAGATTCTTGACATTTGAATGTTTTTGCCCTAAAAAGTGGCTATTGCATATGACTAAATTAAACACAGCACAATGTCCCCGATATTCAAACTCCTATGTAAAATGAAGAAAATACTATTACCTAAGATTCTTGTGAAGTTAAATGAGCCACTCCATGAGCACACAGGACAGTATCTGACACTCAAAAGATGTTAAGAATGATGAAAATAATGATGAACATTTTATATTTCCCCTATTTGATATGAAATCATCAGTAAAAATCAACAGTTTTCTACTATGGTATTTTTCTGGTATTCTATGGTAAAACCCCTATAGACATAGACATAGGGGTTACATAGACATAGGGGTTACATAGACATAGGGGTTACATAGACAGAGGGGTTATACACAGACATACTAGCTCTGTCTATGGTCATTCACTGCCATGACATTTTACATCAATACTTTGTGAGATCTTTTAGATTATAAATACTGGACAAAACAAAAACTAGTCAGGGAAACTAACAGATAAACTCTTGGAGAAAAAGTCAACTTTTTTTTTTTTGAGACGGAGTCTGGCTTTGTCACCCAGGCTGGAGTACAGTGGCACGATCTCAGCTCACTGCAACTTCCACCTCCCGGGTTCAAGCGATTCTCCTGCCTCAGCCTCCTCAGTAGCTGGGATTACAGGCATGTGCAACCACATCTGGCTAATTTTTGTATTTTTAGTAGAGATGGGGTTTCGCAATGTTGGCCAGGCTGGTCTCAAACTCCTGACCTCAAGTGATCCACCCCTTCGGCCTCCCAAAGTGCTAGGATTACAGGCATGAGCTACCGTGCCCGGCCAGAGTCAACTTCTTAATGCAAACAGCAGAGAGGGTAACTAGGACATACATTTATCTTCACTTTGGTTTATACTAATGAAAAGGAGAAAAAAAAAAAAAAACCTTAAGCAAACTTTGAAAATGACAGCAGATCCAAAACAAGGCAAGAATAAGAGGAAAACTTCATGTTTCAGGGTTTTTGAGTTTATAAAATGTTTTTTACCACATATTCTCTTATCTCTAAAATAGAAAGAGGAGATAATTTCATACTTTTATAAGATACTAAATGATAAGAAAACTAAAACTCAGATCATAAAGATAATAAATGGTGATGTTAAAACTAGAATTCAGGATGGACGCGGTGGCTCATGCCTGTAATCCCAGCACTTTGGGAGGCTAAAGCAGGCAGATCGTGAGGTCAGGAGTTCGAGACCAGCCTGACCAAAAATAGTGAAACCCCGTCTCTACTAAAAAATACAGAAAATTAGCCAGGCATGGTGGTGCGCACCTGTAACCTCAGCTACTTGGGAGGCTGAGGCAGGAGAATCACTTGAACCCAGAAGGCGGAGGTTGCAGTGAGCTGAGATCGCACCACTGCACTCCAGCCTGGGAGACATTGTGAGACTCTGTCTCAAAACAAACAAACAAACAAACAAACAAACAAACAAACAAACAAAACGTACCTAGAATTCAAGTCTCCCAACCTTTAGAGACCAGGATCTTGTCTCCCACTCTTCCCAAGATTATGCTCTCTCAGCAGAGGTCACCATGACTAATTGGGTGCTTGATTAACTTAACAAGTACTTACTGAGAGTCTAATGTGTGCACATTTCTATGGTAAGTTCAACCACAGAAACCACAGATACAAATTCAATGAGAAAGAGAATACAGGCTTTGAAACAAAGGAACCCAGGAGAGCAAATGCTGCTTAATCACACAGTTCTACAGATAAAAACTCCAGTATGACCTCATTTAATTACATCTGCAAAGATCCTATTTCCAAATAAGGTCACATTCTAAGGTAATGGGGGTCAGGACTTCAACATGAATTTTGAGGAGATAAAATTAGCTCCTAACACAAAAGGCAGGAGGAAGACAGATGAGGTAAAGATTCTAAGCCCATTGCATTTTCTGGAAAAAGGCAAAGAAATTCAAACAAGCCTGTGGTAAATTATCCAGTAAAAATAAAATGAAAAGAGTATAGAACTGCATCAATTTCATAGAAAGGAGAAACAAAATATTAAATATTAATCCAAAAGAAAGCAAAAGAGGACACAGGAACAAATTTGAAACAAGAAGGATAAACAGCAAATCCTAATAGACTTAACCCCCAAATGTCAGTATTAATATTATATATAAATGAATTTAACGCTTACCTCAAATTTCAAAAACAGTAATGTCAGAGGTGTTTGAACCACAGCAACTCCATCTTGAGTAGGGGCTGGATAAAATGAGGCTGAGACCTACTGGGCTGCATTCCCAGACAGTTAAGGCATTCTAAGTCACAGGATGAGACAGGAAGGAGGTTGGCACAAGATACAGGTCATAAAGACCTTGTTGATAAAACAGGTTGCAGTAAAGCCGCCGGCCAAAACCCACCAAAACCAAGATGGAGACACGAGTGACCTCTGGTGGTCCTCACTGCTACACTCCCACCAGCACCATGACAGTTTACAAATGCCATGGTAACGTCAGGAAGTTACCCCGGATGGTCTAGAAAGAGGAGGCATGAATAATCCACCCCTTGTTTAGCATATCATCAAGAAATAACCATAAAAATGAGCAACCAGCAGCCCTTGGGGCTGCTCGATCTGGAGTAGTCATTCTTTCATCCCTTCACTTTCTTTATTTTTTATTTATTTATTTATTTATTTTGAGATGGAGTTTCCCTCTTGTTGCCCAGGCTAGAGTGCAATGGCGCAATCTTGGCTCACCACAACCTCCACCTCCCAGGTTCAGGCAATCCTCCTGCCTCTGCCTCCCGAGTAGCTAGGATTACAGGCATGCACCACCACGCCCGGCTAATTTTGTATTTTTAGTAGAGACGGGGTTTCTCCTTGTTGTTTAGGCTGGTCTCGAACTCCCAACCTCAGGTGATCCGCCTGCCTCAGCCTCCCAAAGTGCTGGGATTACAGGCGTGAGCCACCGCACCCAGCCCTTCACTTTCTTAATAAACTTGCTTTTACTTTGCACTGTGGACTCACCCTGAATTCTTTGTTGTGTGAGATTCAAGAACACTCTCTTGGGGTCTAGGATCTGGACCTCTTTCCTGTGATAGTAACACCTAAATAATAATAAGACTAAAAACCATATGCAAACAGGAGGCAGTGTCAGAAAGATTTCTGTAAAATACCATCTGTTACTACATTTTTTTTTTTTTTTTTTTGAGACTGAGCCTCACTTTGTCACCCAGGCTGGAGTGCAGTCGTGTGATCTTGGCTGACTACAACCTCTGCCTCCCGAGTTCAAGCAATTCTCCTGCCTCAGCCTCCCAAGTAGCTGAGATTACAGGTGCATGCCCCCACGCCTGGCTAATTTTTGTATTTTGAGTAGAGACAGGGTTTCGCTATGTTGGCCAGGCTGGTCTCGAACGCCTGATCTCAGGTGATCCAACTGCCTCAGCCTCCCAAAGGGCTGGGATTACATGCATGAGCCACTGTGCCCGGTCATAAACTATATTTAAAGAAACCAATGCTCAGAGGAAATTTAAAGCATTAACACTTAGAAAAAGAAGGAAGTTCTCAAATCAACCTAATCTTCCACCTTAAGAAATTAGAAAAGGAAGACCAAGGCTAGGCGAGGTGGCTCACGCCTGTAATCCCGGTACTTTGGGAGGCCAAGGTAGGCGGATTACCTGAGGTTGGGAGTTCGAGACCAGCCTGACCAACATGGAGTAATCCCATCTATACTAAAAATACAAAATTAGCAAGGCATGGTGGCGCATGCCTGTAATCCCAGCTACTCAGGAGGCTGACGCAGGAGAATCGCTTGAACCCGGGAGGCGGAGGTTGCAGTGTGCCGAGATCGCGCCATTGCACTCCAGCCTGGGCAACAAGAGTGAAACTCCGTCTCAGAAAAAACAAACAAACAAACAAAAAACCCAGACTAAGTAGAAGACAGGTATGTAAGAGCAGAAATCAATGACACACAAAACTGAAAAAAACAGAGAAAAATAAATGAAACCAAAAGCTGATGTAGCTCAAGAGAGGCTAAAACAGAGAAGAAACAAAATAGTAATATTAGAAATAAGAGAGGAGACATCAATATAAATTCTATAGAAGTTAAAATAAGGAACTATTAGAAACAATTCATGCCAGCACACTCAACAAGTTAGATGAAATGGTCAGACCTCTTCAAATGCACAAACCATCAAAACTCCCATAAGAAGAAATAGATGAAATTCTACACAGAGGAGGGAACATTTCCCAATGTGTTCTATAAGGTCAATATCACTGTCACTGGACATAAAAAAAATAGACAAAAATATTAAAATAAAACTAAATTATAGACCAATATGTACACAGACATAAACTGAAAAGAAAATTTGCAGACTAAATCCACAATATATAAGAAGGCTAATACATAATGACCAAATGAAGTTTATTCCAGGAATTCAAGTCTGGTTTAGGATTTTAAAATAAACCAGTAGAATTCACTATATTAACAGATAAAAGAAAAAGACCACACAATCATGCTATTAGATGCAGAAAAAAAGATCTATTCATGATAAATACTCTCAGCAGACTAGAAATAGAAGTAACTTTCCTCACCTAGATTAAGGGCATCTGTTAAAAGCCTGCACCTAACATAATTGGTGGTAAAAGACTGAATGCTTTCAAGATCAAGAATAAGACAAAATGGCCAGGTGAGGTGGCTCAGGCCTTTAATCCCAAGGAAGTTAGGAGGCCAAGGCGGGTGGATCACTTGAGCCCAGGAATTGAAGACCAGCCTAAGGAACATGGCAAAACCCTGTCTCTATTTAAAATATGTACAAAAATTAGCTAGGCATGGTGCCGTGTGCCTGTAGTCCCAGCTACTCAAGAGGCTCAGGTGGGAGGCTTACTTAAGGCGGCAGGATCATTTGAGCCAGGAGGCAGAGATTGCAGTGAAGCAAGATCGTGCCACTGCACTCCAGCCTCAGTGACCCAGTGAGACCCTGTCTCAAAAAGAAGGAAACAAAAAACTATAAACTTTGACCCTTACCTCACCTATTTGCAAAAAAGATAACTTTAAATAGATCAGAAACCTAAATATAAGATAAAACTATAAAACTTCTAGAGGCCAGGTGCAGTGGCTCATGCCTGTAATCCCAGCACCCTGGGAGGCCAAGGCAGGTGGATCACGAGGTCAGGAGATTGAGACCATCCTGGCTAATGCAGGGAAACCCTGTCTCTACTAAAAAATACAAAAAACTAGCCGAGCGTGGTGGCATGCGCCTGTAGTCCCAGCTACTCGGCAGGCTGAGGCAGGAGAATTGCTTGAACCCGGGGGGTGGAGGTTGCAGTGAACCGATATCACGCCACTGCACTCCAGCCTGGGCGACAGAGTGAGACTCTGTCTAAAAACAAACAAACAAACAAACAAAAACTTCTAGAAAGAAACAGAAGAAAATCTTAGCGACTTTGAGTTTGGCAAAGATTTCCTAATTATGACATATAAAAAGAAGTATAAAAGAAAAAAATTGAACATACAGATTAAAAACTTTACTCTTCAAATGATACTTTTACTAAAATAAAAAGCAGGCCAAATGATGGGAGAACGTATCTGCAAAACATACAGGAACACAGCACGTCTATCTGATTTATATAACAAACTCTTAAACTGAGCAATAAGACAAAGTGGGCAACAGTGCTGAATGGACATTTCATAAAACATGATATTCAAATGGAAAACACATGAAAAGATGCTCGGCATTATTAATCTTTAGGGAGCTGAAAATCAGAATCACAACGACGTACTCCTACACATCCACTAGAATGACTAAAATTAAAGAGGGTGATGATAAAAAGTGTAGGCCAGGATGTGGAGCAATTGCACTTCTCACACACTGCTGGTGGGAATGTAAAAATCAACAGCTACTCTAGAAAATAGACTGGCAGTTTCTTAAATGGTTAAACTATACCTATCACAGGTTCTAGTCATTCTCCCACAAGGCATTTACTCCAGAAAAATGAAAGCATATGTCCACACAAAAACTTGACTTGCACTTGAATCTTCATAGCAGATTTATTAATGATGGTCAAAAAACTAGAAACAACTCAAATGTCCATGAAATAGTGAATGAATTAAAAAACTTTAATATACTCATACAATAGAATATTACTTAGCACAAAAAAAGGCAAGCCACTGATACATGAACAAACATGAATAAATTTCAGACTTATGCTTAGTGAAAGAAGTCAGACAAAATAGAATTTACACTGTATGATTATACATAATATGCAGAGCAAGAAAACTAATCCATGATAATAGAAAGCAGATCACTGGTTGCCTGAAGATAGGTGAAGGATGAGTATGATAAATTACAAAGGGTTGTAAAGACACTTGTGAGGAAAATCTACATGTTCAATATCTTGATTCTGACAACGGGTTCACAGGTATATCTGTATGTCAAAGAGCATGAAATGGTACACTTTAAATATGTCTAGTTTATTTTTATATCATTGGTATATCAATAATAAAGCTGTTAAAAAGGGGACATGGAGTACAGTAAATTAATCAATACAAAAGACTTAAGTGAGAAAAAAAACTTAGAACATGAAGTACAAATGGAATATTAAAAATTAGTCCTGGGCCAGGCATGCTGGCTCACACCTGTAATTCCAACACTTTGGGAAGCCAAGGTGGATGGATCACCTGAGGTCAGGAGTTGGAGACCAGCCTGGCCAACATGGTGAAACCTCATCTCTACTAAAAATACAAAAATTAGCTGGGTGTGGTGGCGCATGCCTGTAGTCTCAGCTACTCGAGAGAATGAGGCAGGAGAACTGCTTGAACCTGGGAGGTGGAGGTTGCAGTGAGCTGAGATCACACCACTGCATTCCAGCCTGGGCGAGAGAGTGAGACTTCAACTCAAAAAAAAAAAAAAAAAAAAAGTACATAGACAAGAGGTACAAAAGCAAAAAAATAAAAAACCCAAACAGTAATATGACAGATCTAAAGTAGTTTTATTACATAACAATGGAATGAATGCTTTAAATAAAATTTGAATACTGTCACACTAGAGTTTTTTAAACTGCACAAAAGCAGGCACACTTAACATATAAGAAACAAAGATGTAACAAAATGGAAAAATATATAACATGCAAACAAAAACCAAAAGAAAGCTCGATTAGTTATATTAATATTAAACAATAACAAAAAAACCCAAAGCAGAAAAGTTACTAGAAATAAACTGCAACACTTTATATAGTAAAAGCTTTGATTCACCAAAGATATAAAAATGTGAAATTCAAATGCACTAATAGCCTTAAAATATATAAAGCAAAATGTTAACTGAGCAAGAAAAAACTGACACATACATTATCTCAACAGGTTTTTAACATTTCTGGCTGTAGCTGGTCAAACAAGCAACCCCAAACTAATAATAATCAAAGGATTTAAAAACATAGTTAACAGGCTTTAATTAATTGGCATATATATAATTCTGAACCCACAGATATACAATTCTCTCAGTACATCAAATATTTAAAACAGCTGACTACAGAGTAGTCCATAAAGCCAGTGTCAACACAATTCAAAGGACTGAAATCAGAGTGTGTTCTATTACAAAACAATTAAGCTGGAAATTAATAACAAAAAGATAACTAGAACATCCTCATGTGTTTGTAAATTAAGAAACAGACTCATAAAGAATCAATGGGTCAAGAAAACAATCACAAGAAGAACTAGAAATATGTTTTAAGTAAATGGGAAATCAGAACACAAATTATTAAAACTGGCTTTTCAGCTAATGCTGATCCTAGAGGGACATTTATAGCCTTTAATACCTATATTACAAGAAAGTCTAAATATCAGTATAGTAATTCTTCATCTTTAGAGGAGAGATAAAAATTGCAAATTAAACTCAAAGTAAAATGAAAGAAAAAATAAAACAGTTGAAATCAGTAACAAAGAAAACAAGCATACAATATACAGACTCAAAAAGGCAAAAGATGGTTCTTTGAAAAGACCAGTAACTTAATGGCCTGAAAAGGAGACAGCGAGCGAATATAAGAATATACAAATATCCAATATTAGGAATGAAAAGGAGGACATCATTACACAGCCTACAGATGTGTGCTGTCTAATATGGTAGCTGTCAGTTGAAACTATTTAAAGTAAAATTTAAAGTATTTACAGGCCAACACAATTTAAAATCTAGTCTCTCAGTCATACTAGTCAAATTTCAATTGCTCAAGAGCCACATACTGAGAAAGGAATAATACAAGGTGGTCCCTGAGAGGAATAATACAAGGTGATCGCGGGAGAATAGAAAATTTCAGGCAGCAGTTTCACACGACTAGCAAAAGGAATCTATTGAAATAGCTGCAGCTAGGGACCGATAAGACCCTGAAAACCCAGGAGTAGATCAAGCTGGCTAAGACCAACTGGTTCCCACATGGCACTGGATTTGACCTAGGTTTCACCTAGAACCTCATTATATGCTCATTAACATACAAAAATCACACACCTACCAGTATTATGACAGTTTCAGGAACATCCATATTTAGTGTAAAACTGGGTGACAGGCCGGGTGCCGTAGCTCACGTTTGTAATCCCAGCACTTTGGGAGGCCGAGGCGGGCAGATCACCTGAGGTCAGGAGTTTGAGACCAGCCTGGCCAACATGGTGAAACCCTGTCTCTACTAAAAATACAAAAAATTAGCTGGGCATGGTGGCATGCACCTGTAATCCCAGCTACTCAGGAGGCTGAGGCAGGAGAATTGCTTGAACCCAGGAGGCAGAGGTTACAGTGAGCTGAGAAGATCGCGCCACTGCACTCCAGCCTGGGTGACAGAGCAAGATTCTGTCTCCAAAAAAAAAAAAACAAAAAAAAAAACAACAACTGGAAACAATGAAAATATTCTTTTTTTTTTTTTGAGACGGAGTTTCGCTCTTGTTGCCCAGGCTGGAGTGCAATGGCATGATCTTGGCTCACCACAATCTCCGCCTCCTGGGTTCAAGTGATTCTCCTGCCTCAGCCTCCCGAGTAGCTGGGCTTACAGACATGCACCACCATGCCCAGCTAATTTTGTATTTTTAGTAGAGATGGGTTTGTCCATATTGGTCAGGCTGGTCTCAAACTCTGGACCTCAGGTGATCCACCTGCCTCGGCCTCCCAAAGTGCTGCGATTACAGGCGTGAGCCACCATGCCCGGCCAAAAATATTCTTAAATAGAGAAATAATTACATGAACTGTAGTACAGGCATACAATGGAATATTCAGCAATAAAAAGAAATCTACTGATACACTCAAACATTTGGATGAATCTCAAGGGCATTATGCTAACTATAAAAGTTGATCTCAAGAGGTCACATACTGAATGATTCCATTTAGATCCTCAAAATGATATTAGATCATCAATGTCATTAGACCCTCAAAATGACAAAACTGTAGAGAATTGGTTGTCAGAGGTTAAGGAGGGTGAGTAGGGGATAGGTATGTAAACCAAAACTAAAATTTGAAGCTCCCCAAACCAAATTTATGGACCTCCACTGAGGTCCAAGGGATCCCAAAGAAAACTTGAAAAACTAGGTCAGGCCATGATGGGAAGGGAAGTTAGATATGCCTCATTATACCCTCCTCCCTTTGGAGTTTAGGCACAACTGACCAAAAATTAACATTAAAATGGAGATCATAAGACTGACAAAACAGATTCTTTGTAGCAATAGGATACCAAATTCCAACCTTTGGTATATTATCACAAGAAAGGAACAGGGCTTAAAGGAAATCAAAGTATTTTGTCCCCAAATACATTTATTTGACACTTTTTGTAGTGGCCCTACAAAGCCGTCTCTTGTGGGGAAAATTTGTATTCTGCAGAGAATCTCCTTCCCTTACTAGGTCTTTTCCAGATATCTCTTCTGGAGAATATGACACCTTTTCAGGTCTGATAAGACAGTTGCCCACACCACTGCACTCCAGCCTAGGTGACAGAATGAGACCATATCTCAAAAAAAAAAAAAAAAAAAAAGAGACATTTGCCATCTATTCTCTCTGAAGCCTGTTACTTAGAGGCTTCATCTGCATAACAAGAACCCTGGCTTCTACAACTCCCCTTATCTTAACTCAAGCATTTCTTTATATTGACTTCAATTCTCCAGACAAAGCTTAATGCTTTCAATCAATTCCCAATCAGGAAATCTTTGACTTGGAAGCCCCTACTTCGAAATGTCCTGACATTCTGAGCTAAACCAATGTATACCTTATACGTATTGATTTATACCTTTGCCTGTAACTATTGTCTCCCTAAAATGTATAAAACCAAGTTGTAACTCAACCACCTCGGGCACCTGTTCTCAGGACCTCCTGAGGCTGTGTCATGGGCCATGGTTGCTAACGTTTGGCTCAGAATAAACCTCTTTAAATATTTAACTGAACTTGGCTTTTTTCATCAACAGGTGTGATTATTAAGGAGAAGTATGAGTGACATTTTTGTGGCAATGAAATAGTTCTATACCTCGTTTGGAGAAGTGGTTAATAAATCTATAGGTGATGAAATGACATACAACTATAAACAGCCAATGTACAAATGTCAATTTCCTGGTTTTGACATTGTACTACAGTTACAAAAGATGTAACCATTAGGAAAAACTGGGTGACAGGTACAGAGGAATTCTGTACTGTCTTGGAAACTTCCCATCAATCTATAATTTTATTTATTTTAAAATAAAAACTTGATAAAAAAATTCGTATTTTATAAGTCAAGCATGTAACTGACACCACACCTGACAAATAAGAAAAGAAAATCACAGGTGAATCTCTCTCATAAACATAAAAGCAAAAATCCTAAAAAGATAGCAAATCAAATCAAATAACAAAGAATAATATTTCATAGGACCAAAGAAGGTTCATTCCAGAAAAATAAAGTGATTTAATGCCAGAAAATCAATTGGTATACTTTATCTCATTAACAAAACAAAGGTGAAAAATCACACAATCATCTTAATAGATGCAAAAATAAATATTTGATAATACTTAACAATATTCATTTGTAATAAATAAAAATTTTTTAGCAAAACTAGAAAGAAAACTTCTCAACTTGATTTTTTAAAAACTTAGACTGATGTGGACAAAATCAGAAGAGTAAGAAACTCCAAATTCCACCCCTCCATAAAAGCAACAACAACAAAAAGCCAAAACTATATAATCGACTTTTTCTGAACTCCAGAAATTAACAAAAGGCTTGCAGCATCATGAGTAAGATACACTCAAGAAAACCAGGCTAGAGCCTGGTACAGTGGCTCATGCCTGTAATCCCAACACTTTGGGAGGCTGAGATAGGAGGACTGCTTAAGCCCAAGAGTTGGAGACGAGCCTAGGTAATGTAGGGAGACCCCATCTCTAGAAAATAATTACAAAATTAGCCAGGCATGGTGGCACATGCCTGTAGTCCCAGCTACTTGGGAGGCTGAGGTGGGAGGATTGCTTGAGCCTGGGAGTTCAAGGCTGCAGTGAGCTATGGTGGCGCCACAGCACTCCAGCGTTGGCAACAGAGCGAGACCTCATATCAAAAAAGAGAAAGAAAGAGAGAAAAGAAAGAAAGAACAAAATACAGACAGACAGAAAGACAGACATATGATTTTTGATCAGAACAGTAACTTTACGGCACATTAATTTATTCTAGTCCTACCCACTGTTCCTGGGTGACCACAACCTGTGAACATCACAACCTGTATTACCAGTACTAGAAGGAACAGAATGAACTAACTTGCAAAGAATGGAAATTATTTGTTCTGTCCTGTTTGGTACCTCCCTGGAAGACAGGTTTAAAAGGCTTGTATTTATTTTCCTTAACTTAAAACTAGCCTTATGCTAAGGCTGTTTCCCTGGGGGCATTTGTTAAAAAAATTTACAGAATATTGTCTTTGTATGATGCATGAAGTTATTAAAACAGTTGGTGCAAACAATAGGCAAACCAAAAAGTTTGAGAGGAAAGGCTGAGGCATGAAATGTTGACATTCCTGGGAACCTAGAAGGCCATGTGCATGTTCAAGGCTGCGCACATACTCAGGAAAGTTCTGAGAAGGCGCTAAGCTCTCACCTGCTGCTGACATTAAGGCTATGTAGAAGCGGGGAAAAAAAAAAAAAAAAAAGGTTAAGGCAGAATTGTAAACCAATACAGAGCCCAAGGTAAAGATGGAAAGAATTTTTGCTTCCAGGCATTTATGAAAATCTCTTTCCAATTATTAGCTGATTACCCAGCTAATGTAACAGACTTCAGTGGCTACACATAACAAAAAATAGAGACTTCATAGAATTAGTTCAGAAAACTCACTAAAAACAAACAACTACAACAAGCCCAATACTACAAATCCTTTAAAAAGTAGAGATCTGATTTTCATAATTGCTGATTTATAACATTTAAAATGTCTAATTTTCGTTATTATTATTATTATTTTTGAGACAGAGTCTCACTCTGTCATCCAGGCTGGAGTGCAGTGGCGTGATCTCTTCTCACTGCAACCTCTGCCTCCCGGGTTCAGACGCTTCTTGTGGTTAAGCCTCCTGAGGAGCTGTCCACCACCACACCCAGCTAATTTTGTATTTTTAGTAGAGAGAGGGTTTCACCATGTTGGACAGGCTGGTCTGGAGCTCCTGGCCTCGAGTGATCCTCCTGCCTCAGCTTCCCAAAGTGCTGAGATTACAGGTGTGAATCACTGTGCCCAGCCAAAATGTGCAATTTTCAACAATGAAAAATTACAGGCTATGCAAAGAAATGAGACAGTATGGCTGACATAAAGAAAAAAATAGAAACTGTGCCTGAGGAAGACCAGACAATGAACTTTCTAGACAAAACGTTAAATCATCTTTTTTTTTTTTTTTTTGGAGACGGAGTCTCACTCTGTTGCCCAGGCTGGAGTGCAGTGGTGTGACCTTGGCTCACCGTAACCTCAACCTCCTGGGTTCAAGTGATTCTCCTGCCTCAAGCTCTCAAGTAGCTGGGATTACAGGTGCCCACCACCACACCCGGCTAATTTTGTGTGTTTTTAGTAGAGACAGGGTTATGTTGGCCAGGCTGGTCTCAAACGCCTGACCTCCGGTGATCTGCCTGCCTCGGCCTCCCAAAGTGCTGTGATTACAGGCGTGAGCCACCGTGCCAGGCCAATCATCTATTTTAAATATGTTCAATGAGCTAAAGGAAGCCATGTCTAAAGAATTAAATGAAAGTATGGGAACAATGCACCACCAAATTCAGAATATCAACAGATTAAGTTATTTAAAGGGCAAATAGAAATTCTGGAGTTGAAAAGTGTAATAACTGAGATAAAAAATTCTCTAGAGGGGCTCAACAGCAGATCTGAGCAGGAAATGAAAGAATCAGCAAACTTGAGGATATGTGCATTGAAATGATCTGGGCTGAGGAACAGAATAAAAAGGAATAAAGGAAAAATGAATAAATCTTCAGAAACATCATTAAGCATATCAATATATGAACAATGGAAGTGCCAGAAGGTGGTGGGGAGGAGTGGGAGAAAGAGGAGAGAGCAGGTAAGAAATATTTTGAGAAATAATGGTCTAAATCTTCCAAAATTTGAAGCTCAATGAACTCCAAGCAGGATAAATTCCAATGGACCTAAGGGAGGAGACCACCCCTCATATTGTCTTACACCCAATTTCTGCCTCCAAAGAAAGAAGAAGTAAAAACTAAAAGGCAGAAATGAAATCCACAGGCAGACAGCCCGGCGCCGTGCCCTGGGCCTGGTAGTTAAAGAACGACCCCTGACCTAACCGGTTATGTTATCTATAGATGCCAGACATTGTATGGAAAAGCACTGTGAAAATCTCTGTCCTGTTCTGTTCCGTTCTAATAACCGGTGCACGCATCCCCCAGTCACGTACCCCCTGCTTGCTCAATAGATCACGACCCTCTCACGTGGACCCCCTTAGAGTTGTAAGCCCTTAAAAGGGACAGGAATTACTCCCTTGGGGAGCTCGGATTTTGGAGACGTGAGCCCGCCAATGCTCCCAGCTAAATAAAGCCCTCTCCTTCTACAACTTGGTGTCTGAGGGGTTCTTGCCTGCGGCTCATCCTGCTACAGACCCATATTAAGAAACATCATAATCAAACCATCAAAGCTAAAGACAGGAGAATACTGAATGCCCCAAAGAAGTAACTCATGATTTTGAGAAATCTTCAATAAGATTAACAGCTGATTTCTAATCAGAAACGATGAAGGCCAGCAGGTAATAGCTTATGTAATCAAAAGTGGTGAAAAAAAATTCTACCAAGAATTAATATATGTGGAAAAAACTATCCTTCAAAATGAAGGATAAATCAAGATATTCTCAGTAAAATAAAAAGTGAGAGAGTTCACTGCTAGCACACCTGCCCTACAACAAATGCGAAAGGGAGTCCTTAGGGATGAAATAAAATAACACTGGACAGTAACTCAACTCCCTATGGAAAAATAAATGCCAAGAAAGGTATAAACATAGGTAAGTGGAAAAGACACTATAAAGGCATTTTTGGCTTGTAATTCCTTTTCTTTTTAAAAACCTAATTCAAAAGACAACTGCATAAAGCAGTAACTACAAATCTAGGTTGATGAGAACATAATATCTAAAGATTTAATCTGTGACAATAATAAATAATAAGAACAGGCATAAAGGGCAGTGGAACAGGGGCAAAGTTTTTGTACTTTTTAAAATTTGCATTAATTCTAAGTAGACAGCTATGAATTAAGATGTTAATTGTAATCCCTAGAGAAACCACAAAACTATGTTCACACAGACTTGTATTAGAATGTTCACAGCAGCTGTAACATAGCCAAAAGACCCAGAATGTAATCAAATGTCATTAGCTGATTAACAAATAAATAGTATGTGACATATTCATACAATATTATTCAGCCACAAAAAGAAATGAAGGCCAGGCAAAGCAGCTCACTCTTGTAATCCCAGCAATTTGGGAGGCCGAAGAGGGAGGATCACTTGAGGCCAGGAGTTCAAGCCCAGCCTGGGCAACATAGTGAGATGCCGTCCAAACAAAAAAAATAAATTAGCCAAGCTTGGTGGCACACGTGTGTAGTCCTAGCTACTCAAGAGGCTGAGGTGAGAGGACTGCTTGAGTCCAGGAGATTTAAGTTGCAGTGAGCTATGATCATGATTATGCCACTGTGCTCCAGCAGCCTGGGCAACAGAGCAAACAGAGTAAGACCTGGTCTGTAAAAAAAAAAAAAAAGAGAGAGATGAGGTACAAAGTACTGCTATATGCTACACTACAAATAAGCCATGAGAACATTATGCCAAATTAAAGGAGCAAAATATAAAAGGCTACATATTGTATAATTTCAATTATATAAAGTGTCCAGAATAGACAAATCCAGAGACAGAAAGTTGGTTAGTGGTTGCCAGAAGAGGGGAGATCAGAGAATTGCTAACTGCTAATAGATATGGTTTTATTTTATTTTCTGATGATATGAAAATGTTCTAGCATCAGAGAGTGGTAATGGTTGCACAAGCTAAACAGACTAAAAACCACTGAAGTGTCTGTGCATTTTTAAATGCTGAATTTTATGTTCTGTCAAGTACATTTCAACAAAAATGTTATAAAAAGCCTATAGCACACATCATATTTAATAGTAACATGATAAAAGTTTTTTTGTTTTGTTTTTGTTTTTTTGTGTGTGTGTGTGATGGAGTCTTGCTCTGTCACCCAGGCTCAAGAGCAGTGGTGTGATCTTGGCTCACTACAACCTCTGCCTCCCGGGTTCAAGCGATTCTTTTGCCTCAGCATCCCAAGTAGCTGGGATTACAGGCACGTACCACCACACACGGCTATTTTTTGTGTTTGTAGTAGAGACGGCCTTTCACCATGTTGGCCAGGCTGGTCTTGAACTCCTGACCTCAGGTGATCCACCCACCTCAGCTTCCCAAAGTGCTGGGATTACAGGCTTCAGCCACCACGCCCAGCGAGAAAAGTTTTTTTTGAGACAGTGGAGTACAGTGATGTGATCAGAGCTCATTGCAGCCTCAAACTCCTGGACTCAAGAGATCCTCGTGCCCCAGCCTCCCAACTTGCTGAGACCACAGTTGTGCACCACCAAGCCTGGCTAATTCATTTATTTTTTGTAGAGATGCAGTCTTCCTAGGTTTCCCTGGCTGGTCTTGAAGTCCTGACCTCAAACAATCCTCCCACCTCAGCCTCCTGAAGTGTTAGGATTACAGGTGTAAGCCATCACAACCAGCCACAAGTTAAATAAACAATTTCAATGATGAAATAAAGATTTTCAGCAATGAAAGCTTTCTTTGAGATTGGGAATGAAACAAGGATACTTGTTATCATCACTTCTATTCTATATTGTATTGGAGATTCTAATCAACACAAATAAGAGAAAAATGTATAATATACAGAGAAACCATTAGAATTAAAAAATAAGCTAGGCGTGGTGGCTCACACCTGTAATCCCAACAGTTTGGGAGGCCGAGGCAGGCAGATCACTTGTGGTCAGGAGTTCAGACCAGCCTGGCCAACATGACGAAACCCCATCTCTACTACAAATACAAAAATTAGCTGGGTGTGGCAGCAGGCGTCTGTAATCCCAGCTATTCCAGGGGCTGAGGCAGGAGAATCACTTGAACCTGGGAGGCGGAGGTTGCAGCGAGGTGAGATCATGCTGTTGCACTTCAGCCTGGGTGACAGAGTGAGACTCTGTCTCAAATAAATAAATAAAATTTAACAAGGTTGTTAGACAAAAATCAGTTTTAATTCTATATACTAAATATAATTAGAAAGTGAAATTTGAGACACAATGCCACTTACAATAATCATCTAAAAACAAAAAATAAATGTAAGAAAAAATATCCCATATGTACAAAAAGCTGCAACACATTATTGAAAAAACGTTAATTTTTTTTTTTTTTTGAGACAGTCTTGCTCTGTCGCCTATGCTGGAGTGCAGTGGCATGATCTCTGCTCACTGCAACCTCCGATTCCTGGGTTCAAGAGATTCTCCTGCCTCAGGCTCCCGAGTAGCTGGGATCACAGGTGCGTGTCACCAGACCTGGCTAATTTTTGTATTTTTTGGTGGAGGTGGGGTTTCACCATGTTGCCCAGGCTGGTCTGGAACTCCTAACCCCAAGAGACCTGCCCACCTCAGCCTCCCAGAGTGCTGAGATTATAGGCATGAGCTACTGTGCCCAGCCTGAAAAAACTTTAAAAGATCTAAATTAATGGATCTATTTATGGGTTTTAGAGTCAATACAATTTGAATGTCAATTTCTCCACAACTGATCCATATATAATTGTTATCCCAATTAAATATCTCAGCTGAATAATTTGTGGAAAACAACAAGCTGCATTAAACATTTATATGAAAATGTAAAATGGCAATCTTAAAGAAGGAAAACAAAATTGGAAAATTACTGTACTAGATACCTATCATGAAGTTACAGTGATTAAGACCGTGTGGTAGTAGCACAAGGATGAACAAGTAGATAAATGGAACTAAGCAGAACATGTGGAAACAGACCTACACAGTTATGGACACTTGGATTATGATTAAACTGACCTTTGTAGAGCTGTAGGAAGCAATTTTTAAAATAATTTGTAGCAGGCCAAGGGTTTGGAGAACTTTTGGAACAAAACATTAATCTTGATCACTACTTAATGCCAAACAAACAAAACATTCCAGGATATTGTTAATTGAAATGTTTAAGTCAAATAATAAAGCTTCTAGAAGGATTTGAAAAATCTTTATAATTTTGAGATAGAAAAATATTTGTTTGTTCAGGTGTGGCGGCTCATGCTTGTAATCCTAACACTTTGGGAGGCTGAGGCAGGAGGATCACTTAAGCCCAGGAGGTTGGACCAGACTTGGCAGCACAGGGAGACCCAAACTCTAGAAAACATTTAAAAATTAGCCGGGTGTGGTGGTGTATGCTTGTGGTTTCAGGTACTCAGGAGGTTGAGGTGTGAGGATCACTTGAGCCTGGGAAATTGAGGCTGCAGGGAGCCGTGATTGCATCACTGTCCTTCAGCCTGAGTGACAGAGTGAGACCTTGTCTCCAAAAACAAAATACATATATATATACATATATATATATATTTGAACATAGAAAACACCAAATAAGGAAAAGGCAGACTGATTAATATAATTAGTAAGTTCTAGTCATCAAAAGACACCACTAAGAACAAAAAAAGGCCAAGCACAATGGGAGAAAATATGTGCAAAACACTCATTTCTGAAATACAGAAAGAACTCTTTATAATCCAG
The DNA here is from genome assembly GCF_000001405.40 of Homo sapiens. NCBI lineage: Eukaryota > Metazoa > Chordata > Mammalia > Primates > Hominidae > Homo > Homo sapiens. The sequence goes on from NC_000010.11 coordinate 21,877,482, forward strand.
TCTTAAAAACAAAAAGGCAACACAATTAAAAAAGATTTGGAAAGGCACTTCACTTAGTAAGATATCAGTATCCAATAACCATAAGAAAAGGTGTTCAGTCTTATTCATCAAAGGATGCAAATTAGACCAAAATTAGGTATCACTGCATACTTACCAGAATGGATAAAATATAAAAGACTTGACCAAGCATTGGCAAAAATATAGAGTACCTGGAATATTCATATCCTGCTGCTAAAGTATAAATTGACACAAACTTTTGGAAAACAATTTAAAAGTACAGCTGACCCTTGAACAATATGGAGGTTGGGGCGCCAACCCCTGGTCAGTTGAAAACCTAAGTATAACTTTTGACTGCCCAAAAACTTTACTACTAACAGCCTACTGTTGACTGGAAGCTTTAATAATGCAGACAATAAGTTAACACATATTTTGCATGCTTATGTACTGCATTCTTACAATAAACTAGAGAAAACAAAATCTTAAGGAAAATACCTTTATAGTAATGTACTGTATTTATCAATACCCTAAGTTCACGTTGTTGTCTGTCTGAAATGGCAGCCAACAGCAGGTGCAGACCTCACTCTACTATACTTATAAAGCAATTCAATTTTTTCTTGTAATGTCATGACTTTCCTCTGGTTCTCGAGAACACTCCTAGCATCACTAGTGGTACTTTCCATAGGCCCAATGGTGTTATTCAAGGTTTACAGTATTTTACTAAACATGATAAAAAATACATGAGAACCCAGATAGATCACATTTTCTATGCTATGCAATTTACTGGAGAGACAAACTGCTCACACAGAGATGATTAGCATCATCGGGAGGTTTAAGCCAACACTTGCAACACATGAGCCTACTGCAACAGCAACGAGAGGTGTTTTAAATTATTATAGTAGTATAGTAGGTACACTGTGTGCTACAGTTGATTTTACACAGTTATGATTTAGTACTGCATCTTTACATTTGTTTATATTTCCCTCATCTGCAAATGGTGCCATGTACAGTAAGTAGTTGTGTATGTTTTGATAAGTTTTAACTTTTTATGATAGGTTTGTATATATTTTATGGTAGTAAATGATAAAATACACTAGTATCTACATACATTTTATGCATGACATACCTAACTTTTTCTTAATTTTTTCAGTATTTCTAGGCTACATGGTTTGAGATTTGAACAATTACCCAAAATCTTCTAAAATTTTTCCAAAATATTTTTTGGAAAAAATCCACATATAAGTGGACCTATGCAGTTTAAACCCATATTTTTCAAGGATCAACTGTATTTACTGAAGTTGAGCTCTGACCCTGCAACTAACTCCAAAAATTGAAATTTACACATATACATACTAAAAGGCATGCACAAGACTGTTCACAGAAAAATTATTCATTATAGCCCCAAACTGAAAACACCACATTTCTCCAACAAAAATAAATTGTGCTATATTTATAAAGTATTATACAGCAATGAAAATTACTGCTATATGCAATTATGAATAAATCTCACAAATACACTGAATAGAGGAAATCATACTCAAAGGACTACATAGGAAATGATGCTATTTATAAACTAACAAGCAGGTAAAACTACTCCGAAGTCAGGAATGTCATCATCTTTGTGGAAGAGAAGGAAATAGTGGCAGAAAGCATGGTTTCTGCACAATGGCAATGTTCTAGTCATTGAACTTGGCAATGGTTAACTTGCATCACCTGTGATAGTTCACTGAGCTGCATATCTATACATGCATACCTCAGAGATATTCCAAGTTCAGGTCCAGGCTACCACAATAAAGTTAATATTGTAATAAAATGAGCCACACAATTTTTTTTGTTTCCCAGTACATATAAAAGTTGTTTATAAGCCAGGCGCGTTAGCTCACACCTATAATCCCAGCACTTTAGGAGGCTGAGACAGGCGGATCACTTGAGGCCAAGAGTTTGAGACCAGCCTGGCCAACACGGTGAAACCCCATCTCTACCAAAAGTACAAAAATCAGCAGGGCGTGATTGCGCTTGCCTGTAATCCCAGCTACTCAGGAGGCTGAGACACAAGAATCGCTTGAACCCAGAAGGCAGAGGTTGCAGTGAGCCGAGATCATGCCACTGCACTCCAGCCTGGGCGACAGAGAGAGACTCTGTCTCAAAAAAATAATAATAATTTAAAAAAATGTTTAAAACTAAGTTTACATTGTAGCTTAGTTTATTAAGTGTGTGATAGCATTATGTCCAAAAAACAATGTACATAATTTAAAAATACTTTACCGCTAAAACGTATTAATAACCATCTGAGTCTTTCAACAAGTCATAATCTTTCTATTGGTAGAGGGTCTTGCATTCATGTTAGTGGCTGCTGACTCACTGGGGTGGTGGTTGGTAAAGGTTGGGGTGTCTGTGACAATTTCCTAAAATAAGACAACAATGAAGTTTGATGCATTAAGTCTTCCTTTCACAAAATATTTCTCTGTAGCATGTGATGCTGCTTGATAGCATTTTACCATCTCCAACCCTGCTAGTTCCTTTATCAGTGAAGCTTACAGAATATTCTCAATCCTTTGTTGTCATTTCAACAACTTTCACAGCATCTTCACCAGGAATAGATTCCATCTCAAGAACCACTTTCTTTGTTCACCCATAAGAAACAACTCCTTATCTCTTCAAGTTTGACCATGGGATTGCAGCAATTCAGTCACATCTTCAGGCTCCACTTCTAATTCTAGTTCTCTTGCTATTCACACCATATCAGCAGTTATTTCCTCCAATGAAATCTTGAACCCAAAGTCATCCATGAGGATTAGAATAAACTTCTTCTAATCTCCTGTTAATGTCAATATTTTGACCTCTTCCCATCAATCATGAATGTTTGTAATGGCATCTAGAATAGTAAATCCTTCCCAGAAAGTTTTCAATTTACTTTGCCCAGATCCATCAGAGGAATCACTCTCTATGGCACCTACAGCCTTATAAAATATATGTCTTAAATAATAAAACTTAAGTTGGAAGGGCTCCTTGATTCATGGGTTGCAGAATGGATGTTGTGGTATGGGCATATAGACAATGTTCATCTCCTTTCATATCTCCCTCAGAGCTCTTGGGTGACTAGGTACACTGTCAATCAGCAGTAATATTTTGAAAAAAATATTTTTTTACTGAGCAGTAAGTCTCCACATAGGGCTTCAGTAAACCATGCCGTAAACAGATGTGCTGTCATCCAGGCTTTATTGTTCCATTTATAGAGCACAGATAGAATGGATTTAGCATAATTCTTGAGTACCCTAGGATTTTCAGAATGATAAATGAGCACTGGCTTCAACTTAAAGTTACCAGCTGCATTATTCCCTGACGAGAAAGTAAGCCTGTCTTTTGAAGCTTTGAAGCCAGGCATCAACTTCTTCCCCTCTCTAGCCATGAAAGTCCTAGATGTTATCTTTTTCCAGCAGAAGGCTGTTTCATTTACATTGAAAATCTACTGGTTGGTGTAGCCACCTTCATCAATGATCTTGGCTAGATCCTCTGGATAACTTGCTGCAGCTTCTCCATAGCACTTGCTGCTGCACACTGTACTTTTATGTTATGGAGACAGCTGTTTTCCTTAAGCCTAATGAACCAACCTCTGCTAGCTTCCAACTTTTCTTCTGCAGCTTCCTCACTTCTCTTGGCCTTCTTAGAATGAAGAGAGAGAGGGCATTGCTCTGGATTAGGCTTTGGCTCAAGAGAATGTTGTGGCTGATTTGATCTTCTATCCAGACTACTCAAACTTTCTCCATATCAGCAATAAGGTTGTTTTGCTTGCTTACCTTTGATGTATTCACTGGAACAGCACTTTTAATTTCCTTCAAGAATGTGTCCTTTGCATTTTAAAATTTAGCTAACTGTTTGGTGCAAGAGGCCTAGCTTTTGGCCTATCTTGGCTTTCAACCATGCCTTCCGAACTAAGCTTAATCATTTTTATGTAAAGTGATACACATGCAACTCTTCCTTCTACTTGAACACTTGGAAGCCATGGTAGGGTTATTAATTGACCTAATTTCAATACTGCTGTGCCTTAGGGAGTAGGGAGACCAGAGGAGACGGAAAGAGACTAGAGGATGATTGATTAGTAGAGCAGCCAGAATATACATAATATTTACCAATTAAGTTTGCTGTCTTACATGTGTGCACTTCACGGTACCCCAAATAATTATAACAGTAACGTCAGAGGTCACTGATCACAGATGACCATACCAGATGTTATAGTAATGAAAAGTTTGAAATACCACAAGAATTACCAAAATGTTATATAGAGACACAAAGGAAGGAGATGCTTTTGGAAAAATGGTGCCCGTAAACTTGCTCAATTCAGGGCTGCCACAAACCCTCAATTTGTAAAAAAAAAAAAAAAAAAAAAAAAAACCGGCCAGGCACGGTGGCTCACACCTGTAATCCCAGCACTTTGGGAGGCCGAGGGGGGCAGATCATGAGGTCAGAAGATCAAAACCATCCTGGCTAACACGGTGAAACCCTGTCTCTACTAAAAACACAAAAAATTAGCCAGGCGTGGTGGTGGGCACCTGTAGTCCCAGCTACTTGGGAAGCTAAGGCAGGCGAATGGCATGAACCCGGGAAGCAGAGCTTGCAGTGAGCTGAGATTGCGCCACTGCACTCCAGCCTGGGTGACAGAGCGAGACTCTGTCTCAAACAAAACAAAACAATAGTATTTGTGAAGTGCAATAAAACAAAGCACTATATCGTGAGCTAACCCTGTATTTTATGTGCTTTTCTGTACATGTTTTACTCAAAACAAGTTTTATAAAGCTTATTTACCTGTTTTTTCTGTGTTCGGTTCCTGTTTTCCAACCAATCATCCATTTGTTCCTCAATTTCTTCTATGGAAGTTCCATGATCATAAGACTGAATATATGTAGTTTCTAAAGGTGTGTATACAGGAAATTCAGGTTTTGGTTTTTTAACTTTCTTCTGTTCTAAAAAATGTTTAAAAGAACCAATTATTGAGATTTTTAAAGAATAAAATTAATTTCTAACATTTTATTCATAGACCATATCCTGAAAGAAAACATCAAAATATAATTGTTCTGTTATAAATAATTGGCTATAACTTTTATTGTACATAAACCATTGCATTGTTTCTAAATAAAACTCAGAGTTGCTACTATTGTGGAGATGATCATGAGATAGCCATCATATCAATTTGCATACACCTTTGTTTTCAAAGTACTTTTCATAAAATATTTCATTTTGGCACAATAAAAAGAGCTTCAATTTAATATTGTAACCCTAACTTTACCATGTAATAAGTAAATAATACTGGGCAAATAAATTAACACTTAGAACAGTATCAACTTTCTCATCTATAAAAAAAACCTGGCTCTCACTAAATGGTATACATTTATTTTTCAATATTTTACAAAGGTGAAATATGATCTGGCAACATCAAGAGTAGTTATGAATCGATGGCCATCCATTGGGCTCTTTATTAAATCCCATTTTAGGCCTAGGAGCAGTGGTTCACGGCTCTAATCCCAGCATTTTGGGAGGCCAAGGCAGGTGCATCACTGGAGGCCAGGAGTTCGAGACCAGCCTGGGCAAAATGGCAAAACCCTTCTTCTACTAAAAATGCAAAAATTAGCTGCGTGTGGTGGTACATGCATGTAATCCCAACTACTTGGGAAGCTGAGGCATGAGACTCACTTGAGCCCAGGAGGTGGAGGGTGGGGTTAGCCAAGATCACACCACTGCATTCCAGCCTGGGTGACAGAGTGAGATTCTATCTCAAACACACACACACACACACACACACACACACACACACACACACACCATTTTAACTGGAGACTTGACATTGAGAAGCAACTCCATTCTTAATTACTATAGTCAAACTCAGCCTCATAAGAGTATTTTCACCACCCCATGTGTACGTGTGTATGTGTGTATTTGCATGTACTATACTGCCAATGTAACAAAATCAGTATATACTGGCATAGGAATAGACAAATTCCTAGAAGAGAATAGAGAATCTGTAAATACCAATGCTTGTTGACTTATTATGGGATTACATCCTGATAAACCTATCATATATTGAAAACATCCTTAATTAGAAAATGCATTTAATAAAACTAACTTCATGGCTTAGCCTAGTCTACCTTAAGTGTACTCAGAACATTTACATTAGCTTATAGTTGGGCAAAATAACATAGTGACACAGTACACTGTAGAGGATCAGTTTTAATCCTCATGATCATATGGCTAAGTGGAAGCTGCAGTTTGCTGCTGTTACCCAGCATTATGAGGGAGTATCCTACCGCATATTGCTAGTCCAGGAAAAGATTCCAAATTCAAAGTACAGTATTGTTTTTGCACTATCATAAAGTCAAAAAATTGTAAGTCAAATCATTATAAGTCTAGGATTGTCTATATTTCAATTTAGTGGGAAAACAATTTATTAAGTAATGCTTACACAACTGAGTATCCATTTAAAAGAAAACTCTTACACTGTATACACAAATAAATTCCAGATAGAGAAGAGAGTTGACTTTAAAAGCCAAAACAATAAAAATTTTGCAAAAAGAAATCTTAAAATCTACTTGTACTATTTAAAGGAAGGGGACATCTAAATAAGAATGAAAACCCAGATGCTGTTACAAAAAAGATAAAAGAGTAAACAAATCAAGAGACAAATAATAGATTTGGAAAGGATGTATCCAATTCAGAGTATAAACAGAAGATTGCTATAAACAGATTTTATAAATGGACAACCACCCAATAGAAAAATATAGGCAAAAGGTCATAAATGGGCAATCCACAATTGAGTGCCCACGTGGCTAACAAATAAGAAAAGAGGCTCATACACTCTAAAGGTTAAAGAAATACAAATTAAGTAATACCAAGATATAATTTTATACCAATCATATGGGTACAAATTTAAAATCTAATTCAGATGTACTGTTGGCAGGGAAAAGGCTACTTCTAAATTGGTGGAGGAAATGTATTATTCTATTAGAGCCTTTCTGGAAAGCAGTCTAAACATATCCATTAAAATTAACATATACAGCCTTTTCCCCAGCAATTCTCCCAGAAACAAAAGTACTCAAATATAACTGTATGTGGGTATGTATGTATTTGTGTGTGTATGACTATTTACTATTTCTTCATAGAGAGATGAAACTATTAACACAGTAAACACTATTAGGAGAAATGACTGAATAATTATTGATGATGCTTTTACAATGAGAAGTATGAAATCACCATTGAAGTAGAGCAATAGCAGAAGTAATTTGGGCTACATATAGAGAATCAGTTATTTTTTTAAAAAGCAAATAAATTCAATTGTTTGTATTTATTTCTGGGGTGTTTCATCACAACTGCAAGTGATGTCTTTTTAAATAAGCATTTATAAAGGGGCACTAAATACAGAAATGAAATACTGCTATAAGCTAATACAAAAATACACAGACCAGTGTCACTATAAATCAACCACACAAACAAGCCAACATTATAACCAGCTAACAATACAATGACAGGATCA